>NC_000004.12:105796381-106421381 GCF_000001405.40 Homo sapiens
TTGGGTGGGGACACAGCCAAACCATATTGACCTGGAATGTTGATATTCACTCTTATTTCCATTTTTTGTCATATCATTTTTATTTTAGCTGATTTTTATGTTTTTATTATTATTAAATCTGAGCATTCATATCTTTTGGTAGCCAAATACAACATTTGCCAGGTCTGGTTTTATTTAGGCAATGTATCTTTTTCCTTTATTCTTCATGTTTTCTTACTGTCTTTAGTTTCTGTTTTCCTGAATTTTGCCAAATTGATCATATTTCTTTGCTCTCCAACCCCCTTACTTTTGGCTTCTGGTATAAAGGTCACAAACTGATGGTCCTTGGGCCAGAAAACCACAGATATGTATTGATTAGGCCATATACTCCTAAAACATCTTTTTAAATTATTTGCCAACTTTCAAAAAGCTACAGATTTATACATCAGTAATTTTTGGAAATGGGTAAGAGGAAATTGAATTGGATGTGCATTTAGTTTGGATTGGGAGCTATATTTATATGACATACAGTCACTTCTATGTATAGAGGATCGGCTTCCAAGAAGTTCCTGCAGTCACCAGGCTAACTCCATTTCTTCTGAGGCAAGAAAAGCTCCAGTGCCTCAAAAAGATTGACTTGGGTATGGAGAAAGGTTGAAGAGGAAATGATAAGAGACAGAGATACATGTGTGTGTGTGTGTGTGTGTGTGTGTGTGTGTATGTGTGTGTGTGTGCGTCTGGGTTCAGCAGAGGAGGCCAAGTTTGTCAGTATAGGCTCACAGACACCAGGATTTAATAGTCATACCTATCATGTTAGGTAGTTAGTTAATTTCTTTCCCACTACCTCAACTTTTTTCTTGTTATTTTTTTTTCTCCTGTCCTATTTTTTTCCCTGTTGGAACTTGTAAATAAATAATTGGAGTAAATATCACACAAGGATAGTTGTGTTCATATACCAGCATACCTTGGCGATATTGCAGGTTCAGTTCCATACTACCACAATGAAGTGAATATTGCAATAAAGTGAATCACATGCATTTTTTGGTTTGCCAGTGCACATGAAAGTTGTGTTTACACTATACTGTAGTCCATTGTGCAATAGCATTATGTCTTTAAAAAGCATACATAATTTTGTTTAAAAGTACTTTATTGCTAAAAAAAAAATGCTAAGCATCATTGGAACCTTCAGCAAGTCATAATATTTTTGCTGGTGGAGGGTCTTGCCTTGATGTTGATGGCTGCTGACTGACCAGGGTGGTGGTTGCTCAAGGTTGAGGTTTGTGGCAAATTGTTAAAATAAGACAACAATGAAGTTTACTGCATGGATTGACTCTTCCTTTCACAGACTATTTCTCTGTAGTATTTGATGCTGTTTGATAGCATTTTACACACAATAGAACTTTTTTTTTTTTTTTTTTTTTTTTTTTTTTTTGAGACAGAGTCTTGCCCTATCACCCAGGCTGGAATGCAATGGTGCGATCTTGGCTCACTGCAACCTCCGCCTGCTGGGCTCAAGCGATTCTCCTGTCTCCCAAGTAACTGGAATTACAGGTGTGCACCACCATACCTGGCTGACTTTTTGTATTTTAGTAGAGACAGGGTTTCACCATGTTGGCCAGGCAGGTCACAATAGAACTTCTAAAATTGGAGTCAGTCCTCTCAAACCCTGCTGCTACTTTATCAACAATGTTTATATAGTGTTCTAAGTCCTTTGTTGTCATTTCAACAATATTTTCACAGCATCTTCATCAGGAGTAGATTCCATCTCAAGAAACCACTTTTTTTGCTCATCCATAGGAAGCCACTCCTCATCTGTACAGGTTTATCATGAGATTGCACCAATTCAGTCCCATCTTCAGGATCTACTTCTAATCCTAGTTCTCTTGCTATTTCCATTATATCCACAGTTGCTTCCTCTTCTGAAGTCTTAAACCCCTCAAAATGTCATCCATGATGGTTAGAATTAACTTCTTCAACACTCCTGTTCATATTGATATTGTGACCTCCTCCTGTGAATTATGAATGTTCTGAACGGCATCTAGATTGGCAAATCCTTTCCAGAAGGTTTTCAAATTACTTTGCCAAGATCTTTCAGAGATGTTACTACCAATAGCAGCTATAGTGTTATGAAATGAAGTTGTTAAGTAATAAGACCTGAAAGTCAAAATTACTCCTTGAACCATGAGCTGCAGAATGGATGTTGTGTTAGCAGACATAAAAACAACATTAATTTCCTTGTAGATCTCCATCAGAGCTCTTGAGTGACCAAATGCATTGTCAATGAGTCATGATATTTTAAAGGGAATCTTTTTTCTGAGTAGTAAGTCTCAATAATGGTCTTGAAATATTTATTAAAACATGCTCTGAGCAGGTATTCCATTTCTAGAATACAGGCAGAATAAATTTGTCATCATTTATAAGGGCCCTAGGATTTTCAAAATGGTAAATGAGCATTGGCTTCAACATAAAGTCTCCAGCTGTATGAGTCCCTAACAAGAGTGGTCAGCCTGTCCTTAGAAGCTAGGCATTGACTTCCTTTTCTGGATATGAAAGTCCTAGATGGCATCTTCTTCTGATAGAGGGCTAGTTTATCTACATTGAAAAATCTGTTCTTTAGTGGAGCCACCTCATCACTTATCTAGATCTTCTGGATAACTTGCTGCATCTTCTACTTCAGCACTTGCTGTTTCATCTTGCACTTTTATGTCATGGAGATATCTCCTTTATTAAACCTGATAAACCAATCTCTGCTAGGCTCCAATTTTTCTTGTGTAGCTTCCTCACCTCTGTCAGCATTTATAGAATTGAAGAGAGTTAGGGCTTTGCTCTGGATTAGGCGTTTGTATAAGGGAATGTTTTGTCTGGTTTGATCTATTCAGACCACAAACACTTCCCAATATCAGTAATGAGGCATTTTGCTTTCTTATCATTCATGTATTCACTAAAGGAGCGTTTTTAATTTCCTTCAAGAACATCTTTGCATTCATATCTTGGCTAGCTCGTGCAAGAGGTCTGTCTCAGCTTTCAACATGCCTTCCTCACTAACCTTAATAGTTCTAGCCTTTGATTTAAAGTGAGAGACATGTGACTGTTTTCATTGAACACTTAGGGTCATTGTAGGGCTATTAATTGGCCTAATTCCAGTATTTTTGTGTCTTAGGAAATAGGGATGCCCAAGGAGAGGGAGAGAGACAGGAGAACAGCTGGTTGTTGGAGCAGTGAGAACACACACAACATTTATTGATTAAGTTTGTTGTCTTAAGTGGGCATGGTTCGTGGCTCCCCAAAATAATTTCAATAGTAACAACAAAGATCACTTATCACAGATCTCCATAACAGATATAATAATGAAAAAGTTTGGTGTATTATGAGAATTACCAAAATGTGACACAGAAACATAAAGTGAACACATGCTGTTGGGAAAACAGCACTGATAGACTTAACACAGCGTTGCAAAAAAAAAAAAAAAATCTTCATTTTGTAAAAAACACAGTATTTCTAAAGCACAATAAGAAAGAGGTATATCTGCTTGTTCTTACTTATAAGTGGGAGCTAAACATTGAGTACACATAGACACAAAGAAGGGAACAGTAGACACCAGGGCCTACTTAAGGGTGTAGGGTAAAAGGAGGGTGAAAATTCTTCATTGACATGGCTTTCACGGAAGATTATTAAATCCTTTTATTGTACTTACATAGAAATTTACAAATACCTGTATTAGTCCATTTCACACTGCTGATAAAGACATACCCGAGACTGGGCAATTTACAAAGGAAAGAGGTTTAATGGACTTGCAGTTATACATGGCTGGGGAGGCCTCACAATTATGGTGGAAGGCAAGGAGAGCAAGTCACATCTTATGTGGATGGCGGCAGGCAAGAAGAGAGCTTGTGCAAGGAAACTCTCATTTTTAAAACAACCAGATCCCATGAGATTTACTATCACAAGAACAGCACAGGAAAGACCCACCCCCATAATTCAATCACCTCCCACCAGGTTCCTCCCAGGACACGTGGGAATTGTGGGAGTTATAATTCAAGATGAGATTTGGGTGGGGACACAGCCAAACCATATCAATACCATTTAGGCAGTTTTGCCTGATGTCACTGATTTTGGGGGAGCTTTCTAACCTTTAAGAATCTTGGGTTTGAAATTTTTCCCAAGTCTGAACATGAAGAAAAAGTGAAAAATATGTTTAAGCCTATAAAGCAAAATGATGGATTTTATAAATGTGTATGACACAAAATGCAAAAATATTTGAAATTATTCCACACATAGGCAAAGCAAGGAAGAGAATATTCAAAATTGATGTCAATTGCTATTGATGCATAATAGTTGCCCAATAATATGGTCAATTCTCATTATTCGTAGTAGTTATGTTTTATGAAGTCACTACAAACACTGAGTTGGCAAATACTGAACCACTGCTCCTGGGGAAATATAGGGTTAGGTTCTTGCAAGCCTCTGGTCCCATTTTTATCAACTGATAGCCTTATTTTATATGTGCTTCTATTTAAAGACATCTTATTTAATATATATAGTTGATTCATTTACACTGAGTTCACAGCCAACAGCACCATAATGCATGCCTGAACAAACCTTATCTAACATAAATTTTCTCTATAAGGCACATCACAGCCTTCTTGTACTTAGGAAAACTAGACAGCATTTCAGCACTGGCAGCCATTTTAATAGCAAAATCACCCAAAAAAGGCACAAAAATTTGAAAAATGTAGAACTAAATGGACCATGAGAAGGATACTTGTTTATAATATGAGAGCTGAAACAAGAAAGATAGTCATCTTGTTCCACCTCAGCTAGGACTGCTTCTCGACCTTTTGGCTAAGATCAAGTGCAACCTCAGCTAGGAACATGTAATCAGGTGACTCAAATATTTCACTGCTCTGTACATATTCACAAATTACTACAAATGCAACTCAAGAATGGATTTTTGAGTTACAAATAAATTCTAGCAAGTAGGCAAATGCACAAATATAGAATCTGCAAATAATGAGAATTGACTGTATCTCATCCATTCTACTCTAGGCCTTGGAGATATCAAGACGGAATGAGTGCAAACGTTGTTAAATGAATTTTATTAGGGTGATAGTGTTAAAGAATAAAGGGTAGTTTTCTTCTTACAAGTTTTTTAAAGTAATGAAATGACTTAAAATGACATGTTAAAATTATGATTTAATTTGATGAAATCAAATTAAGAAGTAAATAAGTATCTATTATGGGTAACATGACTTCTGTATAAAGTTCATCAATATATTGTTTGATTCATTCTTCTGCTGTAATGAGCATGCAGTATTCTCTGATTTTTTTAATGAAAAGAAAAATGGGTAATTATGTTGGGAACAAAAATTTAAAGTAAATAAAATTAAAACCAAATTTTGATGACAGATTTAGAAAAATTATCTGCACCAAGATTACATAAAATCCACTGTTATTTTCTTGTGATAATTAGCATCATTTTATAACTTCTCTTTTAAAAATTTTCTTTTCCAAGAGCCATTCAGTGGGTGCTTATGAAGTCAAACCTATGAGTCCTGACAGACCTGGTTAGACTTCTACTTTTCTATTTACTAGCTGTGTGACTTGGGCAAATTTATTAACATTTGTAAGCACACTCTTAACTTCATTGTCAAATATAGATAATGAAGGATATCCCTAATTGTAAAATGAATATAATGAAGGATATAATTTATTCTTATTGTAAAATGAGGATAATGTTTATGAGGATGAAATGGGATAGTACAGTATATAAAAACTACTTAGACTAAAGCTTGGCACATCATGATATTGTTTGTTTGGTTTGCTTGTTTTGTCAGAGAAGGTATCTCTCTAAATACTTGAATATGTTTCTACTGCCTTCATATGTAAATGCAGCTGTGTAAAGTATTCTTAAGCCACAATTCTCTCTTCAAATGTTGCTCCATTATGTGGCATATAATACTGTAGAGTGATCTGAGGCCAGCCTCTTTTCTATACTTGTGCATAACCTGTTATCCTGCCTTCATGCCTTAATACTTAAAGTGTTCTGTCTGATCAAAACCTTTGCCTGTTTATTCATTTTTTTCTTAGGATACCTAAAGGCAGTAGAATCTTTTTGTTTGTTATTTTTACCATACCAGGTGAGTTCTTTGAAATATAATTTATAACTATTTTCTGTCTAGTAATATTTCCTTCCTTCAAAACAATTTACATTTTGAATAAAATTTTCCTTCCATATATTCTGGTCTTGTCTTCAGGAACACTGGTTATCCATAAGTTTACATTTCATCATCTATTCACCATACTCCTCATATTTCTCTTCCCTTTAACTTCTTTTTTCTCTCTGTCCTCTTCTTTGCATTCAGGAGGTTCTCTTAAGCCATAATCCAGTTTTTCTGCAATAGTAATCTGCTTCTTAACATTTATAATGTGGCGTTTGCTATGTTTGTAAAGCTATAATAACACCACATTGCTATAAAGATTGTCATATATCTGGGATCACGTAGGATGTATCTGGAATCAGGAGTAAGCCAAGAAGTCTCTGATCTCTTGAAGTAGTTGGGCAAACACCCTACACTCTAGTGTGAGGTGAGTAGATGTGAAGGATAAGCAACTTACATTTACTGAAGGCCACTGGTTTGCTGGGACTCTGCTGCAGTACTATTTATTTCTCACAATAGTCCTACAAATACTATTGTTATTTACATTTTACAGATGAAAGGCAAATACTCAGAAGTATTTGACAAGGTCAGACAGCTAATGAATGGGCCAAATATGAAATACCAAAACATTTGTTCCTTTCACAATATTTTTCATCTCATATGGCAACATGCATTTCCCTGAGAAAAGCTCCCATTTGGTTTTTCAGTCATAATTTATTTTTCCTTCTTGTTGGTACTATTCTCAAATGGCTGGCCTCCAGTTCTACAGGGGAAATATTGAATGTAGAAAATGTTAAAATAAACATTGATAGCATCAAGAAGTTCTTGCCAATAGCTTAAGAGTCAGAGAGGAGATAGAAAAAGTATAAAAAGCAGACTAAATTTACTGATTCTCATAAAAATTAGAATATGTATCTCTATAACCTGAGGGCATTATTATAATGCTATATTATTTATAATTGATACTCATAAATATGACACAGTCATTAAGAAAAGATGAAATTATGTTCAAGTTTTTTAAAGAAGGCTAGGAAACATGTAACTGACAAGAAATTTCAAAGTTGTAAAAAATGTTTTGGGTTATTTGTAATAGCAGAAAAAATTGAAATATCCCAAATGACTATCCACAGGAGAATGGACAAATTATATCATAGCTCTAAAATGGAATACTAAGAGTAGTGAAAAAAAAAATGCAACTCCATGTGTCAACATGGATGCAACTTGAAAACATAATGTTGTATGAAAAATGCAAGAATTATACATATAATTCCATTTATATGAAGTTTAGGAAACTTCAAATCTGAATGATATATTATTAGAAATACATATCTATGTGGTAAAACTCAAAAGAAAACCAACAGAATGGTAAACACAAAATTCAGTATAGTGGTTATTTCAGGGCTGGGAAAGGTGAGGGAGATACAGTTGGTTAGGGATATGTACATAGGACTTCAAAAATACTACTAATTTTTTGTTTTTGTAAAGCTGGATAATGGATACTTCAGTAGTTTTTATCATCACCATTATTATTTATAACTCATGTAGTTTAAAATGTATTTCTATTTATGAACCAAAAAAACTGGTTCTTAAGAGTATATTTTAGTTATCTGGTAGTATTTAGTTATCAGAAATTTTCCAAAAATGTCAGATTGGTGATTCATTATTGTTATTATTACAATGTAAAACATAAACAGATGGCTATATCAGGAAGCTTGCTTTTAAAATAATATTCATTTATTTAAATAAAGAAACTTTTCTATTAAATAGAGTTTGGATAACAGTATTTATTAGATAGTTTTTATGAAAAGGAATTATTCAAAATAGAATAATCCCCTAAATTATAGTATGTCTTCTAAAAATTCTGGTGCTTTGGGTTAGTGAAGAGTAAATTTCAGTAACAAAACATTGTGTTAAATTTTAGAGAAAGCGTCACCTAATTCAGAGGATTTATATGTCATGATTATTTAATGTTAATTACCTGAGGGCATTGTAGAAATTTCTGTTAAATACCTGAGGGTGTTGTAGAAATTCATGGAGGACATTTTTTTACCCTCTAGTAATCATGACTGAGCATCTACACATTGCAATACTTATTCTATTCTAAAATACTGATTCTTTTTTTCTTCAACCTTTATTTTAAGTTCAAGGGTACATGTGCAGTATACGCAGGTTTGCTACATAAGTGAACGTGTGCCATGTTGGTTTGTGGCACAGATCATCCCATCACCTAGGAATTAAGCCGAGCATCAATTAGCTATTTTTCCTGATGCTCTCCACCCTCCCTTCCAACAGGCCCCCTGTGTGTGTTGCTCCCCTGCCATGTGTCCATGTGTTGTCATCGTTCAGCTCCCGTTTATAAGTGAGAACATGCAGTGTTTGGTTTTCTGTTCCTGTGTTAGTTTCTGATAATGATGGCTTGCAGTTCCATCCATGTCCCTGCAAAGGACATGGTCTCGTTCCTTTTTTATGGCTGCATAGTAAAATACTGATTTTATTTCTCCTTCATATTACAGCTATTATATTTATTTTTATTTAGATTACATAGGTCAATAAGCTAAATTCAATAATTGAAAAGGGATATTATAAAATATTTATTGTAAAAGGGTGTTAAAACTGATAGGGCTAAGAAAAAACTAATCTGAAACCCATATGGAATATGTGGACTAATTTTTCTGAAGGGTTAAGATCAAGCCAGAAATCTCTAAGAAAAATTACATGAAGATTTAGAAGCTTTATGTATTTCTCCACTGTGTTTTTATTTTAATTGCATTATAACCCATAATTAATAATCTAATGCAGATTGACATCCATGAATAAGAAAAAATCTATTACTTTTCATTTCTTGTTTATGAATAAAAGGATTCAGCTTCCCTTTTATTAAAACTCGAGAAGGCACATCTATTTTGAAAGGTTTTCTAATATATTTTTCATTGAGAATTTTTTAATACACAATTATTTTTAATTTCATCTGTCATTTTGGGAGGGAATAGAATGTAAGATTCTGTTTGGTTTTTATTGTTTTTTAACAGGTGGTTTGGGAACAGAGTATACTCTGATGCCTTGTATCAGGATCGCTCTTTTATGCAAAATGCTTTACTTTTCCTGGAAACTAATCTCCTTAAAAGCTAATACCCAAATCAAACAATGTACCCTTTTCAGTGCTGAATAAAAATGGGTCAGGAAGGGATTAAAAAACTGGCATTGCACTAAAGTGAGGCAATGAAAGTTTTACTTTTCAAGCTCCCCTTGTTATATGAGAATTTATAAATTACCAGTAATTTAGCCTCCATTCTTCTGCCTCTTCTTCTTTCCCTCCCCCTATGTAAGCCATTATTGTTATTACATGTATGAAACACTGTTTTTTTAAGAAATTTTCCCATTACATCTGTTAGAAATTTAGAATGTCAATCAGCATTGAATCCAGTTTGCATCATCTGTATATTTAATCAGTGAAAAAACTTAGGCTGATTTTGCATTATATTTACTACTTCAGTTTCTGCCTGTGTCCCTTTTTCATTCATCTCCTTTTTCCTTAGTGTCTGATGATCAACACTGTGTCCTTAATAGGTGTCAAGTTTACTGAAGTGTTTGATTCAATAAACATATCTGAAAATCTAGGTACAAAGACTTGTAACAGTTGGTATAGAGTTGAATAAATATAAGAGTTTGCAGTCTTATTGAAAATCCCTCAAAATAAGACTAACTTAGATATCTCCAGTACAAATGAAAATAGGTATCTGACTGTGGAGAGAGTATCTAAACTTTTTGAGCTTCTTTTATTCATATGGAAAATGGAGGACAAATGCAGACCTTTATATAGTTTTCTATAGTTAGTTTTCAGTACAGGAGATAAGGTATACAAGGTTCTTAGCATAGTACTGCCATGTAGGAGGATTCCAATAAATGGTTTATATTATTGGTACTGTTTTTATATTTGGCCATTAAACCATGCTTATTTTCTCCACATTATCTGTTTCCCTACTCTGAACCTATCAATTAAAAAGAATATCCAAGTCTCTATGTTTTTGCCTATAAAATAACTGGATTAGACTTGGTGAGTTTTAGGGTTTCTTTCATCTTTATAATTATGTAGAACTTTGTTTAAGGAAGTGGGTACCATCCGTATACAGATTTTCCAAGTCAACTTAGTGTATATAAGTATTTCATATCATCTCTTCCTCTCTTCAAATGTTCAGTACTTCCTCCCTTTCTCTCTTAATTCAAAGAGAAAATAGAAAAATCAGAAAGAGCTCTACATATTTTATCAGTAAACACACCAACATATCTGTTTCTATGTCCATACGCTATAGGCCCTCCGATCCTATTCCCATTTAAGCCCATGTCTCACTGTGCACTGCATTTCATCCCCTTGTGTCCTCAGCAGTTTTTCTTATCAGTTATGCCAATCAGATAGCAAAAATTCTAAGGTGACTTTCACTTTTTAAAATCCTCCCTTACCTCACTTAGCCCTACACCGACCACGCCATTTACGTGCTCCCCTTTAACAAAACTCCTTAGATATTCATGACTTCATCTTCTCTTCCTCTACTTTCTTCTT
Source organism: Homo sapiens (assembly GCF_000001405.40). NCBI lineage: Eukaryota > Metazoa > Chordata > Mammalia > Primates > Hominidae > Homo > Homo sapiens. The sequence continues at coordinate 105,807,077 of NC_000004.12, forward strand.
CCAATCTTTTGTTTAAAATTACCCATTTTTTAAAGTTGTAAAAGTAGTATAATGAATACCCATGTAGCCTTCATATAGAATCACCAGTTTTTACTATTTTGCCTTACCTTCCCTCTTTATCTGACATACACATTTTTCTTCAACCATTTGAGAGTTCCTTGCAGACATCATAACATTTCACCGCAAAATACTTCAACGTGTGTCTCCTAAGAAAAAGGGCATTCTCTTATATAATCACAAGCCAATTATCACCTACAGGAAATTTGACATCAATATAATAATGTTATGGAATACACTGCCTGTATTGAAATTCTCCCAATTGTTCAATAGCGCTCTCACTCTCTTTGAATATGCAATAACCAATCAAAGATAGGCATTGTTTTTAGTTGTCATATATCTTAAGTATCCTTTAATATAGGATCCTGTCCTATAAAATTTGTTTTGTCTTTCTTAACTTTAACATTTTGAAAAAGAATCTATTCTAGGTATTTTACAGAATGTTCTCAATTTGGATTTATCTATTTCCTCTATTAGATGAAAATTAAACTATTGGCAAGACTGCAACAGAATGACTCAAATATTTTGGCCAGCATACTATAGAGCTAATGGTGTATGCCTTGAGTATACCACAGCAGGGAGCACATGGTATCAGTTTGACACATTGTTTGTGATATTAGGTTTGATCACTTGGTTGATATGGTGTCTGTCAGATTTCTTCATTGTAAGAATACCGGTTTCCCTTTGTAATAATAGTCTCTGAGGAGCTACTTTGAAACCATCGTGTTCTCCAGTAAGTTTTCCTCAATGGTTTTAGCATCCGTTGATGATTTCTATGCAAATCAGTTATTACAACGGTCATTATTAAATGGTGATTTTTGTATTTCTATTATGCCTTGTACATGTATCAGTTTTCCTTCTTCTCTCTTGATCCTATGATAATCAGACCTCTGTCCCATCATTCTAACAAAACTGCTGTTGTCAAGGTTACTAATGACTTCTGTTTACTAAATATAATAGACTAGTCTCAGTCCTTATCTTATTTGGTGTATCAGCTGCATTTGACAAAGTTGATCATTTTTCTCTTGAAATACCCCTTGGTTTGCTTCTGAGAAACCAGTAGAATAACCCCTTATCAGTCTCCTTATCAGCTTCCAAATCTCTAAACATTGAAAAACTCAGGGCTTAGTCCTTATACCTCCACTGCAAAACAATATATGGCAGTTTGATTCTTTCTAATTGCTCAGGCTCAGAACTCTAGAGTTATCCCTGTCTCTTTATTTTACTCTCTACATCAGTCCATCAGCAAATTCTGTCAGCTCTGTTTTTAAAATATGTTTCAAGTCAAATCACTTCTCACTACCTCCACTGCTGTATCTTAATCTAAGCAACTATCATGTCTAGCCTTGACTATTTCAGTAGTGACCTAGTTAGACTTCCTATTTAAGTCAAATAATGTCCCCAAATCCATCTAATTCAAAATAAAATCCAAAGTTTCCACATAGATTAAAAAGCTTTGCATACTGTAGCCCCTGGCTACTTCTTTGATCTTCTCTTCTGCGGTCTGGAATTCACTAACTGCAGCAGTCCTCCCTTATTTGCAGTTTCGCTTTCTGTGGTTTAGTTACCCGCAGTCAACTGTGGCCCAAAAATATTAAATGAAAAATTCCAGAAATAAACAATTTATAACTTTTAAATAGCACATCATTCTAAGTAGCATGATGAAATCTGGCACAATCCCACTGCGTTCTGCCTGGGACATGAATCATTCCTTTGCCCAGCAAATCCACACTGTGTACACTACTAGCCTGATGGTCACTTAGTAGCTATCTTGATGATCAGATCGACAGCTGCAATATTGCAGTGCTTGAGTCCAAATTTTACTTAATAATGGCTCCAAAGCACAAAAGTAATGATGCTGACAGTTTGGATATGCCGAAGAGAAGCTATAAAGTGCAAGCATTAAGTGAAAAAGTAAAAGTTATTGACTTAATAAGGACAGAAAAAACTCATATGCTGAGATTGCTAAGATCTGTGGTAAGAACACATCTATCCATGAAATTATGAAGAAGGGAAAAGAATCCATTCTAGGTTTGCTGCCATACCTCAAGCTGCAAAAATTATGGCCATTTCAGTGTCTTTTAAGTGTTTGGTTAAGATGGAAAAGTCCTTAAATTCATGGGTAGAAGACATGAGCAGAAATGTGGTCTGATTGATGGCAGTCGGGTTCAATACTATCTGAGGTTTCAGTCATTCACTGAAGGTCTTAGAATGCATCCCCAAGGATAAGGGGAGACTACTGTATACTTGTTATTCTCTTTGTTTGGAAAACTCTTCCCCTAGATAATCCATACACCTTACTCTCTCACTTTATTCAGATCTCAATGTCACCTTATTAGAGAGGCCCTTTCAGGTCAGCCTATCTGTAATACGTTTACTCTTCCTTGCTCTTTCTCCCCTTTCTAATTTTTCTTTTTAACCCCTAATATAGTATATTTATTTGTTTTGTGTGTATCACCTATCTACCCCCACTGGAATGTGTACTCCATGGCAGCAAGGACTGCAATATACCCAACCCTTAAAACAGTGCCTAGCACATCTTAAGCACCTAATAAATATTTGTTAAATTAACTGTTGAAATTCTTAGTATTCTATTAATGACGACAAGTAAAGACAGGTTGGTTTTTTTTTTTCCACTTTCAATGTAAGTCTTAATTTTATACCTGGTCTTTTTTCCTCCTAAGACATTGTTTACATTGTCTCAAAGTATACTGCAGTGAGAAATTGTGTTTTTCTAGGTTGTATAAATTAATGGGTTATTTATAGTGTTGCTGCTGCTACTACTAATCCCAGTATGTTTTTCTCAGTATTTGGATATGATTCCTTAAAAGGTAACAAATTTCTTAGATGCTAACCTAGTTTTTTTTATTATAAATAATAGCACAAAGTCTTTTATTAAATCATTCATTTATGAATTTTAAAGGCCATCAATACAAAGTATTTATTTTACTGCCCTACATAATTCTCTAGGAAGTCTACCTGTCTTATATTGGCTAATGAAGGGAGAAAGTTCTAACTTCTCTGTATTGAATTAAAAGTAAAACTAGCCACATGTTTATAAGATTAAACTAATGCAAAATTTTAACTCACCAACATCGCCCTGGTATTTTTTTTCTTCTATTTATTTGGTTTCTCTGTGTATCATATATATGTGGGATTTAAATAATAGGAAGAAATATATAAGACCTCAAGTCTGATTTTAGCAGTTCTTGGTTTGTTTGAACGAGTGAGGAAATTATCATGCTTGTTTTGTGGGTATGCAGATACACAAATGTTACTTATAAATGCCCTCATGCTACCATGTCTGTGTCTCTAACATCAGGGGATGGATTTCAGAGAAGATAATGAGGTGTTTATATTCTGTTTTTTTACTGGGTATCCAGAAATGTTAAATTTTAAGCATTATCTTCAAGAGTTCTCATACACAATTAGCTATTTCATTATAAAATTAAATGATTGATTTTAACGGTGAACACTACTTATGACTTTATGTTCTCAGGATATTTTTAAAGTTTACATTGTATATGTCATGTTGTTTTCCTATGTTAATTTTCAAGAAGACATATTATAATAACTAATATATTTGAACTTTTAAACATCATTTTTGTAGCTCTCAATTTCAAGGAATAAAAATTATTTTGGTGCCTTTTATTCCTTTATGTTAATATTACCTTCTCAGTGACAGGAGCCCAAGTAGCATATAACTGAGTTTTGCATTTTAAGTAATTTCTGGAGGTCCCTGGGAAATACAGTTGTCCTGAGGTGGAAGGGTCTATAATCTAAAGAATCTGATCTGTGTCTTTGTTGACTCACTGCATTCATTGGAACTGGATTTTAAAGAGCAAGTAGGCATTTTTAGGCAAAGAGGTAAATAAAGCAATATTTCCTGAAGTAGATTCCTAAAATAGTCCCTAAAGATAATTAGATAGTAAAAACATTCAGTTGTCAAGTAATCTGGGGAAATACTATGTTATTCTGGATTAAACACTTTCTGTACTGCAAGACTCCTTAGCACTTTTACTATGCTAGTGGGCATTGCGATTCTCCAAAAAAATAGAAAAGGTATTAATTTTCTAAAGCTACCTGATGGTAGAACTCACTATTTTTCTCTCTAAATATCTTTTTATATCTCTTTCCTCTTAGTATCTTGAGAGACTACTGTTCCACAAGTGTGAAATTTCTGAAATATTAGTATTCATGACAAAGTAAACTGCATGTTTAAAACCTCAGAAAGATGATACATCATGGCGTGTTTGAAGAATAACTGGTAGTTTCATCTGACCAGAGAATGATGAGATTATGGGAGTAAAGGAGTGGCAGGAAGTGAGCTCAACCAGATGATGAAGTCTCAATGTTAAAAATCTAGGAAGGGGAACATCACACTCTGGGGACTGTTGTGGGGTGGGGGGAGGGGGGAGGGATAGCATTAGGAGATATACCTAATGCTAGATGACGAGTTAGTGGGTGCAGCACACCAGCGTGGCACATGTATACATATGTAACTAACCTGCACAATGTGCACATGTACCCTAAAACTTAAACTATAATAATAAAAGAAAGAAAAAAAAAATCTGTCCTATCAGCAGTGGGGGAACCAATGAAGACTTTTAAGAAGGGAAATAGCATGAACACATTTGCATTTTAGAAGGAATGGGCATGAAAAGGTGAGACTTTAGATCTGAGTGTTTAATTAGAAGACTATTACAAGTGATAAATAATTGTGAACTGAAGATGTGGCTTTGGTTGGAGGATGATGAGTGGATGATGATATTATTAACAAATAGAATATCAGGAAGAAAACAAGTTTCATGGTAAAAGAGTTCAGTTTTTGGACATGTTTGGCTTGAAGTCTCTGGATGGCACAGGCATATATTAAGAATGCAATTGGAAAATCTGATCTACAGTTCTAGAGAGCAGTGTGAACTGAACTATGTATAGTTTTGGGTATCAGTATGATGTTTCAAACCATAAGAGGACAAGAGAGAGATAATAGACATCTTTCTGATAAATGTTACGCATCCCACCTGAGTTTTTCTGTGGTAAATTTACTTCAAATCCAGAATCTTTGGTTCTGAGTTTCTGAAAATTTCTTTAAATGTTATCAAAATCTAGAAAGTATACCTTTAGCAAGTAAACATCAGGATTGCTGTGATTACTTTGGTTATTTGGTCGGTTGGTTTTGCGTATGTGTGCTTGTGCATGCTTACACACTATAGTTTTTTATTTTTATTTTTATTTTTATTTTCATGTAGAGACAGGGTCTCACTGTGTTGACCAGGCTGGTCTCAAACTCCTGGCCTCAAGCAGTCTTTCCGCCTCTGCCTCCAAAGTGCCAGCATTACTGATGTGAGCCACCATACCTGGCTGTATACTATGTTTTAAATCAGCTATTGTCCATTACTTTTGCATTTAAAAGTCTAAACAGTGAAGACATAGGAGAATTTGTATTTACTGAATTAGGTTGTGGCCAAAAGAAGCACCTACTCTGGGTATACAATAACCATTAAGGTAAGTCTTGAATATATATATTTTTTTTACTAAATCCAAGCCATTTATATATATATGTTTTAACTCCAGCACTCCCACCACATGACATTTCCTTGAAAAATATACTTTAGCATGTCTCTCATGCTGATTTTAGATTGAAATAAATATATTATCAAAAGGATAATGTTTAATAATGATGAAAATTTCTCTGGTGTCAGAAAAACAGATGAAATAAATACAGAGGGGAGGCAGCATAGTGCATTCTAAAGTAGAAAAAAGTTATATTTATTTATTTTTCTTAAAAAGACAGTAAGCTTTACTACTATTTAACAGAGAAATTGTTAGTACTATGTATATTTGGGTCCTATTCAAAATATTTTACTAATAAAGGATTTATGTTTTCTGGGGTGGTAGGTGAGAGCACACACCTTGAACTGAGACCAGCAGGATTCAAATCCTGGCTCCATCATGGAGTAACTATGTGACCAAAGCAAGCTACTTCATTATTTTTGTTTACATTTTTCATCTGATAATGCAATAACAGTACCCAACCTCATTGAGCTGTTACAAAAAAGGATTGATATAATAAATAAAATATGCTTAGCACATCGTAATCATTCAGTAGTGCTAATACCAGCAAATAAGAATATCCATTCAGTGGACTTCATATATACAGGTTGAGCATCACTAATCCAAAAATCCAAAATCTAAAATGCTCCAAAACCTGGAACTTTTTGAGTGCAGACATGATGCAACAAGTGGAAAATTCCATGCATAAGTACTTATTACAAACTTTGTTTTGAGCACAAAATTATTTAAAATGTTGCATAAAATTACCTTCAGGCTATTTGTATAAGGTATATGTGAAACATAAATAAATTATGTGTTTACACTTGAGACCCATCCCCAAGATATCTCCTTATGTACTTGCAAATTTTCCAAAATCCAGAAAAAAAATTTCTGAAACCCAAAATACTTCTGGTCCCAAGCATTTCAGACACTCAACCAACATTCATGATGAGTCTAAGTATGCACAATTGTAATGATCTCCCTCAAACATCCCTAGCTCTTTTCTACCTAAAGACTATTGCATCAGCAGTTCCGTTTATATGGAGTGCTTTTTCTCTTGTTTCCCATGGCTGGCTTCTTCTTTTTATTCAAATTTCAATTCAGTTACCTGCTCAATGATGGCTTCAAGATTACCTAATATAAAATATTCACCTAGTCAATTTCAACCATATTATTCTATTTTAATTTTCTCCAAATCATCACTTAATTTTTTATTATAAAACTCCCATCACTGGAATGTAAACATCACTCTTGTTCTCCATTGTTTCCAGCACCTTGATCAGGGCCAGGCATATAATAAGTGCTTTAAAAAAATTTGCTAAATTAATGAACTAGTCTGTTGAGGTTGTCATGAAAGAACCAGAGAAAAAGAGGGAGATTCAAAATTTCAGTTTCGGAAAAAATGCCTTCCCCTGCCCTACCTAGGCCCTAAACCAGTATACCTATTTCAGTAGACTCAGACCTCCCAACTGGTATAGTTTGAGTATAGTCTTGCTATTTTAGATCTGACATCCATTGTTACTTAGGATAAGATATGGTCACCCACATGTCTCCTGTAGTGCAAGCTTTCTCTGCCTAGCCCTTTGTATCTTTCCCTTTTCCTAAACCCTGCTGGCTGGAGCACTGCTAAACACTACTGCTGGCCAGGCGTGGTGGCTCACACCTGTAATCCCAGCACTTTGGGAGGCCGAGGCTGTTGGATCACCTGAGGTCAGGAGTTCGAGACCAGCCTGGCCAACATGGCAAAACCTCGTCTCTACTAAAAATACAAAAATAACCTGGGCGTGATGGTGTGCACCTGTAATCCCAGCTACTCGGAGGCTGAGGCAGGAGAATTGCTTGAACCCTGGAGGCAGAGGTTGCAGTGAGCTGAGATAGTGCCATTACACTCCAGCCTGGTTGACAGAGACTCTGTCTCAAAAAAAATAAATAAATAAAAATAAAAATAAATTAAAAAAATAAATACTACCACTGCTAGGTACCACCCATCAAATTAGACCTATGCGGATATCAATACTTTCCCAGACTGAGTCCTTTTTGAATACTAATTTGGATCACTGTTCCCACCCCATCCATGCCTGTAGCTGGGTTCATTCCCAGAGTCTTTTTCTTTCCACCATCCCTTGCTGCTGAGATCCTAACATTCTTTACAGTTAGGCCTGTAAAGTTAGGATCCTTAGAAAGGGAAAAGGAATGGTAGAACTGGAATGCAAAACTGCCTTTGCGGTTTATACAGACCCTGTGTAACTTGTATGAATAGCCCTGCCTTTGAGTGTTAACTTTTAAGTTTAATAACCATTCTCTATTTTGGTTATTGTCATAGTATTGAGCACTATCTCATGTATAGGTAGGTGCCCTAATAGATGCTATTCAATGATGCTAATTCTTACAAAGCCAATATTATGGTATCTGTCTTATGCTCCATTGCCACATAAATAACCTCTGCAAAGCTTAGTGCCTTTTCATAACAATTATTGATTTTATTCACAGTTCTGCAGTTTGGTTAGGGCTTGATGGGAAAGCTTGTCTGTTCTCCATACAGCATCAGCAGAGGAGGCTTGACATCTTAAAGCATATTTCTGTGTTCCAAGAGCAACCATCTCAAAAGACAAAAATTGGAAGCTGCCAGAAAAGAGCACCATGTTGTTTCTGTATTAGATAGATCAAACAGTCATGAAGCTGAGATTTAATAACAGACATAGATGCCACCTCTAGATGGGAATACCATATTTTAATATAGTATTAATATTGCCAAGAATTTAGGGCCGTGTCACTTTAGATATTCAGCATTTCATTTTTTAAACAAAATAAAATATATGACAAAAAAATCAAAGAAGAAAACCTATAAGGTCAGATCATAGCGGACATTAGAACACCATGTGCACAAAAGAAGTATTTTTTTAAAAAATCACTTGACTCTGGGAAAGTTGGCATCATTTCAGACTACTACAGTGGCATTTAACCTAATTACTGTGAAACATCAATTGGAAGCCAACTGAGGATTACTTGAATGGCCTCAAAAAGTTAACAAAACTATTAAGACACCTTACTGTTGTTAACTTAAGCCTCTGAAAAAGAGGGAAAAGAAGTAAATACCTAACTATTTTCTACAGTTAGCCTTTTTGTTTTAAAAACATTTCAGTTTGGTCTTGTGGGCAACTTAGACAATATTATGGACTTAAAATAACAACAACAAAAACCCAAAATGCCAGAGCAGAGTAATGTTTACTTTGTGTGGTGTAAATGGTATTTGGATGAAATGAAAATATATGTGTTCAATTAACTGTGGATTCTGGTATTCGGAAATTAAATTTTTTTTTTCATCTTAGAGAAAAAAATAGCAGGAATAAGAAGGTTTTACAATTTCCATTATTCACTGTATGTAAGCTCTTCTATAAACAAAGCAGAAGCTTTGACCTGGTAAGAGATGTGATTATACTTTCTTCAACTTTTGTCCCTCAACCCAACATCTTGCCTAAACAGTTTTTAGTTATTGACTTTTTAAAAGAAGCTTTAGAATTAGATATGGAAGGGTGAAAGGTGCATGATATTTTTAGTCAGCATCTGCAGTACTATAACATGAAAGATCTTCCCAATCTATTTTCATTTCTTTCCTTCTGGATAATCCGATTTTGCAACAAATTGATTGCTCAACCTCTCCATGTCACTTTTCAATAAAATCAAAAAGGTTGCTACAGTCCCAAGGTGGGGAAATGGTCTCTTTCTGGAAAGGGTGAGACCCAAAGGTCAGTTCATTAAACAGAGTGACTTAGGAGACCTCTAATGCCTTAGCAATATATTCTAAAATCCTGACATTCGAAACTTAAATTGATCCTTTTCATTGATAAGTCTGCTCTTGAAAATTTTATTTAGAGGAAAAACTGAAGTAAAATACATTTTATGATTGACTCTGAATAATTAAATTTTTCCCTAAGATATAATTACTAGGGAATCACTCATTTCCCTGCTAGAAAGCACCTCATTTCCTTGAACGCACGCATATGAAAAAGACACCAGCATTGAAATTCTGACATCACAATTAATTAAAAGCATCTGTTTAAGACAGACATAACAGATCATATTGAAAAGAAGACTGAACCTGACATTAGAAATCCTACTTTAGAGTCCCAGCTTCACCACTTACCAGTTGCATGTCTTTGAACAAGTGCAAAGTTTGAGCAACCTATTTAGTGATCAGTGTCCTCATTTGTAAAATAAGAAAAATGTCATCTACCCTAACAACCTGACAGAGTTTTGAGGTTAGATGGTGTATCAAATATGCAAGTGCTTAATATATTGTAAAGCATCATATAAGCAGAAAGTATCCATCATTTTAGGAACTTCAATGAAACATATATGGATTTTTGTAAGTTGTGGCTGTTAAAATTTCTTTTAAGAACATTGTACAATGTGATTAATAAAATACATTTTCTAAGCACAAATATAATGTTTTGTACTAATTAAACAAACTATATGCTCATTAAGGATAGAAACTAAGAGTTATATATCTTTACATCTCTAACAGTTTAGAGAACAGTTCTATATAGGCCAAGTTAGTTGTTTGATGTGTTGAATGAATGATTGAGAAAGATACTTATGAGATCATTATTCCTCAATTTGGAAGTATAAATTAGCCTTTTTTAACATTATGAATTCCAATGAATTCTGCTGTCTTTTTAGTTAATTATTTAATTATTGAATACTCTAATAGTATATATAACAAAATTATAAGAGTAAAAATGCCATCACACTGTTAAGCTGTTGATGATTTCATAGACTGAACTGTGGGGTTTGTGAATGGGGGAGAGTATCAGATTATTTGTATCCACTGTTACAAGAAAATTGTCACATTGAGGTCAGTGCAGCTAAGAGGATTAGTGATAGTAGCCTCCAATTGGCTTTAAAAATGTAAAATTAAAATAACTATTCTAGATTTTTAGTGTTTTCAACAAGGTATCACCAAAATTTAAACAAAGTTGCCCTAACCTACAGTGTAAACTTTATGTTGCTGACTAATTTCATGTATTTTCTCAGGAGTTTCTTTAGGAATTCTGTTCTTCCATTCTAGCTTTTGAAGTCTACTTACACAGCTTTAAATGGCTGTTTTGTTATTCTCTCACAAAAGTTTTCAGAAACTTTTCTATCCCTACTTAAAATACTGTTTTATAGTTGACTTCTTTTACTGTTTTGACAAATGCATGCATAGCATCGATATCTAACGCATTTTCACACTTAGTACCTGCAAAAATTAGCATAATGCCTTGAAATGCAGTTTGTCATATTTGCAGAGAAAACTCATTCATTAAACTTTTATTGAGAACCTTTTATGTGCTTATCAGTCTCCTGGTAATCTTTTCATTTAATTGGACCCAAGTTTATGCAGTTCCAGGAAAAAATATTCATATCTATTTCAGGGAGACAGAAGCAATTTCAGCTAACGGTTTTTTGGGGAGTTATTTTAATGAATTATACTTAGGTTTCATTTTATAATAAATCATTTCACTGGTTAACAATAATAGACTTTATAGTATAAAAGATTTGTTATTTTGGGTAGTAACAAAGAGCTTGAAAAAGTAACTTTTTTCTCTTTTGTCTTGAAAAAAATTGTTATTGACAAAAGTAGGAGATGTTTTAAATTCATTCTGGAATAAGGAAAGGTGATGGGATTCCTAAAGTTTTAAAGCAAGGAGATAGGTTTTAAGCAAAGGGAACAAATTATATAAAGGAACTAATTCATAAGGTGTGAGAAATTCAAAGAAATGTCACTTGTGTAGAGAGGCTGGAACAATGGGCAAATATCGAAAGTAGCAGATGAGGTTAGCAAATTAATCAGAGCCCAGATCATTTAAAGGCCTTGCTTTCTTGCCAAGACATCAATATTTTTTTCTTAAGGCAGAGAGGAGCCTATAAAGGTATTTGAGCAAAGGAGAGATACTTTAATGGGTACATTTGGAAGGGACTTTAGTAATATACTGAGGAAAAGCATGCTCAGTGATTAGCTATGGAACAACGAGACAGAATGTGGTGAGCATAGTGCATCAGGGGTATAACAAGGGAAGAGGAGCCTGAGAAGGAGAGTGAGGAGAATTTAATAGGGGTTCAAAAGATTTCTTGATCTAGAACACCAGGGTTCAAAATGGTTTAATGAGTTCAATTGATTCCATTTTATTTTTTAATTAAATCACTTAATGGCAGAGAGCATCAATTGGGGTTCAATGCTCCAGATAATTTTATGGATAATCCTATCTAATTTGAAGATATACTATATCCAGAATAAAAATGATGCAGACTAACATTATAAAAGAACACCTTAGTTGGTAATAATGTAAAATTAACAGTGCTGTCTATTCAGATTGAACTTGTCCCTAAGCAGCTCTAAGTACATTAAATATGAAAGCAAGGCCATGTTTTCGGTAAGACACAGAGAGGCAAACAACAAGCAATGTCATTTCCTATCTGGCACTGTCTGCCTGTATTTTCACGTCAATCTGATGTTCTACTACTTCCCCCATTGATCTCTCATTTTTAGGTGCAAGTGAGTTAATTGTAGTTTTCTCCTAAATATGTCATATTGTTCTTGGTATGCCTTCCCCATCCCCATTCTATCTGGTAAGTTTCTGATCCTCCTTAAATGCCCAAGTCTCTCTAAAGGCCATTCTAATGTCTCAAGACATTTCTATTTTATCTTCAATGCACATACTTTTGCACATAATTAACACACACCTTCTTCTTAAATACCGTTAACTTCTTAAGAACAGAAACTATGTCTTCTTATTCATTTCTGTTGAGATGCGTCCTCTGCATATAGATGAGTATTGGGCATATAAGTAGGTATCTTACTTATTGTTCCAAGCATGAAAACCATAGCAACTGTGGGGATAGAACCTCGGCTTTGCTGTTGATTGCCCTATAAAGCATGATAAATGACCATTCATCAGCTTGTCTTTCTTAATGCTGTTAATCAGACCTCTTTTGAAAACATTAACATTTGTGGTTGTCGTCTTCCCTCTCACCTGTTCAAGGTTCTATTAGTGCCACCTTGTCTATTCAATTGTCTTATACCTTCTTTAAAAGAGTGGTGTATACAACATTGATCTCTGTTGAAAAAATTTGCTTTTGCTCTTGATTTTTTTACCTTTTCGGTGTGTTTTTAAGCTCTAAACATAGTTTTAGCCTTCTTTGTCTCCATATTAAAAAAAAAACACACAGAATACTGTTGGTGTGCTATATCTCAAACAAATGTTTTGAAAACAAAACAGCAAAAGAATATTTAGTAAAGACATCTAATGAGTATCCATGCACTCTTTTATAAGTAAGTTATAACTTGTAAGATACTTGTTATTTTAAGCTAAGAAACAAAAAATTAAGAGCTGCCTGATTTGGGACATAAATTACTACACTGAACATGTGTGCTGGTGGTACATGTACACATTTTCCAGTGATTTTTTTTTTTCATTATTTGATGCTTTGGATGAACCAAAAATGCTGGTGTTTTAACATGGCTTCCCCCTTGCTTAAAAATTGGCTCCTTTACCTCTGTACTTTCTTTTCTGGCAATGCAAACCACACTGAAGTGTCTAATCAAGTACCTCCTAACTGGAATTAGACAAAGAAAAAACTCATTTGCAGAAGAATTGCATTGCAGAACAAATGACATCATTTGTATTAAAATATTCTACACTTAGATTTCTTTTTCCGTGACACTAGAGATCCATCATTTTTAGTCAAGCTAAAAATAGATTGTAATTTTATGCTTGTAAATATTGTCTCAGGCACAAGGATACTGAATAAAAATAGAAAGTAGGATTTGATTTTTAAATTAATACTGTATCCCAAAATACCACTTCTTTACCTTGTTGAATATATTTGAGATCCTGCTCATATTTCCTGGAGCTTCGTAATATTTATAAAACTAGAACGGGGAAAGAGAATGCTTTATTAGAGGCAGCTTTTCCATAAAGCATCTGAGCACCATGCTGCTGTATTTTTAGCTCAATCTCTGTGAATATTATGTGCAGCGTATGGTCTCTCAACTTAAACACAACCCTGAAAAGTACCTCTTTGCTTTCAGCCTTCATTTCTACATGTATTTTTTTATATGCAAAGATGCAGTATTAGCAAGAAAAATAGATCTCTATCAGCATTTGCTTTTGAAACAGACCTAAGGAAGTTAGGTAATTCTAAATTTCTAATAAAAATGTGGTATAGAACTTGATATTAGATATTCCATTTAATAATTTTTTTCCTATCTCCTTATTCTTAACAAAAACATTCCTTTTAACTTTCTTTTATGAAAATTCTTTGACTAAGGAACTGTTAAGAAATCTACAAACAGAGCAAAGACAGAAATGCTCGTGCTCATTCCTTACTTCATGGTGGCTCCATTTAATGGCAGTATTTTTTACTCTAGGTCTCCAAAGAGCCTCAAAGTACTCTTCTTTTTGCCTTCTGACACCTCCTTTCCTCCCCTCTTCTTGTTCTTATTCTTTCTACTGCAAATTAAAACTGCATTGCCATAAAAATATAAGGCATATTTAGATGAATAGAAGGATGGATAGAAGTATGATAAATCAAGTATAGTAAGTTGTTAATGGTAGAATCTAGGTGGAGGGTATAAAGGCATTCACTCTAAGATTCTTTCAGTTTTGCTAGATGCTTGAAAGTTGTCATGACAAAAATCTCTTAGGAGTGGTTACCCATGAAGGGTGGGATTACAGCTTTTACTTCTTCTGTGTTTAAATATTGTACACATATATTATTAGAGAAAAATGAAGATAGTTCTTTTAAAAGCTACATGAATCTGTCATCACAAATGAAGTCATCAGAGTATTGACTTAAATATTCTTCATATTTGAAATTTACATTCATCCATGCTAAATAATTAAGGATGTGACAAAAGAATCAGCTGTGTATGATGCTCACATCATTACAATAGGAAATTGGGTACTTCAATTATAGTGTATATATAGTCAATGGAATACTATGCAGCCATTAAAATATATAGATAGGAAGCAACGCATTGACATGGAAAGATATTTACAATATTTCATATTTTGTAATATAACATTTTATATTTTATACCTAGCTAGAACACATAAAATTTATGAATATAATTGAAAGTAACCATACATGTACATAAAATGTTATCGCTGAATTATGATGCTATAAATTTTTTTATATAGTTTTTTATTTACATTTAAAAATCTTTCCTAAAATAATATTTTCCTGTGCTTTTTAACTTAGTAACATAAGAGAGAAGGAAAACAGAAAAGAGAAGAAAAGAAAAATGTCATGCCATTTTTCTGGGAAAAAGGAGCAAGGAAACCTTAGTATGTTTAATTTTTTATCAAACCAAAAAGATTATCAGGATTTTCCCTTTTATCTATATCATGGAAATCTGGTGTCTTACATTTTCTTAATTTTGCTCTTGTAAAGAATGCACTTGAAATATGTACAAACAAATAATTTCATTCATTCTTCTGAAGATATTTTTATGGATTTGACTAGCAGTTTTGAAAGGAAAGTTAAGATGTTTTTATGTTGTGGGGCCCCAGGCATTTCATACTTGGAAATGCCCTATCCTGAATCTCTAATTGCATTATATTTCTGTCTGACTCATGAGGAAAGGAAGCTTCAAAGCAGAAAACAGAAAATCCAATTTCTCCCTAAATACAGTAACCATTGATATATTTCAGACAATGTAACACCTGTGTTTCAAAGTTTCCCAGTGTCCTACACAGAAGAATCAAGAGTTCAAGGATGTGCCAATTAAACAATAAAAATATTTTTACTTATTATGGATCTCTCTATAAGGAGATTAAGCAATGTGTTGAAATTAGGTACTCTTTACAATATGTCTCTGAAAAAAGATAAAGGGAGAAGACAATTACTGTTATTTTTTCCATTCTGCCAACATTAATTGGACAGTTGGTTTATGACCCTAAACTTAGTGTTTCAGTTATTGTTTCCATGCTTTAAAAGACATATTGTTCCCCATAGATTTCCTTTCAATGG
The DNA here is from genome assembly GCF_000001405.40 of Homo sapiens. Classification (NCBI taxonomy): domain Eukaryota; kingdom Metazoa; phylum Chordata; class Mammalia; order Primates; family Hominidae; genus Homo; species Homo sapiens. The sequence continues at coordinate 105,822,704 of NC_000004.12, forward strand.
CTATTGAAGGAAATGTTGAATAGACATAAAAGTAAAACAAGCAAAAATAAAGTTCATCTCGGGTTCTAGTCCTCCTAGTCCTCATAGTCTGTTACATGGAATTTATCATTTATTATTTTATATGTATGTATGTATGTGTGTATGCTCCTCCCCCTCCTCCTCCTCTATGCTGGTAGTCTATTTTAAGCGTGTCTTCTTGTTCCCTCAAAATATATAATGTTTTGTGTTCTTCATTTCTTGTCTTTCTCAGGTAAAATGTCCAGTGATCGAGCTTTGAGGAAGCAGCAACAGTTGAACAACCTTGTCTATGTGGTAACAAATCAGGCCAAACCTGGTGACAGAATTGTGGATTTCTGCAGCGGTGGGGTATTTTATCTCTCCTTTCATCCTTTTTAGTCTTTCTAAGATTATGAGACTTTTCTATATTACATTCAAGGTCATGTTTTTATTTGGCAAGATTGTGGTTTCAGAATGAGGAAAAGCTGTGGGGACCAAAGCTAACTTGTTTGTCTTACTGACTTTTTCAGGGCCATGTTGGAATTGTCCTTGCTCACATGCTGCCATCATGTCAGGTAAAGCCAGAATAAGAGATAAAAGGAAATATTTTAAAATTATACAGTTCAGCTAGCCAAATTTGGTTTATCCCGCTCTTGGAGTTTCTAGTCACTCACCCAAGTCAAATATGTGGCACAGGCATTGTCTTTTCTTTGAAATAAACTTTCAAGACTCAGAATCTTAAGGAAAAAAAAGTAAAGTAAGATCATAAAACATTTATCAATTTTTAAAAGAGGTTTATAGGTTTAAGTAATTTTTCAAAGAAGTAGCTATTTTATTGCTAAATAAAATAATTATGATTCAACTAGTTTAATTTTCAATATAATTTTAAATGGAAATATTGACCTCTGAAACTTGCTGAGCATATTCTTTTGGTATCTTGATTTTGATCCATTGCATCAAAATTATAACAATAGCAAAATTTTTTAAAGCAAAAAAAAAAAAAACCCAAAACCTACCATACTGATCCATCAAATGCTTTGCTTTTCTTGTTCTCATTAAGTCACTGTCCATAGGGATGCTAATTGTTGCAAATTTTAAAAATGCAAACACAATGTATCCCTTGCTTTCACTCAATATTGTATCATAAATGTTTTTCCCTATTGCTAATAGTTTTACGTATCATCATATTTCGGAGACTACCAAATATATTTTCAAGTAAATATATCAGAATGTATTCAATCATTGCCACAATTTGTTAGAATTTTGTGCTGATTTTAGTCTTCTGCCATGTTAAATCAGTTCCTCACTGTGACCACTTCTTAGCATAAAATTCTGTTTGTTTTTGTTTTGTTTTTAATACAAACTCAACTGCAACAGAGTCTTTGCTTGTGAGCTCTCTGGAAGGTGTGAACTAGTTATAGTGAATACTTGCGGAAGAAAAAAAAATGTGGAAGAACTAATAGACTGGCCAGAATAACATGTAACAGAATGATGACGAGGGGACAGGGAATAGCATTCTTTTATTTTTCTTTTCTTAGAGAATAAACAGGAAAATAAATAAGGAATCCTGGGAGAAGAGGCAGTTGTTTGTTTTATTATTAAGTAAAGCAATAATTTTGTGATTGAGTAGGAGGAAGAGAGCTCACAGAGTAAAATTCTGAGAAGCAGAGTCAGGGATGTAATATTTTTTCTTCCCTTATTAATATTTCTGGAAGTTTAGAAAGGTTGAAACCAAAAATGAGTAATCTTGTCTAGAATAAAGTCAGGAAAGCCTTTCACACCAAGTATAGTCTAACAGGTTTTTCAAACGGATTTTTTCTTACAGACAAGCATAAGAACAAAATAAGAACTAGGAATGATAGTGATGAAAGTGACTTAATTCTTTTCATTTTTTTCCATTCAAACCATCTTCTCTGCCTAGATTATCACTGGAGTCTCCTAACTGGTTTCTCTGCCCTCTGGCCTTGTTGCCACCAATCCATACCATACATTACAGACTACTAAAACTTCTTTTATCATAATTGCATGATCTGGTTTCAGTTTACCTCTCCAGCCTCATTTTCACCCTTTACACCCTGTCCCCCCATCACTACTATCACCATGACACACATTGTGCCCTGGAAATTGCGTACCAATTTTCTCAGTTCTTCAAACATGCCATATTCTTTCTCATCTTGGGCCTTCATGTGTTTCTCTCCCTAAAATACCCTTCCATTCCCCCCAAACCGATTTGTATTCATTTTTTAGGCCTCAGTTAATATGTTACTTCCCCATGAAAATAGTCATCAAGTTTGAATGCTCCCATTAACATTGTTTGTCTTTCATTTAACGCTTATCACACTGTATTATTATTATTTTTGATGTTTTGTTTTTGGTTTTTTTGTTTGCTTGGTTGGTTGATTGGTTGGTTGGTTGGTTGGTTGGTTGGTTGGTTTGTTTGTTTGTTTGAGACAGATTCTCCCTGCGATGCCCAGGCTGGAGTACAGTGGTGCGATCTCAGCTCACTATAACCTCTGCTTCCTGGGTTCAAGGGATTCTCCTGCCTCTGCCTCCCGAATAACTGGGACTACAGATGCACACTACTATGCCCGGCTAATTTTTGTATTTTTAGTAGAGACGGGGTTTCACCATATTGGCCAGGCTAATCTCGAGTTCCTGACCTCAAGTGATCCGCTTGCCTCGGCCTCCCAAAGTGTTGGGATTACAGGCGTGAGCCACCACGCCCGGCCCACGCTGTATTATTATTGCTTGTTTCACTTATATCACTATGCTTCAAAGCTATATCACTATAGTTCAAAGACCTTTCATTTTTCCTTTCTGTACCAGATTATGTGACATACTTCCTGCCACAGAATAGAGGCTCAATATAATACGTTCTACATTATTAAAGCTATGAAATATAGTGATAATGCTTTGCCTAATGTCTGAATTATGTTACTAAATATACTATTGTTTTCTGGGTAAAATCTAGGTTACATTAATAGAAAACAAGGAATTATCATTAATTCGTGCTAAGAAGAGAAGTGATGAACTGGGTTTAAGCAACATTTGGTTCATTCAAGCAAATATGGAATATTTTACTGGGATGTTTAATATTGGAGTAAGTAATCAAGTAATTTCAATTTCTTTAATTAGCTAAATAAGAAAAATTACATGCCTTAGAGTAAATAAAAAAGATAATTTTGTGTTCTTTGCCAAACAAATTTATAATTTTGTATACTTATATTATCTATGAAATATAGCATATTAATGAATATTATTATATTCATAGCACTTCATCATTACATAACAGAGATAACATTGGCTCCTCTATCAGACCAGAACTTTATTTTCTTCACTACAGAATCCCCAGTAGCAAGTGCTGAAAACTGGTTAATAATTGAATAATTGATTCTGATGAACATGACTTGCCTTGGTTTATTCTGCATTTTTAGAAGACAATGAAGGAAAAGAAAAAAGAAGAAAAGAAAATAACTTGTTAGTAATCTCTAAATACAAGCATTGCCTTGTGATTTTTTTTAGCTAAGATTTTATATTTACATGTATTTTCAGGTTCCAAGAGAGAAAGTATATTGATCATGTTTCTAAACCTTTGGATCAAATTGTTATTATTTGATATTATGAAAAATCCCTAAGATATGTAATTCTGCCTGATCATTAAACCCCAGGGTTTTATTATTTTTTGTAGACTTTGAGTTTTATGAACATGTTAGTGTTGCTGCTATTTCTTATATTTGCTTTAAATAATTTTTTTTCTGATTTTGATAGGAATATACATTTTGATAGTAATACAGAAAAATACATAGTAATATAAAGAAGAAATAACCTATATGCCTACTATCAAGTGATAAATACTATCAAAAATCTTTAGTTTTTTATATTTATGCACGCATATAAATGCATATTTTACACATATGTGAACATTGTTAAGACCATACTACATAGATCCTGCATTGACTGAATACTGTTAAAAATCTTTTACCTACTTTTTAATCATACTTTTTTTTCTCATTGTTATAATGCAATTATTACTATGATGGATATTTTATGCATCCTTTAAGAATTTTGATGCATTTGCCAAACCACTTTCCAGGAAGGTTCTTACTGACATCCTTTCTAATTACATATGTTCATATAAACATGTGGTTGTCTAGGTAGAACTTTTATCAACTTAACTAATTCAGACCTTTTATAGTATTTCTGATTTTTACCCAGTGAAATTTATTTCTTAAATATTGACTACTGCAAATTTGGGGGTTTATTGTAATTTTTTTCCAACCTAAAAAATATGCTATTCGTTTCCTTTGCAGACACGATCTACAGTTTACTTCTCTTTTTATAAGCCTGGCTGTTAATAAGGAAATTCAGGAAAATGTAGACATGTAATCTAGAAAATTCAAATTAAAAAATACCTGTGCAGCTTTAACTTTACATAAATGTTGAGGTAAAGTTTAGCGCTTCTCCCATGAAACAAGCCATTAAACCAGTCCAGATATTACCAGTACACCAGACAGAATGGTAGCAAGTAAATGTGGACTGCTACCCATTTATTTACCTCACAAAGCATGGAATTTCCAGCCTATGTCTGTTCCATCCGTCTCTTGGCCCTTCATGACTTATAGATGCTAAATCACTCTAGCATATTCTTGTAACTTCCAAGTGTATAATTTACTAATGCCAACTAAAAATGTATATATCTCTTTGGAAGTGAAATTTTTCTCTACATTTTGTAATACATCTATAATGACTTTTTTTCCTTTCATAATTACCCTTGTCAAGGTGTATAGAAAATGGATTAAAATTGCTTAGAAGGTTAAATTAAAAGTAGATTCACTCTGAAGAGAATAATTTGCCTAGGAGAGTAATTGAGATATTGTCACTAGGTAAATTAGACTAAATGCATCAGAGGTTCTAACTCCTGTGTTAAATGTGTTCCAGTATACACACAAAAAAATTTAAAAAATATTGTGGCTAGAGAGGAAAGCAGAATAACCAGATATTGGAAATGCATTAAAACTGCATAAATTCATGGTTTTGTGACATTTCAATAAGGGCTTAGTTAGCATTTATCTTTGCTTAGTAAATGCTTTATTTTTTTCATTTACTATTTTTCTTTAGATATAAAAATTAATAGTATAAACAAGATTTTAATGAAAGAATTTTAAAAGACTTAGAAACAACTAAGTCTTTTTAAATTATTAAATTTTATAATATGTGTATTAATACCCATGCTCTCAAACAATATTACAAATATTTATTTGCAAATAGTATTACATAAAGGGTCATGACTATGGAAAAATGCTCATTTTGCATTAAAAACAAAAACCGTATCAAGGCTAAACAGCCTGCCACCAACATGTTTAGTTGGAAAATTTCAACAATAACAAACAGTCATTTCAACCAGATGATAAGGTACTGATTTCTAACAGTATTGGCGAATCCTTTCTGTTCATCAACATGTATATGAAAATCTCAAAACAGTTTTATTTTCTAGTTATTGGTATTTGCTTTTTGCTATTTTGCCCACAACATAATTTTTAATTATTGTTTATCACTCATAAGTGCTGACTAGTTAATTATAAGCTCATTTCTATTTATGTATGTATGTTAGTGTACAATTAAAAGAAGCATGTGTAATTATAGACTGTAATTCAGTAACATTTTTGATGAGTAATTATATAATCCTTGTTTTAAAAGATAAGGACCTTGAGAAATTATATATTCTGCAGGCACGCTTTTTAAAAATCATTAAGGCAAAATAGGGGACTTCTGAGATGAAAATAGCAGATAGAGGTATTTCAACCCCGCTTCTCCCCAAAAAAGTTCAGATCCCCAAATAACAAGAACAAGAATCAGAAAAATCAAACTCTATGATGAAGCTATATTCAACATTCTGTAACTTGAATCACAATATGAAGTGTGAAGGTGAAAAGCAGATTGAAGAAAAATGATAAGTTATTGAGTAGAGGAGAAGGAAGATAAAATTTAAATGCATGCCAGGCAGAGTGGCAAGAAGGCTATCAGGACACAAACCACTTTGCTCCCACAGAATCCCAGAAAAGTTTGGGAATTCAGAGCATCAGAAACCTCAGAGGAAATGAATAGGGAGGGACTGAAATCGTGTTTAATTAAAAATATTATTTAGAGACAAGATTCCTGCTCTCGTCTTGTGTAAACAAGAAACTACCTCTCCCCAACTCCTAAGAGAGACAGGAAGTTTATTCTGTAGAAGAAACTGAACCAGAGAGGCACCAAGTATAGAGATATCAGGCATAGAGAAGGGCAATGGTGATGTGCCATACCAAGAATAAGAACTAAATGAGAATCTGCATACTGAAGGATAGATCTCTTCCCTACCCATCTGCCTTCTAATTCCAGAACCACAGAAACCAGGATCATTTCCACAATCATGAGAATTAAAAGATTCTTCTCTGTAGAAGCAGAACTGTCCCCAGAGAAAAGAACTACAGATACTACAGCTATAATTAAAAAAAAAAAAAAAAAAAAGAAAGGCACCTATCCAGGCTTTTTGATCACCCAATCACTGGTGAAGCCCACCAGTTTTCAAAGCCTTACTCTTTCATTCAGAATTTCCAATCAACTTTTTAGTGGTTTACTCTTTAATATGAACAGCTAAAGGAATACCAAACATGGAAAACTTCCAAAATGGAAGATAGAGACCTGTATTAGTCTGTTCTCACACTGCTAATAAAGACATACCCAAGACTGGGTAATTTATAAAGAAAAGAGGTTTAATTGATTCACAGTTCCACATGGCTAGGGAGGCCTCACAATCATGGAGGAAGGCGAATGAGGAGCAAAGTCACATCTTACATGGTGGCAGGCAAGAGTGTGTGCAGGGAAACTCCCCTTTATAAAACGATCAGATTTCATGGGACTTATTCACTATCATGAGAACAGCATGGGAAAGACCCACCCCCATCATACAGTTACCTCCCACTGGGTCCCTTCCATGACATGTGGGAAATATGGGAGCTACAATTCAAGATGAGATTTGGGTAGGGACATAGTCAAACCATATCAAGACCAAAGCAACAAACATAATCAAGGGTCTTAGGGAGAGACTAAAGAAGATAATACATTAGTGAAACAAGGATATAATAGAAAAAGAGGGAACGATCAGAGAACAAGAAAGGACGTCTTGAAAAATAAAAATGTTAGCCAAAATTGAAAACAAATTAAAAATTAAGAGATAAAGTATTTTTTTAAAGAAGTATAGGATACCACTTGAAAAAAATAGAACTTAAAAAAAAGAAAAAGAAAAATGAAACTGGAAAGAAGCAAATTTTTTAAATTAGAGATTTAGTCCAGGAATCAAATACCTCAGTAATAGCAGGACCAGAAAAAGAAAACTGGTAAATCGTGGGGAGGAAAACATCAAAGAAAATACAGGAAAATGTGTTAATAATTAAGAATGCATTTCTTTTGATAAAGTTAACTTACAAAATGGCCTAAGCCAAGGCACCTTGTGAAATTTCAGAACACCAAGGGTGAACAGATTTTCCCAACTGTTTCCACAGAGGGAAAAAAAAATAGTGATATACCATAATTTAGAATCAAAATGCTATCACACTTCTTAATAGTAGTGTGGAAGGCTCAGTGACAGTGAAACAATATCTCGAAAATTCTAACAGAAAACTTCTAATCTAAAATTCTATACCTAGCTAATCCATCAGTCTAGTAAAAAAAAGTAAAATAAAGAAAAATTCGACAGTCAAGGTCTCAATAAAATGTACATTGTACATACCCCTTTTCAGCAAGCTACTAGATAATGTGCTTCATTAAAATATAAAGTAAATAAGAAAAAGGATTAAGTGGTATCCAATACAAGAGAAAAATTTTTAGTATCATGGGAGAGGGAAGTCTTAGGGCAAGAGCTGGGCAACAGGCCTAGAAAGCATTGAGTCCATATTTTAGTAAAACGTCAGAAAGCCCAGGAAAGATGTCTCTAGGAAAGAAAAAATGGAGCTGACCAATTATTTGAAAGTTTTCAAACAGTGGAAATTTATATTGTAGAGCATTTTACAGAGCTTTTGGGTAGGGAACAACTTGGATGTTAAAAAAACAAGCAGAAACCCTGATATCCAGCACACTTCCCTCGGCAGTGAACAGTATATACAAAACCATGAGAAAAGATGGAAAAAGGGAAGATAGTGTATAAATGTGCAAAAAAAAGGCCAAAAGCTCTTCTCTCCTAGTAGAAAGATAATAAATAATGTCTAATATTTACAAATCAAGAGATATCAATATACGTTCATCATATAGAAAAACAGATTTTCAGGAAGTAAACCAATGAGTTGAACAGCATTGACTTTGGTACACAGATTTTCTTTCAGTGGTGTGGCAGTGTGTACAAAACAGGGACTTTTAATATAATTGCATACCTTTTAGCATTATTTGAATTTTAAAGCTGATTACCTATAATATTGTTGTATGAAAGTTTTAAAAGAGGGGAAACAAGAGTACACAGGTGGGACTAGCCTGCTTCTCTGTCTAAGGTATCTAGAGTTAAGAATCCTTCTTCGAAAAGCAACACCGGAGAGAATGATTGGGCTGGGGCAAGTTTAGAGATCATTCAGTTCAACCTTCTCCTTTTACAGGTAGAGAATTTGAGGCTACAAGAAAGGAAGAGTGACCTAGCAAGTTAATGTGGGGGCTGGGTCTAGAAGTCCAGTCAGTGACTCTCTGTTTACTTCCATATCTAAAGAAAAGAGTAAATAGAGCATAGAGAACTAAAAAAAGAAGTTTGGTTTGGAGTCAGACACATTGAGATTAAATCTTGGCTCTTTGTTAAAAAAAATATTAACAATTATTTCTCTTACTTGGAGCAATATTGACCAATTTTTGTTTAAGAACTCTTTGCTTGTTTTTGTTTGTGTGTTCACATCTCTTGCTCATTTTACTCTCACTTTATTGGGCTTTTTCTTTCTTTTTAGAAGTTTGTTATATATTAAGAATATAAGCCTTTTGTTTGTGCTGTAAGTTGTCAATCCTTTCCCTACTTTGTCATTTGTCTTTTTACTTATGGTTTGGTTTTCTGCCAGTCTCTACTGAAAATACAAAAATTAGCTGGGTGTGGTGGTGGGCAGCTGTAATCCCAGCTACTTGGGAGGCTGAGGCAGGAGAATTGCTTGAACCCTGGAGGCAGAGGTTGCAGGGAGTCGAGATCACACCGTTGCACTCCACCCTGGGTGACAAGAGCGAAACTGCATCTCAAAAATAAATAAATAAATAAAAATAAATTTTATTTTGTCAGATTTATTAACCTTACCCCTTATTGCACGTAGATTTTTAGCTTAGTTAGGAATTACTTCCCATTCCCCTTGGTTGTGCAGGAATTTACTCATATTTATTGCATTTTAAATCTCTAATGCATTCAAAATTTATTTCCTATGTGTGATGAGAGGAAAAGATCTAATTTTTATTTTTTTATATGGCTGTCTGGTTAACCAAACATTACTTATTAAAAAGTCCATCTTTTCTCCCTGGTTTGAAATACCACCTTTATTGTATGATAAATTTCCATATCCAATGGTTTTTTTTTGGTCTATATCTCTCATTATTTGCCTGTTATTTCTGAGTTTCATTTGATAACAGTGAAAACTAGGAGCATGTGATGCAGTAAAACCTTTTCGACCAAAAACCTATTATTAGTAGACAATTATTACATTATCTATAAACTATTGTATAGTTATTCAAGTTACTTATTTCATTTAAATGAAGGAAATAAACTCACTTTTTTGCATGTAGTGTAAGGAATGTGAACCTAAGTAAAGAGAGACTTATAAAAGTAAATTTTCTAAACTCTTTTTTGCTCAGAGCCTGAAGAGGGTTTTGTAGAGAAGCCGCCTGATACATGGGGTCAGGCTTTGAGGTCAGCATCCTGCCCCTCAGTAGCTGTTTTGTTGTGGGCAAGTTCTTAATTTCCCAAGACTTCATTTCCTCGCATCTAAATTGGAGATAATAAAGTCTTTCAGGGATGTTGTGAGCATAGTTCTGAGTGCCATCACCCAGCACAGCATAGTGCCAGCACATAAACACTCAGTAAATGTCAGTTTGCTTTCCCTCCAGGGGAAGATGTGTCTATAATTTTTACTATGAAATTTTCTCCAACTAGTCATGAAAATAAGGATTAGCCTGTTTTTTACTCTGAAAAGCTGACTAAAAGAAGCAGATGAGAAATCAAGGTTATTTACTTTCCCATTCCCTGTAGTTGTTGCTGCCTTTACTGGATACCAGCCTTCCTAGGCTGTTTTCAGAGTGAAACAAGAAAGGTGGGATGACAGCAACATGGAGATTGTTGACTTCTATGTGGCTCATGTAAGTCTAGAAGGAGGAGGAGGAATTCAGGAGGAGGATTAAGAACAGAGATCTTGCTTTCCTCTTCCTGATAGAGTATTGTTTGTATTGTTTTTAGCTTTCCAGTTCAAAGGGGGCATCTGGTTTATAATATTTTACTTTCGCTGGGCGCGGTGGCTCATGCCTGTAATCCCAGCACTTTGGGAGGCCGAGGTGGGCGGATCACCTGCGGTCGGGAGTTGGAGACCAGCCTGACCAACATGGTGAAACCCCATCTCTACTAAAAATACAAAAGTATGCAGGCGTGGTGGCACATGCTGTAATCCCAGCTACTCGGGAGGCTGAGGCAGAAGAATTGCTTGAACCCGGGAGGCGGAGGTTGCAGTGAGCCGAGGTTGTGCCATTGCACTCCAGCCTGGGCAACAAGAGCAAAACTCTGTCTCAAAAAAAAAAAAAAGTTTCTAAAATTTACAGAAAATCTCCTCTTTACCCTGAGAGCCCCTCCCTACCCTGAAGTTGGTGAGGGAAGATTATAATTCATTACAATTTATGTTTGTTCAGAATGAAATGGAGATGTGAGGGGTTTTTTTGGTGTTTTTTGTCAAAATCCAGTACAGGTTATTCATCTTTTAGAATCCCCACATCTGATTTTCACTGAGAGTCCTATTTAGGCTTTATTTGGCCTAAGAATTTTCATAATTATCTCATTTGTAGTAAGATTATAGTAAGTATAGATATACTTAAGGATATGTGTTTTAAAAACACTTAAAAATCGTTTTGAGTTATTTTTATGAGTTATTGAAGCCCCACTCAGTATTCTAATTCATAATTTCATTCAATCCTTTTAAAATAAACTCATTGAAAATAGTTCCTGTAACTCATCATTCAATGTTAAGGATTGTTATTATGTGAAAACATCTTAAAAGGGTACTACATGATATGATTCAGTTAGTTTTAATACAGCCCTGATTAGATTATGTTAATATGGCATTTGAGGAAGTGTTTTCAAATACATTTTTATTTAATTTTTGCAACAGCATTGTGACATGTCATATTGTTAACCATCATTTATAGTTGAAGAGATTAAGGCCCAAAGAAGCTAAATTTTAAGTGGCTCAGGGTTATATAGGCAACCAGAGTAATAGACTCGAAATTCTTGTTTCGAATCTAGTGTTCCTGGAACGATGCTATAGTTTAGATAAACACTTGTGTTAATTTTTCCACACTAAAATTGCATCAAATTTTCCGTTGAATGAATCTTATGCTTTATTTGCAATATTCCATTTGCAACCTTTCAAACTTGCTTAGTTTTCATAATTAATTGATATGTGTAGCTAAGTGGTCCTTTGGTATGGCCAAATGAGAACTATTTAAAAGGCATAAAAATTGCACTGTGAGTTAAGAGGGAACTTAGTGCTAAGGCCTGGTTTTATTTTGTAGGTAGCATTGCATGCTTGTGGAGTGGCAACAGACATGGTGATTGAGCACTGTATCAAAACACGGGCTTCCTTCGTCACATGCCCTTGCTGTTATGGTTTCATTCAGAACACCTCAAAGTTCAATTTTCCAAAAAGGTGAGAAATTCAGTGTTCTACATAAGACACCAACATGGGTATAAGCCAGGACACAAAACTTGTTTGATATAAAGTTGCAATGACTTAATTTTTGGCTCATTTCTTCTTTCCACAATGCCAAATATTGTTTGTAAATTGTATAAGGAAGAGAAGAACTCCTTTATGTTTGTCCCTGATTTTTCCCCTGGATCCAGTTTTTACTGAAATTTAGAAGCAAGGCTATCCAGGAGACAGGCAACTAGAAGTCTATTGGCTTTAGCACTTCTCTCTGTATTTCCGAATAAATTTAAAACTGTAACCGTACATAATGTCTATGAGAGGCAGTCAAGTATAGTAAAGTGTTTAGGACCTGGAAGTATAGTGCCTGGGGGAAAATACTAGCTCCTTATCATTTTATAAGGCAAATTACTTAAAATCTTTTTGCCTTAGTTTTCTTGTCTACAAAATGAGGGTTATGATAATAACTACCTCAAGGTTTTTGTGAAAATTTAATGATATGTGTAAAGCCTTTAGAAGTGGCAAGAATAAGTATTCAATAAATGTGAACTGTTGCTAATAATGGTAGCAATGTCACAGGATCCTTGGGGCGTCGCTTTGCCAGCTGGATCCTCTGTGGTTGGTGGAGCGTTTGCCTGAGTTTTGCTTGGGCCCATTGGGCTCACTCCACTCACTCAGCCTGGCAGGCTGCTTTTGGCTTGCACTACCAGCACAGATCCCACACCTGCCAAGGGTGAGCCAGGTACAGAGTGGTGAGGGGTACATGAATGAGCAAGCACAGGGTCCGGCCACTTCACACAGCCAGGCATGCTGGCTGCTGTGGGGCAGGCATCTCCAGGCACCAGCTTGGGTGCTGGCTCCCTGCGAGGCTGCAGCTGGACCAGGTGTACTGCAAGCAGCTTCCACTGTGAGCACTAGGGAACACAGTGGCAACCAGAAGCTTGGAAACGCCAGGAGCCACAGAACCCCTCAGAGGGTATCACAGCCCTGGCTCAGGGAGCTCCTATGACTGGGCTCCCTGAAGGGCCGCATCTCTTCTCTCCTTCTCTCTTCTCTCCTTCTCATGCTTGCAACATGGCGAGTGGGTGTATTTGGGGGCAGGGGGGCATGTGAGCCCTGTTTGTGTTATAACTCTTAGTCCTGCCATTTGGCAGGTCCTGAGTTCTTGTCCCAAATCGAGGAAGAATGAGGTACACAGACAATTGGAGGATGAGCAAGGCAAAGAGGTGCTTTATTGAGCAACAGTACAGCTCTCAGGAGATAAAGTGGGTAGCTCCTCTCCACAGACAGTCATCCCAATGTCTGCTCAGCTCTCAGCCGAGAGGAGACCCACAGAGGGTAGCTTCTCTCCATAGGCAGGTCATCCCAATGTCTACTCAGCTCTCAGGTGGAAGGAGACCCGCAGTGGGTAGCTGCTGTCTTCAGGCAGGTCATCTCATCTCATCTCATCTCTGCAACCCTCAGCAGAGAAGAGATCCAGAGTGGGTAGCTTCTTTCCGCAGGCAGGTCATCCCAATATCTACTCAGCTCTCAGGTGGAAGGAGACCTGCAGTGGGTAGCTGCTGTCTTCAGGCAGGTCATCTCATCTCATCTCATCTCTGCAACCCTCAGCAAAGAAGAGATACAGAGTGGGTAGCTTCTCTCCGCAGGCAGGTCATCCATTGTCTGCCTAAGTCTGGCAGAGTCCGGGGTTTTTATGGACTCCAGAGGGAAGGAAGTGCATGCGATTGGTCCATGGGTGGCCATGGGTGGGCCTGGAAAAAGCACTCTAAGTTCTCACTTTGGTCCACGGAGCTGGCAGCCTGGACCCCAAGCTTCGGGCCATTTCTGGGTTGATGGTGGGGCTTCACCAGGGACCTGCCCCTTTCTACCTAGGAGCCTGTCTGCCTCCTGTTGCCATCAACCTGCCATCCATGGTGCCCATGGCACCCAGGCTGTTTGTGCCAAGGGGTGCCTGCAGGCCCATGTCAAGCTGCCCTCAGTACCCCCTTGGTGTCCATCTCATGCTCGTCAGTGCCCAAAGTCCAGAGGGGGCTGAGGCGGGGGTGGGGGCTGGCATGTCAGCACCACCTTGAGTGCACACACAGCTGGCCAGGTCACCACAGTGCCTGGGCTCAGCCTCAACTTTTGGTGGCCTTTACAGTATGTTACTACCACTTCCTGTCTTTTTCACACCTATGTAGATTTACTGACATTTGTCCTCCCTTGTCCTTTGAACTGATATCTTTAGAAAGTTTCTTTGTGAATAAGACCTATCTCAATCACCAAAAATACAGTTGGGAATTTATAAATAGCATACTGTTTCTATAGTACGTGGAAAGAAGTACTCTTTTCAAACAAACTAATTGGCACTAATAAATTTAGTATCAAATGTATAAGTCAATGTTTTTGAATGACTTAAGAGTGAAGGTTATAGCATTAATAAAAGACAATGTTTATGGAATTGAATGTATGTTTATCTTTATTAGCTGTGACAACAGTGATTTCCTGATGTATTAATCATGCCTTTTTAAATTTTCTGATGTTTTACTATTTGCTAATCCTGGAGAGACTGTTCCTCCCAGGGCTAGCCAATTCCTAGAGATAGTAAAGGTCTTATCAACAAACATACCTTGCATAAGTAAACTCACCAACCCAGAGCCCTTATCCCACAACTACCTCCTTTATCAAGCTCTTATTACTTCCAGGCCACTATCCCCCTGCCCTACTACCCTAGGGCCAGATATCAAACAAGTAGGAACGGCCCTATGCCTGAGTTCACTGAAATTATTCAAACTAGCCACTCCCAAGCCTGCTTACCTCACCTTTTTCTTCCCATGGAAACCGCCTCCTGACCTATACTGGTGTTTCCCCATGTGGCCCTTCATCACATGGCATGCCCCCTCTTCTTGGGGAACTGTGAGTAATAAAGTATCTTTTCAATGGCAGTCCTCTCCTGATCTGTTGGCTGTGCACATCTGAATAACAGTAAAACCCACATGTTAAAACACCTGGATCTTAGTGTTCCCATGAGGGATAGAGACAAAAAAGGTGCTTCTCTAACAGTGTAAACAATCTGTGGAATAGATTTCTTAAAATTAATAACATATTGATGATATGCTTTTCTGTCTTTTTATAAAAGCATTTCAAACTGGCATAGTTTTTACTTCACCATAGCATTTTATGCTTTCTACATACAAAGCATATTTTTATATAATTTAGTTTCTTCAAGATTATCTTACTCTTAATATTTAGAATGATGACTAATTCCTTTTTTTTCTATTTCAGTGAACAATTCAAGAAAACTTTATCATACAAGGTAACCTTAAAAAGATCTAGATATCATCCTAATACACTTTTTATCCTTTATATTTTTCCCTCTCATATTTCTAGTGGAGTAAATAATCTATAGTTATAATTGAATAACTCATGAATGTCTAATATGGGTTTCTTTTTCTCTTTCTTTTGCAAATCCAGATTAACTCTTCAAGTAGGTAACAAGATTTGTGAAGGGTCTGAGATTTTAACTCTACTTGCAGTCTAACAAGTTAGCCTGCCCAGTGGATGCTGGCAGAAGATATGAGACCCCTAAGTCAGAGACAAAAGACAGTTTGTTGCTCATGGCAATAGTGGTAGCCACAATACCATTGTTTTCACACTGACTCTCTATGGCCCAATTCCCACAGGGCAGAAGCAAATGGGCCAGGTAACACCTGCCCTTTTGTTCCAGAGGGAGAAACTATATATTTTCCAAGGCTGTTTACTCTGTAAACGTGCTTGAAAAGATAATCTATAACAGAGGAAAATTCTTTTGTAAAAGGTCAGATAGTAAATATTTTAGGCTATGCTGGCCATAACAAATCTCCAAGTATTCCTCTCATTGTCCTTGACATTCTTATTGTTTTTGTTGTTGGTTTACAACTCTTTAAATATATAAAAACTTTCTTAATTCACAAGCCACACAAAAACTGGTCATAGGCTAGACTTGGCCTGTGGGCCAAACCTTGCTGACCATTGGTCTGGAACAAAGACAGTCAGTGTCTCTGCTTGTAAAACATGAAGAAACACAAGAGACCCACAGAGAATTGTCTTCCAAAAGTAGTCAGAACATACATAGTTTTTAGTCACCAATCTGATCAAAACAGTTTCTAGCTTCCTAAACATCACCACTATCCAATTAACTGGTCAATAGCATGATATAATACAATTTAAGAAATGATAATATTTGAGAAAAATATATAAATAATTCCATTAGAAGTTGACAAATTCATTTGGATTCTTAGTTAATGCCACTTTTTGCACAGACTCACTAAAAACATAGTCTCCTTTTATATACCAGCCCCTATATTTTAGGACTTTTACTTTCTCTTCCATCAAACAGTTGAAATATAGTGAGGTATAGTGACCTAAAAATGTTCATTGTTACCACATCAGCAGCTGTATCTCCTTCATTCCTGCTTTATAACTCAAATGCCCACTTCCAGCTCTGTCTCTTACCACCTTATGTGCTACTCACACCTTCCCCTCTTCCTACCAACCCCGCACCCTGTACAAATATGCACAGATATGGAAAGGGGAGAACTTTTAGTGTTCATGCTTTCAGCCAAAACCACAACATTGCTGGCCTTCACCTACTAGATTAAAAGTTTACATATTTTAGGAAACTGTATGATTTTGGAAGAAACATTAGGACCCAAGAAACTTTATTTGCATAACATTCAAAACATCTCACCTTTCTTTCACAAGGCTATGTCAATAAAGTAGAAAATAAATTGAGAAAACAGCCCAGGTGCAGTGGCTCACGCCTGTAAACCCAGCACTTTGGGAGGCCAAGGCAGGCAGATCACTTGAGAACAGAGTTCAAGACCAGCCTGACCAACATGGTGAAACCCTGTTTCTACTAAAAATACAAAAATTAGCTGGGTGTGGTGACACACACCTGTAATCTCAATTACTCAGGAGGCTGAAGCACGAGAATTGATTGAGATCAGGAGGCAGAGGTTGCAGTGAGCTGAGATTGTGCCATTGCATTCCCATTTCAGCCCGGGTGAGAGAGTGATACTCTGTCTCAAGAAAAGAGAGAGAGAGAGAGGAGAGAAGAAAGAGAGGAGAAGAAAAGAAAGGAAAAGGAAAGAAAAGAAAAAAGAACTTGGGAAAACAAAAACTAGACCCCTGTTTCTAATCCCTCCTTTGAGTGATGCTAGTTAAACCAAACAATGAAAGGATGTATGGAAAAAATCAAGGGTGGTGAAGAGATAGGCTGCCCATGGTCTCCTGGCTAGAAAAGAATGTAAAATTTCTACAGTAGGGACAGGGCACACAGAGTCTTTCAGAAAGCAGAAACTCCCCAGTACACCAGTCATAACCTTTATCTACTCTTTCTCCAACACCCCCAAAAGCTGCTTGGCCTTTTGAAGGCCTCAGAACTTTGTGCCAAAGTATCTTGAGACTCACTTTGGAAGTGTTTTTCTCTGCAGTTCAATTTAGACAGCAACCTTTACTGAGTACCTACCATGTGCCTTGCCCTTTCAGAACTTGATTTTGACCAAAGAGAACATACACACAAATAATTCCAATAAAATATGGTGAGACTTATCAGTACAAGAGAACTGAATCTTACCTGAGATTGCGATTGCCTTGACATTACCATTATATAAAATGAATCTTAATTTACAAACACCATGAGGACAAAGTGCACACTGTTTCTTCAAATCATGTAATTCTAAATTTTCCTTCTCTCCTTTCGTTGATGCCTGTTAGTTTGTGGGGAGTTAAAGTTATTCATTGAAACCATTTTATTAGTTTCTCACCCATTGTCATGAAATTTTATAGTGAGCATTAAAATGTTTTTTTTAAGCATACAAGTTTAGACAAAGATATCCCTTTTAAAAAACCAACATTGCCACAATCATTTCACTTATTAAAAATGGAGGCTTCAAATTTAATGTACAGAATACTAAAGGAACAAATGATGAATCTGAATTTAACCTGTTTGCTAAGCTGACAGGTGAGATTATGTACACACTTAGAAACAACAGCTGTTCTGAATGAACAGTTGTCGTGGGATCATTGCTTCATTTCAACTCTGCCTAATCACTCACTTTTGGCTACATGCAGATTTAAGAGTACTGTGCAAAATCATCAACTCTGCTTTTAAAGCCTTCTTTTCTTTTTCATTAATGCACTCTTTTCTAAGACTGTTAAGCAGAAGTAATAATCAGGTCCTTACCTCAGGCCGTCTTTACAGTTTGTCTTAAGGCAGAAAGGGATACACTTCCTGCAGCCTTTTGGAGTGAGAGAAAGAAATCAAGCTTCTTTCCTCTAAAAGGACTAAGTGAAGGGAAGAGTCAGGAAAAGCCAAGAACTAGCTACCACCCTGCTGGATATCCCAGAAAACTACAGAAGCCACACAGTGATCTGCATTGCTTCCTTTTCCTCTGATAGAATGAAAAGCCACTTAGCAGGCCAGGCACGGTACCTCATGCCTGTAATCCCAGCACTTTGGGAGGCAGAGGCGGGCAGATCACAAGGTCAGGAGTTCGAAACCAGCCTGGCCAACATGGTGAAACCCTGTCTCTACTAAAAAAAATAAATAAATACAAAAATTAGCCAGCATGGTGGCGTGCGCCTGTAGTGCCAGCTACTCAGGAGGCTAGGGCAGGAGTATTGCTTGAACCCAGGAGGCGGAGGTTGCAGTGAGCCGAGATTGTGCCACTGCACTGGAGCCTGGACAACAGAGCAAAACTCCGTCTCAAAAAAAAAAAAGAAAGAAAAGAAAACCCACTTAGCAAGACTGCCTAGAACCACATTCCAGAGTTTCAAATACATTTTATAAAAGAAAAATATAAGTGAATTTTTGGTCTTTTAATTTAACACATAATAGCAAAATGTAACCATATTTTTATATTTCAGCTAAAAGCAACTGGGCAAAATGACCCCGAGGATTTTCTGTGCATCTATTCTTAAGAGCTACATCTGGGCCAGCTGGGCATGGTGGCTCATACCTGTTAATCACAGGACTTTGGAAGGCTGAGGTGGGCAGATCACCTAAGGCCAGGAGTCCGAGACCAGCCTGGCCAACATGGTGAAACCCCGTTTCTATTGAAAAAAAAATACAAAAAATACAAAAAATTAGCCAGATGTGGTGGCATGTGCCTGTAGTCCCAACTACACGGAGGCTGAGGCATGAGAATCACTGGGAGTCTGGGAGACGAAGGTTGCAGTGAGCCAAGATTGCGCCACTGCACTCCAGCCTGGGCGACGGCGAGACTGTCTCAAAACAAAACAAAAAAATACAGTGTACTTGAAGGGAAGAAATTATTAAGTACCATCTTCTGAAAGTTTACTTTTTTCAAAAATACTATTTGTGCAGTACTTTATTCAGTTAAACAATGTTGAACTCCAGAAAAATGAGGTAGTTTTTTTGGTGGTTGTTTTTATAACTTTGAAGCAGAAGATAAAAATAAACCCACATTCTATTGCTTTTTCTTTTAGGAACACATGATTCTGTGCAGATTTGCAGACCAGACAGCTGTCCAGCTCCCACCCCAACGAAGGCTCATAGGTATGTGTTTTCACAGAGCAGCTGTTGAGTGTATTATGCACAATATGACTGGGAATGATTGGACCAAGTCTATATGGGAAAAATTTAGCAACATGAAGTCTATTTTTCAATGAGAAACTAAATATGTTCTTCCCAAAAAAACTTAATTCATATTGAAAAGGGTATTGTAACTATAACATTTTATCCTATTTTGGTTAACTTTAATACTTTTAAATGTATTTTGAATGTTTGTACATTGAGTAGAATTCTTACATTAAATCTCTTACTGTTATGAACAAACTGCAAGATCTATCAAAAGCCATAAAAGAAAATAATAAAGATTAAAAAGTCAACTATATATACCAAAATTGATGCATTATAAAATGTATACACAGGGATGATAATGTTTTCTTTCTCAGGAAAAAGGATACTTGTGTATTATTTATCATAGATGAATTTGTTTGACAATATTAAATATTACCTAAATTGGAAGACCACAGAAACATTTCAAGTTTAATAAGTAATTGATTTATTGAAGACATCACTTTAGAAAAAACAATCACATTTAAAAGAATAATAGCAGTTAATAGTTATACATTTAAGCACTGAGCTAAATGCTCTTGACTGTTATCTTGGTAAATTCTTACAAATATACATATGGGGTAGGTACTATTATTTACATTTTAATGATAAGAAAACTGAGACAAAAGCTTTCCTGGGGTCCCTCATCTGGTAGATGATGGAGCTATACTATGAACCCAACTTATTTGATTCTGGACATGAAGTTCTTGTCCACCTTAGTTACTGCTTCCCAGCATACTGGTGTCATATCAGGGTTTAAGATAAGTGGGTTCAGTCAAAACTAATCTTAAAATTATTCAGAGAAACCCAACATTGGACACCATTATATTTTTTCTCTAAATTTACAATGTAGCCCCTTTTCCTCCATGATATACTAGAAAACAGATTGTTGTTTCTTTGGCTGAGCACCAGATGAAGCTGTTAGCTTACATTCAGAGACCAAGTCGTATGAGAAATCCTTATCTTTAAACTCTAAAATCAAAGGCAGCATAGCAAGATGCTCACACTTGGAGACCTGAGACCTGAGACTCAAGGAGTAAGTGATTCCTTCTCTTTCTCACTCTCTGCAGCATAAACATTTGGAAAGAACTCATTCTCTCTTGCCTGCAACCTCTTTGTCTTTCAATGCCTTTCCTTCTTGCTCCTCCTTTTCCCATCTCCAACACTTTGAATTAATCAAATACACATTTGATGAGACTCCACTCACTAGACCCATGTCTTAGTCTGTTTTGCACTGCTATAACACAATACCATAGACTGGGTAATTCATAATGAACAAATTTTTATTTGGCTCACATTTCTGAAGGCTAGGAAGTCCAAGATCAAGGGGCTGGCATCTGGTGAGGGTCTTCTTCCTGCATCATAACATGATGAAAGGCATCACATGGCAAGAGAGAGAGCAAGAGAAGGCTGAACTTGTCCTTTTATAAGGAACCCACACTCTAGATAATGAACCCACTACCATGATAATGGTATTAATTCATTCACTCCACCCTCTTGGCCTAATGACCTCACATTAGGCCCCACTTCCTAACACTGTTGCATTGCAGATTCAGTTTCCAACACATGCTTTCTGGAGGACACATTCAAATGATAGCAATCCAATGAAGACATAATTAGTATGGTGGATGGATGGGTACATGGTAGATGTGTGTTTTAGGTATCAAACTAAAGGGGAGTATCTGGCAGGGAAGTTGCTAGAGTGGTGGGGGTGGGGGTGGGCATTTGGCAATGGGAAGAACGGGGGGAATCACATTGAGAGAAAGCTGTCACGTCTACATCTCTGCTTTACACAGGCCATTCCTCCCCAGGCCCACAAAGGTAGACTATCAGCAGCTAAATTTCAGTTGTAGAGACACTTCAACATGTGAAAACATGAAATTCTTCTACATAATGGAAAAGGAAAAATTAACTGGACTGGGATCAAAGCCAAGGGTAGATGAGCTCAATGTAAACCCTGGGTGGGTACTTAAGGAATGTAGAGCATCCCATTCTGACACAGAATGTTTCATTTTAAGCTAAAAAGTAGATGGGAGAAACATTTACAGATGTCTTAAAGGAAAGACAATATTTTAAGGGAAAAAAAAGAATGTCGGCCATAAGGCTGTTAATGAAGAAGGGATGATTTTGCCTAAATGGAATTCTGGACATCTCTTTTTATATCATTTCTAACCCAGTTTATTCTTTGTGGGATGGGCTCTTTTAAGGAAAATGTACAAAATAAACATTTTAAATGTGAGTCTCTCATTGCTAATTCTTACCTACTGATTTCACCTTCCACTGTTTTTTTCTGTGAGGATTCTGTTGTTCATAGAACTTTTCTATTTTGGTGATCTGTCTTCATTTCTGAAGTTGTTTTAGTTTATCAGTTTCCACTGTCATTCAATGTTTAGCCATTATTATAATTGTTTAGGAAAAATATAATGAAGTTCTGCATAGTCAGTAATCTTTTTCCAGGGGGTTGAAGAAGCTTATATATTGAATTTAAAGCAATTGAAAGTATAAAAGTAAATCATGGCTTTGAATATATTCAGCCCCAAATCATTTTTCCCAAGCTACTTTTGAAGTTTGTGTTTGCCAAAGGAAAACAAATTAACTGCTTTTCTTGCCAGTCAGGTTTCCTTTTTTGTCTTCCAAAGATTGTAAATGAAATACAATACCACTATTTTGTAGAGGGACAGGAGCTCAGAAAATTAAGAGTATACTACACTCAACATTACATTTCCACCTGAAATAAAAGGCATGTAATTGAGAATTTTCTTAAATATTTTTCATTTCTCACTTCTTCATAGCCCTAAAAAACTTCAGCTGGAAAAGCTAATGTCTTTCAGACACCACTTAATCAGCATGTTATTTTAAATATTCTTAAAGACAAATTTTTTTTCCACATTACAGATAATCTAGTTTTATAGGGAAAGCAGAGAAAAGGTCTTTAAATGTATTTTTAACCAAAGTAGGAAATACAGTCTGAGGCTCTAATTTGAGATTTGCTTATAAATACATCTGAAAAGGTTAACATTCTTTAAATTATTAGCAGAGGCAAATATATGAAGTGCCATGTTTTTGTCACCATCATCTTTCCACATTGATCAAGAAGTAAATTGAAAGAAACTAAACAAGACTTAGGGGTACAAAGCATGCTCCATAGTACTTGCAGATTTTGTCACTATATAGATTCCCTTAAACAAACTGAAACTGTCCTGCTAGTGAAAGGGTGTCTCATGATACCATTTGACTGTGTTTCAGGAAAACAGTGCATGTGCTTGGTGGATCTGGATCGAGCAAGAGCTGCAGAAGAATGTGGATACTCCGTTCAAGTGATATCCATGGAGCCAGAGAGCTGCTCTCCCAAAAATAACATGATTGTGGGAGTCCCCATTTAAAATGAGATATTCACATTTGATATTTTGCCATCCGTCTTCACGTTGGATGCCCAGTGGCATTCAGGAGGTTCTTGGCATAACTAGGAAACAGCATTAGCCATCTTGAACCTATTGTGCTCAGGAAGGAAAGCAACAGGGAAATCTTGGAAGTAAAGGCTCCCTGCAAAGCATCACAAATGCTTTACAATGTGTGATTAAAGGACTGCTGGTTTTTATAGTGAGAATCCCCTGAAGTCTCAGCTGCCAAAAGAATAATACTAGTGGAGGTTCCATCACAGGAATAACAATTTCCTTCTCACTTCACAAGCTCCTCTGATCTTGCCAATGTGATGTTTAATTCAAAACAGCGCACTTACAGCCTTTATTTTATACTTATTTAGATATTCACATGGGAACTGAAAGTAGACTCAGTGGAGTTTTTTGTTTTTTATATTTTTAACAATTGTACTTTTTCTATCACTTTAAAAAAATCTAGTCAGGTAATTATAGTACAGTTATTTTTAAGCTGGGGTTAGTTGAACTTGTATAGCATTTAATATACTCCTTTTAAATATATTTCTGCCAGGCATGGTGGCTCATGCCTATAATCCCAGCACTTTGAGAGGCCAAGGTGGGAGGATCATTTGAGCCCAGGATATCGAGACCAGCCTGCACTACAAAAAAATCCAAAAAATGAGGTGGGAGGATCACTTGAGCCCAGGAAGTCAAGGCTGCAGTGAGCCTTGATAGCGCCACTGCACTCCTGCCTGGGAAAATGAGACCCAGACTCAAAATAAATCAATGAATGAATTAATAAACAAATAAATAAATAAATAAATTTCCCATAAATTACCAAATGAGATTGTCACTGGTTCAAATTATTAAATAATTGCCATAAATTTCCTATTACGGGAATGTGGAATTTGGACATACATTTTAACAATAAGTACATTGATTAATACATTTAAGTTTATAAGTAATTATTGAGGATCCAGTATTTTCAAGACCTTGGCCTAGTTTCTTTTCAATTCAAAGATGAGTTGCAAAAGACATAATGTTTTGCCTATGGAAGTAGATCATCTAGAAGAAAAAGATTAAAGAATTAGTTAAGCTTTTTTTTTTTTTTTTTTTTGAGACAGAGTTTCACTCTTGTTGCCCAGGCTGGAATTCAGTGGCTCGATCTTGGCTCACCACAACCTCTGCATTCTCCTGCCTCAGCCTCCCGAGTAGCTAGGATTATAGGCACCTGCCACCATGCCCGGCTAATTTTGTTTGTAATTTTAGTAGAGATGGGGTTTCTCCATGTTGGCCAGGCTGGTTTCGAACTCCTGACCTCAGGTGATCTACCCGCCTCAGCCTCCCAAAGTGCTGAAATTACAGGCGTGAGCCACCTCACCTGGCCATGTTCTTTATGGAATACTACAATGTGTTGTCACAGGATTTGTTATTCAGATGTCAATCATTTTTATTTATATATTTCTGGGTAAAACTTATTAGTGGTGTGAGGAGTGCAGAATATGGAAGCTTACCTAAATTCTTTTTCTGCCAGCCAACATTTTAAAAGACAAATGATGCATCCTTTCTCAATGCTGCTAATTCTTTAAATTTTACATGTCCCAATTTATTCCATTTGAGATTTATTTTAATGTTTTCAACCCCTGTGTAACATGTATCATGAGGAGAAAGCACTATCATTGATCATCACTATGGATTAAAATATAGGAATATTTTACAGGGCAGTATGGGTGGGGGTGGGAGACATATTGGAATCGTGTTTTCTGGGATAAAATTTTTAAAAAGAATTAATCATTAGCCCTGAGTATTTTAGTCATTTGTGCCTATAGAAAACAACATGCTCTTTTATTGTGGACTTTCTTCTTTTAAGTGAGGTTTAATTTATATACAATACAATAACAGATTTTTAAGTATTCATTTGAGATGTTTTGACAACTGTATATATACATGTAACCATCACTGGAATCAGATATAGAATATTCCCCTTAAATATTGTCAGGTAAACACATTGAGAATATTTTTTCCAGTCTGTGGCTTACCTACTTATTTTCATAATGAATGTTTTACTTGTGATGAAGATTTAACTTACCCTTTTACTTTAATGATTAATATTTTCTGTGTTCTTTCTAATAAATTTTACGAACTCTGAGGTTATAAGATTTCTCCTAAGATTTTTTTTGTAGAAACTTTATGATCCTAGCTTATTACATTTAGGTCTATGATCGATCTCAAATCAAACTCACATATAAAGGCAGGTAGGTTTTGAGGAATATATAGTTGTTTCAGCATCATTAAATAAAAATCCCTTCCTCTCTTCATTGAACTGCCTTGGCACCTCAGTTGAAAATCAGTTCATCTATATGTATGGTTCTATTTCTGAATTCTCTAGTCTTTTCCATTAATCTGTTTGTTTTGATTGCTGTAGCTTTATAGTAAATCTGGAAATCAGGTAGTTTGTCTCCCAATTTTATTTTTCATTCTCTAGATTATTTTGGCTGTCTGGATCCATTGTATCCCCAGATAAATCGTAGAATTGACTTATCAATTTCTTTTTAAAATTTTACCAAAAAAGCTTGCTGGGATTTTTGATATTGCCTGTTCTCTTTAGATCAATTTGAGGAAAATGAATGTCTTAACAAGATTGAATCTTATAATCTATGAAGATATCTTTGCATGTGTTTAGGTCTCCTTTAATTACTCAGAAACATTTTGTAATTTTCTGTGTAGAAGATTTGTTTTATTTATTATGATTTTATTTTTTTGATGTTATTACCCTGAGCTTTTTACATGATGTTCCCTGTATTTAGAATAACCTCCTTTTACCCCTCCCACTAGCTTAATGTCATTCATCCTTCTGCTCTGAGACTTGACCTCCCTGGAATTAGGTATCTGTTATAAAATGTCTACCATCCAGAGTAGTCTTCTCAGTCCTCCCGAGGTGACTCAAGGTACACCCCCCCACCACCACCACCAAAAACAAAAAGCCTATCTGATGAGTATGGAGAACAAAAATAGAATGGGGAGCCGGGCGTGGTAGCTCACGCCTGTAATCTCAGCACTTTGGGATGCCGAGGCAGGTGGATCACTTGAGGTCAGGAGTTTGAGACTAGCCTGACCAACGTGGTGAAACCCTGTCTCTACTAAAAATACAAAAATAAGCCTGGTGGTGGTTGCATATGCCTGTGATCCCAGCTACTAGGGAGGCTAAGGCAGAAGAATCGCTTGAGCCTGGGAGGCAGAGGTTGTGGTGAGCTGAGATCGTGCCACTGCACTCCAGTCTGGGTGACACAGTGAGACCCTGTCTCAAAAAAAGAAAAATAGAAAGGGGACCCCATTGCTCTCCCATGCTTGATCTTGGCATGGCATTCTCCAGCTGTGATGTCTGCGGCTAGTAAGAGATATGGGTATTGTGATTGCTCTTCGGGCATTATTTTTCTATGTAAATCCTTGCCAATGCTTCTTCCCAGCCAGGGCAAATGAAAAGAGTTGGATGCAGGGAGCAGGAAGATTGTTGCAATGATAAAAGCCCAACAAGTGACCTGATCTTACCCTCACCTTTGTCCATCAAATGCAAGGCTACTGCTCACTGATCTATCTCTCCGAAGGTTGTAATAATATTAGAAACCACAGCTCATCTTTCATTGACTTTTGAGCCTGACTCAGAAACAGGAGTATAATTATTAATGGCTAAACTACTTTATCTTATCTTGGGAGACAAATTTCAGTCATATTAGATATCAAAATATTTTCAGGGCACACATGCAAGATAATATGTAAATAACACCAATTAAACATTTAGTTTCATTCTATAGATTTTGGCTACAGGAGTTGCCCATTCCATGGTTCAAGAAAATTGCTATTAATAGAGCTTTCACATACTGAAACCTGTTTTTCTACTGACTTTCATAATGAAATTAGAGATGTTTCTGTAAAGTGATATAATGAAATTATAATAAAGTGATACATTTTTAAATTATAATTTGTTAAAAGAATACAAAAGTAGTTTGGAGTTTTTTAATACTTTTTTTTCTTTTTGAGACAGGGTCTCACTCTGTTACCCAGGTGAACACGGCTCACTGCAGCCTCCACCTCTCTGAGCTCAAGTGATCCTCCTACCTCAGCCTCCAGAGTAGCAGGGACTACAGGCACATGCCACCACATCCAGCTAATTTTTGTATTTTTTTGTAGAGATGATGTTTCATCATGTTGCCCAGGCTGGTTTCAAATACCTGGGCTCAACCAATCCGCCCACCTCAGCCTCTCAATGTGCTGGGATTACAGGTGTGAGTCACCGTAACTGGCCAAATACACATTTTTAATTACAAAGAAATACATATTTGTTGTAGAAAGGAAGATGTGGCTAAACAAAAAGAAGAAAATTCTTAAATTCACGGTGTTAATACTTTGTTGTATGCCTCCTAGACTTATTTTTTTTATAGACGCACACATTTGTTTTTATTCATTTTTCATTTTATAGAGATAGGGGTCTCACCATGTTGCCCACATTGGTCTTGAACTCCTGGGCTCAGGCAATCCTCCCACCTTGGCCTCCCAAAGTGCTAGGATTACAGGCATTAGCTACCTCACCTGGCCCACCCAGATTTATTTAACAAACATTCATACAGTACTTAATATTTGCTAGGCACTATTCTAAACCCTTTACAAATAACTCATTTAGTCTTTTAAGTCTTTTTTCCTCGTAGTGACCCTATGAGCTAGAGACCATTAGTAATCCTATTTTACAGGAACTGAGGCTAAGTTTACACAATAAATGCAGACCTGGATTTGAACTCAGCCAGTAATTGGTAGAACTAATATTCAAATTAAGGCTCTTTAGCCATCCTATCAGGATTGGCTGGGATAAACTATGATAACAAAATCTCTGTGTCTTTACCCAAGAAGGATGTATTTTTCATTCATACCACATATCTGTCCAAATTGCTATGACTACTTCACATTATCATCATACCATGACTTAGCCTGACTGGTTAGCCTCTACTGGGAACATAGCTGGTCTCCTGGCAAGGGAAAAATTGGCATGGCAAACTACCAGCTAGTTATTGAAGATTGAGCTCAGATGTGATACACATTACTTCCCTTATTTTGTTGGCTAAAGTGAGTTATATAGTGCCTCCTGATATTAATAGGGTGGGGATATATAGCTTTATATAATAATATAACATGCCACCCACAATGTAGTTGAAGAAAGAAAGGGAAGGAGAGGATGAGGGGAAAAGACAAAAGTAAAAGACCATCATATATTCCAGTTTGGAAATAGAGTTCTTACATGCCATTGACTTGGTGTAGGGCATTCTCTCTAATCCATCAAAGAGAAGGAAGGCATGTGCTATAGGCATTTCCGGCTATGGTTTTCCCCACCTTATCAGCAGAAGATATGTTCCAAGATCTCTAACAGATGCCTGAATCCTGGAATGGTACTGAACCCTATATATACTGTGTTTCAGTCTGACAACCAAGATGGCTACTAAGTTGGCATGGTTAGCTTATATAGTGTGGATACACTGGACAAAGGGGTGATTCAAGTCCTGGGCTGGATGGAATGGGACAGCACAAGATTTCATCACTCAGAAGCATGAAATTTAAAACTTATAAATTATTTATTTCTGGAATTTTCCAATTAATATTTTCAAACCACAGGTAACTGAAATGGTGGAAAGCGAAACCATGATTGAGAGGGAATTAACTATATTGTTTTGTGAACTTTCACACTTACCTTTAGAAGGTTGGAGAAACATTAAATGGTGTTTCAAATTTGCAAAGTCCATTTCTGACTCATATATTAAAGTATTTGACCTTTAGTACCAAATATTCCATTAAGAAGGTACAAGTTTACACTCCTGCGAGGAATATATGAGTGTTTATTTCCCTAAACCCTTCATCGATACAGGCATTATCAGATATCTCTTTAAATATTGGCCAATTTAGTGGGCAAAGAATGCTATCTTGTATAAAAGTATATGATTGCATACTTTTACATATGTTTTTGCACAATTTATAATCTGAGTTCTCTAGGCAATTATTAATTTATTTAATCAACACATTTATTGAACTTTGAGCCTAGGCATTGCATTTGTGTTTCTTACTCATTTTTTACCTGGTACTTTCATCTTTCACATAAATTAGTAAAAGTTTACGTGTTGATTAAAGACTTTTTATTACATTATCTTTTTCTGAGTTGGCCTTTATGGAAGAAGGTGTTGTTTTGTTTTAGTTTGCTATTGTAAAGTTTAAAATATATGTCACTTTCTTGTGGTTTCTCAGAAAAAAATCCCCCCCAATTAAAAAATATCTATATTTTTGAAATTCTAATTCTTTAATAGTTTTAGTTGTTACATTTAAATCTTTAAACTACCAATAATTTCTTCTGGTTGGTAGTTTGAGGTGGAAATCTAATATTCCTTTTGATGTTAGTTACTTTTCAAAATACCATTGTAAAAAAGCCAGATTTGTATCAGATTGATTTGAAGTGCCTTTATTATGTATTAAGTACACCAGGGACTTTCTTCACTTGCATTCTGTTCTTTTATTATTATTATTATTTTAATACTTTAAGTTCTAGGATACTTGTGCAGAACGTGCAGGTTACATAGGTATACATATGCCATGATGGTTTGCTGCACGTATCAACCTGTCATCTGCATTAGGTATTTTTCCTAATGCTATCCCTCCCCTCGCCCCCAACCGCTGAACAGGCCCTGGTGTATGATGTTGCCCTCCCATGTCCATGTGTTCTCATTGTTCAGCTTCCACTTATGAGTGAGAATATGCAGTGTTTGGTTTTCTGTTCCTGTGTTAGTTTGCTGAGAATGATGGTCTCCAGCTTCATCCATGTCCCTGTGAAGGACATGAACTCATTCTTTTTTATGGCTGCATAGTATTCCATGGTGTATATATGTCCAATTTCTTTATCCAGTCTATCATTGATGGACTTTTGGGTTGGTTCCAAGTCTTTGCTATTGTGAATAGTGCTGCAATAAACATATATGTGCATGTGTCTTTATGGCAGAATGATTTATAATCCTTTGGGTATATACCCAGTAATGGGATTGCTGGGTCAAATTGTATTTCTGGTTCTAGATCCTTGAGGAATTTGTGGTACACAATGGTTGAACTAATTTACAGTCCCAACAACAGTGTAAAAGTGTTCCTATTTCTCCATATCCTCTCCAGCGTCTGTTGTTTCCTGACATTTTAATGATCACCATTCTAACTGGCAAGAGATGGTATCTCATTGTGGTTTTGATTTGCATTTATCTAATGACCAGTGATGATGAGCTTTTTTTCCATATGTGTGTTGGCCACATAAATGTCTTCTTTTGAGAAGTGTCTGTTCATATTGTTTGCCCACTTTTTGATGAGGTTGTTTATTTTTTTCTTGTAAGTTTGTTTAAGTTCCTTGTAGATTGTGGCTATTAGCCGTTTGTCAGATGGATAGATTGCAAAAATTTTCTCCCATTCTATAGGTTGCCTGTTCACTCTGACGATAGTATCTTTTGCTGTACAGAAGCTCTTTAGTTTATTTAGATCCCATTTGTCAATTTTGGCTTTTGTTGCCATTGGTGTTGGTGTTTTAGTCATGAAGTCTTTGCCCATGCCTATGTCGTAAATGGTGTTGCCTAGGTTTTCTTCTAGGGTTTTTATGGTTTTAGGTCTTACATTTAAATCTTTAATCCATCTTGACTTAATTTTTGTATAAGGTGTAAGGAAGGGGTCCAGTTTCAGTTTTCTGTGTATGGCTAGCCAGTTTTCCCAACATTTATTAAATAGGGAATTATTTTCCCATTGCTTGCTTTTGTTAGGTTTGTCAAATATAAGATGGTTGTAGATGTGTGATGTTATGTCTGAGGCCTCTGTTCTGTTCCATTGGTCTATATATCTGTTTTGATACCAGTACCGTGCTGTTTTGGTTACTGTAGGCTTGTAGTATGCTTTGAAGTCAGGTAGCGTGATGCCTCCAGCTTTGTACTTTTTGCTTAGGATTGCCTTGGCTATATAGGCTCTTTTTTGATTCCATATGAAATTTAAAGTGGTTTTTTCTAATTCTGTGAAGAAAGTCAATGGTAACTTGACGTTGATAGCAATGAATCTATAAATTACTTTGGGCAGTATGGCCATTTTCACAATATTGATTCTTCGTATCCACGAGCATGGAATGTTTTTCCATTTGTTTGTGTCTTCTCTTATTTCCTTGAGCAGTGGTTTGTAGTTCTCCTTGAAGAGGTCCTTCACATCCCTTGTAAGTTGTATTCCTAGGTATTTTATTCTCTTAGTAGCAATTGTGAGTGGGTGTTCACTCATGATTTGGTTCTCTGTCCATTATTGGTGTATAGGAATGCTTGTGAATTTTGCACATTGATTTTGTATCCTACTACTTTGCTGAAGTTGCTTATCTGCTTAAGGAGTTTTGGGGCTGAGACGATGGGATTTTCTAAATATACAATGATATCATCTGCAAATAGAGACAATTTGACTTCCTCTCTTCCTATTTGAATACATTTCTTTCTCTTGCCTGATTGCCCCGGCCAGAACTTCCAATATTATGTTGAATAGGAGTGGTGAGAGAGGACATCCTTGTCTTGTTCCAGTTTTTGAAGGGAATGCTTCCAGCTTTTGCCTACTCAGTATTATATTGGCTGTGGATTTGTCATAAATAGCTCTTACTGTTTTGATATATGTTCCATCAATACCTAGTTTATTAAGTGTCCTTAGCCTGAAGGGGTGTTGTTTTATTGAAGGGCTTTTCTGCATCTATTGAGATAATCATGTGGTTTTTGTCATTGGTTCTCTTTATGTGATGGATTACATTTATTGATTTGTGTATGTTGAACCAGCCGTGCATCCCAGGGATGGAGCCGACTTAATTGTGGTGGGTAAGCTTTTTAATGTGCTGCTGGATTCAGTGTGCCAGTATTTTATTGAGGATTTTCACATCAATGTTCATCGAGGATATTGGCCTGAAATATTCTTTTTTTGTTGTGTCTCTGCCAGGCTTTCGTATCAGGATGATGCTGGCCTCATAAAATAAGTTAGGGAGGAGTCCCTCTTTTTCTATTGTTGGAATAGTTTCAGAAGGAATGGTACCAGCTCCTCTTTGTACCTCTGGTAGAATTCAGCTGTGAATCTGCCTGGACCTGGGCTTTTTTTGGTTGGTAGGCTATTAATTACTGCCTCAATTTCAGAACTTGTTACTGGTCTATTCAGGGATTCAACTTCTTCCTGGTTTAGTCTGGGGAGGGTGTATGTGTTCAGGAATTTATCCATTTCTTGTAGATTTTGTAGTTTATTTGCATAGAGGTGTTTATAGTATTCTCTGATAGTAGTTTGTATTTCTGTGGGATCAGTGGTGATATCCTGTTTATCATTTTTTATTGTGTCTATTTGATTCTTCTCTCTTTTCTTCTTTATTAGTCTGGCTAGCAGTCTATCTATTTTGTTAATCTTTTCAAAAAAACCAGCTCCTGGATTCATTGATTTTTTGAAGGATTTTTTGTGTCTCTATCTCCTTCAGTTCTGCTCTGATCTTAGTTATTTCTTGTCTTCTGCTAGCTTTTGAATGTGTTTGCTCTTGCATCTCTAATTCTTTTAATTGTGATGTTAAGGTGTCGATTTTAGATGTTTCCCACTTTCTCTTGTGGGCATTTAGTGCTATAAATTTCCCTCTACACACTGCTTTAGCTGTGTCCCAGAGATTCTAGTACATTGTGTCTTTGTTCTCAGTGGTTTCAAAGAACTTACCTATTTCAGCCTTAATTTTGTTATGTACCCAGTAGTCATTCAGGAGCAGGTTGTTCAGTTTCCATGTAGTTGTGCGATTTTGAGTGAGTTTCTTAATCCTGAGTTCTAATTTGATTGCACTGTGGTCTGAGAGTCTGTTCGTTATGATTTCTATTCCTTTACATTTGCGGAGAAGTGTTTTCATTCCAATTATACGGTCGATTTTAGAATAAGTGCTATGTGTTGTTGAGAAGAATGTATATTCTGTTGATTTGGGGTGGAGGGTTCTGTAGATGTCTATTAGTTCCACTTGGTCCAGAGCTGAGTTCAAATCCTGAATATCCTTGTTAATTTTCTGTCTCATTGATCTGGCTAATATTGATAGCAGAGTGTTAAAGTCTCCAACTATTATTGTGGGAGTCTAATATAGTGTGTCTCCCACTATTATTATGGGAGTCTCAGTCTCTTTGTAGGTCTCTAAGAACTTGCTTTATGAATCCGGGGTGCGCCTGTATTGGGTGCATATATGTTTAGGATAGTTAGCTCTTCTTTTTGCATTGATTCCTTTACCATTATGTAATACCCTTCTTTGTCTTTTTTAATTTTTATTGGTTTAAAGTCTGTTTATCAGAGACGAGGATTGCAACCCAGGCTTTTTTTTTTGCTTTCCATTTCCTTGGTAAATATACCTCCATCCCTTTATTTTGAGCCTATGTGTGTCTTTGCACATGAGATGGGTCTCCTGAATACAGCATACCAATGGTTCTTGACTCTTTATCCAATTTGCCAGTCTGTGTCTTTTAATTGGGGCATTTAGCCCATTTACATTTAAGGTTAATATTGGTTTTTTTGTTTGTTTGTTTTGTTTTGTTTTTTGAGACAGATTCTCACTCTGTCATCAGGCTGGAGTGCAGTGGTGCAATCTCAACTCCCTCTGCCTCCCAGGTTCAAGCAGTTCTCCTGCCTCAGCCTCCCGAGTAGCTGGGACTACAGGCACGCACCACCATGCCCAGCTAATTTTTTTGTATTTTTAGTAGAGACGGGGTTTCACCACATTGGCCAGGATGATCTCAATTTCTTGACCTCATGATCCACCTGCCTTGGCCTCCCAAAGGGCTGGGATTACAGGCATGAGCCACCGCTCCTGGTCAAAGGTTAATATTGTTATGTGAGAATTTGATCCTGTCATCGTGATGCTAGCTGGTTATTTTGCACATTAATTGATGCAGTTTCTTCATTGTCATTGGTCTTTATATTTTGGTATGTTTTTGGAGTGGCTAGTACCAGTTTTCCTTTCCATATTTAGTACTTCCTTCAGGCGCTCTTGGAAGGTAGGCCTGGTGGTGATAAAATTCCTCAGCAATTGCTTGTCTGTAAAGGATTTTATTTCTCCTTATGAAGCTTAGTTTGGCTGGATAGGAAATTCTGGATTGAAAATTCTTTTATTTAAGAATGTCGAATGTTGACCCCCACTCTCTTCTGGCTTGTAGGGTTTCTGCAGAGAGATCAGCTGTTAGTCTGATGAGCTTCCCTTTGTAGGTAACCCAACCTTTATCTCTGGCTGCCCTTAACATTTTTCCCTTCGTTTCAACCTTCATGAATCTGATGATTATGTATCTTGGGGTTGCTCTTCTCGAGGAGTATCTTACCGGTGTTCTCTGTATTTGTTGAGTTTGAAGATTGGCCTGTCTTGCTAAGTTGAGGAAGTTCTCTGGGATAATATCCTGAAGTGTGTTTTCCAACTTGGTTCCATTCTCCCCCTTACTTTCAGTACACCAATCAAGTGTAGGTTTGGTCTTTTCACATAGTCCCATATGTCTTAGAGGATTTGTTCATTCCTTTCATTCTTTTTTCTCTAATCTTGTCTTCACATTTTATTTCATTAAGTTGATCTTAAATTTCTGATATCCTTTCTTCTTCTTAATCGATTCAGCTATTGATACTTGTGTATGCTTCACGAAGTTCTTGTGTTGTGTTTTTCAGCTCCATCAGGTCATTTATGTTCTTCTCTAAACTGGTAATTCTAGTTAGCAATTCCTCTAATGTTTTTTCAAGGTTCTTAGCTTCCTTGCATCTGACTAGAACATGCTTCTTTAGCTCAGAGGAGTTTGTTATTACCCACCTTCTGAAGCCTACTTCTGTTAATTCGTCAAACTCATCCTCTGTCCAGTTTTGTTCCCTTGCTAGCAAGGAGTTGTGATCCTTTGGAGGAGAAGAGGCATGCTGGTTTTTCCTCATCTTCATGGATTTATCTACCTTTGGTCTTTGATGCTGAGGACCTTTGGATGGGGTTTTTGTGTGGGTGTCCTTTTTGTTGATGTTGATGTTACTGCTTTCTGTTTGTTAGTTTTCCTTCTAACTGTCAGGACCATCTGCTGGAGTTTGCTGGAGGTCCTCTCCAGACCCTGTTTGCCTGGGTATCACCAACAGAGGCTACAGAACAGCAAAGATTGCTCCCTGCTCCTTCTCTGGAAGCTTCATCCCAGAGGGGCACCTGCCAGATGCCAGCTGAAGCTCTCCTGTATAAGGTGTCTGTTGACCCCTGCTGGGAAGTATCTCCTAGTGAGGAGGCACAAGGGTCAGGGACCCACTTGAGGAGTCAGTCTGTCCCTTAGCAGAGCTCAAGCACTGTGCTGGGAGATCTGCTCCTCTCTTCAGAGCCAGCAGGCAGGAACATTTAAGTCTGATGAAGCTATGCCCACAGCTGCCCCTTCCCCCAGGTGCTCTGTCCCAGGGAGACAGGAGTTTTATCTGTAAGCCCCTGAATAGGGCTTCTCTCTTTCTTTCAGAGATGCCCTCCCCAGAGAGGAGGAATCTAGAGAAGCAGTCTGGCTACAGTGGCTTTGCTGCACTGTGGTGGGCTCTGCTCAGTCTAACCTTCCCTGCGGCTTTGTTTACATTGTGAGGGGAAGACCACCTACTCAGGCCTCAGTAGTGATGGACGCCCCTCCCCCATGCAAGCTTGAGTGTCCCAGGTCGACTTCAGACTGCTGTGCTGGCAGTGAGAATTTCCAGCCAATGGATCTTAGCTTGCTTGGCTCCGTGGGGGTGGGGCCCGCTCAGCAAGACCACTCGGCTCCCTGGCTTCTGTCCCCTTTCCAGGGGAGTGAATGGTTCTGTCTTGCTGGGGTTCTAGGCGCCACTAGGGTATGAAAAAAAAAAACTCCTGCAGCTAGCTCGGTGTCTGCCCAAATGGCCGCCCAGTTTTGTGCTTGAAACCCAGGGCACTGGTGGTATAGGCACCTGAGGGAATCTCCTGGTCTGTGGGTTGCAAAAGCCATGGGAAAATCATCATATCTGGGCTGGAATGCACCGTCCTCACGGCACAGTCCCTCAGGGCTTCCCTTAGCAAGGGGAGTTCCCCAACCCCTTGTGCTTCCTGGGTGAGGCGACACCCCACCCGGCTTTTGCTCGCCCTCCATGGGCTGCACCTACCGTCTAACAAGTCCCAGTGAGATGAATGGGTACCTCAGTTGGAAATGCAGAAATCACCTGCCTTCTGCACTGATCTCGCTGTAAGCTGCAGACTGGAGCTGTATGTATTCAGCCATCTTGCTGGTGTTTCCCACAGTCTGCTCTTATACCAGAACCACACTCACTCAATTATTGCAGCTTTCTATTAAATTTTTACATCCAGCGGGCTGTTTTCTGTTTGGTAATTATCTTAAGGGTTTTTGACCTGAGATACATAGAAGGTATAAGCTCTCCTGAAATTGTACCCAGTTTTTCAAAAATACAGGTATATGGATTTTCCTTAAGAGATGGACCATAATTTTAATTAGATTCTTAAAAGGATCCATGACCCAAAACATTAAATATCACTAACCTAAAGGAAGCGAAAACATTATAATATAATTCAATGTTCTGCACTAAGAACTTAGCCAAATATTAAAATATTTTCTTCCAATATTTACACAAAAAGTCATTTGCTTTTGTAAAACTCCTTTTTCATAGCACTATAGGAAAGTGAGGTTTTGTTCATTTGCTTTTGGTTTTTTGTTTATTTGCTTGCTTTTAGACATAGCTTATCCTATCTCAATAACAACAGTATAAAATCAAACAATAAAACAA
Source organism: Homo sapiens (assembly GCF_000001405.40). Classification (NCBI taxonomy): domain Eukaryota; kingdom Metazoa; phylum Chordata; class Mammalia; order Primates; family Hominidae; genus Homo; species Homo sapiens. Next base: position 105,859,378 of record NC_000004.12, read on the forward strand.
AACTCAGCAGCAAACAGAAGAGTATATTTAGTGGATGACTCATCTAAAAAGTCTCGAAAATTTCCAGTGAGTCAGATATTGTGTTAGTTGCTATTGCATACAAGAAGAAGCCTTTCTGTCCAACAAAAGTGTTCTCTCCCAGTTACTCTCTATTTCCCCACAATACATTTGTATATATGTTTATTTTGTCTTCCTCACTAGAATGTAAGCTCCAAGCAGTCCATTTTATCCACCATTATACTCTCAGTACTTAATTCAGTGTCAGGTACATAGTAGGAATTCAATAAATACAGAATCAGTAATATATTTTAATCTCTTTCATGTGGGGAATTGTGTTGCTTTGGTTTGTATTGTTTTATTTTGTTTAATGTCCTTAACAAATGAGCAAATCAAATGCTAAAGAACATAAAGGAGTAACAGTTACTGCCTTATGTCATCTGAATAGTTTTTATAAAGAGGATGCTGGTCAATTATATTCCCTGTCCATGAAGGAAAAAGCAAAAGGGCTTTTTTGAGTGAGTTTATGCCAAAGTGAAGAGAGAAGTTTCTCAAAAAATGTTAGTTTGATATTTACCATCATAAATCTGGCCCAGCATAGAGCATGGCTCAAACTAGGTGCTTAATAAATATCTGTTGAATGAGTGATACTGAATGACCATCAAGGGAATAAGACAGTGAAATGTGCAATCTGTAGGGCATGCTACTTCTCTGTCACTAGTACATCTTTAATAAGAAAAGGAGGTTAAGGTGATTCCAAGATGGCCGAATAGGAACAGCTCCAATCTACAGCTCCCAGCGTGAGTGATGCAGAAGACAAATTATTTCTGCATTTCCAACTGAGGTACCAGGTTCATCTCACCGGTGATTGTCAGACAGTGGGTACAGGAAAGTGGGTGCGGCACACCAAGCATGAGCCGAAGCAGGGCGAGGCATCGCCACATCCGGGAAGCGCAAGGGGTCAGGGAATTCCCTTTCCTAGACAAGGAAAGGGGTGACAGACAGCACATGGAAAATAGAGCCACTCCCACCCTAATACTGCACTTTTCTGACAGTCTTAGCAAACGGCACAGCAGGAGATTATATCCCACGCCTGGCTCAGATTGTCCTGTGCCCACGGAGCCTCGCTCATTGCCAGCACAGCAGTCTGAGGTCAAACTGCAAGGTGGCAGCGAGGCTGAGGGAGGGGTGCCCACCATTGCTGAGGCTGGAGTAGGTAAACAAAGAGTCCTGGAAGCTTGAACTGGGTGGAGACTACCGCAGCTCAAGGAGGCCTGCCTGCCTCTGTAGACTCCACCTCTGAGGGCAGGGCATAGCCAAACAAAAGGCAGCAGAAACCTCTGCAGACTTAAATGTCCCTGTCTGACAGCTTTGAAGAGAGTAGTGGTTCTCCCAGCACACAGCTTGAGATCTGAGAACGGGCAGACTGCCTCCTCAAGTGGGTCCCTGACCCCCGAGTACCCTAACTGGGAGGCACCCCCCAGTAGGGGCAGACACCTCACACGGCCGGGTACCCCTCTGAGACAAAACTTCCAGAGGAACGATCGGGCAGCAACATTTGCTGTTCACCAATATTCACTGTTCTGCAGCCTCCACTGCTGATACCCAGGCAAACAGGGTCTGGAGTGGACCTCCGGCAAACTCCAACAGACCTGCAGCTGAGGGTCCTGACTGTTAGAAGGAAAACTAACAAACAGAAAGAAAATCCACACCAAAGCCCCATCTGTACGTCACCATCATCAAAGACCAAAGGGAGATAAAACCACAAAGATGGGGAAAAAACAGAGCAGAAAAACTGAAAATTCTAAAAATCCGAGCGCCTCTCCTCCTCCAAAGGAACGCAGCCCCTCACCAGCAACGGAACAAAACTTGAAGGAAAATGACTTTGACGAGTTGAGAGAACAAGGCATCAGACGATCAAACTTCTCCGAGCTAAAGGAGGAAATTTGAACCCATGGCAAAGAAGTTAAAAACCTTGAAAAAAGATTAGACAAATGGCTAACTAGAATAACCAATGCAGAGAAGTCCTCAAAGGACCTGATGGAGCTGAAAACCATAGTACGAGAACTACATGACGAATGCACAAGCTTCAGTAGCTGATTCGATCAACTGGAAGAAAGGGTATCAGTGATAGAAGATCAAATGAACGAAATGCGGTGAGAAGAGAAGTTTAGAGAAAAAAAGAATAAAAAGAAAAGAACAAAGCCTCCAAGAAATATCGGACTATGTGAAAAGACCAAATCTACGTCTGATTGGTGTACCTGAAAGTGATGGGGAGAATGGAACCAAGTTGGAAAACACTCTGCAGGATATTATCCAGGAGAACTTCCCCAATCTAGCAAGGTAGGCCAAAATTCAAACTCAGGAAATACAGAGAATGCCACAAAGATACTCGTCGAGAAGAGCAACTCAAAGACACATAATTGTCAGATTCACCAAAGTTGAAATGAAGGAAAAAATGTTAAGGGCAGCCAGAGAGAAAGGTCGGGTTACCCTCAAAGGGAAGCCCATCAGACTAACAGCTGATCTCTTGGCAGAAATTCTACCAGCCAGAAGAGAGTGGGGGCCAATATTCAACATTCTTAAAGAAAAGAATTTTCAACCCAGAATTTCATATCCAGCCAAACTAAGCTTCATAAGTGAAAGAGAAATAAAATACTTTACAGACAAGCAAATGCTGAGAGATTTTGTCACCACCAGGCCTGCCCTACAAGAGCTCCTGAAGGAAGCACTAAACATGGAAAGGAACAACTGGTACCAGCCACTGCAAAAACATGCCAAATTGTAAAGACCATCGAGGCTAGGAAGAAACTGCATCAATCAATGAGCAAAATAACCAGCTAACATCATAATGACAGGATCAAATTCACACATAACAATATTAACCTGAAATGTAAATGGGCTAAATGCTCCAATTAAAAGACACAGACTGGCAAATTGGATAAAGAGTCAAGACCCATCAGTGTGCTGTATTCAGGAAACCATCTCACATGCAGAGACACACATAGGCTAAAAATAAAGGGATGGAGGAAGATCTACCAAGCAAATGGAAGACAAAAAAAAGCAGGGGTTGCAATCCTAGTCTCTGATAAAACAGACTTTAAACCAACAAAGATCAAAAGAGACAAAGAAGGCCATTATATAATGGTAAAGGGATCAATTCAACAAGAAGAGCTAACTATCCTAAATATATATGCACCAAATACAGGAGCACCCAGATTCATAAAGCAAGTCCTTAGAGACCTACAAAGAAACTTAGACTCCCACACAATAATAATGGGAGACTTTAACACCCCACTGTCAACTTTAGACAGATCAATGAGACAGAAAGTTAACAAGCATATCCAGGAATTGAACTCAGCTCTGCACCAAGCAGACCTAATAGACATCTACAGAACTCTCCACCCCAAATCAACAGAATATACATTCTTCTCAGCACCACATTGCACTTACTCCAAAATTGACCATATAGTTGGAAGTAAAATACTCCTCAGGAAATGTAAAAGAACAGAAATTATAACAAACTGTCTCAGACCACAGTGCAATCAAACTAGAACTCAGCATTAAGAAACTCACTCAAAACCACTCAATTACATGGAAACTGAACAACCTGCTCCTGAATCATTACTGGGTACATAACGAAATGAAGGCAGAAATAAAGATGTTCTTTGAAACCAATGAAAACAAAGACACAACATAACAGAATCTCTGGGACACATTTCAAGCAGTGTGTAGAGGGAAATTTATAGCACTAAATGCCCATGAAAGAAAGCAGGAAAGATCTAAAATTGACATCCTAACATCACAACTAAAAGAATTAGAGAAGCAAGAGCAAACACATTCAAAAGCTAGCAGAAGACAAGAAATAGCTAAGATCAGAGCAGAACTGAAGAAGAGACACAAAAAACCCTTCAAAAAATCAATAAACCCAGGAGCTGGTTTTTTGAAAAGATCAACAAAATTGATAGACCGCTAGCAAGACTAATAAAAAAGAAAAGACAGAAGAATCAACTACATGCAATAAAGAATGATAAAGGGGATATCACCACCAATCCCACAGAAATACAAACTACCATCAGAGAATACTATAAACACCTCTACGCAAATAAACTAGAAAATCTAGAAGAAATGGATAAATTCCTGGACACATACACCCTCCCAAGACTAAATCAGGAAGAAGTTGAATCTCTGAATAGACCAATAACAGGCTCTGAAATTGAGGCAATAATTAATAGCTTACCAACCAAAAGAAGTCCAGGACCAGATGGATTCACAGCCGAATTCTACCAGAGGTACAAGGAGGAGCTGGTACCATTCCTTCTGAAACTATTCCAATCAATAGAAAAAGAGGGAATTCTCCCTAATTCATTTTATGAGGCCAGCATCATCCTGATACCAAAGCCTGGCAGAGACACAACAAAAAAAGAATTTTAGACCAATATCCCTGATGAACATTGATGCAAAAATCCTCAATAAAATACTGGCAAACTGAATCCAGCAACACATCAAAAAGCTTGTCCACCATGATCAAGTGGGCTTCATCCCTGGGATGCAAGGCTGGTTCAACATACACAAATCAATAAACGTAATCCAGCATATAAACAGTATCAATGACAAAAACCACATGGTTATCTCAATAGATGCAGAAAAGACCTTTGACAAAATTCAACAGCGCTTCATGCTAAAAGCTCTCAATAAACTAGGTATTGATAGGATGTATCTCAAAATAATAAGAGCTATTTGTGACAAACCCACAGCCAATATCATACTGACTGGGCAAAAACTGGAAGCATTCCCTTTGAAAACTGGCACAAGACAGGGATGTCCTCTCTCACCACTCCTATTCAACATAGTGTTGGAAGTTCCAGCCAGGGCAATCAGGCAGGAGAAGGAAATAAAGGGTATTCGATTAGGCAAAGAGGAAGTCAAATTGTCCCTGTTTGCAGATGACATGATTGTATATCTAGAAAACCCCATCGTCTCAGCCCAAAATCTCCTTAAGCTGATAAGCAACTTCAGCAAAGTCTCAGGATACAAAATCAATATGCAAAAATCACAAGCATTCTTATACACCAAAAACAGACAGAGAGCCAAATCATGAGTGAACTCCCATTCACAATTGCTTCAAAGAGAATAAAATACCTAGGAATCCAACTTACAAGGGATGTGAAGGACCTCTTCAAGGAGAACTACAAACCACTGCTCAACTAAATAAAAGAGGATACAAACAAATGGAAGAACATTCCATGCTCATGGGTAGGAAGAATCAATATCGTGAAAATGGCCATACTGCCAAAGGTAATTTGTAGATTCAATGCCATCCCCATCAAGCTACCAATGACTTTCTTCACAGAACTGGAAAAAACTACTTTAAAGTTCACATGGAACCAAAAAAGAGCCTGCATTGCCAAGACAATCCTAAGCCAAAAGAACAAAGCTGGAGGCATCACACTACCTGACTTCAAACTATACTACAAGGCTACAGTAACCAAAACAGCATGGTACTGGTACCAAAACAGAGATATAGACCAATGGAACAGAACAGAGCCCTCAGAAATAATGCCACACATCTACAACTATCGGATCTTTGACAAACCTGACAAAAACAAGAAATGGGGAAAGGATTGCCTATTTAATAAATGGTGCTGGGAAAACTGGCTAGCCATATGTAGAAAGCTGAAACTGGATCCCTTCCTTACACCTTATACAAAAATTAATGCAAGATGGATTAAAGATTTAAATGTTAGACCTAAAACCATAAAAACCCTAGAAGAAAACCTAGGCAATACCATTCAGGACAGGCATGGGCAAGGACTTCATTTCTAAAACACCAAAAGCAATGGCAACAAAAGCCAAAATTGACAAATGGGATCTAATTAAACTAAAGAGCTTCTGCACAGCAAAAGAAACTACCATCAGAGTGAACAGGCAACCTACAGAATGGGAGAAAATTTTTGCCATCTACTCATCTGACAAAGGGCTAATATCCAGAATCTACAAAGAACTCAGACAAATTTACAAAAGAAAACAAACAACCCCATCAAAAAAGTGGGCGAAGGATATGAACAGACACTTCTCAAAAGAAGACATTTATGCAGCCAAAAGACACATGAAAAAATGCTCATCATCACTGGCCATCAGAGAAATGCAAATTAAAACCACAGTGAGATACCATCTCACACCAGTTAGAATGGCGATCATTAAAAAGGAAACAACAGGTGCTGGAGAGGATGTGGAGAAATAGGAACACTTTTACACTGTTGGTGGGACTGTAAACTAGTTCAATCATTGTGGAAGTCAGTGTGGCAATTCCTCAGGGATCTAGAACTAGAAATACCATTGGACCCAGCCATCCCATTACTGGGTATATACCCAAAGGATTATAAATCATGCTGCTATAAAGACACATGCACACATATGTTTATTGCGGCACTATTCACAATAGCAAAGACTTGGAACCAACCCAAATGTCCAACAATGATAGACTGGATTAAGAAAATGTGGCACATATACACCATGGAATATTATGCAGCCATTAAAAAGGATGAGTTCATGTCCTTTGTAGGGACATGGATGAAGCTGGAAACCATCATTCTCAGCAAACTATCACAAGGCCAAAAAACCAAACACCGCATGTTCTCACTCATAGTTGGGAATTGAACAATGAGAACACATGGATGCGGGAAGGGGAACATCACACACTGGGGCCTGATGTGGGGTGGGGGTCTGGAGGAGGGATAGCATTAGAAGATATACCTAATGTAAATGACGAGTTAATGGGTGCAGCACACCAACATGGCACATGTATACATATGTAACAAACCTGCACATTGTGCACATATACCCTAAAACTTAAAGTATAATAAATAAATAAATAAATAAATAAGAAAGAAAAGGGAAGCTTGCTCTTCCACATGTCTGATAACTAGGTTCAGTCACAGATTTTTTCTCACCGTCTGCTTGTGTTTCAGTCAGAGGGAAAACATATGCAGAGCCTATAGACTAATTTTCCTGCTGGATGTTTTCTACTTTACATAGAACAGCTAGCTCAATTATCTGAGAATAATCGATAACTCAGTACAGTTTTGGAATGTAGCACATATTTTGTTGAGAACAACAACTTTATCCCTTAAAACATTCTCAGTAATTAGAAAAAGTAAGCTAGAACTTCTTGGGTGGGCAAGGAAACCCAGCGTAGGATTAAAATTTACCATGGACAATTAAAACCATGGTTTATATACATAAACAACTGGGAGTTGACTATATATAATAATAAGTGAATTTTATACATATATTTTGTCACTGCAAATTTATAAATGATCATGTCAGTTATTTGATTTAAAACTTTTTCATATTAGATCCCTCACAAATCATCCCAGAACTTACTTTAAAGTTGAATGAGACTAAAAAAACATAAATACATTCCTAAGTATAGAGTGACTGCTCTTTTCTTACTATATTTTGAGTTTAGTACTGCCACAATGCAGAGTGATGTCACTGATACTCTGAGTAGGCTTTTAGCTGACTACATGGAGGCATGTTTGTTACTGAATTAAGAGCAGCCAGCTGCTTTGGGAAAGTGTGTATGTATTTTGGGAAATGAAAGGGGGTGGTGGGGAGAGAGGAAACAATGCACGTGAATTACTAAAGCTTGATTTTTCCCCCAGTCTTACCATAAGAGAGCATCTTTGGATTATTTCTAGAATTGCACAACTGGAAATATTTCATGTAACCAAATCATGAATTTCAGCATCATCATTAAACTTCCAAATTTTCTGACAGAATAAAGTCAATCTGATTTTTAAAGATATCCAGAGCAAAAAATTTTATCCTCTCAGTAAATCTTTAGCATATTTTCCATAGCTCACCTCAAGGAAATTCTATTTTAGACAAACTCTTCATGCTATTAATACATTTAAAATGCATCTCAGAAACTAGGTGCAGTGGCTCACACCTGTAATTCCAACATTTGGGGAGGCTAAGGCAGGAGGATTGCTTGAGCCCAGGAGTTCAAGACCAACCTGGGCAACATAGCAAGACCTTATCTCTACAAAAAATAAATTAGCCAGCTATGGTGGCACACACCTGTAGAGCCAACTACTTGGGAGGCTGAGGTTAGAGGATTGCTTAAGCCCAGGAATTCGAGGCTGCAGTGCACTATAATCATGCCACCGAACTCCAGCCTGAGTGACAGAGTGAGAACCTGCATAAATAGATGATAGACAGATAGACTGATAGATAATATTGAGAAAAACAAAATGCATCTCTCAGGTACTTATGTCAATAGAAAGGGACAACAACTATCAACTAACTTCCCTTGCTTTAAATTAGAATGTACTTCAAAACTACTATTTTTAACCTGTGTTTCCTTTATTATTGTTTATATAGTAGTGTTGGAATTATCAGACTGAGCAGTCCTAATTTTACTTTTTGAGTCTTATTTCCTACATCTTTGAATATTTCTAAGGCTATCTAGCAAGTCTAGCCCAATTTTCAATTTCTTCTTGGCTATAAATCTTACAGAACTAGTAAGTGATTCGAACAGAATAATTAAGGTCAATTATTCATCCTCTTAATTACCTAAAACTCTGTAATTCTTGTTGTCTGACAGAGAAGCCCTGCCTTGTTCTTCCTTATAATAGTCTTGGCTATTCTTGTCCTTTTGCTCTTCCATCCGAAATTAAGATCTGCTCTCCATGTACCATGAAAAAGGCTTTAGGGATTTTTATTGGAGCTGCACTCAATTTAGAGATTAATAGGGAAGAACTGACATCTTCTAAAGTCTTCTTATTCCTCAACATGGTATATATGAACAAGATAGTTCCCTTCAATTCCTACTTTATCATGAACGGTTGCCAATTTTAGTATCTACTGAGGTGATCATCTAGGTTTTCTCCTTTTGGTATCTTAGTGAGGGTAATTCCATATATATACATATATATACACATTTTTTTTTTTGAGGCGGAGTCTCGCTCTGTAGTCCAGGCTGGAGTGCAGTGGCGCAATCTCGGCTCACTGCAAGCTCCACCTCCCGGGTACACGCCATTCTCCTGCCTCAGCCTCCCGAGTAGCTGGGACTACAGGCGCCTGCCACCATGTCCGGCTAATTTTTTGTATTTTTAGTAGAGACGGGGTTTCACCATGTTAGCCAGGATGGTCTCGATCTCCTGACCTCGTGATCCGCCCGCCTTGACCTCCCAAAGTGCTGGGATTACAGGCTCCATTAATATATTTTATAATGTTAAATTGTTCTTATATTCCTGAGGAAAAACTTAACTTGCTCAAGAAAAGGTTTTTTCCAGTTACTAACATTTTATTTTTAATTTTAATTTTATTATCTTTGTTCCTAAGTGTGATTGGACTTTCTGATATTATCCTGATCTGTTTTGGATCAAGATTATTCTAGCACCATTAACTGATCTGAAGAATATTTTTTCTATTCCCTGGAACTGCTTTTATAAAACAGGGATAATTTTTCTCAAATGCTTGGTTCACTGGCCTATAAAACCATCTAGTATATTTGGGGACGGGAGAAAACAAGTTAAATTTTAAGCTATTTATTAAATTTCCTTAATTGTAATTGGTATATTCAGGTTTTCCATTTCTTCTTGAATCACTTTTCTAAGATGTATTTTTCTAAGACATTGTCTGGGTTGACTTTATTTCTTTATCTAGGCTGGTGATGAAAACTTAAAACGAAAATCTAGGCTTCTAACTGACTTTGAAAAACACCTTGTATTATTTTTTGACCCTCTAGCAATTTGTGTTCTCACCTAATAGTTACGCTGTCTAGACCATATTTTCTAAATTTATTGCCTTGTACAAGTGAATCACCTAACCTTCCTAGAGCCAAGAAAAATTAGAACTATCTCTTCTTTCTTCTGATCTACCTGGGACATTTATCCTAATAGATCAGGCGAGTCTGACAGTGTTTATTCTTCATGAAGAGTTGCTGGCAGCTATCAGCAAGGTGCTTGCAATGTTTTTTCTTCAATGATTTTTAAAGGTACAGACATTTACTGTATAGAATTTATACTCACTTTGCTATAGTTCTTGGAGGCTTTTACTATGAATATCATCAAAAGTGTTTTTCAAGACCAAATTTTAGAAACAGTAATAGAAAATGTACAATAGAATGAAACCTTGAACAGTTTTCTTGAAGAGGCACATGGTCCTTAAGAAGATATGGTGGAATGCAAATCCAGAGTAATTTATACTCAATCGTGTGTTTTCCTATCTCCCAGTCATATATTAAAATGTACTATAAATTTATGTCACTAGTAAGAAGCACTTATGGATGTCTCTGATGATGTGCCAAAGCAATTGAAAGAAGATTGCCAGTTGCCATCAGATGCAAATTAAAAGATTATTATCAAATGTCATGGGAGAGGAGAAGCATTTCAGGGTCTTTTTTTTTTTTTTTTTTTTGGTCCCATCCTAGGGATTCCAGAATGAAGGAGCTATAGCAGCAGCTGCTCTTTTACAGTGTATCTGTATGGCCTTCACAATGAATTCACTGATTTTTGTAGTCTGGAGAAAATCTTCCTCTCATCTGTGTTTTCCTCAAAGTCACCCTTTACCTCTCCTCCTTGTCCTTTATACATAGCTTTGTCTTATCGCCAAGCTCAGACTTTTGGAAAAGATAGAAAAAAAAAAAAGGTCATCTTTAAGTTGCTAAATTTGAATTTCTAAATACATTATCCTGTGACAGTCTTATTTTCAATAAGAAGCCATTCATTCCTTTGAGGAGGGGAGTAATGGATGAGTTTAAGAAATGGGAAAATCCAATGTATTTGAAATCAAGACTTGACCATCTCACAACAAAATAGATGTGGACTATCTCAGGAGGGGCAGGAACTAGTGCTTCTGGATATCTTGCTACCTGTGGCTGAAATAAATTGGCTGATGCAAATTAAAACAGGTAAAAAAATGTGAGTAATGACTAGCAAAACTTTGACCTGTTGGGGATTTTATTAGGCATCAGGGATTATAAAAGCAAAGGAGTAACCTAATGGAGACGGCATATTTTCTACTCAATTCTAATCAACAATCTCTTCTTAATCTTCAGGTTACCTAAACATTACACATATGGTGAAAGCTGAAATTATTAAGAAATAAAGTTTACTTAGGTTACTTGAAAATAATTGCAAAGACACAAATGGTCAACATTTACCTTAAATCGTAACTTGCAAATGAAATGCAATTGAATGGGTTTTCTTACTTTCTGCCTCATGCCTTACACCTTTGGTGACTTTTCCACATGAGAAAAATAAATGAAAATAGAAAAATTTAGCTTTCCTACTATAAAATTACTAATTTTTTACCTCACTCTTTGATAACTAGTAACTAGTATATTGCTTTGTGGTACTAGTGTTCACAGCACAAGTGTTTTTTCAACTGTTTTCTTGGGAAAGGCATACTGCTTTCTGACTGTACAAATCATTTATATGATGCTCAATCTATCATTCTGGATCAAATTGCCTTTGGTCTTTTTATATCACTGCTCTTGAAGAACATAGGGTCCTTGCAATGACATTTGTGCTGCTTGAAGTGGGGACCAATCCTGGGTAACCTTTTATGAAATCACTGAATGGCAGCTAGCCTAATACTGGTTGTCCTCCTTTAGGCGATGACATTTGAGCTGCTGCGATCTTCATCTTGCAGCATCTCAAAGCCAATTATTCATCCAGGTTTTCAGCAGCATTAGCAATGATTCCTTCTTTTTCTTGCTGACTTTATAAAATGTATTTTGGCACTGTCAATTAGCCATGTATTCAAAAAGACAAGCTTTGGGTGAATGTTGACTCAGGCTCACACCCATGCTAATGATAGAAGTGCTGTAACTACACAGCCAACTCCCCATAATAAGAGGGAATGTACACATAAATTGAAAAATTTATTAATCCTATTAGTTTAATCATTAAAGTCAAATTTTCGATTATCCATGCTAAATTAAGGAAGCAATTTATAGGTAATCCAAAATATCTTTTTGTATTAGACTTGGCTCTTTGCTTGCAATTTACTACAAGTAATATGACACTTGAGAGGTGGCAACATAAAAAAGCATATAATTCTTGCAGCTGGGATTTAGTAAAAACATAAAAACTTGTTTGCAACCAAAAAAAACTTGGTTTAGATTTAAAGACAGCCATGGATCCACAAAGCAGTCTATGTATAAAGAATGGAGTATATTTTTAAACATCCACTCTAAATTGTTTTTTTTTAGAGAGTTTGCTGGATTAGAGAGTCAGTGGGTGTTCCTTAAATTATCCACACATCTCTTATCCATTTTCTGCCCGGCTAGTGTCCCCAAGAAGCTGACACTGGGAGGCATCAGTAGAAAATCAGAAGACAGAAGAAATAGAGATATAAGGGTACCACTCCCTGCTCTCTGTGTCCATGAAGAAGTCTATGGCACTCTGTATGTCTTAAGAACTATCTTAGGGGCCTTCCTCTAGGGTTGCAGTTGTCAGGGGCTGCGGTTTCCACCATTGTCCCTTTACACCCAAAGCTGTTTATATGCTTCCCATTTTTGCTAGTGTCTTTGCATCTCACCACCTCTTATTCCCTTCACTCAGCCTACACATCTGTCCATTGTCCCTGCATTAAAGTGTTTGCATTTGAACCATGCTATGGTCTGAATGTGCCCCCCAAAATTATATGTTGAAACAATTGCCAATGCAATAGTATTAAGAGGTGGGGACTTTAGGGGGTGATTAAGTCATGAGGGCTCCACCCTCGTGTATGGGTTTAAAGCCTTATTTTAAAAAGCTTTGCATAGCATTTGCTCCCTTTGCTTTTCCACCTTTTGTTATGTAGGAATGCAGCAAGAGGTGCTATCTTGGAAGAAGACAGCACCCCTCACTAGACACCAGATCTACCAGTGCCTTGATTTTGGACTCCCCTGCCTCCAGAACGGTGATAAAATAAATTTTTGTTCTTTATAGATTTCCCAGTCTTCATATCTTGTTACAGCAGTGAACAGACTAAGACAAGCCACCTGATGTTACTTATTACCTGCTGGAACCCTGATTCCTGCAGAGAAACTAAAAATATATAGACATAAACTGCTTTGATTTTATCTTTGTAAATCTCTAATTATCAGAATTGCCTGGAAAATATTTTTTAAACACAGATGACTGGGTTCAATCTCAGTCCTTCTGTAAAGGATGGAGCAAATAGGACTAAGTCTGGTTCATTGATATGGTTTGGGTATGTGTGTCTTTGCCCAAAGCTCATGTCAACTTATAATCCCCAGTGTTGAAGGTGGTGCCCGGTGGGAGGTGATGGACTGATGAGGGTGGACTTCTCATGGTTTAGCACTATCCCCCACTTGGTACTGTATAGTGAGTTATCATGAGATCTGGTTGTTTTAAAAGTGTGTAGCACCTCCCCCATCTCTCTCTTCCTCCTGCTCCAGCCATGTAAGACGAGTCTGCTTCCCCTTTCCCTTCTACCATAATTATAAGTTTCCTGAAGCCTCCCCAGAAGCAGCAGCCTGTACAACCTGCAGAACCATGAGACAATTAAACCTCTTTTCTTTATATATTACCCAGTTTCAGGTATTTCTTTATAGCAGTGCAAGAACAGACTAATGCATTCATTCATTATTATGTACCCAGCATTTAACCCAAGACCCTACATTGTGTACCCAGCATTTAACCCAAGACCTTCAATAATCATTTTTAAAGCATTGTTTATACATAGTAAAACAAATTAAAGTAGCAAAATGAGATTCATAATTGAAAGTAAGATTCTACACAGAATGAATGTATTATTTAATTATAATAATATAACACATCAATAATTATATATGACATATATAATAAATTTAATAGTATTTATATTTACTTAAATATATAGTTCTGGGCTGATATTAAAACATGGTTAATATTGTGGTGATCACAATATTCAAATCTGAGAATTTGTCAAACAACTCTCATCTTCTCTACACAGTGTATGTTAGGCAAATAGTAATGAAGTTATTTTTTCTTCCAGAAATCTGAATGAATCAGAATGTCTAAAGGTAGAGTCTAGGAATTTATATTTTTAGAAATTCCTTCAGATGATTCTGATGACCAGTTACTTCCACAAACGCTAATCTTTTACTTACAATGTTAGATCTGGAGGAGCTTTTAGCCATAATCTAGTTCTACTAATGTGTTTAGAAATTGACCAACTTTAAGTCTGAGAGATTAAATAACTTGTCATATATAATCGTAATATTTTCATACTTAGCAATACATTTGGGGACAAATGACAAGAAATGAGAAATGGAACTAAAAGAAAAAGTTTTCACCAAAAAAGGCAAAAACTAATCTAAAAACTAAGCTTGGCCTGAAGGACTATGAGAGTTCAGCTCTGTGTAGGCTGTAGGACATTCTAAGGGTGGGCTCACCACAGATCATGCCCACCCTTAGACCCTTGATCAGGATCCTGTCACAAGGTAACTAAGGAGAGTTTCTTCCTTCATGGCCTTTCTTTTCTACAGGCATTCATCCAATTATGCCCAATACTTGAAAAGAAGTATCTATATCGACCTTCTCTTCCATAAAAATTTCTCAAACAACTCTTATCTCCATGCAGCATAAATTAGGCAAATAGTAGTGAAGTTATTTTTTCCTCCAGAAATCTGACAGTAATTTAAAATTCACTTGCAAACATAATATTTTGTGAAAATATGCCAAAAATGTTTAATACCTAACCCTCTTACTTCTGCCTGTATATTAACATGATTAGAAAATATTTGTGCCTAGATATTCATCAGAAAGTAAACATTTAGTCGCCTAGCTGATATTCACAAAATTATTTTACTCTGTTCAAATGGAATTTGCTGCTGACTACAGTAATTCTTCTATCTTTTAAAAGGAGCTCTGTGGCTACTATTTTCAAAAATATTCAATAGCTCCAAATAAATGTGTTCACATAGTTTTTAAAGTACCAATAAAGTAAAATTTAGTATCTGCAAGAAAATAATCATTCTTTTTTAAATTGTCTTAAAGACTATAAGTATTAATAGCATTAATAGTAATTTGCATTGATAAAACACTACATGTTAGTTATATGCTGAGCATTATGCACAGAGTACCCCATTTATACAAAAAAATGCAAGATACTTAGGCAATTATTATTTGTGAATATTTGTGTGTATATATATATACACATACATATATGAGCATAAATTATATTAACATTATAAAAGTATAATACTATGTCAATAGTTACATAATGACATGTATTACATTATATACTATTTATAACTTATTTACTTAAGTATACAGAGAACATTTCTGGGCAGATGTTAAGACACAGTTAATATTGTAGCAATCACTGGTGTTTGCCCACCCAATAGCCATTCTCCTTCTTTTTTGCCAACGGAACAGAGGATGAGTTATGATTGACCTAAACCAGTCATGGCAATCTTGTTCTCTTTTACCAATGGTGAGTCTAGGTTCTTGCCTGGGGATGAGAGATAAGGAGAAGTCTGCTTACAGCTTCTGGAAAGGATTTCCCACGTCATAGAATACAGACGTGCGTGAGCATCCTTCCTGCTTAGAAAATTTTCATTTCACTCGAGGCCTGAGTTTGAGACCAGCCTGGCCAACATGGTGAAACCCCGTCTCTACAAAAAATACAAAAATTAGCTAGGAATGGTGGCACCTGCCTGTAGTCCCAGCTACTCGGGAGGCTGAGGCATGAGGTGGAGTTTGCAGTGACCCGAGATTGTGCCACTGCACTCCAGCCTGAATGACAGAGCAGGATCCTGTCTCAAAAAAACACAAAAAAGCAGACATGTGCCTGCTCTTTCTCTAGGGCAATTCACTTAAGAAGAAGAAAACTGCTAGGACCTGGAGTTGGGCTCTGAGAAAATAACAGGGGGAAGAATGTGAGCATCTAGCTCAAATGCTTCTGTGTGTAGTCCTTTGAGAAAGGACTAGGTCTTGATACACTACTTTAGTTATTATATATGTGTTACATTTTGGTTGAGAGGCCATATGAATGTGTTGGTTTTAAATAGTTCCACCCCTGACTCTCCACCTTAATGTACCCATGATGCTGTAGCATACCTATTTTTAGCTCTCACTTTTTACCTAGTTGGCTGTGTATAAATGACCTTAAGGCCTTTCCCCAGTAAGAAAGTCTCCAGAATCCCAAAATGTAAAACTATGTTCCTTTTTACCCTGTTTTCAATACTGTCAACCCTAGAATACTCAGAAATAGAATTGTTTGTATGTTGTTATTTTTGTATAATCATACTACAATGTCTGTGAGTTTACTTTAGCTATGATAATTCAAACTGAATGTGAGTTCACTACACAAAGCTCTGTTGCCAATATCTATTTTCTCCTCTTTTATAGGAGAAAGTGGGTTGTCCAGTTATAGAAAGTGTTATTTTGTAATGATAGAGTGAGAAAATCACTTCCCTGTCACCCCAGCATGCTCATACATACACATACACTCAAAATGGAGCTTTTAAATGGAATTGTGCTATAACTAATTCAAGCCTACATTTTCTTCCACCCTAGCAATATGTGCTGTGAATCTACAGTCTGTGAAACCATCAGGCCACAGGGTGTGGTAGACTGAGCCCAGGCTTTGGAATTAGACAGACCTGAATTAGAAACCAGACTTTGCCGTTTACTAGCTGTGTGACCTTGGGTGAGTTACTTAACCTCTCTTGGTCTCTGGTTCTTCATTGGAAAACCAAGGACAACACTAACCTAGAAATTGTTTGTTTTTCCTAGAAAAGGAACTTAAAAATTTAGCTTAGTTATCCGGCTTCCTTTCATTCTCTCTACAAATAAAGGTCAAAAAATAAGTGTATGCCAAATATGAATGTCCAATCAGACATTATAGACACATTTTCTTCCCACTTTGGAAAAATGTTGTCATTCATTAAAAACTATAGTTGGATTTAAAATAAGATATCCTCAAGTATTAGAGCAATATAAAAAATACCTAATTTTCTTTAGTTTTTGATTGAATATGACAGCTACTAAATTATACACAAAAGTTTGATATTAAAGGATTCAAACATAAAACACTAATCCAATGACACACTGACATTGAAACTGGATTTCAAAAGAAAAACAATCAATAACATATGCTTCGAACACAGAATACAAAATCAAAATAATAGGTGAAAATTAAAATTTTCTTTTTAATTATAACTGAAAAACTTAGAGAAAACATTCTAAGTTTCAAAAGTTTCAAAAAATATTTTCAACTATGTACTCAAACAGTTTTTTTGCTTGAATAGAAGGAACCATTAATTTAATAAACTGAAGTAAACAATTTAAAATTTAAGAGACTACATATCTTTTAAAGTGTTTCAAATTTTATTAAAATTTGATAACATTATTTTGCTATTACACTATTTTGCTGACAGAGGTAAGTTCTGATCCTGAAATGATAGCCCAGGACAGTTGAAGTCAAGCTAGTTGACCACACCCTTTGATGCCCCCTCTGTCTGGCCATCAAATCTGGGCAGGCTGGGATTTAGCTCTGAGCTTTGAATCTGTTTCAGGCAGATGGCAGCAGCAGAAGCTGCTTCTCTAGGAACTTTTTGATCCAGGGCCTGTTCTGATTAGAAGCTTACTCTAACCCACATAGGTGAAGGTGTCAGTAGTCTCTGCTGACTCCTCTGGAAGATTTCACATTGTCTCAGTTAAGCTACATCATAACAGCCATTTTGCTTTAAAATCATATGTTGAGACAGGACACAGTAGCGTTCTTGAAGTCCCAGCTACTCAGGAGTCTGAGGTGGAAGATCACTTGAGCCTAGGAGTTCAAGGCCAGCCTAGGCAACATAGAGAGACCCTGTCTCTAAAACAAAAACAAAAATCAGAAAATCATTTATTGATAATTGTTCATTGCATGTACATGAATTTAATGTTCTTTTCCTAATGTGTCACATTCTATTAGATTTAAATATACAACTTCATTGGTGTTTTTCCTAAAAATCTTTGGTTAATGTTCAAATGTGTCACTAAAAGTTTTATTTCAGTTTTAGAATGTCATTTCATTGGTAGAAACGTATGAGTTTAAGCCTCATTTGGTGG
This sequence comes from Homo sapiens, assembly GCF_000001405.40. NCBI lineage: Eukaryota > Metazoa > Chordata > Mammalia > Primates > Hominidae > Homo > Homo sapiens. The sequence goes on from NC_000004.12 coordinate 105,877,437, forward strand.
GGAATAGTTTACATATATTTAAAATATCCACTTTTCCCTTAAGAAGCTTTTGCCAAAACCTGTTCCAGTATTTGAACTTGTCCTTAATACTTAAGATTTTGTGAGGATTCCAGGATACTGAAACACTAAGTCCTGATCGTAGTGATTAGAGAGACATTGTGAGATTTCTTCCCAGTTTTCTTCAAGAGCATCCTCTCTTTCTCCCTCAACTATAACATTAGCAGTGAGCCCTTCTTCCTACATTTATACCAAATAAACCCAACACTCTCTGATTTAAAAAAAAAAAGGGGGGGGTGGTGAACATCTGATCCATGAGCCAAGTCAGTCTGATTATTTTTCTCTTGAAAATCTGATGCCCCATGGCACTCAACGATCCTTCGTCTCCTGAATTCCATGAGGAGCATCTGTATAATAAATCCTCCTGTATTTTAAGTGGCCAGAATGAGTTTGTTTCTTGCAACCAAATGAGCTCTAAGGCAGAGTGAAGCCATATTCTCTTAAAAATTCTACATGTCTAACTCTATCCACAGCAAGGGAGTATTTGATAATGGCATCTTCTTTGAAATACTTCCATCCAAGATTTCTGTTCATTCTTTTAAGCTACCGACATTTAAACTTAATGTTAATTACAGTATTGGATTAGATATATATGGCCTTAGAGAAAGTCAGACCATCATATTTTGTAATTCAATTCCTTTATAGAGAGTGAGTTGTAAAATTTATGAGTCACTTTACATTCGCCCTACTCTTTTCAAAGTGAAGATGCTTCCTTTTACTTGATGAAGAAGAATGGTAGGAGTTGAGTAACTATGCCTTCTTCATAGCATCTGTTAACATTTACTCTCTTTTCCGAGCAGTAGGCCTATTCTTTTCATGCTGAACTACTTCTTCCAAGCATTGCTAAATAAGCTCTAGTGTTTTTGTCAAGCCTCCACTAATTTGGTACCCAGCAAAGGACTATTAATTCATTTACCTTTCAATTTGAGGGATAAGGAATCATTTATCTTTTAATCTAAGGTAAGAGTAAATGAATTTGGGAGGATACAAACAAGTTTCTTTCAAAAAAAAATAGAAAAAAATGTGTTAAAAATAATTGTGGCAAATAGATAAATTGGGAATTCACCTCATGGAGAAAATACACATGACTGCACAGGTTCTGAAGAATATCCTTATAGCCAAATGGAATAGCCTAAAATTTCTGTGATCATTTGCTTTTTCTTGGCATCTCTAGAACTATGATTTTTCACAGCCAAGGTGCATGCTGTTTTAACAGTCACAAATTAGGATGTTTTCAACTTTGTCCTGGTGGAATTGTCCTGTTTCAGTACAACACACACGTGCTATGCAATAGATATCTATTGAAAAAATAAATCTCTCTTCAAGACTATAAAGACATTTGAGCTGATTGCACCAGGGATTGACATGAGTTGAGAGAAATCTCCTGCCTGGCAAGCAGCGTTTGGCTCTGCTCCTAGAAGCTAAACCTGGATAGCAAGTCCAGCCAGGCTTTTCTTTTCTCTCTTATGAATTGGTATGTGCCACTTTCATCCCTATTTCATTAAAAATAATAAACTCTTTATGTCTCTAGTTCAGGTGACTCCCTCCTTCTCCAGAAGCTTCCTAAGGCTTACACTGGCTATTCTGCAAGCAGTATTCATACCTGTTGTTGAAAGACAGGAACCTCTGCTTCCAGCTTCTATTAATATCATAGTAAGAGACAAAGCAAAAACAAAAACAAAAACCCTATGCTGAGAGAGAGAGAGAGACTCATGAGAATGCACAAACAGTCCAGCATTCCTTCCTATCTAGATGCTGTGGAAAGAAATAGAAGTACAGATGCTCCATTGCTTTATATTCACATATGCCACAGCATACACTGTGATCTGGATAATAAATGCTGGAGTTATACTTCCTATGTTAAACTTTACAGCTACTGTTAATGGAATGTCATCTATGTAACAGACGCTGTAGTGATGGCATTATATACTCACTAAATTTTTACAATAACTCTGCAAGACACATATTAGTTTTTCTATATAATAGAAGATGAAACTGAGTTTCAGAGAGGGTAAATGATTAGTCAGAGTTCAGCTGGTATTTATGAGTGTGGTTAAATCTGCAATTTGACAGACCCTAAAGTACTGTCCTGCATTAATTTTTTATTAAGGAAAATTGTTCAGAATCACACTGTACCCCTAGACATACATTTTGGAAGATGAGATAATACTTCTAAGATGATGTGATTTCTTTGATGAAATTATTTTGCAAATAATTGCAGTTAATAGGCACATTACCACAGTTAAAGATACTATAATGAAAAACATTAATTTACCAATATCCTCCAACTTCTCAATTTCAATGAATTTTACACTTCAGATTATTTGCACTGGAGACTAAGGTCTTGCTCATACAATAGATCAGATAGCTCAAGCTGTGTATAGAATGGTGTTTAGTTTTTTCCACCTTCAACAGAACAAGTAAAAGTAGTCTTAACTGATGTAGATTATGCACAAATATCTTTCCAGTAAAGAGGTGTGAAATCTTGGAATTTTACTTGCTATTTTTGTCTAGGGAAAGGCAATCTATTCTGTGAGACACAGATTTTACCTTTTAAACAAGGGGCCCTTAAGGGTGAACTGTTATAAATGTGCAATACCTGCATATAGGAAAGCTGGTACAATCAGACATTTCAAATTTTTTCCTAAGAACAGAAGTTGTATTAAGAAACAGGGAAAAAAGGAGGAGGTTCCAAGATGGCCGAATAGGAACAGCTCCAGTCTACAGCTTCCAGCGTGAGCGATGCAGAAGACTGGAGATTTCTGCATTTCCAGCTGAAGTACCGGGTTCATCTCACTGGGGCTTGTCGGACAGTGGGTGCAGCCCACAGAGCGTGAGCCAAAGCAGGGCAGGGAATCACCTCACCCGGGAAGCTAAAGGGGTCGGGGAATTCCCTTTCTTAGCCAAGGGAAGCCATGACAGATGGTACCTGGAAAATCGGGACACTTCCACCCTAATACTGCACTTTTACAACGGTCTTAGCAAATGGCACACCAGGAGATTATATCCTGCGCATGGCTCAGAGGATCTCATGCCCATGGAGCCTCGCTCACTGTTAGCACAGCAGCCTGAGATCCAACTGCAAGGTGGCAGCAAGGCTGCGGAAGGGGCGTCTGCCATTGCTGAGGCTTCAGTAGGTAAACAAAGCTGCCAGGAAGCTTGAACTGGGTGGAGCCCACCACAGCTCAAGGAGGCCTGCCTGCCTCTGTAGACTCCACCTCTGGGGGTAGGGCATAGCTGAACAAAAGGCAGCAGAAATTTCTGCAGACGTAAACATCCCTGTCTGACAGCTTTGAAGAGAGTAGTGGTTCTCCCAGCACAGAGTTTGAGATCTGAGAACGGACAGACTGCCCCCTCAAGTAGGTCCCTGACCCCTGAGTAGCCTAACTGGGAGACACCTCCCAGTAGGGGCTGACTGACACCTCATACAGCTGGGTGCCCCTCTGAGACAAAGCTTCCAGAGGAAGGATCAGGCAGCAACATCTGCCATTCTGCAATATTTGCTGTTCTTCAGCCTCCTCTGGTGATACCCAGGCAAACAGGGTCTGGAGTGGACCTCCAGCAAACTCCAACAGACCTGCAGCTGAGGATCCTGACTGTTAGAAGGAAAACTAACAAACAGAAAGGACATCCACACCAAAACCCCATCTGTATGTCACCATCATCAAAGACCAAAGGTAGATAAAACCACAAAGATGGGGAGAAACCAGAACAGAAAGCTGAAAATTCTAAAAATCAGAGCGCCTCTTCTCCTCCAAAGGAATGCAGCTCCTCACCAGCAACAGACCAAAGCTGGATGGAGAATGACTTTGACGAGTTGAAAGAAGAAGGCTTCAGACGATTGGTAATAACAAACTTCTCCGAGCTAAAGGAGGATGTTTGAACCCATCGCAAAGAAGCTAAAAACCTTGAAAAAAGATTAGACGAATGGCTAACTAGAATAAACAGCAAAGAGAAGACCATAAATGACCTGATGGAGCTGAAAACTATGGCACGAGAATTAGGTGATGCATGCACAAGCTTCAGTAGCTGATTCAATCAAGTGGAAGAAAGGGTATCGGTGATTGAAGATCAAATGAACAAAATGAAGCGAGAAGAGAAGTTTATAGAAAAAAGAATAAAAAGAAACAAACAAAGCCTCTAAGAAATATGGGACTATGTGAAAAGAACAACTCCACATCTGATTGGTGTACCTGAAAGTGATGGGGAGAATGGAACCAAGTTGGAAAACACTCCTCAGGATATTATCCAGGAGAACTTCCCCAACCTAGCAAGGCAGGCCAACATTCAAATTCAGGAAATACAGAGAACACCATAAAGATACTTCTCGAGAAGAGCAACTCCAAGACACATAATTGTCAGATTCACCAAAGTTGAAATGAAGGAAAAAATGTTAAGGGCAGCCAGAGAGAAAGGTTGGGTTACTCACAAAGGGAAGCCCATCAGACTAACAGCTGAACTCTTGGCAGAAACTATACAAGCCAGAAAAGAGTGGGGGCCAATATTCAACATTCTTAAAGAATTTTCAACACAGAATTTCATATACAGCCAAACTAAGCTACATAAGTGGAGCAGAAATAAAATCCTTTACAGACAAGCAAATGCTGAGAGATTTTGTAACCACCAGGCCTGCCCTACAAGAGCTCCTGAAGGAAGCACTAAACATGGAAAGGAATAACCGGTACCAGCCACTACAAAAACATGCCAAATTGTAAACATCATCGATGCTGGGAAGAAACTGCATCAACTAACGAGCAAAATAACCAGCTAACATCATAATGACAGGATCAAATTCACACATAACCATATCAACCTTAAATGTAAATGGGCTAAATGCTCCAATTAAAAGACACAGACAGGCAAATTGGATAGTCAAGACCCATCAGTGTGCTGTATTCAGGAAACCCATCTCATGTGCAGAGACACACATCAGCTCAAAATAAAGGGATGGAGGAAGATCTACCAAGCAAATGGAAAACAATAAAAAAGCAGGGGTTGCAATCCTAGTCTCTGATAAAACAGACTTTAAACAAACAAAGATCAAAAGAGACAAAGAAGGCCATTACATAATGGTAAAGGGATCAATTCAACAAGAAGAGCTAACTATCCTAAATATATATGCACCAAATACAGGAGCACCTAGATTCATAAAGCAAGTCCTTAGAGACCTACAAAGAAACTTAGACTCCCACACAATAATAATGGGAAACTTTTACATCCCACTGTCAACATTAGACAGATCAACGAGACAGAAAGTTAACAAGCATATCCAGGAATTGAACTCAGCTCTGCACCAAGCAAACCTAATAGACATCTACAGAATTCTCCACCCCAAATCAACAGAATATACATTCTTCTCAGCACCACATTGCACTTATTCCAAAATTGACCACATAGTTGGAAGTAAAGTACTCCTCAGGAAATGTAAAAGAACAGAAATTATAACAAACTGTCTCTCAGACCAGAGTGCAATCAAACTAGAACTCAGCATTAAGAAACTCACTCAAAACCGCTCAACTACATGGAAACTGAACAACCTGCTCCTGAATGACTACTGGGTACATAACAAAATGAAGGCAGAATAAAGATGTTCTTTGAAACCAATGAGAACAAAGACACAACATAACAGAATCTCTGGGACACATTTAAAGCAGTGTGTAGAGGGACATTTATAGCACTAAATGCCCACAAGAGAAAGCAGGAAAGATCTAAAATTGACACCCTAACAACTCAATTAAAAGAATTAGAGAAGCAAGAGCAAACACATTCAAAAGCTAGCAGAAGGCAAGAAATAACTAAAATCAGAGCAGAACTGAGGGAAATAGAGACATAAAAAACCCTTCAAAAAATCAATGAATCCAGGAGCTGGTTTTTTGAAAAGATCAACAAAATTGATAGACCACTAGCAAGACTAATAAAAAAGAAAAGAGAGAAGAATCAAATGGACCCAATAAAAAATGATAAAGGGGATATCACCACCGATCTCACAGAAATACAAACTACTATCAGAGAATACTATAAACACCTCTACGCAAATAAACTAGAAAATCTAGAAGAAATGGATAAATTCCTGGACATATACACCCTCCCAAGACTAAACCAGGAAGAAGTTGAACCCCTGAATAGACCAATAACAGGCTCTGAAATTGAGGTAATAATTAATAGCTTACCAACCAAAAAAAGTCCAGGACCAGACAGACGCACAGCCGAATTCTACCAGAGGTACAAAGAGGAGCTGGTACCATTCCTTCTGAAACTATTCCAATCAATAGAAAAAGAGGGAATCCTCCCTAACTCATTTTATGAGGCCAGCATCATCCTGATACCAAAGCCTGGCAGAGACACAGCAAAAAAAGCGAATTTTAGACCAACATCCCTGATGAACATCGATGCAAAAATCCTCAATAAAATACTGGCAAACTGAATCCAGCAGCACATCAAAAAGCTTATCCACCATGATCAAGTGGGCTTCATCCCTGGGATGCAAGGCTGGTTCAACATACACAAATCAATAAATGTAATCCATCATATAAACAGAACCAAAGGCAAAAACCACTTGATTATCTCAATAGATGCAGAAAAGACCTTTGACAAAATTCAACAGCACTTCATGCTAAAAACTCTCAGTAAACTAGGTATTGATGGGATGTTTCTCAAAATAGTAAGAGCTATTTATGACAAACCTACGGCCAATATCATACTGAATGGACAAAAACTGGAAGCATTCCCTTGGAAAACTGGCACAAGACAGGGATGCCCTCTCTCACCACTCCTATTCAACATAGTGTTGGAAGTTCTGGCCAGGGCAATCAGGCAGGGGAAAGAAATAAAGGGTATTCAATTAGGAAAAGAGGAAGTCAAATTGTCCCTGTTTGCAGATGACATGACTGTATATTTAGAAAACCCCATCGTCTCAGCCCAAAATCTCCTTAAGCTGATAAGCAGCTTCAGCAAAGTCTCAGGATACAAAATCAATATGCAAAAATCACAAGCATTCTTATACACCAAAAACAGAGAGCCAAATCATGAGTGAACTCCCATTCACAATTGCTTCAAAGAGAATAAAATACCTAGGAATCCAACTTACAAGGGATGTGAAGGACCTCTTCAAGGAGAACTACAAACTCCTGCTCAATGAAATAAAAGAGGACACAAACAAACGGAAGAACATTCCATGCTCGTCGGTAGGAAGAATCAATATCGTGAAAATGGCCATACTGCCAAAGGTAATTTATAGATTCAATGCCATCCCCATCAAGCTACCAATGACTTTCTTCACAGAACTGGAAAAAACTACTTTAAAGTTCATATGGAACCAAAAAAGAGCCCACATTGCCAAGTCAATCCTAAGCCAAAAGAACAAAGCTGGAGGCATCATGCTACCTGACTTCAAACTATAACACAAGGCTACAGTAAGCAAAACAGCATGGTACTGGTACCAAAATAGAGATATAGACCAATGGAACAGAACAGAGCCCTCAGAAACAACATCACACATCTACAACCATCTGATCTCTGACAAACCTGACAAAAACAATAAATGCGGAAAGGATTCCCTATTTAATAAATGGTGCTGGGAAAACTGGCAAGCCATATGTAGAAAGCGGAAACTGTATCTCTTCCTTACACCTTATACCAAAATTAATTCAAGGTGGATTAAAGACTTAAATGTTAGACCTAAAACCATAAAAACCCTAGAAGAAAACCCAGGCAATACCATTCAGGACATAGGCATGGGCAAGGACTTCATGACTAAAACAATCTACCCATCTGACAAAGGGCTAATATCCAGAATCTACAAAGAACTTAAACAAATTTACAAGAACTTAAAGTATAATAGTAATAAAAAATCAAACAACTCCATCAAAAAGTGGGCAAAGGATATGACCAGACACTTCTCAAAAGAAAACATTTATGCAGCCAACAGACACATGAAAAAATGCTTATTGTCACTGGCCATCAGAGAAATGCAAATCAAAACCACAATGAGATACCATCTCACACCAGTTAGAATGGCGATCATTAAAAAGTCAGGAAACAACAGGTGCTGGAGAGGATGTGGAGAAATAGGAACACTTCTACTCTGTTGGTGGGACTGTAAAGTAGTTCAACCATTGTGGAAGTCAGTGTGGCGATTCCTCAAGGATCTAGAACTAGAAATATCATTTGACCCAGCCATCGCATTACTGGGTATATACCCAAAGGATTATAAATCATGCTGCTATAAAGACACATGCACACATATGTTTATTGCGGGACTATACACAATAGGAAAGACTTGGAACTAACCCAAATATCCATCAATGATAGACTGGATTAAGGAAATGTGGCACATATACACCATGGAATACTATTCTGCCATAAAAAAGGATGAGTTCATGTCCTTTGTGGGGACATGGATGAAGCTGGAAACCATCATTCTCAGCAAACTATCGCAAGGAGAGAAGATCAAACACCACATGTTCTCACTCATAGGTGGGAACTGAACAATGAGGACACTTGGACACAGGATGGGGAACATCACACACCACGGCCTGTCATGGGATTTGGGGAGGGGAGAAGGATAGCATTAGGAGATATACCTAATGTAAATGATGAGTTAATGGGTGCAGCACACCAACATGGCACATGTATACATATGTAACAAACCTGCACGTTGTGCACACATACCCTAGAACTTAAAGTATAATAATAATAAAAAAAAGAAACAGGAAAAAAAGAAAAACTGATAGGAAATACCAAAATAACAAATAAACAACTAAGCTGGAGCCTTGAAATCAAACTCAAATGTTAACAGTTGAGGGACTATGTTTTTATCTTCTGCTTATTGAGTTTATTTTAGTCCTGCTTCTTTCTAAAATAGACTTGGAGAAAATCCTCAAGAAATCAACATATAAAATAAGGCTAATAAAACAGAGAGAAAATCAAGACCAGGGCAAGCAGGGAAAGAACACACATGCTAACCTACCCTAAGTGTTAAAATAATTCTTGTGACAGAATTTAACTCTGAGATTCCTGGCAGTCACTTAAAAAAAAAAAGACTTTTTTGGAATGATTTTAGGTTCACAAGAAAATTGAGCAGAAAGGACAGAATCTTCCCATATTCTTTGTGTGCTCTCATACACAACCTCTCCCATTATCAACATGGTACATTTGTTATAAATGATGAACCTACATTGCCACATGATTACCACCTGAAGTGCATAGTTTACATTAGGTTTACTCTTGGTGTTGTATATTCTACAAATATATATTGGGTTTTGGCAAATATAGAATGACATGTATCTACCATTATAGTATCATACGGAATAGTTCCATTACCCTAAAAATTCTCTGTTTTCTGCCTAGTCATCCCTCTCTCCAACCCTGGAAACCACTGATGGTTTTACTGTTGCCATAGTTTTCTGGAATCCACTTTTAAAAGGAAAGTTTGATATAGTACGTTTAACGAGAAAAGAGAAGACGTAACATTTTCTCAAAGAGACAGAATTTTTCGTAGCCCTAAATTCTGTAAGAAATGAATTACCTTATGGGATCAAGATGGATGCATCAGATAACATCCACAACAGTCTTTCAGAAGGTACATAGGCAGATCTTATTTGACTATTTCTTGTAAAAAAAAAAAAAAAAAAAAGCTCATAAAAGCTAAAGTCCAACTCAGTAAGAGAAGAGTCTTCCAAGTTCTAAATTTAGCTATAAGAGACTAGCTTTATCAAAGGTTAATACCTGTGAAACCCAGAGGAGTTGGCAATGTATCTCCTATCTAGACTCACTTCCATAAATATCATTTATTTTAACAAGGATTTTTACAAGCACTAAAGTTTTGTCAGAAAAATAGGTCTTCTGTGTTGTTTGAGACCAGATGCACGTTTTGGAGTCCAGAAGGGTAGAACGACAATTTATTATGAAAGGTGAAAAGCTTAGCTAGTACTTTCTCAATGTAGCAGTGGGATGCAAGGGTGTTTTAGGCAACTTTAAATTAGCACAAATACTTTGATTAAAAATTCAGTTGTGATTAGTGATTCACAACACAACATGCAAGAGTGGTTTAGGCACAGAAAATGTTAATGTAAGTGTTTGCAATGGTCTGCCTTGGAAATAGAAAAACCTGAGTAGAGAACCATTGAATTTCCAGCAGGAAAGTCTCCACTTGAGTTAAGGAGGCAAACAATATTTGTTGAGTACTTACTACATGTGTCATGTATGGGGCTACGTACTTTATGCAATTTACCTAGTTTAACTGGGTGAGTTACATGTTAAGAATTCCCCAGTAAATATATTGACTTGCTGTATGATGAGAGTCTTTGACTAAATGGAATTTGAAGAATGATTTTCAAAGAAAATATTTTTTTCAGTAATGTCATAATGTTTAGTTTTTCTGACAGTAATTAAATATACTAAGTTCGCTGGCTTCTTGAAGGACATGGAAAAAAGAAGGTTATGCATTCAATTAAAAGTTTTCACTTTCCTCGTTGGCACACTAGAAAAATACATATTCCAGTTTCCCTTGCAGTTAAGTTGGGGGCCCTGTGACTAGGCAGTGGCAAATGGCAGGCCACAGATCCCCAGGTCTGATTGCCTATGTTCTCTCTCTCCCTTGTCCATGTGTCTACAAAAGAACTCCTAAAAGAGAGAATGATGGAAGGAGCTCAGATCCTTGAGTAGCCACTTATGGAGACTTGTTTAGGAGAGCTGTCCAACCTGCATTAAACTTTGCACTATTGCAAGGAATTTTTATTGTGTTAAGCCAAAGATGTTGGGAGTAGTGTGTTACAGGATATAACTAGCTTTACCACTGCTGGTTTTATGATACTAAAAATTTATTGTCAACATAGAATAATCTTCCAATTTTACAAATAAAAACATAAATCGAAAATTAAAAAAAGTATCAGATCATTGACACAATTTTTAAAAGGCTGAAAGGTTAAAATATAACTACTTTGTAACACTTGAAACTGCTTTCTTATTTGTTGGTCAGCCATTTCTGCCTATTTCAATTCTTCTTGTGATATTAAAATGGTATTAAAGGTCTATTAAATAAGGTCTTCTATTGTCTTTGGCAAAATTATTTGAAGATAGGTGAGAAACATCCACAGTAATAGCTGTGCCTGAAGCTGTTGATTTCTCATATGTGCTACATTAGACCAAAAGATCAATGCTGTATTGGTCCATTTTCACGCTGCTGATAAAGACATAACCAAGACTTGGTAATTTTGAAAACAAAGTGGTTTAATTGGATTTACAGTTCCACATGGCTGGGGAAGCCTCACAATCATGGTGGAAGGCAAGGAAGAGCAAGTCATGTCTTACATGGATGGCACACACAAAAAGGGAGCTTGTGCAGATAAATTCCTGTTTTTAAAACCATCAGATCTCATGAGACTCATTCACTATCATGAGAACAGTGCAGGAAAGACCTGCCCCATATTCAATCACCTCCCACCAGGTTCCTCCCATGACATGTGGGAATTGTGGGAGTTACAATTCAAGATGAGATTTGGGTGGGGACACAGCCAAACCATATCAAATGCTTTCAGTTTGTAAAGAGAAAGCCAGCATAAAATTCTGAAGATCAGTCTTCTGAGTTGGTAATTTTTTCATATTTTTAAATTTTTCATATAGATGTGTATTCACCCATATTTAAATTACCAATTTTTATAACTATGTAGCTTATTGAATATTCTTATTTTTTTTCCAATAGGTTTTAAATGACTATATGGTCTAGTTATATAATCATATCATCTTCAGATAATGAGAACTTGGCCTCTTGCTTTCAAGTATTTATATATATTTTCCTTGTCTAATTGCATCAAATAATATTTCCAGGATATTTCAAATAAAAAATAGTGATATCAGCACCCTCTTCTTGTTCCTGACATGAATAAGAATTCTCCCAAGATTTCACCATTATACAGTATTCTGGCTTTTTGTTTCCAATAGAAATATATCTCAATAGATCCATCTCTCTCTATGAATAGAGTTTTTGTTTTGTTTTGTTTTAATCTGGATTATATAGTGCTGATCATAGGGTCTGTAGCACCCTTAGGAGGTCTTCTTAGGTTTAAGTAAACTTTCAGGCTCATGAGACTATCATGGCTACATTTGGCATCTATTTATACAGAAGGATACAGGACAGCCACCACAGTTTGCCAGTGTAGCATCAATTGTGTCTCTTTGGTGGAACACTTTACACAGCAGTACAGCTCAGGTGTAAGATGTGACCCACTTTACACAGGTGGGAAACTGTCTTGGCTTAATAGACTCATGCCCCTCTGGAGCATCTCTCGTGACAACCCCTTAGGCATAGTGCCCAGAGTCCCTTCAAGGGATATGCCCCATAAGAGTCACTGTACACAGGAGACCCAGTGGTTTGCTAAGAGGTGTATTTGGCTCTTCCTGTTTAAATGTGGTTTACCAATCAGGGGGCCATTTTAACCAGCAATATAGCAACAGACGTAGCCATGCATAGATAGCTAAATATAATTTTTATCAATACATTCTAGATATTCTGTAATTTCAGTTGTTATTTATAATTTTTTATTTTGACTTGAACACTGAATCTAATCTTGTCTCACCTCTAAAGTACTTTGCTTTTGAAGTCATTTTCTCTTTTCAAGACAGTAGAATCAGACTCTCATCCTCACCATCCCACTAAAACTAGCCTTATCAAGATCATCAGTGATCTCCTTGTCAAGTCTGATGATCACTTCTTAGTCCTGATCTTATTTAACCTTTCTATCTTTGGCTTATAAGACAATATACTTGCTTGAGTTTCCTATTACACCCCTATCTCCTCCTTTTCATTTTCCTGGGTTTCTTCCCTACTTAAATTTTGGAACATCCTTAGTTCTTAGTCCTTAGTTCTCTTAATTAGACTTCTTCTCTCTCCCTCCACTCTCTTCATTCTACATCTACATTCACTGTCTCTCATCCAGTCCCAGGGACTTAAATACTGTTGTGACTAACAATTTACATCTTGAGCCCTAGGCTCTCCGAGTTGCAGAGTTGTGCAGCATACTGCCTATTTGACTTCTCCACTTGAATGTCTATAAGACATCTTACACTTCACTTGTCTGAAGTATAACTTCACATAATAGTCTGTGGTGGTGACTATTAGTTGCTCTCTAAATTCTGCTCTTCCTTCTTCCATAGTGATAGAAGGTTGAGTTAATGACTAGGCTATATTTTCCAGTCTCCCTTGCAATTGCATGTGACTATCTGATCTAGTTCTTTCCAGTGAAAGGGAACAGCATTAATAGGTGCTATTTCCTGGCTCTAGTCCTTACAAGAACAATTGTGCCTCCTCCATACTTCCTTTTCCTCCATCTCACTAGCTAGAATGGTAACTATTAGAGTGACTGTGAAGGTGAGAGAGTCACTGTCAGGCTGGGACCTGAAAGACCTCATGGAACAGAGCTGTCCACCAACCTGATACACTCTCTTCAGACTGTTACATGGTGAAGAAATAATTTCTATCTTTTGAAAGTCATTATATTTTGGGGCTCTTTGTTGTAGCATTTTAACCTTTCACCTTAACTGACATAGAAATTGGTACCAGAAAAGATGCTTTCTTAATTTAAAACCCTGCATTTTCTTAATGGTCAGGCAAATTTGCAATTAAAGATATAGGTAGGGGGGCAGAGCAAAGAGTTTTTTTGCTCTGTTTATGATGGGAAGTCATTGGAGGGATTATTCAGTTGGACTGTGGTTTTACAAGGCATAACTATAGCTGCTCTGTGTAGGCTAGAAAGCTGGTGATGCTTATGCTATTTCATAAAATTGTTATCTATAATAACTTGGAAGGCACATCACATATCCAAGTCAAAGGAATATAGTTGTAAAAATGAGAATGTTAGCGTACTTCACTGTTCTTTGTTGATTTAAGTAAGGTATCATAAGAAAGATGAACTCAGGCAAGAACTGGCTGCTTTGCAAGCAGAAATGGAAGGAAGTGAGAATGTCCAGAAATTAAGGGCCTCTCAGGGCTGAAGAAGACAGCTGTTTTTGTGACCCAAACATTAATAAAAATGCAGGGATCCAAGCCTTGTGGCAAGGATCAGAGTAAGGTATCGCCCTCCTAAGCAACACTATTATTTCAGCTAGCCTCAAGGTGGCCCTCCATTAAGATGAGAAAGTAAAGTATGGATACAAGGAAGCAAAGAAATAGAGCAGCCTTCAGAACTAGGACTAGAAAAGACTTTGCTGTTATTTCCACAAGCAACTGACTGGAAGCAATTAGATCAGAAGCCTATTACGGTTTTAAGGAAATCTAGTTGCCACAGAAACCATGAATCTGTTAGCTCCTTAAAGCAATACTCAAGCCTTCAAATTTTTATCAGCAGAAAAGGGGTTGTGAATGATATGCAGCCCCCTAGGAAGGCATTTTCTGTAACAGTCACTTCTGATATGGCTATGGAAAATTATGGACAAGGTAGTTCCTCTAAGAGAAGCAGAGTATCCCAAATGTCTAACCAAGGCACTTTCTGCACTGCCAGAACAGAGAGTCTCCATAATTCTTGCTCAGCTGTGAGTCAAAATTGCTGTGAACAAGAAGCTATGTGTATCTTTATCTTAATAGGAGCTTTTAAAAGCAGTCATCCTATGCCTGTGCCACTACTGTGTATGGGGTGTGGGAAGAGAGGGAGCAATATCTTGTTTAATGGTTTGTATGACACCAACTATGAGAAGTCATTTCAGAGCTTGATAGAGAAAACACACCGCTCTACTGTCTGCGTGGACATGGGCTGCATCCCACACCCTCACGTGGCTCTCTCCCTCACTTCATTCAGTCTCTGCTCAAATGTTACTTCCCCAAAGGTGACCAAAGCACTCCATCTACAATCACACCTCCATCATTTTCTACAACCGTAACCTCCCTTTATCCTCTCCTTACTCCTTTTTTCTCTACATAGTCCTTCTGTATTGCTCCCCCACTGGAATGTAAACCCTTTCAGGGCAGGACTTTGTCTTGTCCTTAGCTGAAATCCTAGCACCTAGCTAGAAATGGCCAATACATTATAGGTCCTTAATAAATATTTACTGAAAAGAAAAAAGACTATGAGCTTCTAAATTTGAAAGGTCTGAAGTTGTGTTTGTTTGATTCTGTTTTGCTATTTATCTGTATCACATTATGAATGGTCACAGAAAATTATTTGTGCACGAGAAAATTGAGATTACTACCTGCAAGGTGTCATTACCTGGTAAGAAGCCTATCAAAAGTTTGTCCTCCTGAAAAAGTAGTTATTGCTAAAAGCTAGCTGTTTTGATCTCATTCTTGCTCATTTGTTTTTAAGACTGAGATAATGAAATGTCACTCCCATGGCAACTCTGCCTCTTTTTCGGAATGATCATTGGTGGTCATAGTTGCAGCATAATAACCAGTTAGACCTTGGAAATCCTTTAGATTCTCCTTATTCCATGATTTAACAAAGACTGATATAATTAGCTACATTTTACTGAAGGGAGAAGCTAAAGTTCACAGGCAGAATTCAATTTAATCCAATCCATCTGTTTAATCTTTGCTGAACTTAAGCTTTGTGCCAGGCATTGTGCTGGGGATAAGGGATATAGTGACAAGACAGACACTGCCCTGGCCCTTCTATTGGTTAGACTAATGTCTCACGGGACCCAGAGTGGTAGGGAGGCAATGACAACACAATACATTAAGAGCTACCTTAGAGCATGCTAAGTGTAATAGAAGTATATAAAACACTAGTCTCAGCCAATCAAAAAGTCAGAAAAGGCTTCCTGGGGGACTGTCGGCTAAATTTAAACTCAAAGGGTAAGGGGAGATTGTCCAAATGAAGAAGGAAGAGGAATGAAGAGGAGGCTAAATTTAAATGAAGAAGGAGTGTTTTCTAGGCCAAAGCAAATATATGGAAAACAAAAGAAAGACGCATGTAGATGGGGCATTACACTTTTCCCTCCAGTTATTTATCCTGTTTTCATCCACCACTCTTCGTCTTTTCCTTAGATCTCCAGTTTTTTAGCCGTATATTACCCCCTTTCTCTCTAATCATCCATTGCACACAGTGAGGTTTATTTGTAAATCTAACCCAGGCACCAACTAACCAACCAACAAACAAAAACAGCTAAGGAGTAGCCACTGGAACCTGGAACCATGCCTACACTTACAAAAATTTGATTTTCTGCAGAAAAAATATTTTGACTCCTACATTTTTGGACTTCATTAGAAGGACCTGAAATGGATGACACCAAGCTGTTTGCCTAAAATAATGTCCCAAGCCTGAATTGGCATGGATCTTTCTTGAGATTAAAATAGAAACTTGTTTTGCTAACTGAAAACAACTTAGAAATCAAAGAGCCATTTAAGTTGAAACCATTATTTTTCCTTTCCTTGAAGAAAATTCCTGTTTTTACACACACTGAATGATCAGGATAGTGAATCACCCTACCACAGAACTTTCCATTAAAAATTTGAAGTTGTAGAAACCTCAAAAAGAAAATGAAGATGGGGGGAAAACGTTTGTAATGTAGCAAATGAATTGAATAAACATTTATGAGCACCTACTATGTGCCAGGCAGTGTTCTAGGTGATAAAGATACCTGCCTTTGTACAGCTTGCATTCTAGCGGAAAGAAAACATACAAACAAAAAATATGCAAGTTATATAGTAATATAAAAGATGAGTGGTATGGAGAAAAGACAAAGTAGGACAGGCCAAGGATCATCAGAAGGAGGGCAAGTTAGAGGTTTAAATAGGATGGTCATGACTGGCCTCTTCAAAGAGGTGTGACATTTGAGCAAAGACTGAAGGAAGTGAGGGCGTGTGCCATGTAGATATTTGCAGAGGGCAAGTTGCAGTTTTAAATAGGATGATCATGATTGGCCTCCTGGAAGAGGTGACATTTGAGCAAAGACTGAAGGAAGTGAGGGTGTGAGCCATGTAGATATTTGGGTCCAGATAGAGAAAACAGCCAGTTACTGGCCCCAAGGCAGGGGCATGCCTGGAACATGCAAGAAAGGCAAGGAGGCCATGGACTGGAGGAAGAGAAATGAGGACATTGAGAGGTACGGGAGATGACAGATGATCACTGCACAAGGCTGTCATTCGAGGTAAGGTTGGGAAGAGGGGTGACTTGATTGGGCTCATGTACATCTTAGGATAATCATGTTTTCATTTGAACACAGTCATTTAGTACAATACTTTTTACTCTGCAACAACTGAACAATGATTACTTAAAATGGTTTCTAAGTGATCCCCTCAAGATCAGGCACCACAACACTACTAGGCAGTAGCAGCCCTTCCTCTCTGGCAGGCACTCATCCCTAGAGGGGCAGTCCTGTCCTAATGTGCTCGGGAGTTGAGCTGATAGAGACAGAAACAGTCTGCTCATTTCTTCTTCAAAACCCGACTGGAGAGCCAAATATTTCTTTTGGTTAGTTACAAAATAAAAAATATGCCTTTGCCAACTCTGCGGGAAAAGCAAACTCCCAGAGTTTGCCTTCGCTAATTTGTCCAAGTCGTGCTGTGGTTTTAGTAAATGCAGACACTGCTCAGCTCCAGCCCCATAAACCTCTCTGCTCTAGGGCTTCTCCGCCCTCCGGTGAAAGCTACTGCTCGCCCCTGCAGTCACCACCTGTTCGGGCGGAACCTGCGGAGCGTGCACCTACGCCTCGGGCTCCTTTCCTCCTCCACTCCCCTTTCCTGCTGGGCACCCTGCTTTCCCTCTCCCAGAGAGGGTTTGCAACTTTTCTCCCAGGCTGGGGCTCGCCCTGCTTGGCTAACCCCCAAGAGCCACTGCCGTCCCGCAGCGCCCCTGCCCCCGAGTTGCCTGCCCCGCTGGGCCCCCGGGAGGAGCGGAGCGCGCTCACCCTTCGCCCGGGGCTGGGAGGGCGGCGAGTCGGGCGCACGCGCACCCCCTGCCCGCCCCTGGCGCCCCTCCCCGCGGGCGGTGCAGCTACCCCTGCAGCGCCTCCCCTAGCTAGAAGGGAGCGGGAGGGGGCTCCGGGCGCCGCGCAGCAGACCTGCTCCGGCCGCGCGCCTCGCCGCTGTCCTCCGGGAGCGGCAGCAGTAGCCCGGGCGGCGAGGGCTGGGGGTTCCTCGAGACTCTCAGAGGGGCGCCTCCCATCGGCGCCCACCACCCCAACCTGTTCCTCGCGCGCCACTGCGCTGCGCCCCAGGACCCGCTGCCCAACATGGATTTTCTCCTGGCGCTGGTGCTGGTATCCTCGCTCTACCTGCAGGCGGCCGCCGAGTTCGACGGGAGGTGAGCTGGGCCCCGGGGCGCCCTCTCCTCCTTCCCGCGCTAATTTCACACTCACTGTCTTGGGTCACTTTTCCCCGCGGGGTTTCGTGGTCAGAGAGGCGTCTCCTCCATCCAGAAGTTGGGCCACCGCACAGCGTGGCGCGAGGAGAGCGGTCCAGCGGCTCCGAGTGCCCGCCCGAGGCGGAGAGGGCGCGCCCTTGCGAGTCTGGGACCCCATCCGCGGCCCCCCGAGGGCGACTCGCCCCGGCTCGGGAATTAGGACTGAGGGAGAGGAGCCGCTGGAGCCTGGGATCTCGGCTCTGAGGGCGCGGTTTAGCCACCTACGCCGAGGTGACGCGCGAAACATCCCTTACCCGGGAAACTCCCGCGCCTGAACTAGACGGCTCTTCACTGGGGAAGCTTCCAGGCCCCCGGGGGGAGGCCCGGGCTCTGCTCAGGGCTCTCGGGGCCGCTCACACAGAGAGTGGGTGCGAGTCAGCGACTGGGCTACGGGGGAGATTTGTGGGCCTCTCCATTTGGTTTTCTTGAGGGAAGGAGACTCAAAATGAGGACCGGAGGGTGGGCGCTCCGTGAATGTGAGCATGAGTGTGTGGATGTGTGTGTGAGAGCGCACACACTGCGCCGCTCCTCAGACTCGGGCGAGCCTGACGGCGGCGTGCTGTGACAGGTTCCAACAACCTCGGGCCGCGTCTCCGCTGTCACTCAGCCGGTCCTCCCGCGCTCCGGGGCCGCTCCGGTGTGTGAGAGACACTGGGTCTGTCGGGAGGGTGTGCTCGGTCCCCCTCACCTCTGTGCAATTACAGACTAGGCTCGTCCCGGGTGCAGATGGCTGCTGCGAAAAGAGGTTTTACTCTGGCGCACACCGTCGCCCGGTCGCCTTCCTTCAGCGACCTCTGCCCCCACCCCTCCGTGTAGGTCCCTGCCTAGTCCTAAAGAAAGATGCCGCACCTGTTTTACCTTTAATCTTGGAACGAATCAATTCCACAATTGATTCGCTTTCTTGTACCCGGAGGCGAACGGAGGGGAACCAGTGGAGCGCCAAGAAAAAGCACAGCTGCTTGTTCACTACCTGGTCGGAGGAAATAGAAAGTTCGGGGTTATTTTGTACTTTGGGCCTGGGGGTAGAAAGGCAGGTAAAAGAAAAGGGGAATTGAAAAAGATAAGGAGACTTTAAGAAAACGTGATAGCAGCCAGAGTGTAGACCTTTTTATTTTATTTTTAAAAGCAATTCTGTGCTCACATTTGGGTATGTTATGCATTTCTTGCACACATATTTGCAACAAGAAACCCATCACAAGATATGCATATGATGTGAATGCATATAGCTTTTTGTAACTTTAAAAAGATGTCTAAAACAGCAAATTAAAATGTTGATACCCAGAGGAAAAAAGTCATTTAGGTGTGACTCTAAACAAGGAAACAATTTAGCAAATAATGTGTCAACGTGTAATCAGGTGGATAAATCTGTATCCTGAAATTACTTTCTTTAGGCATTATTTACATTAGAGAGGAAAATACTATGAATTGTTGATCTAAGCACGTTTCAAACCACAAGGATACTTGAGATATCAGCTACACTTTAAACTCTCCTTGGTTTTATTTAGACTTTTTTCTAGTACTTTTTTGTTTTTTTTGTTTCTGCCACAGTTATGTCTCAAAAAGAGCTCTGTTACACTTGATTTTTGAGAAACCTTTCTGCTCCTTCCCCCATCCACCTTTTATATGAGGCAGAAATTTTTTCTGCTTTGACATGTCTTACTTAATACTTTTCAGTTTATGGTGAATCAGTCAAACCTGGCTTTCACCCCAGTAACAGGTGTGGGTCTTTGAGGAATCTGTTTTATTTCAAGCTTCAGAAACTATCCTGTGAGTGGCAGCCTTGAGAATTGTTGGTGTTAGCTGGTGCTATTTCTACTTAAGAAAGCATCTTTCCCTCCCGTTTTTTCTCCTACCCTTGTGTGTTGGGGGATGGGGTATTTAACTGTCTGAAATTTGACATTAGATCATAGCAGAACTATTTCTGTGAAGGTGTTTTAACCTTAAATTTCTGCAGGCATAAAAGAG
This sequence comes from Homo sapiens, assembly GCF_000001405.40. Taxonomy (NCBI): domain Eukaryota; kingdom Metazoa; phylum Chordata; class Mammalia; order Primates; family Hominidae; genus Homo; species Homo sapiens. The sequence goes on from NC_000004.12 coordinate 105,897,788, forward strand.
TTTGTAGAAAATTGTTGGGTGTGGTTGACATTTTTTCTGAAGTAATAATACAGAGGAAATTACCTTTCTTCTCAAAAGTGTCCTTATTTATTTTGAATCTTTTTTTTTGGTAGGTGGCCCAGGCAAATAGTGTCATCGATTGGCCTATGTCGTTATGGTGGGAGGATTGACTGCTGCTGGGGCTGGGCTCGCCAGTCTTGGGGACAGTGTCAGCGTGAGTATCAAGCCTGGGGACTTCAGTTCCCTGGGAGGTGTGGCTTTCCACCTTGTTCATGGCTTCACCCCACATATCAGAGGGTTCATTACTGAGCAAGGCTTGGCCTTGCAGGTCTGACTTGGGGATTTTCAGGTACAGTCCAGACTCCTTATTCTGCTTCTTTTCAGCTTTAGCCACCTGTATTACGGCCCAGCTTTGTCATTCACAGAGAGCCACCTTAAATGTTTCTTTTAGCATTTTTCCCCCCAAATCTGCATCTCCTTCCTGTTTTCTTACCAGGTTTATTTCTCTCTCTCTCTCTCTCTCTGTCTCTCTCTCTCTCTGTCTCTCTCTCTCTCTCTCTCTCTCTCTCTCTCTCTCTCTCTCTCTCTCTCTCGCTGACTCGCTTGCTCCAGGCTGGGAGATGGGGATAAGATAATGAGTCTAGACCGTATTTACACTGGGGATAAGATAATGAGTCTAGACCGTATTTACACAAAATAAACTCTGAACCTTAGAGTACTTATATAATCCTCACCATAGCTGTTGTGTAAAGTGGCCCATTTGTAAATCCTTTTTTGGACTGGGGTTGTATTGACAGTGTTTTAAATGGACCACCCAGTATAATGAAACAAAGCCACTGAAACAACATTATTTGTAAGTTCTATAAGTAACCAACCTCATGTAATAAGTACCAAATCAGAAAGCTGATTTTCACCTTTTCTGTGACCACAAATGGATATTTTAATGGTAAAATTTAGAGCTACATCAAAAGAGTTTGAGAAATTTAGGAAATTTGTCCCCAGCATTTTATCGCGATCTTAAAATTGTATCTCACTCCTACTGCAAAAAAATAGTCTTCAAATGATCAAGTACCTTTCCAGAGCACCCTTAGAGTGCTTGGGGCGGGGGTAGGGGGCACTTCTGGTAAGATGATGGGAACTAAGTTGGGTTCTACATTGGGATATATATTTTATTGCTAATGAGGAGGAGGCTTAGAGGAAGAGAGAAGGGCAGTTACGAAGGCTAGAGCTGGCAATGGAGAAGCCTGCCTTAGAGATGGGTTGCTAGTGTGAGGAGTCAGGCAAATTTAAGTTCAGGAAAGTTAGGAGTTCCCTCTGCTATTTTAATTTTTGAGGATGCTTGCAATGTCTTCCTTAATTTTGTGAAAGAGGGACAGTGACAGTCACAGATTGACTCTAATTGCACATAAAGACCACAATCTCTGGTTGGGAATAGAAAGGTAAAGGAAATGAATGTTTGCCTACCTGGTATGGAATTTGAGAACCAACAGATTCTAATAACCAAAATGTGAAGAAAGGACCCTTCTGTTGGCCCAACACACCTACACATAACCCTCCTGAGTGAAAAATGAGTAGTTCTATACCTGCAGTCTCCAGCTGTGCAAATACTTCTGATACTACAGAAGACTAAATTCCACCAGGCACCATTCTTCTTTTTTGATCATCTTCCCTTAAAACAATATTGAATAGACTAACCAGTGAGTGTACAGCAGCTTTGCCTACTTCTTTTGTTTACTGGAAACTGGAGTTACCACCATCTCCCTTTAACAGAATGTAATTGACCCCCCGTGCAAAGGGTCTAGCCAAGCAGCTCGCACATAGCAGTTAGGCAAACATTCGTTTGCTTCACCTTTTATGTTTATACTTCCAAAATCAAAGTAGTTCCAAGGTTTTCTATGTTACAGTGAAATAAAATCCCTTTCAATTAAAAAGGCACAAATGGTTCTTTACTATTAACATTGAAGTTGGTGAGGTTGTAAAAATTAGCTCAAAGGTGAATGTTTCCTTCTGTGTATTTTATTTTTCCAGCATCTTAGATGGCGCAAATGTCTCTTGTCAGTTCAGAGTTCTGCCTGTCTTTGTTTTGATATAAGCAGGTAGAGGAATGTGGGGCTGAGAAGTAAGCTTGAAGGGGCAGAACAAACCAAAAAGAGGCTGATCAGATTGAATGAAATATCTCTGAAAACTCTTGATTATTTTAAAGAAAGTCTTTATGAAATTAAAAGTTTTGTCACTACGTTTGTTCAAGAAAATGCCTTGCTATTGTATAACAATTCAATCTAATATGATTCCTTATAAAGATTCCAAAGAACTTCTAGCGAATTTAATGTGAGAAATGTTTTTGCCTTTTCGACCTTTAGATAATCATGTAGTTCTTTCCCATAAGGAAGGGCTATTCTCCCTTCCTCATCAGAGGTGCTCTGGTTCTCTTCTTTTCTGAATGATTCACTTTGGAATTTTCCTTCAAAACAGCATAGCAAAACAAAAAGAAACTATTCCCATTACTGCATAGATCTTCCCAACTTATCCCATAGAAGGTGTGTTTGTAGGTAGGGAAAGGTGGTGGTACCCTCATTATATTATTTAACAGACCTTATGCCTTAGTGCAGTGACCCTTTGGTGAGTGTTTATTCCGTTTGGTTGAGCATTTGTGAGATGTTTGACTTAATATTCATGTGAGTCAAATGTACGTATCTGTACAAAACATGCTGCCCTTCATTTTCACTTGCTATCTTCCTATCCATGGTCTTGTTTGGAGAAACCGACTAATGTTGCAGGATGCTAAAGCTGGTAGACCTCTCCTTCTGGCTCACTATGTCTAAGCAGAGCCAGATATAGCTGGGAAACTTTATATCCTTCCCTCTAGGACTCAGGAAGGAAGGATCAGAGATGCTACTCAAATGGGCATAGAACCTGTCCTGCTGCTTCCTGCCTGTACCACCCAACATTCTATCCCAACATTCCTGCCTGCTAGGGAAAGCATGACCCGTTCCAGAAATAGGCAGGTTGTGTTTTCATAGTTCTTTTGTAGGTCATACCCTTGGTTGTTTTTTTTTTTTTTTTTTTTGATTCTTTGTTTTGTGTTCTTGACTCTTAAACAGATCTCTAGCATATTGAAAATTCAACATTTGATTTTCTAACTGTCATGGGCTTTACTTTTATTGACTATTGATGTGGCTGTTTATTGTCAGGTGAAAATTTTTTAATATGTTCACACACTGATGATTGCATATTTGCAGCACACAGCATCTTAAACCACTCAGAGGTTTGTCACAAAATGTGTGTTTCTTGCTCTGTAATTTTTTTGTCATTTTGATGGCATATTTTAATTATGCTTTTATTTCTCTCCTTCTACCAAGTGGAGACCTCTGTAACAAAGATTTTTCAGGGTTGCATATTTCATCTTTAAAAGCTGTGTACACTGTGGAAACAATTGTTAACCAAAAGCACTAGATAATTTAGGATAACTGAGTTCAAGTTCTGACTTTTGTACCTGAATAGGTGTCTAACATTTCTCAGCTACAGTTTTCTTATTACACAAGCATATTTCCAAGGTATGTTGAAGCTCTAAACTGCAACTGAAAACTTCCTTAATGTAGAAAAACTATATAGGATCTAAATATTGTATTTTTGTATGGTTGTCCTTCTGTTTACTCGGAGATTTGACTGTATATGTGGCTTATGACAATAGCATTTTTGTTAAAAGCATTTTATAGAAGTGTGAAGAAAAACTAAAAATACAACCAGTTCCAAGGTTTAACAAAACTATTCCGTTTCTGAGTTCTTTGGCTGTCATTGAGCAACTTGTGGTTTCTGAAGGAAATTATGTGAATTAGGATGGTTTTGTATCATTTATCCTTAAGAACAGGGAAAATTGAGATGTTTTCTTATGTTTCTGCTGGAGATTTTGGAAAGATGTGAAACCTACACCTACAGATTGACCTTGCTTAGTTAGCTCTGAACCTCCTGCTGCCTCTTCCACGTAAAGTGAAAATTTTGGATTCTTATCGGCTTCAGATAAACTTACAGGTTAGTGAAACATAGGGACTGAGATATAGTAATTCATTCTGAAGCTGTTTTGGAGTGGTCAAATAATTTTAGTTGGATAATATATATTACTGGCTAATGATTGTGGATATTGGAAGTGATGAAAAAATTATTGAATTATTTCTTTCTGCATTTCAAATGAAAAGGCTATTAGTTTGAGCAGAGAATTTTGATTTAGTAAACAAAATATTTAAATTTCATGTTTCATTTCTTTCTCCTATCTGGGTTCAGATACTCAGTCTTATAAATGGAACATGATTTATTTTTGCTCCCTAAACTGGTTATTAACTTCCTGTCCATAATCACAAAACTATATAGATTATATATTTCTTTGATTATTTGGATTTTGAATACTCTCTTTAAAATAATCAAGAGAAAATTAGAGCTGTTAGAATGTTAGAATTTGTTTTGAAGGCCACACATAGTGTTCCCTCCACAGAGAGGTTATACTAGTAAATGCCTTTCTATTTGAGGTCAACAACTATGACAACTTCCATTGAACATGAGTTAGTATTTTAAACGTAAAGCAATTTTTATACCTGTATGCACCCAAAAAGTAACAGGGGCTCTCAAAAGGGGTGGGGATTGTACTGTTTACATGTATATTGAAGATTGCTAGCAGAATTCTGGGGCCAGCTTGGTGGAGCGGAGTACACTTCATTGTCCTTAGTGTAGTAGCTTCCTCCTCTAATTTTGAGGTGAGAATGCAGAATCTGTTTTTTGTTTGTTTGCTTTTAGGTAGGAATAAAAGCAAGGCAAGGAATAATTTTGATTACTTGCAACATTAAACTTGAATCCACAAATCCTTAGGAAGTGAAGTTTTTGATTAAGATTATTTAACTGCCACTTTCCTTGAAAGGTTGTTTAAGAACATCATGTACCTTTGGGTAACTTCAAGTGGTCTTGGAATGCAGATTCCAAAGTAAGATCAGCGTTGAAGAATCTTGACCTTTTCAAACAGGTAATTTGTTAGTATGTGTAGTCTTCAAAGTTAAGTTTCAGAGAAATTGCTTTGCTCTTTTATTCTTTTCCCCAATCAGAACTGATCTTTATGTAATACTATTAAGATCTACTAATTTCCTGAAATCCCTTCATAAGCTTAATCTGGCCAGGTCTTAACCTTTATGGATTAGAAATTTTAGTACTTCTTAAGCTAGAAGGCCAGGCCAACTAAAGGGAAGCACTCTCCTCTCTGCCAGTTCAGCAACTAGATCTGTCCTCAAATACCTGCCACAGGGATATGCTGCTTGAAGTTGCCCACGCATGTACACACTGGGACCAAGAAGGCACTTCTGGTGCCAGAAACAACACTGTGTTTGCTTTGTGGAAATTTTTGATATGCTTTAAAAAATGTAGGTGTCTTCTCCCTCACCTCCTGTGTGTAACTTCCAGCATTTCTTTTTGTTGCTTTTTATCTACAGAATTCATGTTCTTTGCATTTTGAGTTAGTTGAATCCACTGTATGCTTTCCAGATGATAATTAGTGAAGCTCAATGATTCTATGCAGTGTCTTTCAGTGGGTAAGGGAAGATATTCATCACAGGGGTGGGCCTTCATCACAGGGGAGATGGAAGGGCAAGGGAGAGGGATTCTGATGGCCTAACCCTCATTATTGCCCCCCACTGCCACATGCAGACACTCTTGCCGCTTTCCCATTGATTTTGTGCAATATTTTAAATTTTTCCACCAATCTTTGGAAAATATTAATTTATTTTGTAGGAGAAAATGTATTCATTTCCTTAAATATCCCTCCTCAGAGCAACAAGCATGATTAGTTTTTGGTATACTTTAAAAAATATTTTACCTACTTATGGGTAAATTGCAATAGATCTCTCCCCTATCACCCACTTGTTTTGTACAAATGAAAGCATACTATATACACTGCTTTGTATGCTGCTGCTTTTTCTTAACTGTACATGTTGAAAGGTTTTATTTATAGACCTTCTTACTTTTTTTTTTTTTTTTTTTGAGATAGGGTCTTGCTCTGTCGCCCAGGTTGGAGTGCAGTGGCATAATCTTGGCTCACTAGAACCCTTACCTCCTGGGCTCAAGCCATCCTCCCACCTCAGCCTCCTGAGTAGTTGGGACCACAGGTGTGAGCGACCACACCTGGATAATTTTTGTATTTTTTGTAGTGACTGGGTTTTGCCATGTTGCTCAGGCTGGTCTCCAGCTCTGAGCTCAACTGATCTGCCCACCTCAGCCTCCCAAAGTGCTGGGATTATAAGCGTGAGCCATCTTGCCCAGCTGCCTCCTTACTTTTTTATGCACTCAGCATTCCATTGTATGGCTATACTGTAATTTATTAGCAAGTCTCTTACTGATGAACATTTATGTTGATTCTAATTTTTTGCTAACACAAGCAATTCTAAAAAAACTTTGAACATATGTTAAAGATGTTGTTTTGCATGTTCTTAGTGTTTCTGCAAAATAAATTTTTATATGTGGTCAAATGGCAGATACATTTGTAATTTTTATCAATTGCCCAATGACTTCTTACTCAGTAGAGAAGATAGTTTAAGGGGAAAGACTGAATGGCGATGCTGACCCAAAGGCTCCAACAATCCCATATCCAGAGTCTGATCTTTCCTTGATTTTAGGATTCTTTGATCCCTTTTCTTTCCCAAGAAATCCCTCTGACAACTCAGTGAATGTCCATCTGCTCCCATCATCTGTTTCCCATCAGACCAGAGGCAATGGGCTGAAGCTAGGAGAATGGAGTGAGATGTGTCCATTTGCCAGGGTCTCCCAGTGGCTTCCTGCCTATCATTTACTTGTAAGAAAGAGCCACGCATTCCTTTAGGAATTGCTTAATTCATTGATCTTTTATTATCTTTGTAGTTTAGCCATAATTTTTTTTTTCTTTGAGACGGGGTCTCACTCTGTTGCCCAGGCTGGAGTGCTGTGGCAGGATCTCGGCTCACTGCAACCTCCGCCTCCTGGGTTCAAGCAATTCTGCCTCACTCTCTCTCGAGTAGTTGGGATTACAGGTGTACACCACCACACCTAGCTAATTTTTGTAATCAACTGATGGAGTTGATATCCAGAGACAAGATACAGAGATTCTGTATCTTGATTTTTAGTAGAGACAGAGTTTCATCGTGTTGGTCTGGCTGGTCTTGAACTCCTGACTTCAGGTAATCCACCCACCTTGGTCTCCCAAAGTGCTGGGATTACAGGCATGAGACACCGCGCCCGGCCATTAGCCATAATTTTTATACCTTTGTGTATAGTATGGGCTTTTTTTTTTTCTAGACTTATAACCTATTAAGGAGGAATATGTAGAATTCTGAGATCTGAATACCATTTTGGGGACACCGTTTATGATAAAAAGATTTTCAGGAAATATTAAGACATTTTTGTACCAAAATACTTTTTGTAGTGTCCTTAAAACCATAGGGGCATATATTTTCTAATAGTTATTCTAATCCTTATTCCAATTATATACTTAAATTGTCTCCTTTTAGAAAAGTAAGAAATGCATGATTAGGTGAAAAATTAAAAGACACATACTAAGAGCAAGACAGCAGTGAAGGTAAGTATTTCTAACTTTCCTGTTTTCCTGACACCTAGTTCCACCTTCCCACAGGCTACCACTGTTTCCTATTGATCCTTGTAGAGATTTCTTAACATTTTCAAAATTTCCCTTTTTCATAAATGATGGCATGAAGTACAAACGGTTCTGTATCTTGATTTTTTTTTCATGTAACACTACGTTTTGGAAAGCAGTCCTCATTAGTTTATTTAAACCTGACTCATTCTTTTAAATGGCTATACAGTATGCCATTACATGAATGAATGTACTATAATTAATTTAAAAATCCCCTATTTATGTACCTTTGAGTGGTTTTCAATATTTTGTTTTTACATAACATGCTGCAATCAATATTTGCATATATCATCATCACTGTTGTATACCTTTAGATATGGAGGACATATCTAAAGACATTTGATTTCTGTATTAGTATAGTAATTGAAGAGGTTTCATTTTATTGCTACAAATTTTCTTATGTTTAATCTGTAATGTAAAGGAGAGTAAATCATGGCTAATATTACAGAGTAGAAACCTTCTGTTCAGTCATCTTCTATTTTTGATTCCTTAGAAGATACCTTAAAAGATAAATTAAATTGATTTCTTTATTTCTATTTGTTTATGCCCTATCTTGTTTGGGAAAGTATATAAAGTGGCTTCCAGGAATTCACACAATTAAAATAAGGAAATAGGGGCTACATGGAGGAAAATGGGGGTAAAATAAAAATATTAGGAGGAGGGTTTTTCAAATGCAGATATGTAAGCCATAGGATCCTACATATGTCCTACAATTTGGCTACTAGCTTCTGGTAGCCAAAGGTAAAAGATGTTATTGCTGATTTAATTTGTGTTGTTTGTCAGGGAAAAAGCAAACAAGTTATGTGGGAGGAATTATGGTTTTACTGCATGTAGTTCTGAACGAAGACTTTCACGTGGCCCTTTACGGAGTGGGAGTGAATGATGGGATGGAAGGGGCCACAGCAACATTCCTATCATGAAGCCAGTGGTGGTTTTTGAAAAGCTGTTTCATAGAAGATCCGTCAACATAAGATGAGGCCCTTACTCTAAAAGTACAGTTCACGGAAAGCTGTTCTATACATAGTTTAAGAAGCATTATGTGCATAGCTTTCTGACGTTCAGCTAGATACAGCCCAGAATATCTAGCTGTGATGGATGAACTGTATAGGGTTTTGGATGGACAGCTCTGGATTAGACAAGATAGTTTCAGGTTAGAATCACTAACAATGTTCTGAAGTTTGCTGTATTATTTAACAGATTAAAGGCCAGTTCATTTTGTCTTTCTTTTTTAAGTCGATATATTTTGAAGATCAGTAATCAACTAATGGAGTTGATATCCAGAGACATTGTGAATAGAGCAGGGATAGGGCCCCGCCTAGGCTCCAGTAAAAGGAGGATCTGCAAAGAAATTAGTGGGAGATTTTTTAATATCAATTTTGTATCCATTGGATAGCAATATATAAATTCACCACCATTTTGCTATATACATATTCATTTCCATGCCAGTTATGGCTTGGAATAAGGAGGAAAGGCATGAACATTGTTCCCAGGCATCATTTACCCTACTGATGCTGATACATGGATATGGGCCAGTGAGCCCAGGAACAACAGAATCCCTGACCAGTGCTTATTTCCCCAAAGTTCCTGATTGCTATAGGTGTTCCGGGGAGTCAAAGTAACCTCAACTGTTTTCTTAATTCACCTGGATTTATAAGGGTTGATTTATATAAGTTGCTTAGACCTGAACAGACTCAAAGCAGAGTCTGTAGGAAATACTCTGCATATCAACATCCCGTACCCAAACCTAAGTCATCTTTTCACTGGGGTGTGCGGAAGGGCTGATTCTCATGTACTCTTGAAGCCCTAGGCAATAGAACCTGAAATCCTGATGCACATATACCCTAGGATAATTTCTCTCTCAAAAAAAAGCAAATAGTGATTTTAAAAATTATGACTCAATGCATATTCTGAGAGTGCAGCAATCCAGTAAGTGTCACATCTCCTTGGGAGGAACAAAGAGAAGGTCTTCAAACGCCTTTTCTGCAGAGACTAGCGTGAACCAAGAATCTCCCTGTCTGAATTGTCACCGTATATCAACGTGGCAGCGAGCTGAGAAAGTTAGCATTGCCAGGGCCGAGGTTTTCTGTCTTCACGGTAACAAACAAATGATCAGTCCTCAAAGATAGTAAAATGTAGCCAAGATAATTTGGCTTGAAAAAAATTCAAAGTGATGTCAATAACCAGCTACAACCATAGAAAAATACTAGTAGCATATTGATGGTGCATCCCTGGGAACATGCCAGGGCAAATTGGGGTGCAAAATACACCAGTTATTTAAAAATTGGTATGTTATAAGGTAAAGAATTCATTAAGTAATATCAAATACAAATAAACTTTTTATTTTGATTCACTAAAACTTCTTTTTAAGTTTTCTGATTTTATTACTTAATTACTACTGATACATAATTAAAGAATTATGGCCATAATAGAATTCCTAATAAAATTTCTAATAAAGCCAGAATGAAGGAGTATATTACAGGCCAGACATGATAAAGCATTATGATGTGTGGTAAAATAGTGACATCTATTTTTTCATTCTGTATTATTTTATAAATTTTCTGGAGAATTTCAGTTTAAACAGCCTGCTGAAATACTGTTAAATCAACCTGTTATTCTTAACTCTGATGGGAGGAAACAGATATGAATAATAAAAATGATTTCTTAGCTTTAGAATATAGTTGTTGCTTTGGAGAACAAACCGTTTTATTCCAATTATTTTTTATTAGGAGACTTCATTTTCTGCCATACATTAGCTTTGGTAGATACTAGATGCCAGGGGAGTGCAAATTTGAGAATAAGGATTTGGCATGGGTTATTTGCATGTTGAGAGTCAAGATTTAACTAAATTTTAAAACCAAACACTTCATTTGATCAATATCTTTTTAACCATTCTGTAGATTAATAATATAAATTCTCCAGAGCTGACATTACTTTGCTATAACATCATCAGATCACAAGATTAGGGTTGCCTTTTGTAGATGTTATTCACTTACTCTGAAATGTTAGGAAATATGTCATCACAGTTTAAATTTGTAGTAATATATACAAAAGGAAAACACAACTAGGAATTTTGGATTTATGCTTACTTTGCCAAAAACCATGTTGATTTTCAAAAACCTTTAGCCTTTTTTTTTTTTGAGACGGAGTCTTCCTCTGTCACCCAGGCTGGAGTGTAGTGGTGCAATCTCGGCTCACTGCAACCTCTGCCTCCTGGGTTCAAGCGATTCTCCTGCCTCAGCCTCCCGAGTAGCTAGGACTATAGGCACCCGCCCACCACACCAACTAATTTTTTGTATTTTTAGCAGAGACAGGGTTTTACCATGTTAGGCAGGATGGTCTCGATCTCCTGACCTCGTGATCTGCCCGCCTCAGCCTTCCAAAGTACTGGCATTACAGGTGTGAGCCACCGTGCCTGGACTAACCTTATTTTCGTAAATCAAAGTTCCTAAATTCAGTTTCTAAGGAAAGCCCCTAAGTGGTCAAAGGTGTGTGTTGCTGAATTTCAGAAACAAACTCCATGGATGGACTTTCCAGACATAAACTTCCCACCAAAATATTGTTCCAAAGTGTTTAGTGCCTCCTATTTTATTTTAGTGTTAAGATTTTGTAGGTACTTGGTAATTATCAGCAGAATATTTACATACCAACAAATAGCAAAGCCATTGATAATTAATAGAAAAACAAAATCATAGCTTATGTTTAGTTGTATTTTTTAGTGTATTTCAGTGTTTAGAGTTGATTTTATATTGCATATACTAACTGTGGTAATAGTTTCTACTGGATAGATTATTTCAAGTTCACATGATTATAGAAGTATTTTATGAAGTTTGACATAGATAATGGTGGTTTCAGGGTCCCTTGTCTCTTGGGTTGAGTTTTTACATCATTGAAGAATTAAAAGATTGTGTCTTGGTGTCTATGTATGGCCAAGAATTAAGACATTCTGATGTACAGTTTCATTTTCTAACTAAGGCAAAAATGTTTTTTGAAACAATTACTTTTTAGGATAAAAGTATAAAATTATGAAGAAATAATGTGTAGGTTTGCTAAATGTTGTGTTCTTAAATCTTGTGTTGAGGTCTGATGAATTTTTTTATATCTTTAATAGTTCTAAAGTAGTGTACTGAAAGTTAGGATCATCCATGTTGCTACTTAACTTGTTGTCCATAGGGTCTGTTGTCCTGGATGTTGGTGTTATAAATGTACAGAGTTAGGTAGTTTTCTGTGAAGAGTTTGCAGGCTAATATCACTGTTTTTGACAATGAAAAATATAGCATGAAAATTAAGGTTGGGGTATGGAGAACTTTCTAGAGCTATTGCTTTTTCTAGCTGATGATTAAGGTTGAGAGGCAGAAGTACATTGTGTCAGGGAGGACCTTTCCCTTTTATGCATGCACCTGGCATTTATCACCTTTAACAAAGTGTGTGTGTCATGCTGTGCTGCTTGCTTAAGGGGCTGTATGCCTCCAGTCTGAGTCACATGGTAACTGCATCAGCAGTCTTAGCCTGTAGCATTTTATTATTTCTTTTCAAAGTTTACACTTGGCCTAATACTTAGACATTTTATAATTCTTTACAGTAAATGAAACTATACATGAGAAGATGGGCATACCTTTGGATTAAAAAAAAAAAAGGCTCAGTTCTTTAAAGTTTCTTATCCTTGATTTTCCTAACACGGTCCAAAGTTCAGGACTGGCTCCAAACCCATAAACCTGTGTTTAGCAAGCAAGAAACATAATCCCCAGATAGTTTAGTTTCTCTGGTTTATGAGTCACAATTTCATAAAATCATCAGAGTGCTTATTAATTCCAACCACGTATAGTAAAGAACCTTCAGATGAACTGAAGCAAGGGTTCTTAGGCAAGTTGCCGGAGAGAGTTCTAGAATTCTAAACTACCTGAGTAGCTTTGCTGAAATGTTGCTTGTATTTGCTACTGTGGCCATTTTATGATGGCCATAGAGCAACAGATTATCAAGAGAAAATGAGACAGATTTTTCTGTATTATGTGCTATGAATGAATCCTATTTTAGTGAATGTTTTAATGGGGTTTATACCGCAAAAAAAAAAAATTGTATGTAAGGCATTTATTTCTGGCAACTTTCATAAAAATTGTTGTGATGGTTGCATATAAAAATTTCCTTATCCTTCAATAGAGGATAGTTCCCAGAAACTTCCTAGAAGTAATCTATTCCAGATTTAACATTGCTTTGACATAAAATGCAGTTTTGTGTAGTTTTAAAATGCAAATTAAAAAATATAGGACATTGGCTAAAATTTTATCTTGAAGTCGGGTATATATTGATACCATAAAACTTACTAGATCTATGTATTTCAAGGCTAATTTATGCCAAGTAGGAAAAATATGACCCAACCTTAAGATATTACAAGGATAAAATAGACTATACAAAACTGTTTGGCTATTTGGTACTAATACAACTAGTTAGAACATAATGATGTTTGCTATTCTTTATTAAGTTGTTTTACCTTTGCTTACAATAATTTAAAGTATTTTTCCTGATAAATTTGATGACTCAAAATTGGCAATTAAAGAATATTAAAGAAACGGTATCCTTTTATATTTTTTCTGTCTCATATATAACCATAGTCATAACTTGTGTGATCCAGAATGTAATTTGCTATTTACACTTTGATTTCAGCTGTTTGCTTAGATTGTACCTGATGTATTTTATTATTCTATTTAAGGAATGTGTCAACATCAAGATATGGTGAGTTCTTTTCAAAATAACAGTAGAAACCTGACCAATATGAAAAAAAAAAGTCTAGCAAGCAAATGTAATTTGTGTCTTTAAAAATACATAGCAATCATTCTGGATCAATAGTTAAATTATTGCTTCAATTAAATCAAATTGGACTTAGAATTTTTTTCTTCTTATATTACCCAAAGGAAGGCCCCATTCACCTAATTTTAAATTATACAAATTATACAAATAAATATACAATTGTAAATTACAGTGGATATTTAATCCTTTAAAGGCATTAATTTAGCAGAGAAGAATAAAATTATCCCTTTTCTTACCTCTAAAATCTCTAGGTTGATCAAACACTGACCATTATTAGTACCATTTCAAGTTTCTTCCCTTTACTTTCATCAAACTGGGTTATTTATGTATGTTCAAGTGAAATGGCTGTGCTTTCATGGTAATTCTTGTTGCTATTGACAACCAAAGCAGCCATGCAAGAAGAAAATGCTGTGGAAGGGAAGAAAAAAATTATATTTCCTCCCCAAAGTTGGAGAGAGAAGGGAACATACAGTATGTAAGAAACAGGTAAGTAAAAATATATCAATTTTAAAACTATTAGCCTTTCTTACTAATTGATCAAAAGTTTAAATTTTTTCAGATGTGTTTTCCAACTCCAATTTAAATAAAAGGATACTGTCTCTAGGAATCAGAAATTAATATTCTGGAAATGAAAAATTGGATTTGAAAATACAGCATCACAAAAGGTCTGAAATATTTAAATTTAGAATTTGGACTATAGAAGAATAGCATAACTTCAATTATTGGTTAATATTTTTGTTATGAAATGTTTTTTTATAACAAAATGGTGACTAAAATATTACTATTTTAAACATGTCCTAGATTTTTTTTTGTTTCAGAAAAGCACTGAAAGTTGAATATGTGTAAGTCTCCGGGAATGTAACAAGTTGATAAATACCCAAGTCCAGCCTCCTTACAGAGAAAAGATCTGGAATTTCTTTTTTTGGACATTTGTTTTGCAGCTTTCTACGTCTTAAGGCAGAGAATAGCCAGGATAAGGTGCCAGCTCAAAGGTTAGATGAACATATTTCTTGAAATAATTTTGGCTAATCTATGTCTTGAAAGGCATACCTTCTAAATAATTTTACAAAGCTGTAAACAAAACATTAGTTGTGTTTTTGAATTGCTTCTTTTTAGGAAAACTATATTTCTTAGAGATGTGCTTATTCTATACATAATTATAGTAAGTTAATTTTAATTCCATTATTACATTAAACTTTTCCGTTTCAGTTGATTATTCCTTTCTTCTGTTTTATGAATCTAATAAATTGACCTCCATTCTAAGCTAAAGGACAGTTTATGTTTTTAATACTTAAGGAAGCAAATATAAAAACAAAGTCCACCAAATGAAATTACTAACACCAGCCTATCATTAACCTGAGGGAGTTGTATTTCATATTCATTAATTCTCCATGGAACAATTCAGGTAAGAAATATTTTTATTGTATGAAATATGTTATCAGTTATAATAGCACTTACGGGCATTTATGCTCTTGTTTTAGGTACATAAAGGGTTCCTTGTTTAAGATATTTTTGGCAGTAAATAATGTCACTTATCACCCTATGACACTTTAGTGGAAAACGTTGGTGAAATATGTGGAATTGTAATGTTTAATGGAATTGATTCTAAGAAGACAATGTTCTTTTTGTTTGTTTGTTTGAAACAGAGCCTTGCTCTGTTGCCCAAGGTGGAGTGCGCTGGTGTGATCTTGGCTTACTGCAAACTCCGCCTCTTAGGTTCAAGTGATTCTCCAGCCTCAGGCTCCTGAGTAGCTGGGATTACAGGCGCCCACCACAATGCCCGGCTAATTTTTTATTTTTAGTAGAGATGGGGTTTTGCCATGTTGGCCAGGCTGGTCTTGAACTCCTGACCTCAGGTGATCTGCCGGCCTCGGCCTCCCAAAGTGCTGGGATTACAGGTGTGAGCTACTGCACCCGGCCTGAGAATGTTCTTTAAACTGATTGAAGAAACTATCACATGTCATGAAAAATGTTTTTAAGGCAGAATTTTAATAAAAAAAATATTTGGGAACAAAATTGATAGTACTAGAAATAGAAGTTCAGAAATTTCTTTGTTCAGGGAGACTTAAAGCATATGTATTTTAAAGTTACTAGCAGTTATAGGATTGACTAGTAGAGCTATGGCTTACATTAGGGAGGCAATGCCAAGGAAAGAATAGAATGTGTGGTTGGCCACCAACATCTGGGTTCAGGAACTGTTCCTATGACTTACCACCTGTAAGAAACTAGACATTTTAACTTTTCTGAGCTGCAATGTTGTAATCTTTAAATCTAACTTTGCAAGATTCTTACTGGTTATAAGGAGGTGGCTTCCACAGTTCTTGACAGATGTTTGCTATTATTAGTGTGTTCTCAATATATACAATACAAATGGAGAACTCTGAGCCGAGTTTTACTAGGATCCATCCTAGGACAGATGGTACAGCACATTTTCAAATGGTTTTGTTTACCATAATCATCTTTTGGAAATAATCAATTGGAAGTAGAACAATTCTTCAGTTATTCATTTCTAAAATCAAAACTTTCATGGGATAGTTTTCTGTGCTTCTGAACCGTTTTTCCCATTTCTCTAATAATATCCATCCATAAACCTCCGAGTGGAACAGTTTTGGTTGTCTAACAGTGTTTGTGCTTGGGAAATGAATTGAAGGGAGATGGAATTGAATTGTTGAATGTGAGCATTTAGAGTTCCTGTAATTTATCCGTATAATTATTTGAGAGCTTACTAGAGGTAAAGAGCTAAGTTAGGTGCTGGGAAGATACAAAGGTGAATAAAACAGGGACCCTTACTTTCAAGCAACTCAATTTGTAAGATGATTGGCTCTTATTCCTTCTATGATTCTTAAATAGGAAAAAGTTAGGGATAAAGATTTGAGGGAGTTCAGGGAAAGAATCATTTCCTGCTGAAGAGGATCAAGGAAGACTTCATGAACTCAATGGTATTCAGTTGATACTATATATATATATATTATCAGTATATCTAGTATATAGTATCAGTATATACTGATAGTGAGTGACATGAATGCCTAGAGCTTCATTTTACTGGGATGATATCTGCAGTAGTTGGTCCTGGATCATGCAGGTAATAGCTGGCTCTCTCTCTCCATTCTCTCTCTCTCTCTCTCTCTATATATATAATATATAAAAATAATATAATATATATTATATATTATAATATATATATTATATAAATATTACATATACATAATATAATATATAATATATTATATATATAGAGAGAGAGATAATGGAGAGAGAGAGCCAGCTATTACCTGCATGATCCAGGACCAACTACTGCAGATATCATTCTAGTAAAATGAAGCTCTAGGCATTCACGTCACTCACTATCAGTATTGAAAGCCCACAGAGGAAGGCAATACTGGGTAAGAGGCATGTTTTAGTATAGGATTCTGTGAGAGCATATCTTAAGGGGCAGTAGCCCAGACCAGCAGTGATGGAGTGGTGATGGCCCAGCTGAATCCCGAGGGATAAATCAGTCAAGTGAAGAGTATCCTGGGCACACAGAAAAATGCATTTAAAGCTCAGTAGCCAGAGGGAGGAGCACATTCCGAGAACTGTTAAGAATCTCAACCCAGCATATGTGGGGTATATGTTTGAAGGGCATCTGATGAGAGACGCAGTGGGAGAAGTGGGAAAGGACTCCTGGAAGGCTTTTGATATCATATTAAATACATTTGCCTTAATCACAAAGTTGTAGAGGAACACTGTAAAGATTTTAAGCAGAGAAATTAATATTTTAGAGGATAGCTGGTGGTAATGGATCAGATCTAGCACTCAGGTGAATTTAGTTTTGCTTGGAGTGTTTGTAGTTGTCAGTGTCTCACAGGAGACACGGATATAAGGGTTGGTTCAAAAATCGGTAGGTCTGCATTGCTGCGAGGAGTCTATCAGCTGGGGCCTCTTAAGTAGCTGGCCCATTTGGAAGAAGTATGTGCCTCATTTCCCTGTGGAGCTCACTTCCTTTAGTGCAAATGCCTGGGACCTGTAGGAAGTCAACCTGGTGAGAAATTAGGCTTCATTTTAAGTAGTGGTGGTGGGAACAAAGAGAAGGAGAGGGATTGAAAGATACTGAAAAGAAAGGATGGAGAGGCACACAGTGTTAGGGCAGTGGCGGGGGGGCACATGGGCTTGGCAGACAGACTTGCTGCAACTACAAATTGTGTTTTTGAGAAACTTACCTAAACAGTCTGAGCTACAGCTTCTTTTTTGATAAAATGTAGATAACAGTCCTATCTAGTAGGACTTTTTATGAGGATCAAATGAGGAAACCCAAAGCGTTTGACTCAGCAACTGGCTTATATTCACATTCAGTAACATGGTGGCTGCAGTATTTGTAATGCTGGTTGTGAAAGGTGAAGAAGATGTAATCAAGATTACTCCCAAGTCTCTAGGACATCATTTGGTGAGCTAGAGAACACAGGAGAAGGTGCAGATAATGATTTCAATTTTGGATATGTTCAGTTTGAAGCGCTTGTGAGACTTTGAAGTAGAGAAACTTGATATGTGCTTGGATTGCAGGGTGAGATCTGAACAGAACACAGGCTATGATTTCATTTCTTTCCACTATTCTACTCAAACCTTCCTTCCTTTTCCTTCGTCAACTTCAGTCAACATTGATTATTGCCACAACTATCTCCACGGAGGAACAGCTTTAAACAGTAGAAAAAGAATGTGGGATAGGTAAAAATCTGTGTTCCACATCTGCTAAATGTTATCTAATAGTTGTAAGTTCTTGAAAAAAAATCTTTCCAGTTTACCGTTTTGGCAAAGCATTGTAAGCAACTAATAATTCAACATTTGTTTATATCAAGGGCTGAAAAAAAGTCATCCTCTACAAACATATTTTCTTTTTTTCCCTCTTTTGGTTGCCTTTTTTTGTTTTACATCACCACCACTCCTAACTCTAAGAAAATATTTGACTAAAAGTGAATCATTGTTAGTAGTGAATTCGTACTTTTTTTTTTTTCTATGAGACATAGTCTCATTCTGTCACCTAGGCTGGAGTGCAATGGTGCGAGCTCTGCTCACTGCAGCCTCTGCCTGCCAGGTTCAATGGACTCTCCTGCCTCAGCCACCCAAGTGGCTGGGATTATAGGCATACACCACCATGCCCATATAATTTTTTTTTTTTTTTTCAGTAGAGACGGGTTTGCCATATTGCCCAGGCTGGTCTTGAACTCCTGAGCTCAAGCAATCCACGCACCTTGGCCTTCCAAAGTACTGAGATTACAGGCCTGGGCCACTGTACCCAGCCAAGCACATTTATTTTTTAAGTTTATATTCTGTCCTAATACAATGTATTAAAAATGAGCCCTGCCTCAAGTCCTAGCCTAAATGCCACTTTCTCCAGTCTGCTTTCCTGATTTTCACAGCAGGAAGTCTTCTGTACTTCCTCTACATATAACACTTGCATGAAGCATATCTCACATTGCCCTACATTGTGGTTATTTATGGATCTATATTATTTGTTCTGCTAGACTATTAGTTTCATGAAGGTGGAGGCAGTGTCTTATACATCTTTACGCCAGTATAACAGCTTCTGCAATGCCTCGTCCAGTTCAGTTCAGTACACTTTTGAAGGTGTAAGAGCTAGTCATTTCTATTTATTAATAAAAGGGATTTAAAAAAAAGATGGACAAGATGTAATCTTAATAAACATATTGTGGTTTTCAGGAAACAGTTTAATGAGAAAATGAATATATTTGTCTCCCTACCTTATGACCTTATTACATATCATAGATCTTCACTCTTGCTTTAGATTCTAAACAGAAATCAATTTATGTGCTTGAAATCACATAAAGGTAATCTGATTGTGTCATCTACTGCTTACAGTCCATTGGCTGTTCACAATTATGGGTAGAATCTTGATTATTTGAGTAGAAGCCTTTTCAGGCTGACATTGCCTTATCAGTGGAGGACTGTTTCTTGTTGTAGGCCCAGTCGCAGTGGACGGCCCTTGGGTTTCCAGACTTCTGCTGCTTCATGCCTGTTGGCTTTTCTTATGCTGCTCAGTCTGAGTCAAAGGCCCTTCACCCATTCCCATGGTGAATTTCTACTTATCCTTTAAAATTCAGCTCACATTTCCTCTTGAAAGTTTTTCCTGGTATCTTTCCTATTCCTGCCTCCCTGCAGAGAAATGCCTTCTTCTGTATTCTTTTAACACCTTGTACACCTGTCATGTCTATCTTTGTCAGGAGACTGTACACTACAGAGCAAGTACTGTGTATTTAAAGAGCTCAAAGTCTAGTGAAGGAGCTAGATAAGAAAAACAACTCTGAAAATATGGTATAAGATATATATATTTAAAAGTAAACCTGTATATACATATAATTTATGATAGAAGTATGCACAGAGGCTTATGAAAGCACTGAAGAGGGTATGAACTCAGCATGAGGCGTGAAAATCTTGGGGGTGATATAATGGTCAAACTGACAGGTGAAGCCTGTCTAGATATTAGTGTAGCAGACAAGAGGGGGAATGGCATTCCATGTGAAAGTGTGGAGGTACTCGAGAGTGTATTTCTAAGAACTGCAATTAACTGCTATATTTGTGAATGTGATTGGAAATGAGGCCAATGGGATAGGCAAGGGTCATATCATGAAATATGGTACTGAATGCCATGCTGAGTGTTTGAAATAGTATAATGATCTACATGAACATGATGAGGAGCCAGTGAATGAGTATAAGGAGCAGAATGGCATGCTGAAATCATGGGTTAGGGAGGTCCCTCTAACAATAGTTCAGGCCTGGATTGAAGTCCATGATGTTGGACACAGAAAGACTGTTGTGCCATCACTTACATGACCAATCTCTTATTGATGGACATTTAAGTTGTTTTCAAATTTCTGTTTAAGGTTCTTCAACAGATAAATTTGGAATAATTATCATTTTCTTTAGAAAACAAATAAGCAAACTAAAAACACCTGAAGGTCAAAATGACAAATCTCTGACATCATATTAGTCGAGGCCCAGTAACAAAATTGATTTAATTTTAAAAATAATTAATGTATACTTCAACTCATGTATCAGTGACTCTTTTAAACATAGAGATTTTGGTTGCTAAAAAAGGTGATGATGGTTACATTAAAATTTTCTGGCCTTTTGTGATGATTCTTTAGCAAACCTGCTCAAAATTACAGTATCAGATGTTTTAAAAAATGATAATTTTCAACTGAAAGAAATACTGTAATGTATTTCATCATATTCTATGAATTCTTACATTATGAAAGATATCTTTTATGTTTCAGATATCTATTATATTTCCTTTTTGAAAGAATTTTTTCTAGCACTACATCTTTTCCAAACCTTTTTGACTTTCCTAAGCCTGTGTAATTAATCACTGCCTGTTCTGTGTCCTTAACATGCATCTGTTATCAGGACATCTCTGCTTACTTCTGTTTCTCCTTACTAGACTTACCTGCTGGAGGATGAGAACTTGCTCTCCTATTCATTTTTATATCCCCAATTTTTAATATAGTGTCTTAGACACTGGGGCGTTTCCTCCTTGTCATACTTATAATCCTCATCATAATTAGCATTTTATTGAGCTCTTATTAATGAGATGGGTACTGTTCTAAGTACTTTATTTGGGTTTTCTCATTTAGTCCTCCAATAAACCTATGAGTAAGATCTCTAATGAATCTTGTGAGTTTACTGGTTTTTAAATAAAAAATGGCAATGAGAGCAGAGAGAAGCTAGGTAATCTGTATAGGTTGCACATTTCCCGAGTGGTAGAGCTGGGATCCCAGCAGTCTAACTGCAGCATCTATGCTTGTAAACCTTTCTCTAAATTACATTGAAAAGTTAACAACTACTCACAAGTTAAATAATAGTTGTCTGTGTATTCATGTTATTGTACTCCTTTTTATATATTTCTTCCATGTTTTGTATTAAAAAAATTTTAAATCCACAGAAGAGTTGAAGCAATAGGAACAGTAAATACCCATATATCCTTATTGTTAACGTTTTACACATTTTTTTTTCTCTCTTCCTTCCCGCCTCACCCTTCTCTCTTTCTCCCTCAACCATTTTTAAGTAACTTACAGACCTAATGACACTTCGTGCCTAAACACTTCAGCATTCATCTCCAGAGAGCAAGGACATTTACTTACAAACCACAGTATCATTTCACACTTAAAAAATTTAGTATTGATATAATAATGCTATGTAATAAACAATCCATATTTAGATTTCCCTAATTGTCCCAATAATGGTTTTTATGGATTTTTTCTTTTTGATCCAGATCCAATTAAGAATCAAACACTGCATTTAGTTGACATTCCTCTTTAATTTAATTGCTTTAAAACAATTCTACCACTTTTGTTTGTTTATTTGCTTCTCGACAATGATATTTTTGAAGAGTCCATATCAATTGCTTGGTAGAATCTACCACAGTTTAAATTTGTCTGTTGTTTCTGCATCATTAGATTAGAACTAAATTTATTTGTAAGAATATTATATATAGATGATCATCTGTTATGATATTCCTTGTGCACATATGTTGGTTTGTCCTACTATTGGTGATATTAAGTTTGATCACTTGATGAAGTGGTATCCATCAGATTTCTCTACTGAAAGGCACCTTTTTTTCTTTGTAATTAGTAAGTAACCTGTGGGGTAATACATTCACACTGTTTTGATACCCTGTTCCCCAACAAACTTTCACTTGGTGAAAGTTTTAACATCTATGGATAATCTTTCCTCAAATTAATTATTTCAATGATGATTGTAAAGTTCTGTTTTTCAAATTTCGCCGTTCCTTCTACATGTTAGTAGGCATTGTTCTTTAAAGAGGAGCTCAGTCTTCTTCCTATTTAGAATCACTTCGTAACCATAGATTCTTTTTTTATTCAATTGTTATCAATAACTACCGTTATTCTTCTTGATGCTCAAACAATCCCAAATCTAGTCAGTGGAACTCCTCCAAGCCAGCTTCTATTCTTTTCACATGTCTCTACCATTCTTTGAGTGCTTAATTGCTTTTTGCAACAGAAAACTTATTCTAGCCTCCCTCCCCTAGCCCTCATTCCTTTTATTATTTATTTTCTTTAGAAAACAAATTAGGGAATGAAATATTTAGAAACAAAGATCCAGGTGCTAGCTGTGGGCATTGCTACTGTTACTCTACTAAAAAAAAAAAAAAAAAAAAAAAACTTCACATTTCCAAATAAATAGTAACACTTTTTAATGTGTTCTTAACGTTTTATTTGGCATTAATCTAAATTCCCCTCTAGCACAATGAAAACAGAAAGAGAAAGTTAAAATTTCAAGTAAACTGAAAACAACAATAGTGCTCAGAGGATTTTTTTTTAAGTGAAAAGGGATAGTGCTTAATTATGACAAATAAAAGCTAACTTGAGATGCACATATACAGATGCAGCCACTTATTTTGGCGGGGGACACTTCAGGAATTAAAATTTAAATAGCGAGAGATCAAATAGATACTTGGTAAATGTGTCTGAATTGGATGTTCCCAGACACAAAAATAAAATGAGTTATTGACAGCTCTTGGGAGACAACATTATAAAGACTAGACACGTTATTTATTTTAACTCTATGTTCTAAATTACCATTGAGTAATTGACATTCGTATTTGACTATGGTTTGTGGTTAAGTTCTTAATTGCAATAATGTTAAATAAAATGTGAAGCCCAAAGCAAACAACAACAAAAATTATAGCAATACTTCAACAGAGGTAATAATAATATGCTGCATCAATGGTTCAGAATCCAGCATCTACATAAAACAAGCAACAGGGTAATGAAATTATTTTCTTTTCAAATATTCTGGCAGAGCTACTTTAGTTTTCTTAAGTTATAGATTGTGGTCTTAACTGCAACTTTTCGCTCCTTTTAAGAAGTATTTAAGTTATTTAAATGTTACTTAAATACTTTTATGTTTTTAATCATTATTAACATTCTCTACCCCTCTCATCCTTTCCTGCTTAGTATTTTGTTATAATCTCACTCTCCCCACTTCCAAATGCACTCAAAAATGCTGGACTTTCTGGTCTTTTTCTGACCACCAGAAGAAGTAGTGGATTGAGCATGGAACTGGGATAAGACATTTTTCCTGAAATTGGTCAAGTCACTTAATCTTTTGCATTTTTACTTGTTTACTTGTAAAATGAAGATAGTGTCTGCCTCTCTCCTGCCTTATATGGATATCATGAGGATAAATTCAGTCAGTCATATGAAATGGTTTTGAGTTCTGTATTCATGAGGGCATTTAATGTGTCTTATAGTGATAACAATCAGAGGCATTATTATTCAGTTTTTACTGCAGCAGGAGTTTAGATTTGACCATCAGATAATTGACACTATAGTACAGGGTATTAGGAAAGCTGGAAAGATGCTTTCCCCTGGAGATCTTGGACAGTAGGATTCTTCTAGGTTTTGTTCTGCTCATGATATGCAATGGCTCAGGGCACTTTTCAGAGGACCACTGTACAATCTCCCTCCATTCCACCCAGGTCCTATTAATATAGTAGTGAGTTGTTTCATATTGCCTTCAGTGACTTTCCCTTTTCCAAGGCCAATTACCATTTGAAAAAGTCATTCCCTGTCATATTTTCTTGTTCTGCTCAAATGAATTTGTCCATATCTGAATTCTGTGAAGCTTGTTGGGTGTAAAAACAGCTTTTCAAAGTCTTCCAGTTTCATATCTATTTGTTCTTCTGCCCTACCCTTGCATGTTTCTCTGTCCCCTTTTCTTCTGTGAGCATAACCTGGAGGACAAGGTTTTTTGTTCTGCTTTTAGTGGTGCCATGTCTGCATAATAACATGATGTAGATTGAAAAAATTACAAATGATTCTTGGAATTCTAAAGATAATCTTATTTCTATTGAGAAAATCCTTCTCAAGTTACTAACTACCATTGAGATTGGATTGGCTTTTGCCTTATTACTTTTCAGAGCCTCCATCTGCTTGGGTATCTCAACATATCCTTAGTTTTCAAATGTTGGCACT
This sequence comes from Homo sapiens, assembly GCF_000001405.40. NCBI lineage: Eukaryota > Metazoa > Chordata > Mammalia > Primates > Hominidae > Homo > Homo sapiens. Next base: position 105,922,235 of record NC_000004.12, read on the forward strand.
TTACTCCCAGCATGATTACCTTACATAAGAAACATTATAGGACTGATGTGGGAGTTTACTTTTCTCATAACTTATTTGATAATTCACTGCTTATGTTAGAGTTAGAAACTATTGTCCAACTCTCAGAGACCCAGTTACATCACTTAAGATGGATATTTTTTTTTTTTTTTTGAGATCAAGTCTCACTCTGTCGCCCAAGCTGGAGTGCAGTGGCGCAGTCTCAGCTCACTGCAACCTCTGCCTCCCAGGTTGAAATGATTCTGCCTCAGCCTCCCAAGTAGCTGGGATTACAGGTGCCCACCACCACACCTGGCTAGTTTTTTTGTAGAGATAGGGTTTTACCATGTTGGCCAGGCTGGTCACAAACTCCTAGGATGGATTTTTAAGACTAAAATTTTAGATTGCAATCAAACAGAAGAGGCTTGGACATGTGACATTAAAGAGCTATGTTTGTTTTGCCAGTTGAAACTTGTTTCTTTTTCTAGTTAAAACAATGATTTAGAGGTTATTTTGAGGGCACTTTGAAGATTATGCTACAGGAATGCTAGAGAGCAAATTTTGAGAGTGATTGCCCATTTGGACTTAATTCTGGCAACTGATTTTGGGGTAAAATGTCTATCATTCGTTGATTATCTGTGATTTTTACCTGGACTTTACTTAAGCTTTATTAAGTTGCTAAACCATATTTGGATGCTAGTGATAGCAGACCATCAAATACGGCCCAAACTTCTTGTTCTGATCCACACGAAGGTCAGAGAAGCAATGCTGCCTTTTCTGATAGCCAGTAGCACCAGCAGGCACGTTGTTTACTCCAAACAAGAATTTTAATATTTTTGAAGACCACTGAAAATGGATCATTTATACTTTTTTATTTTTTTGATAAGGAAGGGATGACCTACTATTCACAGAGTAATGCAGTTTGCTGAAAAGGTTGGTTTTTGCTGACCTCTGAGAGCTCACATTACAGTGGAGTGTGTTATTGGAAGGTGAGCCAGTTTATACAGAGGTTGGGAATTATTTTTCTCTAGTTTTGAAATGGTTATGCACTTTCTAATCTAGTTATTTAGATGTAGAAATAAAGTTTTTTTTTTACATTCCCCTGAGTATATGGTATTGTAGGTATAAAATAAATTTGATGAGTTTTATTTCTGTACTAGGATCTACTCATAACTCTTCTATCCTAAATTTGTATCAAAAGGAAACCTTTGCTGTCTTGATAATAAACACAGACTAAGTCCAGATTCCACAGTCTAGTGATCAAGGAAATTCAGGAATTGTATTTAGCTACAAGTAACGTGACACAAAGAACAGTGCCCTAAATTGCTAGGATGGTGATTTAGGGTTAATATTATGACTTCTTGCTCTACCCTCTTTCCATTCTCAAGATCGCCTCATGGTCATAAAGAGGCCACTGTGGTTGAGTCATGACATGCACGTTCTAGGCGAGAACACAGAACAAGCCGTGCTCTTCAGCCCCCTTCTTACACAGCATTCCAAAGCCCCACCCCATCACTTCTGCTTTCATCCCATTTAGCCAGAACTTAGTCATTTGGCTGCCCATATCTGCTAAGGAGAATAGGGAACATAGTTTTCCATTACTAACCCATCCCCCACTCAAAAAAATAAAAATTTTAAAAGCCATTCTATATTAAAGCAGAAGGGAAAGAGATATTGGTAAGAATCCAGCTGGCCTTTTGTGATCTGTGTCAGCCTTTCTTTTGATCTCATCTGCTGTTTTAAGCACTTTACACTGTAGCCCCACGAGAACACTTTGCACTCACTAAGAAGCAGTCCCCTTTGCTGCGCCCCCCCCCCACCACTTTGCTTATATTCTGAAAGTCTTTTGTTTCCTATTCCACTGCTCTTACCTCTAACACACTGCCTCTAACACACCAACCTGCAGTTGTAGTTATTACACACCCTCCTTGGTTCTTTCATCTCTCTATCACAGCCCTTGTTGTGGTTTAGCCAATATATTTTAGTTCCACAGCTAAATTTTCATACCCTCTATGACTCTCTAATCCCCTGCCACACTTGCCTACTATAATACATTATATATATAACAAATGTTTGATACGTATTTATTGAATTCCATTCCAGAACTAATGCCAGCAAGATAACTTTGTGCTATATAGGAGAATATCTTTTTGTGCAACAGTTTCCAAAGGGTTTTCTTTTTCTAAGAAGAAAGAAATTGATTGTATCAACTTTATGAGTATCCTACCGCATTTAATAGCCATTGGCTAATCTAAGGGTTCCTGGTTACTTCACTGAATAGCCTATCAGATGGGAGTGCAAACAACAGTTTGTTTTGAAATAGGACTCCCTAAACATGGAAGAAACATTAACAGTGTTGGCCTGTTGGAATGTGTGCATTTGATGTGCTCAAGATTAGGGCACTCTGCTTGAGAACAAATAACAAAAAAGGGAGAGGAAACAATAAAAACTTTGGTCCTATAAAGCACCTGAAAGTACTATAAATTGATGGTTCTCAAGCTGGTCAGGGGGTCCAAAGGCTACAGCCTGGGGGCCTCAAGTTTAATTGTTTTATAAAGTGTCCTAAATAAATTTTTTATGTTTTTAAGTGGTATTTTTAAAACTACTTTTTCATGCTTTGAGAGAGTTTTCCAAATTCCAATTATTTTAAGGGGTTATTTCCTGGACTTGCACTTAACGATTTTGAGATGTTTACATTTTTTTCAATATGGCATTCTGTGTGCCTCAGTGATACATGGTTATCCAGGTTGCATGCATATATAAATGTTAAGATTTATGGAAGGTCATCTTTTTAGATTAAAAAGAATTTTTTTAAGCTGGTATTTCTTGGTGATAGGGCCTAGAAATTATGTAGAGTGGCTTACTTCTGGAACTTATTTTAAACTGCATATAAACCATCCGCCTAGTGTACAGTTGGCTAAAGAGTAATATTAGAAGGCCCTCCTGGACAGTTTATTTCATTTCATGGATATGAACACAATTGTTTCCCTTTGAATTTAATGCCATGTTTAAAATCAGATTTTAAGAATTTTCCAAGGGCATTTCCCTATCATTTACACTCTGCTTGTGTTTTCTTTCTGTAGTCTTTTACATTAAATACCTCCTACAGAGCACTGCCTAAGGATTTGTGGTGGTACAGGGTCCAGTTGGGATGACAAACAGGCAAGGAAGGCCTGGAAGTAAAATTAGCAAAGAGGCCCTGTGGAATGGAAGGTGAGGGAAGGGTTAGTGACAGTTGGGGGAGGAAAGGTAGAAAAAAAAATAACATGCACATCAGTTTCGCAGGAGTATTAGAGTCTTAAAGGAAACAATGTTTGATAATTATCAGAGAGGAAACTGGGAGCATAGAGCATATCCCAGAATGGAGAACAGCATGGGTTAAAATGGGTAGGAACAGGTGTCAGGAGCTTCAAAATTCGGGATCATTGTTGAGTCCATTCCCCTTGGTCTTCAAGGACTGTCTGCTCTTCACTCAATGATTATTGAAGCTCATTTCTTCCTGTCACCAACACAAATCATACCTTCTTCACGTCAGACCTAAACTATTTCGCTGGCCTTGCAACTGTTCTCTCTGCCTCTAAACTCTTTCCAGTCCATCCTACATACCATCACCAGAGCTTTGATAAGATTCCCAGAGCTTTGATTTTTATCAGGCAGTTATGATGATAAATGTATGGAAACTTCCCATTTCCTAGAGCTAAAGTGCATGTTTCTCATTCTGAAATGTAGGGAACATAATCATCTGATACCACTCACCTGATTGTTTCTCACTCTTCCTCCACCATTTACCCATCTCTTTAGCTTAATGAGTCCCCTGTGTATCTCCCAACTAAACAGCGGCTTACTTGCCTGTGAAATATTCTTCTCTTGGGTAGTCTGCTCCCTTCTCTGTCTACTCATGCTTCAAGATTCAACATAAGCCTCCTCTATGAGGCTTTCTGCACGTATGTATATGGATTTGCTTGTGTAATGATTTCTTCACAGATTTCATATTGCTGATAAATAAATATTGTTTTGAATAAGAAACGTGGTTTTGTATTTTTATCTCAATTGTAGACTCCTTGAGACCAGTACCATGCTATACAATTATTTTTCATCTATTATAGTGTCTGGCATAGGGACATGCACATATTTGGTACAGAACAAGGTTTCCGAGTCTGGCACGATGACATTTTGGGCTGGATAATTTGTTGTGGCGGGTTGTCTGAACATTTTAGGATGTTTAGCAGCATCCTTGGCGCCTATCCACTAGATACCAGTAGTATCCTCTCCCTAGTGTGACAACCAAAAATGTCTCCAGACATTTCCAAATTTCCACAGGGGTAAAAAGTGCCCCCCAGTTGAGAATCACTGATAGAGAATAAACGGAATAAATTCCAATTAAACAGTGAAAATATTTGAGTGATGATTTACAGAATTTTAAAGTCTTGAGAAAGTGGAACTCAGTTGATGGAAAAGAGTGAATGTCAAACTGAGAACGTCCTATTTGCTATGTTAGGGCATAGAAAGGCCATTATAGATTGAAAAGCAGTTGTAATGAATCTTAGGGTTAAGAAAGATCAAGATACAGAAATATCCTTGAATTGAAGTTCCAAAACAATGTTGTTTTGGTTTTTGTTTCATTTTGAATCCTTTCATACTTAGGAATACCATTTCTAGTAAAATAAATATTTTATGTTTAGTTAGAAATTTATCTGTATTTCATACATACTTAGTACTTTTGGACTAAGAACTGCTATTTGAAGTATATTTGAGGGAATGAGTTTGAAATTTTGGGTGCAGGACATTATAAAGTTGTAACTATGAATAAATATCAGTTATGCTTATGCATAGTTTTACCTAGTTTTATTTGTCTATTTGAGTATTGTCCTTGAATTTAAAATTTTTTTCAGCCCCAACTGATACACACACATATACATACATAACACATGTGTGTGTGTGTAGCTTACAGAGTGTTTATAGGAAACTGATTTTGTATACTTTGGCTACTTTGTTGTAAGTTCTAGTTTTTTTTCTTTTATTATTAAACTAGTGCACGACATCAATGCTATATGATTGGTGTTTCGTTGACCTAGAAATAATGCATGCCATCTTCTTTTCACAGCTGTGTGCCAACCACGATGCAAACATGGTGAATGTATCGGGCCAAACAAGTGCAAGTGTCATCCTGGTTATGCTGGAAAAACCTGTAATCAAGGTAGGAAAACAGTCTGACATAAATACACAATCGAAGACACCTCTATCACTCCCAAATTAAAAATATTCTTATCTCAAACTACTTTCCATGGCTATTTTTCCAAAATATGTGAGCTGCCATTTTGCTGATAAATAAAAATATATTAATGATAAATATTGTAAAATTTCTTTTATCAAAGGACAATTAAACAAATTGTATCCTCTTATTCTCTGATACTAATTAAAATGTATTTTGAAGAAAAGAATCCCTGCATCAGTAATTTAGAAGCCTTCTGGTACTCCTTGTTTTTCCACTAACTAGTTGGAAATCCTTGGCCAAATAATTAACCACCTCAGACCCCAGGTACTGCTTCCCTTTAATGCCAAAGTCAAGTAGGGGATTTGATTTGAAATTTGGAGTTTCCTCCTAACTCTGAGCCCTTCGATTCGTGATTAAATCTCCCTTCAACTACTGACCAGTTTGGAATGTTTCCATGATAAATAAAAATGATTAATTTAGCAAGCACTTTTTAAAAAAATCAGCATCAGTTGTTTAAAGCAAATATTTATTCAACACTCATAGTGCCCCAGGTATTTTATATATATAATCCATTTTTATCTTTACAACAACATTAGGAAGTAGAGCATTATTTATTATAATTAAGGTATAATCTATTAATTATTAGTCCATTTTTTATTTGGAGAGACAGAGGCATAGGAATATTAAGTGTCTTGCTCAGGTTCACAGAGTTAGTAAAAGAGCTAGCATGTCAACTTAGAGCTATGGCATATATAATCCATATTTTTTCTACTATACTAGTTTTGGATAAAAAAATATATTTGGAAATGTGATCCTCGAACTCATGCTACAAAGTCAGACAAGGCTTGTCTTGTTAATTAAATTCAGTTAAAAATTTCCATTATTGGCCTGGCGTGGTGGCTCACACCTGTAATCCCAGCACTTTGGGAAGCTGAGGCGAGTGGATCACCTGAGGTTGGGAGTTCAAGACCAGCCTGACCAACATGGAGAAACCCCATCTCTACTAAAAATACGAAATTAGCTGCGTGTGGTGGCTCATGCTTGTAATCCCAGCTACTCAAGAAGCTGAGGCAGGAGAATCACTTGAACCCAGGAGGCGGATGTTGCGGTGAGCCAAGATTGCACCATTGCACTCCAGCCTAGGCAACAAGAGCGAAACTCTGTCTCAAAAAAAAAAAAAAAAAGAAAAAAAAATCATTATTAGGAATTAAACTAAAGAAAGATTAGGGTTAGATTTCACTAAATAGATAAGTGTCAAAAATAAAAAAGATAAGTCAATTTTTACTTATTTTTTAAATTATACTCCCTATCATCTTAAATGTCAGGTGAAATAATCATATGGTGTCTAACTATCCCTTACATACTTACTTGACCTCATCTGATATAGAAATGATATTGCTGAAATACTACTGTTCTTCAGTGTCTGATACTTATTCCAAGATACTCCTTGAGGTATGTCATGTAAACTAATGATTTATAGACACAGTTTTTTTTCACTATTTATTTTTATTTTTTTAATTTTACTTTAAGTTCTGGGATACATGTGGAAAACATGAAGCTTTGTTACAAAGGTATACATGTGCCTTGGTGATTTGCTGCACCTATCAAACCATCATCTAGGTTTCAAGCCCTGCATGCATTAGGTATTTGTCCTAATGCTCTCCCTCCCCTTACCCCTAACCCCCAACAGTTCCCCTCCCTGTGTCCGTGTGTTCTCATTGTTCAACTCCCACTTATGAATGAAAACATGCAGTGTTTAGTTTTCTGTTCCTGTGTTAAGACACCGTTTTTACAATCATCCAGAACATTGATTTTTGAAAACATACTCAAAATGGTGGTTCATGAACCATCAGATGAAATTATTCATGAACCATCAGATGAAATCCACACTAGCAAAAATGACATGTCCCAATGGTAGAAGCTGCTATTCTAAAGTGTGTTCTTGTATTATCTGCTATTTGATTTAGAACTGATTTTCCCAATGCTTGTTTTCTCTCTAATACTCTTTTTAACTTGAAATTTACCAAACATACCTGCATAATCTTTTTAAATAAGTGATGCTCTTATTATCTCAGTTTGCTCCTTAAAAAACTCCACTTGATTTTTCTTCCCCAGCATAAGTTTGCAGGTAGCAGTGTTCTGGTTATTGGATGCCAATGTTCATCTTAGAATCTCAGTATACTTTTTTTAAAGTGGTGAACATAAGCCCTCAGAGGTTTCATTAATATATCAGCACGGTAAAATATTGTTGTCCAAATGTGAGGATATAAAATATAAAGAAGACGATTAAAATAAGTCACTTTTGAGATTGCAGAGAAATTCATTTAAATTTCTTTGCAGAAGCTGCATCAACTTTAACATGCTTTAAAGACATGCTAAAAGTATTATTGAAACAAAAGTTCATCACTGGGTAGCTCCTATTTTCAGAAAACCAGTTTAACATGTACTTTTTTTTCCTGTAACACATACCTATTTCTCTAAAGAAAAAATCGAATGTATCAAGTTAAGATCTTGCTCCCCAAAACCATATTCCTTAAAGAGAAGAGGATTTGATTAGTAGCAAAATGGGATTTTACACCTGCAAAAATAGTGCTGACACTGAAAATGTAATTTCAAGTCCAGTTTTGAAAATAAAACTACAGCTTAAAATAAACTTAGGTGTTTTAATCATCTCTTATTTTGCCCTCCTCACAAAAAAGCAGTGTGGCAGGTTCCTGATGGCAAGGTTTATGCTCCTTGAGAGCAGAAATCCTTTTTGTTGTCTCTCTGATTTCTAAGTTCCTGAAAACTATTATTAAAGTGACTTGCACATGGTAAATGCACACTAAATATGTTAAATAAATGACAGTTTCATCTAATGGTTCTTAGTCCTGAACACTGTGGAAGCTTGAAAGGGTTCCACCAGTTCTTGGTACAGCATCTTAGAGAGTCTCTGCATCCATAGACTTGAGGGCCCTGTCAGGATCAGGGAAGCTGCCATGTGTGGCCTGGTTGAGTGTGAGAGCTGCCTAGAGACTTCCATAAAAGTTGTTAGAGAAAATTGTTGATAGTGCCTACATAGCAGATTAACTTAAACTGTTTTCATTCAGGCCCACACATTTTAATAAAGTAGAAAATATGCTTCACAGATAAGGGAAATCAAACAGGCTCCTTTTTTCTGGAGGAGAGAAATGTCAAAAAGAATTAAATTTGAAATAACTTTACAGAACTGGAAATTAGCTTTTGATTAAAAGTAGCTTTTGGTATATGACAAGTATTCACTGAGAATTTTGTAGCGAGTTATATACTTTAAGAAATAACCCCCAGAAACTTGCATCATGGTGTAAACAGCTTGAATAAACAAGTGCTTAACCAGTGCCTTTAGAGCTGCCTGGGAAACAGCCAGAATACCAGGGCAAGCTGCATTTTGGAACTGGTTTAATTTAGTAGCCTTGCCACAGGCTTAGTGTGATCTGCTTTTGGTGGCTTGATCTTCCCCACTAAGTCATTTTCTGGATTTGTTACACCTAGAACTGTTAGGAAATTACAGGCTTGGGCTGATCATTAACATACTGTACTCTACAAGGCACACGTTACCTTTCAAAGCAGATGAAATTCTAACCTGAATTCTGGCAAGATTCTTTGATCATTTGCTTCCTTTACTTTTACTTTTATTTATGCATATTTCCCTCCTCCTTGAGTTTCTGTACCAACACAAACCTCTTTTTCCCCCAGCCAGAAAAAAAATATTATTATAGATAATAATCTTTTTATAACTTTTCCATTGGGGAATGATTTTTAGTATGTAAATATATCACTGCATATTCTCAGAAATGAAAGACATTCTTAGGAATTTACAGTGTACTTTATAATAATTTCAGAAGAAAATATTTATAAATGTCAATTCCTAATGTTTTAGCATGGTTTATGTTTCATATGTTGAATTCTTTATCATAAGGAAAGAATTGGAGTCTTTTAGGTCAGAACCAGATACTAATTTTGTGGACTAGTTACATCTGAAAGTTGACTGCTTTGCTAAGCACAAAAATCTAAGGGCTTTAACTCTAATATTAAGGTGGTTACCTACAGCCGTAGGTTTTGAAAGATGTATGGTTCCAGCCGGGCGCCGTGGCTCTACCCTGTAATCCCAGCACTTTGGAAGGCCGAGGCGGGCGGATCACGAGGTCAGGATATCGAGACCATCCTGGCTAACACGGTGAAACCCCATCTCTACTAAAAATACAAAAAAAAAAAAAAAAAAAAAATTAGCCAGGCATGGTGGCAGGTGCCTGTAGTTCCAGCTACTCGGGAGGCTGTGGCAGGAGAATGGTGTGAACGTGGGAGGCGGAGCTTGCAGTGAGCCAAGATCGAGCGGCTGCACTCCAGCCTGGGCAACAGAGCAAGACTCCATCTAAAAAAAAAGGAAGTTGTATGCTTTCAACTCCCAAAACCAATGTTCATTTGATTTGGACATTTAACTGGCTATTAATAACATAATGGTGTTGAAACAGAACGTGATTGTTAAGTCTCAACTCTCTTCTTTGAGTCTCACCCATCTTATATTTTGGTAAGCTAATAATGGCAACAGTTAACATTTTTTTGCATAAAGCTTCTCATGTATGTTCCAGAAGCATAATTTCTTACATTTAAATGATAATATTGACGATCTATTATGCTGTTATTTAAATAAAATCTTTATGTAAATCATACATTTGTGCATAATTTTGGAGTATTTTAAACTACTATTGTACAACGTGATAGTGTAGGGAAAAAAATCTTAAGTTGGTCGTTTACAACTTCAGTGTCCTTAAATAGAGCAGGTGGATTATAATCAATATTTGTATAATTTGTTTTTTGTTTTCTTCCTTCTGTGTATGACTAAATAATACTTTTAAAAATGATGATCTCTTGTTTGGAATTTTTTAAAAAATTGTATGACGATGGATTGTTCATTTATAATGTGTGTGTTGTCCTTGGGAAACAAGATGACAGTGATACATTTTTAAGAAAATTAAAGGAAAAGAGAAACCAGAAGAACCAGAAACTATTGTTTATAAAGTATCTAATGCATTCTTTTTAAACTCTACCAACTGTATGTAATTGTTTAATATATACTTGCAAAGATTTTTAGGGCTAAAATTGACATCAGTTCAAAGTTGACTCTTATTACCTTCTTCCTGGTGTGAAGACGAGCACATCCCAGCTCCTCTTGACCAAGGCAGTGAACAGCCTCTTTTCCAACCCCTGGATCACCAAGCCACAAGTTTGCCTTCAAGGGGTGAGCGTGCATTGTCCCAGGTGGTCTGCTCTTCCCACCTGCATGGCTTCCTGCAGTTATGTCACTTCTTGCAAATGTTCTGAAGACTAGCCCAGGAGTGTCCAGCCTTCAGCCCTGAGCATGAGCAAGCAGCAGGAATTGCCACCTGGTGCTGATTCTCTGTGCTCTGAAAAGCATGGAGCCCTACTGTCCTTTTAATGCATCGAGTATCATTGCTTTTCTTTCTCTTTTCTGAATTTTGAAATATGTTCTAAAAACAGATAGCAAAACAACTTTTTTCATATGTAGGCAAATTCAGGAGTTCCAAAGCAACTGAAATTGGGGGTTTGATGCCTTTTGCCAAGGAGATTTTAGAAATCAAGTCCTCTTCCCCACTCTTGAGGTATAGAGTTTTAGGTTATCTGAAAATCAAAGCATACATTAGTGACCTTCTTTTGGTATACATTGTGTAACATCAGATAGCCTAAGTTCTGGTTCCAAGAGAGCACTTAGTTGCTATTTGATTATAAGCAAGTCATTAACCAATCAGTAACAGGGAGACAGTAATTCCTGCCCTATTTGCCTGTGGGGTTGGCGTGAGAATAGAAACACCAAAAATATTAATGTCTTCGTCATGCTGGAAAGCTTTGTAGGAAAATAATGTGGTAGCATAATTTTACAGTTCCTCTTTTAGGTCATTTTATCTCTAACCCATTCATAGGTTTAAGAACTTAGAATAACTGAATTAAAATAGTTGAAATTATTAATCATTGTCTCTGCTGAGAAGAAATTTGATGCATTTGTATATTTTCTACACAAGGAATTAGGGCAAAAGAATTAATTTCGGTCCTTAATAATTAAAAAATTAAAATTTTGGTAGTTGACATATTGACATCTGTTTGCCTATGACATTGCCCGATTTAAGCACCAAAGCGGGGAGAAAGTCTAAATGTGTTAAAACAAATGAAAGTTTATTTTTAAAAAATCCAGTAAGTTAGTTATCTCCCGATTTTTCAAGCTACTTTTCAGTGTCTGCATGCTAATAAAATTTCTGATTTTTTTCCTGAAGTTTAATAATAATGCTGTGCAGCTTGCATTTCCATTCTGGACCAGTTCCCTTCTCCCTCTCCTTCTCCCATCCAAGCTCCTGAATCCACCAACCTACTGAAATGTATTCCTGACAATAGTAGATGCACTTTAAGACTTGTATACATAATAACTGAAGCATTTGAATGTAAGTGGTTTATTGTAAAGTTCTATCCTTTAGTATAAGATAAGCACATGAAATAATTCATTAAATTTTTTATTTTCCTATTTTATAGATTTTCCTTATATATATTATAAACCTCCAGAGAAAAAGGAAGATAAGTAAATTTAAAATAAAAACACCAAAGTTTTATTTCTAGGTTCTTTTATCAACTTTTAAGATTTATTTGAGACAGTATGATCAATGACTTCATTTTGTTCTGCTTATTATTGTAGGAGTATTTACTATAATTTGGAAGTAATTTATTTTTGAATTTATTGCTTAATTGAATGATCTCCAATAGATTGTGATAATGAACACAGCATTTATAGAAAGCAGCACATATTAACTTACTTAATATGGCACTAGGTCAATGAGAAAAGAAGGTAACATAATTGAAGACAAGAAACTCTTAAGAAAACTGAGGACAAAAAGGCTTCTCACCAGGATGCCAGATGCATTTAATCTTTTGAAGCTCTGTACTTTAGGAAAAGTCTGATATTTGGCAAATTTTGATAAACATGGATGACTATGGAATCCTATTTTATAGTATCTGAAGTGGCTTTCATAAGGGTCATTGTGAAGTTTTTAGGAGACACCTGCCTGTGGCAGATGGGACAATGATGGCAGTCACTAGGGATATTAACACCAGTCAGCTGTCAGGGAATATCATCCAGACCATCAGCAGCTGGTAGAGTACAGCTTTCTCAATTGCTTTCCATGTTTTGGATACTTATATGCCCGTTAATAACAGGTAAAATAGCCAGTACATCATTTCCACATTTACCCATTGAATGTTGCATGTTTTCTTCCTTTCACATATTCATACAGTCCAGATTTTTTTTTGGACTCATGACAGCACATTGGCTTTTCTTTCCTTTCAGTTTCATGATTCTTAACCCCAAAGTGCTTTTGCCATGGGAACGGAAGGATAAATTTCGGTCGAAGCCATTCTCTAAAACCACCAGCAGCTCCAGTCCAGATTATGAATACTACCATAGCAATCCTAAGGGGCCCTTTATTGGCCCAGACTGGAGCCAAATTGTAGAAGAGCTGCCCCAACTGGGCTTCAGGTTTAGTTCAGGGACATAGTGTCTGAAGAAATTTCCATCAGCATAAATACTCCTTGTTTATGAGCTGCCTGAAACTGTAAACACCGAATCCATTCCCATCAGGAACTCACAAAAGTTTCTGTTATGCTTTGAAAATAAACCTAGGGATACTTAACTGACATGTAAAGAAAAATCCATCAGTATCCTTTTCTCGAGATATAGGTTTTGATTTTACTGTGTTATGTTGTGGTTTTGTTCTGTTTTTGTTTAGTGCAGAAAAATACTTAAAACACAAAGCCTTTCTCTAACACCATATTTGGTTTTAAATGCTATTTGCTATAATATCAAGAAGATTTATCAAAGACAGGTGTGACTCTGCAGGACCATATTAGGAACAGTCATTAACTCCTCTTAGAAGATGAGAAAAGTTTCCCTCTCATTTTTAGTAAATTCTGAAATACAAAGTAGAAGAATATGGGAAGGGTAGAAAATTTCTCAGTCATTCTTCCTTGATTTTTGCTTCAATTAACAGAGGGAGAAAACATTTTTGATACTGTAATCTGCATGGCGCTTTCTGTGAGGAAATTTTTTTTGAAATATTTAAAATGTGATTTTGTTTTAAAAACCCTTAACTAGTCAAGAGACAATAAAGTAGAAAATTGAAGAACGCATAGGAGATGACAAAAGTATTTGGTTTATTTATTTAACCTTTCCGGGATTTGCCCAGCTCGGGGTCTGCTTACAGTTGCATTCAGGGCAGATAAAAGACCTACTTGGAAAATCAGTAAGATATGAAAATTTTTTTAGATGTAATAATTATTTGGTGGTTTTAAAACATAATGGAACTTGGTGATTTAGTTAAATGAAATATACAGATTTCTAATAAATGAGCAGATCAGATTGAAATAGATTAGATTTGAAAACAATTTTGTCACTAGACATATTATCTATATTTTTTATTCAATGACATGGATTAATAGATAATTAAATTATGCTAAATGGGTACTTATGCTGGTGGTTCCAGACAAACATGTGGTCACATTTCTTTTTAATGAAGCATATATTTTGGGCATTACTATTTCAATGTTTATTTGTCATTATGAGTTTTATGTTCACTTGAGGCAGTGTTTAATTTAGGTTAAAACCTTTTCATAATGTAAAATTTGTTGATTCATTTCATATTGATACTTAAACCAATAAACCTGAAATACATGACAGTCTATTACATTTTGTCCATTAGTGTTTCCATATGCCTTTTTTAACTGCGGAATAAATGAAAATATGTTGGTAGGTTTTTTAAAGTTCATTTTGTGACTTGAATGCATTACTAAAGTAGGAAACTGAAGTTTCTTCTTTAATCTGAAATCATATAAAATCTACCAGATTGAACAAGAAAAACTACAATATTGATCACTCTTAATTTATTTCGTTCTTATCCTCTGAAAATATAGCCTATGTAGCCTTCCTTTGGGAAGGTCAAAGCAGTCAAATGTTTTAAAATCTGTATACTTCCTGTAAAGTAAAATATTCTCAAAGTCCAAGCCTTAAGGAGGCCAATGCCTTATCCATTTAAAGTAAAATATTCTCATGTAATATGTTCTTTAAACAGAGAAAGGAAGACATTGAACGAATAGGGTTACATTGTCAGGATTGGATCTAGCAATAGAACCCAAATATTTTGAGAATATTGGCAAACAGTTGTTAGCTGATAGAGCATCTCTGCCCATGAGGACGTTAGTATGCTGCTGTTTCTAGGGTTGATAAGGTAGGCACCTGTTGTTGAGAATTTTCCTAACTGGCCTTTATAAACAGAGATCCATAAAGGTCATGGCGACTCCTGGTTGCCCCTAGTGTAACGTACCTTCAAATTAATATTGCATGAACAGGATCTATCTCTTATGTAAATGACAGTTACTGTAGCTTGACCTATTTTTCTCTTTCATTTTTTAATATAGAAAAGAATTTTAGATGGCTTACATTAGTGCTGAGGTTTTGTAATTTTTCTGCTTCAACCCACATTGTTTTCAGATCTAAATGAGTGTGGCCTGAAGCCCCGGCCCTGTAAGCACAGGTGCATGAACACTTACGGCAGCTACAAGTGCTACTGTCTCAACGGATATATGCTCATGCCGGATGGTTCCTGCTCAAGTATGTCAAGAATCTTAACTGTTTTATAAGTGCTTTGGGCTTGTTTCTGTTGTGCTCTGAGAGCTTGCTTTTGTGAAAATGGCCTCCGGGGTTCTCCTAAACAAGATGTGTGCGTGTGTTTATACTTTTGCCTGAGGAATTGAAAATCAAAATAAGAGGCACCATTTTCGATGTATAATACTCTTCTATCACGGGTGCCAATATTAAATTGATTAGGAAATGGTGTTTAGAATAAGAATTACAAAACTAAGTATGTTTTCTAATTTTTTTTTTAAACATGTTTACCCATGTCTTCTATCTGGGCATAGAAGAATGATTCCAGGCTAAAAAAAAAAAAAAAAGAACACTACTGACTATTTAGGGACTGCTCAGACAGAATCCATCAGGTCTGTTTTGTAATTTTAAATCATTCATAAATATTTTCTTCATTTTTATATTTCATTATAAAAGCCTTTAGGCTTTTATAGAATTTTAGACTCTAATAATAGTCTAAGACTTCTAAAAAACAATTTCAAATAAAAAATAAATGAATATGATACCAGAAAAGTAGGATTCATGTTTATAAGGAAGAAATGCATGTTTTCACCATCATTTGGATGTAAAAAATGGACTATGCCCTAAAATTCTCTATAGGCTGACTCCTGAATTGTGGTATTCATATGATATCTGACAATTAATGACTTGATTTTTATTTTTACTGAATTATCATTTAACTGAGTTGCATAAAATAAAGTTAGCTAATTTTATTTAACATTGCATAAGTATAGCATGGAACTTTTTGGAATTAGGTGAATACATGTTTAACATTGTGCAACTCAATGGGAAATCTGCTGTTCCCCTAGAGAAATTTCATGGGCATTTGAGACAGTTACTTGGATGATTAGTTAAGAATAGCGTTTAGCTTGAGTAATCTGGAAAAATACCTCAATTCTTCACTTTCCTTGGCCACTGGAAAAATTTCCAGATAATCTATATATGATAGTTTTATATTTGTCTTTTAATGCTTTCTTTCCTTCCCCCTTTTATTTTCTTTAGATGTTTGATAGTTAAGGCCTCTTTGTCTTCATTGTTGTTCAGTGTCACTGATTTCAGGACAAGTGAAAAAACATAGCTATTTCCATTACAGATTTTGTTTTCTACCTGTCTGAGTCAGCCAGTCACTCTCTTTCCAGGTGCCCTGACCTGCTCCATGGCAAACTGTCAGTATGGCTGTGATGTTGTTAAAGGACAAATACGGTGCCAGTGCCCATCCCCTGGCCTGCAGCTGGCTCCTGATGGGAGGACCTGTGTAGGTGAGTTGTAAAATCAAGCATCTCTGTCAGCAGCCTCTGTAGGATAAAGGGAGAAAGTGAAAGGTGATGGGAATAAGGAAAAAAAAGGCAATTACTTACATCAGATAATTAGCTATCGTTCAGAAGATATCAGATGTCTCAGAAGAGGACATCTCTGTGAATGGATAATGGGAGCGTTGTTTTTTAAAAAATGAGAAATAGGAGGAGGCCTCAGGCAGAGGGAACCCTATGTGCAAAGACACTGCAGTTCAGAGGAGCACAATGTTTAGGGAAACGAGAAGAGCTCAGTATTCCTAGAATGTAAGCGGCAAGGGTGAGCAATGAGTGATGAAGCTGAATAGCTAGATTGTATGTGTTGTTCTTCAGGCCTCAGATTTTTTTCTGGTAAATTAGGAAGGCAGTGTAGGATTGAGAGTCTGGACTTTGGTTTTAAACCTGGCTCTTCCATGTACTAGATATGTAACCTTAGGCAAGAGACTTTGTTGCTTTGAGCTTGGGTCTTCTTATCTTTAAAATGGAAATAATACCACATAGAACTGGTAGGAAGATTGAATGAGATCATGGATGCAAAGAGCTTAGCACAATACCTAGCATGTAATAAGCCTTGAATGAATGGAAGTGTTTGGTGATTAGAGTTATTTACTGAGTAATTTCTATACTCCAGACACTGTGCTGAGTGCTAGGATATATAGCAGTGGCCTAAGCACACAAGATTTTGATCCCCACAAAGCTGACATGCTAATGGGGGAGACAGAAAAGAAACAAATACCCCATAAAATTACAGACAATGCCAAGTGTTAACATGAGGTACTGAGAGAAAAACAGAATGTGTCTATTAGCCTTAAGGTAAGACCTGTATCATTAGCCATGTGAAGAAACAGCCAAGCAGCTGAAGACATTGCAGGGCACTGCGGTGAGAGAGAGGTTGGCCTGTGTGAGGTTTTTCAAGGAAGAAGGTCCATGTAGCTCAAGTACAGGGTGTGAGTATGAGGGGTGGTGGCTGGAGATATAATGGGTGAAGTAGGTGAGGGTGATTTGTTGCAGGGCCTTCAAGGACACAGGGGAGGAATGTGGATTTAATTCAAAGTGCAAGTAGAAATAGTTAAAAGATTTTGAGCACAGTAATGATTTGATTGTATGTTTTAATGGAATCATTTTGACAGTTGGGTTGGATATGCTTTGGAGGGGGTAAGTAACAGCAAAAGGAACTGTTTTGAGGCTTTTGTAACAGTCTAACCCAAGAGATGGTGGCTTCAAATAGGGTAGTGGTGGTGGATTAAGAGAAAAGTAGACAGATTCAAATACTTTTTTTTAGAGGTAGAATTAACTGGACTTGATGATATGGGAGTTAAAGGAAAGAGGGTTGTTTCTAATTCAAGAATGACTCATGTTTCTAGTTTAAGCAACTTGGTAGATACAGGTGCAGTATGTGCTAATATATAGAGTGCAAGAAAATAATAACTTGGCTTAGAAGGCTGGGTTGAAATTTGGATATGTGGAATTTATGTTGCCTGTAGGGACAACCAGCTAGATACCGTTTATGATGAGCCACTATATGCTAGGCAACCATTTGTAGTCAGTTATTTATTTTGAAACCCACTCTGTCTTAACATACCCTTGCTCTTCCTAAAATGCTATTGACTTATGTTTCTAGATGTTGATGAATGTGCTACAGGAAGAGCCTCCTGCCCTAGATTTAGGCAATGTGTCAACACTTTTGGGAGCTACATCTGCAAGTGTCATAAAGGCTTCGATCTCATGTATATTGGAGGCAAATATCAATGTCATGGTAATGAAACCCAACCATTGCTTTGTGTTGTTTCTTCCTAGAGCACTGAAAGGTCTCGTAATTGTGGTGATGGCTGGAATGTCAGGGGCAGGGGAGAGTACTGGCGTTAAGTTAAACCAACAGACATCCAGTTTAACCACTGGTAGTTCTCAGTCTACATGTAGTTTATTTCTTCTGTTTATCTGCCAATATTATGTAGATCATCACATTGCCAAAAAAAATCATTTTTGAAACTGTATATATTTTTTATGTCATCATATTTATCTCCTAAATAAGTCTCTTCTTTTCCTACTTTCTGATGCAGACATAGACGAATGCTCACTTGGTCAGTATCAGTGCAGCAGCTTTGCTCGATGTTATAACATACGTGGGTCCTACAAGTGCAAATGTAAAGAAGGATACCAGGGTGATGGACTGACTTGTGTGTGTGAGTAGCACTTGTCTCTCAGCTTTAAATTCTAGCAGGAAATACAGGATTACACAAAGGCCATTGCTAGGGAAAATAAGGAATAAGATTATCAAAGAAGTATAATTGTCATAATTGGTTATATTTGTCTTTGATTTCCACAAACAATAAAATCACTTGCTCAGGTACTTGTAAAAACTAAGGACTCAGTAATACACTATAATCTTAAGAGTATTTTAATCTCTTCACTGAAATCTCTCAATATTTTCTTTTTAGCTAAAAAGAAATTATTGAGTCCTCCCTGAGAATTTGCTTTTGTTAAAATTAGAAATCATGTTTGCCATTAGCGTTAGATTTTGATGGTGGGATAATCTGGATATATTCTACATTTTTTTCCCTCTGTTTTATTGCTCCTAACTCTGCTATTAAAAAATCATTCCCGGCCAGGCACAGTGGCTCATGCCTGTAATCCTAGCACTTTCGGAGGCCATAGCAGCAGGATTGTTTGAGGGTAGGAGTTCAAGAGCAGCCTGGGCAACATAATGAGACCCTGTCTCTACAAAAAAAAATTTAGAAATTAGCCAGCTGCAGTGCGCATACCTGTAGTCCCAGCTACTCAGGAGGATGAGGTGCTAGGATCACTTGAGCCTGGGATCTTAAGACTGCCATGAGCCCAGTGAGCTCTGACCATGCCACTGCACTCCAGCTTGGGCAAGAGAGCGAGACCTGTCTCAAAAGAAAAAAAAAGCCATTCCCATATTTATTTCCTCTACATTCAGAACTGTTTTGCTTTTAAAATTTTTATAAGTTTTATTTGGAGTAGTGGTTATGTAATAGATAAACATGAAAAAAACCCAAAAGTCATAATTTAACATACATTTCATGTAACAGAAGATAATTTTTTAAATTTCCTCCGTAAAATATTTACTGAAAACCATGGTGCATAAAATCATGAGGATTAAAGGGTTTTTAAAGAGTCATGTAGTCATTCCCAGTCTGGAATGTATCATTCAGGCAGATTAAATATTGATTCTTTTTGATGAAGATTATCAAGGAAAAAGATTTCACAGATGATCTTTGCAACCTCTGAAAATGTCTATTTAAAAGCAGTTGTATCTATCAGTAAAGGGAAATAAAAACCGACCATAAAACAATATGTAGAACATTTACTCAAGCTGTATTTATGCAAATTGAATTTATATAAAGTGTGGATAAGAAAAGTATTTGTCTTTAGACAATTCTGAACACAATTTTATAATATACACGTAGCATAGGGATACAACGTAGATTCTAACTATGCATTTCTTATATTAAAAAAACTTAGAATGTCTCTGCATTTTAAAAATTCTCATTGGTTGTTGTCTGTTTGCACTGCACAAATATTTAAAATGTTTTTATGTTGCAAATAATACATATAAATTATTTAAACACACCAATATATTTGTTACATACATCCAAAGGATGAATATATGAATATATATGTGTGTGTCTGTGTGTGTGTATATATATATATATATATATACACACATATATATTTGTTATTTGGAAAATAGTATGACTTACAGTAGGTAATATTCTAAATGTGAAAAATGATACCAGTTGTCATTAGATGTTTTTATGTCTGTCAGTGTAATGCTTCACTTTTTAGGGAGGAATGGTTACATACTGATTTAAGTCTTTGACTCTTTCAGATATCCCAAAAGTTATGATTGAACCTTCAGGTCCAATTCATGTACCAAAGGGAAATGGTACCATTTTAAAGGGTGACACAGGAAATAATAATTGGATTCCTGATGTTGGAAGTACTTGGTGGCCTCCGAAGACACCATATATTCCTCCTATCATTACCAACAGGCCTACTTCTAAGCCAACAACAAGACCTACACCAAAGCCAACACCAATTCCTACTCCACCACCACCACCACCCCTGCCAACAGAGCTCAGAACACCTCTACCACCTACAACCCCAGAAAGGCCAACCACCGGACTGACAACTATAGCACCAGCTGCCAGTACACCTCCAGGAGGGATTACAGTTGACAACAGGGTACAGACAGACCCTCAGAAACCCAGAGGAGATGTGTTCAGTAAGTCTAATAAATGTTAGCACATTTTCAATAGGCTCTTTATAATGACTTTTCAACCACAGGCCATGCCTTGAATAAGAATGAAACTCGTAAGAAGAACTAGCTATGTAAAGTCGTATGTCCCTATTGACAAATATTATAAAGAGCTACATAAAGAGTCAGTCTAATTGGGCAAGTAAGAAAGAATGTATGTAGCAATGGAAGGAATATTCACAAAGTCATATGGTAGATGACAGCTCTTAGCCAGTATGGGAATTCTGACATAGTTGGATTTACTTGAAAACTCTCAGAGGTGGGAACTTAACTGTATTCCATGCTATGTTACTTTTAATCTAACCCTTCATTCATTCAGTCAGTGAACATTTTTGAATGTCTTTAGAGTGTCAAGAAGGCCTTGTATTAGTTATTGGGTTCATGTAAAGATAAAACAGAAAAGGTCACAGTCTGGTGGGAAAGATGGTTACTCAGAAGATACCAGTGGTAGTATGTTAGTGAAAGAGATCTGTGTAGGACACTATGAGAGGAGAATGAAGGGATACCTCGTCAGTCTTTGGGTAGGGAATATTCAGGGAGGGCTTCCCGAGTGAAACGGAGCAAAGTGGATGAGGAAAGGAAGATATTATAGTTAACAGGGACAGCCCAACAAATGCAAAGAAGTAGGAAGCAGTGTAATAGGCAGTAGACTGCCAGTAAATTGGAGGGTCATGTCAGGGACAGATGAGAGAAGCTGGACAGCTACCCCTTGGATTGCTGTAAACTGATAGTTAGACCTACACTGGGGCTGGATTAGATCAAAGACTCCCAGATTCTTAGCAGGTGACTAGGTAAAGGGTAGCACCACCAATGGAGATAGAGGATTCAGGAAGAGAAGCAAGTTCTGAAGGAGGAAAAGGTTGTTAATTTATTACCAGACCAAAATTTGCATGTTATAACTTTCATCTGTTCCTCATATTTATCTGCTTGTCCTGTGTCACTTCGCTTATTCTTAATTACCTTTGCATTCACTCTTCCTGTCTCCTCCTTTATACATTACCAGTTTGTTTTGTTCCTTTTCTCATTCCTCTATGATGAAGCTAAAGTTTGTGCCTTTTATATTGAATACCTTTATAACTTTTTATCAGGTGAAAAAAATACTGACATTTATTATTCTTTAAAGGGGAAAATTGGGAGGCTGAGGCAGACCGATCGCTTGAGCCTAGGAGGTTGAGGCTGCAGTAAGCTGTGACTGTGCCACTGCACTGCAGCCTGGGTGACAGGGTGGGACACCATCTCAAAAAAATGAATAAATAAATAAACTAATAAAGGGGATATCAGAGCCGCATTTTGCTTGTATGTGACTCTCAATTAAATTTTCTCCTCTGGGTAATTGTCCATTTAAAGAAAGATGGAAATTCTCTAATTCTGATATAGTCATGTATGTTTTGGATAATCAATATAATTTTTAGGGGAATTAGATGGTAGCTCTCAAAATATACATTTTATATGTGCATAACTATTTTCTGAAATTTATGTTTTTGTAATTTTCTCCTCACCCCCTCTCTCCATCTCAGATACTGTCTTTTTCTCCCTATTACTCTCCTTTTTAAATTCTCATCATTGTGATCATACAATGGGATTTTTAATTTATGAGTGCTTAAGTAATTATGGTATTTACATTATTTTGCTGCCTTAGGATAACAGGGAAATTTGGCTATTTAATGTAAGATGATACGCTAAATATTTTTTTCATTATGATGAAAGAATACATCTTTCTGAGAATTTTAAAAAATCCTTTCTCTTTTTAAAATGTTTCTCTTTATTTCCAGTATTCCTCTCTATGCCAATACATATATGAATTAAAAATGACATTGAAGTTCACCAATAAAATTTAGTGCAATAAAATTGGGGAAATACAGAGTTCCAATGATGTTTGGGAGCATTCATTATAAGAGAGTGTGATCTTAAAGACATGCTCTGGGAAAGCATTGCCTTGATCAAATGCCAAGGCTGTTGCATGCCACAGATAGCATTGCTGCCTTTAGAAACTCCTGCCAAAAATTAAATTCCACTCTCATTTCATCTTCAGCGATAGCTGCTTATTAAGTCTAGCATGTGTGAGAATGCTTTAGATGCTTTTTGACTTGCTGTCTTGTGGTTATAGCATATATTCTAAATAAGGCAAAGGCTCTAAGTTTTTAATTCAGGACAAATAACCAGTGTCTATTCACTGTGAAAACATTAAGGAACCTTAGCACTATTTCAGTTCAACACCATTTCTTTACTGAATATTTTCTTCACTTCTGGCATAACTTCTTAAATCATCCTTATTCTCCGAGACAGGTCTGAGAATAGAATTTAGCTCACCTCATTTCATAAATTTTTAGGTGATGTTAATTATGGCCACTATTTGGCAGTCTCCTTCAAATAGCCCTCCACTTTGTGTTTTTCTTTACATTGAAAGATATTTTTAAATTGATTTTTAATTGACAGATAATAACAATATATTTATGGGGTATGAAAGATTTCTTTTAATGGAAGAGGTTGTGAAAGAGAGCTTTTCCTTATAATGTATGTGCGTTGTTGCCCTGAGAAAAGACTGTAAAGATATTCTAAAAGAAAATCAAGGAAGAAAAATATTATAACAAGAACACATCTTCAGCCCAGACCTCTCCCCCAAACTCTAGACCTGGATGTCAGCTGACTGCTTAACCTATCCAGTTGGATGAAAATAGACGTCTCAAACTCAACATGTATAGAATTGTTCCTTTTCTTCCCTTAAACATCCTCTACTCTCAGCCTTTCTTATCCCAGGTAATGGGACCTCTATCACCTGTTGCTAAGGTCTAATAATGTGGATTCATCCTTAATTACTCTTCATACATACAGTCAATATGTAAGGAAATCCTGTTAGCTGTACCTTCAAATTATATTTAAGTGTGACCTTTTCTCACCAACTCCAGTGCTACCACCCTGGCCCAAGCCATCTCTCCCCTGGAATACAGGCCCAAAATCCTTTATCCAAATAACTTATGGAATATAGCATTTTTTAGATTTTAGAAAATCAGTAAGGTACACATACTATATAGTACACACTGAAGTAGTGAAACATACTGATTTTCCTCTAGTGCTTTTACTGTGAACATATCAATGTTAAGGAAAGGAAAATGATATTAACTCAGAGATGATGTCTCACAGCATATATTTACTAGCTTGCACAAATTTTTTAATGTTAGCAAGATTTAAGGCAAATTTTTTACTTATATTTTAATTGGATCCTATGATGATTATTAAAGAAAAAAGTAGTTATCTCTAGAAAGTATAAATTGAGCTCTTGGCAAATGTGAGCAAAACCAGAAATCAGATTTTTTTAAAGTTACGTGTACATTTGTCTATAGAGTTATAATTAAAAGTATTGTGCTCATAGCCAGTCTGTGATCTGGGGCATATTATTATATCTTCCTATGCCTTAAAACAATGTTTCCTGTAAGTATAAACAAAGTACCATTGACACTGCAGTTTTTGTCCATTTGCTACTTCCAAAAGAAAGGGGTACAAAACAGAAAAGTTATTTAAACTTTAAGCAGTTGGTTAGATATGGTAGTTATAATGAGCTTTGGTATTTTAATATGGGGCTTAAAAATTTTCATCTAAACCAACATTAATTATCTAAGTGTGATATCCTTAGGAGGTCTTTGTTAAGTCCTCCCAATTATATCCAGCATCTCCAAAGGTGACTGAAGTCCCTTCTAATAACTCATCTATCAGGGGAACCCGCCCCCAATATTTTAACATAGGTTCTTTCTATTTTCCATAAGTGTCCGCTGGCTGAGAAATAAAGAGAAAGAGTACGAAGAGAGGAATTTTACAGCTGGGTCTACGGGGATGACATCACATATCAGTAGGACCGTGATGCCTACCTGACCTGCAAAACCAGCAAGTTTTATTAAGGATTTCAAAAGGGTAGGGGGTACAAGAACAGGGAGTGGGTCGCAAGATCACATGCTTCAAAGGGCAAAAAGGAGAACAAAGATCACATGCTTCTGAGGAAACAGGACAAGGGCAAAATCACAAACTCCTGATAAGGGTCCAGCAAAGATCACAAGGCAAAGGGCAAAAGCAGAATTACTGATAAGGGTCTATGTTTAGTGGTGCACGTATTGTCTTGATAAACATCTTAAACAACAGAAAACAGGTTCGAGAGCAGAGAACTGGTCTGACCTCAAACCTACCAAGGTGGAGTTTCCCAATCCTAGTAAGCCTGAGGGTACTGCAAGAGACCAGGGCATATTTCAGTCATTATCTCAACCGCATGAGACAGACACTCCCAGAGCAGCTGTTTATAGACCTCCACCAGGAATGCATTCCTTTCCCAGGGTATTAATTATTATTATTCCTTGCTAGGAAAAGAATTTAGCAATATTATCCTACTTGCACATCTGTTTATAGGCTCTTTGCAAGAAGAAAAATATGGCTGTATTTTGCCTGATCCCGCAGGCAGTCAGACCTTATGGTTGTCTTCCCTTGTTCCCTAAAATCGCTGTTATTGTGTTCTTTTTCAAGGTGTACTGATTTCATATTGTTCAAACACACGTTTTACAACCAATTTGTACAGTTAACACAATTATAGTGGTCCTGAGGTGACATACATCCTCAGTTTAAGAAGATAATACGATTAAGAGATTAAAGTAAGACTGGTATAAGAAATTATAAGAGTATTATTTGGGAACTGATAAATGTCCATGAAATCTTCACAATTTATGTTCCTCTGCTGCAGCTCCAGCTGGTCCCTCCATTCGGGGTCCCTGACTTCCCACAACACTCATCCCACCACTGGAGCATTTTTCCTTATATTTAACCTAAATTTATGAAACTACAGTTTATGCATTTTTAATATTGTCAGATACTCAGGGTTAATGGACACAGTTGTTCATTGTCTCCAGATCCCATACTCCATGTACTCAAAGACACTTTCAGGAGATGACTCACTCTTCGCTGGGCCCAATAATTTATATTTTATTAATCTTTTCTTAGAAATGCTTTTTTTCAACCCACTTAGCAATCTTGTTGACTGGTCCTTTGAACATTCTTTATTTTCCAAATCTGTCACAAATGATCGAGTCAAAGATATATAATAGTCAAATCTGACCCAATACTGATCACGGGGGGGTTTCTTTTAACATGTTTTGTAATCTAAATCATTTCTCTTTGTTGCAAAGTAGAGATTTATGGGCAGCTATTTAATCTCCAGATGTTTTTTCCTCAAATGGCCACATAGTGGGCAGTCAAAAATATTTGTTGAATGGAATGAAATGGAATTTTATATTGGATTTAATTTTTTTCATTCTAAGTAATCCTTCATATGCTTAACTAGCTAAATTTTACTTGTTGGTTCTGATATTCCTTCCCCAAATAATCAAAGTTAATTCAGATTATGGTTTTTTTTCTTATCCTGATACAGCTTAATATAGCCATTGAAAATATTCTCTAGAAAATTCTAAGTCTAATATACTTCTAAATTTTAAGCATGACACTGAAAAATAGTGAAAAGCATAGAAAAGGAATATGAAAATAGCATTGAAACATTTGGAATTAAGGGGTTTTAACCACTACTAAAGATAGAATATACTGAACCAGAAAACCTAGTCTTGATTTCTACCTCTATTTATGAGGTACATGACTTTGGACTAGTATGAGTATTTATGAGGTACATCACTTTGGAAGAGTTACTGTGCTTTCCACCTCAATTTTTTCATCTGTAAAATTGAGGGAATATTCCCAGCTATCCTTTCTCACTGAGTAGCTTCAAAGATCAGAGATAAGGGATCTAGTGTTTGTGAATTCTGAGTTACTATGAAATGTAAAAGATTAATGTGTTTTGTTTATCACTGTAAATAACCTTGATGGGGAGAACTTATGTGATTTAAGGTTGCAACTTTTTATGTGTGATGTGAAATATTAAACTTATTTTTAAAATAATTTTTTTGAGACAGAGTCTCACTCTGTCACCCAGGCTGCTGCAGCTTCAATCTCTCAGGCTCAAGCAATCCTCCTGCCTCAGCCTCCCAAGTAGCTGGGTGGCTATTTATTTTTATTTTTTGTGGATACAAATTCTTACTGTGTTGCCCAGGCTGGTCTCCAACTCCTGAGCTCAAGGAATCCTCCCACCTTGGCCTCCCCAAGTGCTGGGATTCTAGGCATGAACCACTGCACCCAGCCTAAAAACAATTTTAGCTTGAGGGACCCTAGGTTTTTTTAGGTTATATGACTAGAAATATAATAAGATGTATTTACAGGGCTAATCCGGTGGGCATGATTTGAGCAACACTAAAGTTATCTGATGTAGCGTAAAATTCTTGTTGTTTCATTAATGAGACAGACTTGTGCTTCTCAAAGTGTGTTTTATAGAGCATTATTTCTCTGAAATATTACACAGTTGTATGTGTTAAAAAGTTCTTAGGTCAAATACATTTAAGAACTCCTAGGTTTAGCTAAGTTAAATAGGTTTCTTAACTGTAGGACTTCTCAATACTCCAATGTGCTAACAATATTGCAAATCTCTAAGAGAGGCATGTAATGTATCTTTTCCCAAGTTGTTTTAACCATGGGATTATTTGAATCTTGGGATTAGAGTTTACTGGAATCAACTTTAGGTCAGGCTGGGCTAAACTAGGAAGTATGGAGACCATACTCCACAAAACCCAGTATCCCTCACTAGTTAGCTCTCGTTGCCTGGTTTTTGAGACTAATGGGTTGATCTTGGATTTAGGAATGAGGGTTGGGGAGGGCAGAAAGGTGCTGCACAAACTTAGCCAGAAAAGCAGCTATAAGTGGTGGTATGCCTGTATGGACACCATAGGTTTGCTGCAGGGGATTGTTAAAAAGCCACTTTTCAAAGACAAAACTCTGGTGTCACAGGGGTAGGAGCAATCCCAGGGCAAAGAAACTCAGAAAAACTTTCTGCAGAACCCAAAGTAAAGGAAGTTAGGGGGACATGCTTTCTGTTCTAGCAATATATAATGAAATCTTATATAACTATTAAACATGTTTTATGGAAAATATTTAATAATTTTGGAAAATACCCATGTTACAAAAATGTTACCTGAAAAGTACAAAGCTGTACCTGCCATTTGACTCCAATTAGATATAAAATACATGTCTGCATATGTCTGGATGTGTGTAAAAGTCTGAAAGAAAAAAGACCAAAATAGTAACCATGAGTATATCCTGTTTATGATATTTTGGGCGATTTTCATTGTCTTTTTGTTGTCTTTATCCAGTAATTTTTAAACTGTTCAACTGTACTATCGTTGATAACAGTAATTCATTATATCATTAATTCCTTCAGAGAGGGGGCAGAGTAACAGAACCCCACTCTTCTCAGCAGGAAAGTGAGGATTCTGATTCTTAATCATGTTTATTTTATTTTGGACATACTGAGTTTTAAAAATTCATTGAAGGTTTTATTAACTTCTATTTTTAACCTTTCAGATTTTCCTTTACAATTGAATGTGATAGCTATGTCCAATTTTAGCTAGGAAATTTGTATTACGAGAGGGAATATAACATCACTTGGACCAGGAAACAGATTTTTTTTCCCCAGTGTTGTCAGAAGCCCATTTTAACTAAAATAACATAGGATGTTTATTAACTAAAATAACATAGTTATTTTATGCTTATCTTAAGATGTAGATTCCTAATCCTTATGACACATTTACTAAATCAGACTTACTAGGGAAAGTATCTCTCAGTCTTTATCTTTATTTATTTATTATTTATTTATTTATTTTTTGAGACACAGGCTCACTCTTTTACCCAGACTGGAGTGCAGTGGCACAATCTTGGCTCACTGCAACCTAAGTGATTATTGTGCCTCAGTCTCCTGAGT
The DNA here is from genome assembly GCF_000001405.40 of Homo sapiens. Classification (NCBI taxonomy): domain Eukaryota; kingdom Metazoa; phylum Chordata; class Mammalia; order Primates; family Hominidae; genus Homo; species Homo sapiens. The sequence continues at coordinate 105,950,567 of NC_000004.12, forward strand.
AGCTGGGATTACAGGCGTGCACCACCACACCCAGCTAATTTTTTTTGTAATTTTAATAGAGACAGGGATTCACATCTGAGTAGGCACACTTAGTCCCCAACACTCAACCTTTTATTCAACCAGCGGTGAGCTGGATGTGAACATGACAGACCCAGTAGGGTTCCAATGCCTGACAACCTGCACCTGTCAGGAAGAGCCCCCTCCTTTCCTGCTCCCCTGCAACACATGGTTATTTTAATAGAGACAGGGTTTCACCATGTTGCCCAGGCTGGTCTTGAATTTCTGGCCTCAAGCGATCTGCCTGCCTCAGCCACCGAAAGTGCTGCGATTACAGGCGTGAGGCACTGTGCCTGGCTGTTCTCAGTCTTTAATGTGTACACAAATTACAAGGGGATCTCGTTAAATTGAAGACTGACTGAGTGTGTCTGGAGTAGGACCAGAGACTCTGCATTTCTAACAAACACAGGTAATGTTTCTGATCTGCAGTCCCCACTTTGGATAGCAGGGCTCTTTCTAAAGCATAATGGCAGCTCCAACCCAGCAGAACCATATTCTGGATGGAGTCAGAACTAGCCAAATGTAGGCTATTTAAAATATAGCAATTGTGCCTAGGCATGTGTCCACCTGACTCATGTAAAATAAAAAGAAAAGGCGTTAATAGAAGCCAGATTATAGAACATAATGTTATTAATATGTATCAGGTGCTCTTATGAGTGGCCATATCAGAGAACCAGCCTCATTGTTGCTGTTATTACGCAACATGAGACTGTGCTGCAATTCCAAGTACCAAGCAGTAAGAAGAAAATTGTTTTCTTTTACTGATTGCTGCGTGTTGTCCTGAGGTTTTTCCCCTCATCTCTCTTCTACAGATTTTACAGAGTCTGTGGCTAGTTCAGTCACATTGTTCTTAGTCATGGAAATATTATGGTCTTTCTGATTCTGTGTAGTGATAAGTAAAAAGATTGTTTCTGCTGAGGGGTGAAAAGGTCTTCAAAGTAGTTTGCTTTCTTGTAAACAGTAAGACCTGCAGAGACCCTGAGAAGATGCCTGATATCTCCTTGAAAATTAAATTTCTGCTAGTGTTTTGAAGGAGCGAATTGTCACTTCTCACAGGTTAGGATCTGCTGCTGTGAATTCTGAAAGTTTTCAAGATTTTTGATTTATATTTTAATTAGATCCTATGGTAGCTAGTAAAGAAAATATCATTCTCTCCAAAACGTATAAATGGGCCCTTGGTGATTGTGACCAAAGTCAGAAGTCAGATTTTTTTTTGAAGTTACATGCACATTTGTCAATAGAGTTATAATTTACAAGTATTGTCCTCATTGCCAGTCTGTAATTTGGGGCGTATCATTAAATTTTCCTGTGCCTTTGTTTTCTTATCTGTAAGTCAGGGATAGTAATAGTATCTACCTCATTGGGCTGTTGTGAGAATTAGGTGCAGAGGTACCTATAAAACTTTTACTGTAGTGCTTGGCATGTAGTAATAACTTAATACATATTAGCTATTACTGCTACTATTGATGTTGAATTCATTTATATAGTAATGATAACATTTCCTACTTAATTCATAAAAAGACAGCCTATGCTGTTTTCTTGTTCTGAGTTTATATGTTTCTCATGCTTTTTATTATGGTTCATTACAATTTTAATGTTATTTTTAACTAACTAGATCCTTTTGAAACAAATTGGTTTGCAAGTGTGAGCTGTTAGGTGCACAGAGAAAAATGAAAATAGAAACTTGCGATTTTATTCTAGGCTTGTTACCAAATATTTAGAATACTGTGTTTTATTTAGGTGTTTATAGTCTCATTAGACAGTTGTGATTTTAAAATAGAGACCACATCATCTCAACTTCTTTACTGTGAAAATAATGACAATAGTCTTTTCAGAGATGAATCTGTCTAGATGGGAAATTTACATGATTGATCTGATGAGTGCATCCAGCCTGGGCAGCAGAGCGAGACTCTATCTCCAAAATAAAATAAAATAAACAAAATAATCTGACAAGTAGTTTCCCCAGAAAATCTGATTTAGTAAATGTACCAAAAGGATTTAGAAATCTACATCATAAATAAACATTCTATGTTATTTTAGTTCAGACCCTATTTTAATTCAGACTTCCTATGGGATAAAAACTTCCATTCTTTCTTTAAATAGATTCTTTTGGCTTGAGTGCATTTACACCTGTCCCCAACAGCTGGTGGGCTTCTGCTCACCCTAGACGGTGTTCATGCTGCACTCAGTCCAAGCAGCCCTTATCAGAGAGTCTTCTTACCACTTGCATTCTGGTGCGAAGGACTCATTCCTGGCAGAGCCTAACCTTCATGGGAACCATTGGCTTAGAAGAGAGGAGAAGGGGAGGCCGAGGCAGGTGGATCACTAGGTCAGGAGTTCAAGACCAGCCTGGCCAACATGGTGAAACCCTGTCTCTACTAAAAATATAAAAATTAGCCAGGGGTGGTGGTGCACACCTGGAATCCCAGCTACTCGAGAGGCTGAGACAGGAGAATTGCTTGAACCCGGGAGGCAGAGATTGTAGTGAGCCAAGATCGTGCCTCTGCACTCCAGCCTGGGTGACACAGCAAGACTCTGTCTCAAAAGAAAAAAAATTATCCTGTCTCCGGGCAGTGTCTCTGAGTCTTTCTAAAACTTTATTAAAAGTTCCTACAATACATAAAGGAGAAATAGGTATGTCACAAAAATTGGGCTCATTGTTGATTAGCAATGTCTATGCTCCACCTTTCACCAGAGATTTAACTTTTTTGCCAATTTTGCTCTTTACTGTCAGCCCAAAGGTGTCTGTGGAACTTTGTAGATTCTTCCTATGGGATGAAAGCTTTGACAAACAAGGTCTTATTTCTGTGAGTCCAACAACCCTTTTCTTTTGGCTTATAATGAATAGATGGCTAAAACTTTTCTCTAACATGGTTAAAGAAATTTCAGAAACTAATTTCCAGCCCTTTTATTTGCTTTTCTCTCTGATCACTTAAAATTGTGATGCATATGTCCTGCATCTGTAGAGAGAATAGGGGGAGAGAGAGACAGGGAGAGGAGGAGAGACCATCTCATAAAACTCTTGTCATTCATCCCTACGCTCCAATCTGTGTCTCTAAAAGCCTCTAGGTTTTGCCACCAGAAACAGCCTTCAGAATATTGGAATAATTACATATGTACCATTCTCTTCAATGAACTAAACTCCTAAGCATAGAAGTAATTTAAGACAGTGTTATTTTTAATCATTTAGTCCAACAACAAATGCCAGAACTGGCCTGGGTAATGCCATAGGAACCACCTTGTTTCCTATGAAACAGGAAGAGAATTTGCAAACCTACCTTTACTAAATAATGCTTACATTTTGCTATAGTTACTCTTGGCAAGAAGTTGAGCAGTGGGAGGTGTATATGATAATATTTACATTTACTTCTCTGTGCTTACTGTTAATGTTTTCTGGGTAAAAATATGCAATTGACTATTTGGGAAACTTCATTTGTGAACACAGGTTATATATGATCACATCCCTGGGGAAAATACATATTTAGTAGAAAGTGCCTGGCCAGCATTTCTTACAAGAACTTTCCTGCTCCTTTTTGTGGCTGATTTTACCCCTGACTCCAGGGCCCAGTAGCCATTAGAAAGTACTGTGCTCCTCAGCCCAGTCCAACCATGCCTTTATCCAGCTGTCACTTGCTTCAGTACCTGTACATTCCCTTTCTTTTAGTTTATGCAGAAGGCTGTAAGAAGCAACAGGCAAGACATATCTTTTGGTGGGTAAAACATGGACCAATGGTATAAAGATTCTGGGGACATTTTCTAAAAATATATGAACATTCATGGTTGATGTTAATTTTAGTCATAATTCCCCTATGACACCCACTCTCACCTTCTTCCTGTTCATTCTCCAAGCTACTACCAGAATGGTCATTTCAGCATGCAAACCTGATCTTGGCAATCCTCTGTTAATCCTTCAGAGGCCGCCAGTTTCCACCAGGATAACGTCCAAAATATTTACAAGGCTTTAAAAGCTCCTGCACACTCTGCCTCTATCTCCAATTCCATTTGATGCCCTTCCTCCTGCACCTTCTTGCTGCCTCCCTCCCCCTGTAAGGTCTACAGCAATTCTGATGTTTCAGTCCCCTCTCTTTTCATTCTCCAGAGCCATAGCTCATAGTACTTCTTCTTATGTCATAGAGAAAGCATCACTTCTCAGAGATTTTTATGACGTGTATCCTCCCCAGCCTAGCTTAGCCAGTCCCTCACTCCCCACTCCCGTACTCACTAGCATCCTCTGCTTCTTTAAAGCACACATTACCTGGGGAAATTGTTAAAAATCTGCCTTCACTTCTAGAATGTAGATCCCATGAAGGCAAGAGTATGCCCAATGCTTTATAACAAGCTCTTAGCCCATGCTTTGTATAGCTGATGCTCAGTTTCTTGACTGACTGCATAAATGAGTGGATGGAGTAGAAGGAGGCAGGATGCATGGACAGATGGTGGAGGAATTGTATTGCTAGCACTTCTCTGATTCTTTTTTAGTTTCTAAATTTATACCATTCTAATTCTAAGAATTAATGGTTCAACTGCAGAGAATAGCAGGTATGCATTTGTTTTTATGAAATATATATATTGTGTATTTAAGTTGAATATTAGCCAAAGTATCAAGCAGGGAAAGAACAATTAGAAAAATCATGTACCAATGTCTATCCTGGTTATAGTTCATTTTTGGGCAAGGCTAGTCATTCATTTTAATTAACATTTTCTGCATTGATCAAAATAGCTCCCTTGAAATCAAAGAAAAGTGTTTGAATTTCACAAACATATTTCAATTTCATAGCCTTGCGTTCAACAAGTATCAAGCCTATTCTAAGTTCTCTTTGAGTAACCAAAATACAAATAACAGACATATAATTGCTATTTATATGTGATCTAACAGAACCCTCTTTTATTTAGATGTCTTAGGTAAGTTTTTTATTCATATTTATATTTTTTCTTTTTACAATCCTAAAAACATAGAATTACAAAAAAAGTGAACCAATACAAATGAAAAAAAAAATTTCATTTCTAATACTTAGATTACCAGTATTAGCATATTGGCATATTGGTGTATTTATCCCTCTTTAGTCCTTTTTTTTTGGTTTGTTTTTCTTGTACATGATTGTGATAATAACATAATACTGCTTGAATGATTTGTTCTGCTACTTATTTCACTTAATATTTTCACATAAACTCTAAAGTGTATCGGGGGTGGGTAGTTTTTTTTCTCTTGAAACTTCAGTGGGATGCTCTTAGTAATCCCATACTGGTATGTGTGAGGAAGGAAAATTAGTTAAATAATTTGGTATGGTTATAGAGTAGAGCACACAAAATTGTAAGAACCAATAGCTTCTGAGCACTTCTGGTCTCTAAATTCCTTGGAATGTTTCCCAGTGGATTGTAATGAAGGTATACATGATCATCTGCTGCTAAATTAAATGGTTCTTAGAAACCAAGAACCATTTAATTTAATATTAATAATTTATATTAATAAACCATCTGACATTTTACAAGTTGTTACTTGACTAATTCTTTGTGTTGCCATCTTCTAACTGTATGATCTAATCTCTTCCTTTCTCTTCAACCTCATCCCATGCCGCTTTCTTCATTTCTCAACATCCTCCAGCCATTGTGAACTCCTTTCTTTAAATTTTCCAAGCACTTTCTTTGTGCTTGCTGCCTGAAACCCTCCCTCTTCCCCAACCCCAATGCTATGCTTTTTGCTTGGAAAGTTTCATTCTTCCCCTTTCAGTTTAAACTGTGCTTCCTCAGAGAGGACCTCTTGATCTCCCTTTTTATAAAACAGGCTCCCGGTGCCAGGAAACCTTTACATCAACACTCGATTTGCCATTTGATAGTCCTTCATCTGGGAGGAAAAAAAAAGACGGAGGGGAGCTTGAAAAACTGTCATAATGTCCCTGGAATATGGTACTTTTAAGAGTTGAGCCTATTCCATTTTGGAGATGATTTATATAAGTTACAACAAAAGAAGGGGACAAAAACATGATTGTTCTATGGAGTTTTTATAACTTTCTGTCACAAGAAAGCACGCTTGTCTACAATTTTGTAATATTTCTAGTAAATAAAAGAGGCACTCCCCGTCTCAGAGCACCAAATAAGGAAAGTGTAATTGGATGTCATTGCTGTCAGTCAGCTGGGCTATAAAAGAGAGAGTGGGGTTGCCTCATCCCCTGGGTATCCACAGTCAGCTGTGTCCCTAGAGCTTCTTTTCTTTCATTGCTGCCCAGCTGGGTATATTGCAAGTATGGATTATAAGAGGGGAAGGGACTTCACTGTTTTAACGTTTGAAACAAAAAGGAAAAAACTCAGAAGTAGTAAGCTAAAAACAACTTGTGCAAACGTTCTGGGATTATTACTTAATTTTAAGAATTTTTGCTAAAAACAATAGGAACATCGTTGAAAAAAGAACCCCTTTGAGTGATGACTGTTTCATAGTGTTCTACATCTCCTACTCCCTGCCTTATAAAAATAAAGCTAATTAATTGAAGTTCTGGCAAAGAGAAGGGAGTATTCCTTGGCCTTTGACCAAGAATTCCCCTCACCACCATGAACATTCCCACGCATTTCCCCACCAGTTACTCTCCATGATGTCTTCCTTCCTAACTCTTACCAAAATCTCAAATTACAGCACTCGTTTATCTCCATATTTAAAGTCTGCTTCTCCCATTAGAATTCAAGCCATGTAAGATCCAGACCCTCAGTCTTGTCTACCCCGTTCACCCTGTCTCCTTAGTGCCCGCCACAGTGGTCGGCATCTGCTTGGCCATCAAATATACACTGATTGAATAAATAAATCAATGATTTAAAGAAATCAATTATTTTTTTAAAGTAGATTCTTATGCTTTGTCCCACTTGTGTCCTTTGAGGAAAAGTGTGAAATACTACCTGGGGTTCTAACAGGATCTTTGCATTCACTTAGTAAACACTTATTGAGTGCCTGTCACCAGGTCAAGCCCTGGAAATGCCACCCAAATAAGACATGATTGATGCCCTCCAGGACCTCAGAGACTAGCAGAGGGACAGACACATGTGTGTAAATAGCTGCAATTCTTTATGAAAGTGTGTAATAGGGGCTTATAAGCATGAACTCTTGAGGTACAAGAGGGAAGAATTTGATTCTGCCTGGGGCAGAATCACTCCACAGAGGCCGTGATATTTATGCTGGGCCTTGAAGGAAGAAGAGATTTTTGGCAGGTTAATTAGCAGGAAAGAGAGCATTGGGTCTGAGACGTGAAAATGAATGGCATGTTTGGACAGCATTGTGTATTTTGGTGGGGTAGATTGTAAACTCTGGCCCAAGAAGTTTGAGTTTGATCTTAAAGGAGCCAGGGAAACTGTTTAAGCAAGGGAGGCCATGGTAGGAAATGTATATTAGAGTGCAACAATGTGCGGAGTTCACTGGGGGTGGGGAGTACATGCTGTGATTAGAAACCAAACCATTCGCTTCCATCATAGGTATTTTCAGTTAAAACAACCTTGATTTAAAGATCATAATAATGTATCTTTCGTAGAGATGAACTTTAGAATTTCATAGAGATGAATAGTTGGCTAGAAATTGGTTGCTCTATTAAAATGTATTTTCCAGATAAAGACTTTTTAAGTTATTTTTGTTGAATTTTAGAAACTTTTGAAAATCATTTTTAAAAAATGTACCCAGATCAAGGTTGCAGTATAAATCACTGCAGAACAAAATTCGTGAATCTTCATGTGATATATAATTAAATATTTTGGATTCATCCAGATGAATAAAATGACTAGGCCTTTTCCTCCTGCCCTTGTTAAAGGTAATGCCTCTTTATCAATACTTCACACACACACACACACAAAAACTCAAAACCTTTCTCTTGCAGTTCCACGGCAACCTTCAAATGACTTGTTTGAAATATTTGAAATAGAAAGAGGAGTCAGTGCAGACGATGAAGCAAAGGATGATCCAGGTGACACTTACACTCTTAGTGCCATCATAATGACATTTTATTGTTTCTCTCCATGAAAATAACTTTTAAATGTAGATCGTTTGGACCATTTGGGAAAATTACACCTGTTTTCTTTAACAACTCAGATTTTCTTTGTAGTTAAATCAGTTGAGCAAAAATAATTATGAATCATTTTCTTTTTTAAAAAAATTTTAAAGTAGTACTTAAACTGTAAAAAGGAAATCATATTTTATAAGTGATGATGTAACATTGTTATAATTTGGCAACACTTGTGTGTTCTATTTTTACAGATGATGCACTATTGTGCTGAGAAAAGATTAATGTAATTTCCCTTTGGTCTTATGGAAAGAAGCTCTGGTTATATGGATAGGAGAGAACACTTGTTGTCTAGATACCCCTAGTTCATAGATTCATTTGTTGTTTTTTGTTGATTTTCTGATCCACTCATCTTTCTGATTATTTCCTTGTAGGTGTTCTGGTACACAGTTGTAATTTTGACCATGGACTTTGTGGATGGATCAGGGAGAAAGACAATGACTTGCACTGGGAACCAATCAGGGACCCAGCAGGTAAAACCATTTCATTTAACTTTTTCTGGTACACATTTCAATGTGATACTATCTGAAGACTCCACTGCTGCTAATCAAGTCTACTGTAACACATCTCTGTGTTTACTTGATAAAGATGGTCAAAAAGGACCATGCCTAGCATTTATATTTCATTTCTTTGAAAGAGTTAAATTTGTTAGCTATCAACTAGCACTATATTATGGGAGACAAGTAGTTAATTAAAAGGTCAACTAATTTCTCTCAAAAAGCTTGATAAATAAAATATTTAGATTAATTCTTGCAAATAATTCTTAAGTTATTTGTAGCACCCATTCCCAGGAATAAAAGAAGTAATATAGTGGTATATCAGCCATGGTAATAGGCATTCCCCAGTTGTTTTTTCTTTGTTTTTCTTTTCTTTTTTTTTTTTTTTTAAGATTTGAGTGGTAGTAGAAGAACACAGTGGAAATTTCTATAAAGTTGTGATTATCCTCTGAAAAAATTTCACTCTAACTTGGGTGCTGAAGGAAATGGTTACGAATCACCACCACTCATTTTATAACAAAAGGTAGATTTAGACATAGTTCCTTGGAACTCAAAGGAGTTTTAAATTGCACAATTCCTATTAATCTAAAGTTTTAGTACTCATAAGACATCTTTTCTTCTAGATTCAAGATAGCTTTTCTCCCCTCAGTAGTTAAATCTTTTTTTTTTTTTTTTTTGAGATGGAGTCTTGCTCTGTTGCCCAGGCTAGAGTGCAGTGGCGCGATCTCGGCTCACTGCAACCTCTGCCTCCTGGGTTCAATGAATTCTCCTGCCTCAGCCTCCCAAGTAGCTGGGACTACAGGCATGTGCCACCATGCCCGGCTAATTTTTTGTAATTTTTAGTAGAGACTAGGTTTCACCCTGTTAGCCAGGATGGTCTCGATCTCCTGACCTCGTGATCTGCCCGCCTTGGCCTCCCAAAGTGCTGGGATTACAGGCGTGAGCCACCGCGCCCAGCCAGAAGTTAAATCTTTTATGGATAAGGCCTACTTAATGGAAGGGTGAGGAGTTTGGTTTCATTTTTTTTCCTTTTTATACTCCTGATTCTAGATTTTAAGAAGATACAGAATGTGAAGGAAAAGCTTGTTATTTCATTTATTTTAAAAGCCTAGTTCTTGAATACCATACTGGATAAGAGCACCAAACACAGAAAAGTTAACTTGAGAGAGCTCATGATATCTTAAACCAGCTCTTCTCAAACTTCACTGTGATTGCAGAGCAGCTGAGGGCCTCATTAAAATACAGATTTTCATGCATTTCTAGCAGGCTCCCTGAAGATCTCTATGGTGGTCCTCAACGCACATTTTGAGTAACAAGGTATTAAAAAATTAGTCCAAAAATATATTCATTACATCCCCTAAGGTTGAAATAGAGATTTACTTAAAAATTAAAATGTGAATTAAATTCCTTAAAATAGGAATATTCAATAAATTCAAATTGGTTCATACATTTCTTTTCATTGTAAAAGACAATATCATTTAGTGCCTCACACACAGTACTCTCAGTCATTCTTGCATTACTGTCTTACTCATTTAAAGTTAACTCTGAGCAGGACAGCATTATCATTAATGTCACAGATTCTGTGAATAAGAGAGAAACCAACATATCTACGTGTGTGTGTGTGTGTGTGTGTATACAATATAAAATACCTATGACAGTCCTAGCTTATTTAAAATCTCATCAATTTTATTTAATTGTAGCAATTAAAATAAATTTATTTCATTGCTACAGAGTTGTAGCAATTTACACTCCTACCAACAGTATTTGAAAACCATCCCCAACAGATATTATAAAAGTATTTTTTTAAATCTCTACCAATCTTATAGGTGAAAAGGAATCTCTTTTAATTTTACTTTGCATTTCTTCTATTGTGAAAAGTTGATCATGTTTTATCATTCACTCGAGGAGCAAATAATATTGTCTTTATTTCACAAAGGAAATATTGACACCCAGAGAAGTTACCTGTTTCCTAAGGCCACAGAGCTAGAGAGTGGTGGAATTAAGTCCAAACCACTCTGTACTACTCATGCAGGCTCCTAGACAGTCCAATACTCAGAACATCTGCAGCATTATTGTGTTTTTGACTGTACCACAGGCTGGCCTCAGTAGGTGTGCATGTGGTAGTGTGCATGATCTGATTAGCAGATCACAGACCTGTAGATTAGACTGACTGACCACTGACCTGGAGTAGTTTGCTACAGAAGGAGGGATCTTTGGCAGTCATGTATGACAGAATGGTGAATAATATTTATGGTCATAATGAATGATTCCTTCAAGTAAGTTACACTGGGGAGAGTAATTCATGCTAAACTCAGGAGAATTCACTGCACTTCTATGTAAACAATCTATGTAAAATACTTGAGTTTTAGAATTTAAATACTGTATTTTAGAACCAATTTAGTCCTTTTCAACATTTTTTTATTATTCATTATATTTGTAAATGTTTAAATTTGTTGTGACCCAAATCTCCCTTTCTCTCTGATGGAAAAATGAGAAGAGGGTTAGAAATTAGAATGGTAGACAAAGAAATTTGAAATCGTTATTGGACCGTGTTAGTACAGAGCAAATTGAAAGGAAGAGATGCCTGCTTGAGTGATTGGATAACTCGTGATGATTGGCTACGGTCCCTGGAGGATGCTTTTCTAGAATTGGTCCAAGTTTTTACCAAGAACTTAGATAAATAGGACATTGAACTTAATATTGAAGATAAACTGACCAAACTACGGTTGACTCAAATCTGGAGAGGAAAGTGACTATGTGTGCTGATACAACCAGCATTCGAAAAATTAGATTAATGGGTCACAATTAAGAAGGTGAAATGTAATGGGGTTGAGTCGAAGTTATGGCTCATAGTCGAGAAACCAGTCACACATCTGAGTGAGGGGGAAGACCTGACATATCACTAAGGGTAGAAGACTTTAGAGTTTTAGTGTGTAATGAAATCAATCTAAGCGAACCTTGTGATGTTGCTGCCAGAAATATGGACCATCTCTATAGAAATATGCTATGTTTCAAGAATGAAAATCCACTTTGGTTAAGTGGTGAATCCACTTTTGAGAATTCTTTTTTTCTAATATGAGAAGAATAGAGTTGGTCACTTAGAAGAGGATGACCTGCATGGAAAGGTATCTCCAAGCTTGTGAAAAACAGGCAAAGGAACCATAACGTTTAGCCTGGAGAAGAAATGATGCATCAGGGTTCCTTTTCAAATAATTGACTAGGGTTAGAGTTGTTCTCTGTGACCGAAAGGGGATGAGAATAGGATTGATGGGTAAAAAATACAGGGAGATTCATTTTGGCTCACTGTCATCTAAAAAGAGAACAGGCTGACATGGAAAGAGTGAGTTATCTTGGTGGAAGCATTTGACTGGGTGACATATGGCAAGATACTGTTAAAAGGTTTTGAGCATCAGATGAAAGTTGGATTAGAAAACCTCTAAACCAGCTCTGAGAGCCTGATTCAGAATGGAATGTGGAAATAGTCCCAAGAAATTCAGTGAGCAGGATTCTAGCTTGGAAAGAAGGATGGGAAGACCAAAAGATGGCAGAGAGTTGGAAGGCAGGATATGTGAGGATGGAATTGCAGAATATATTTTTAGAATATGTTGAGAGAATTATAACCCAGCACTGATGGGAAAATACTAATAAAGCTTACCTTTTCATGGTTTTTTATTCTAGGAAATTCAGGTGGATGGAGTGTATGTGTGTGTGTGTGTGTGTATGTGTGTGTGTGTATGTATGTGTATGTGTGTGTGTATCACATGTGAAGGCCAGAGAAGAATATAAAAAATCGGCTAGACACAGTGGCTCACCCCTGTAATCCCAGCACTTTGGGAGGCTGAGGTGGGTGGATCACCTGAGGTCAGGAGTTCAAGACCAGCCTGGCCAACATAGTGAAACCCCGTCTTTACTAAAAATACAAAAATTAGCCAGGCGTGGTGGCAGGCACCTGTAGTCCCAGCTACTCAGTAGGCTGAGGCAGGAGAATCGCTTGAGCCTGGGAGGCAGAGCTTGCAGTGAGCCGAGATCACGCCACTGTACTCCAGCCTAGGTGACAAAGCAAGACTCCGTCAAAAAAAAATAATAAATAATAATTTCTGTGTATTATTCTAATTACCAAGCTAATTATTTACCTATTTCTATCTAGATTATACCACTTATAAAAGAATATGTGTTTGGATATCCAATTATGGATGATTTTAATGATGTGCAGTTCTAATCCAAGATCCAGATTTGTAAATATTCTTATATGCTAATATTTCTAAGAAAACTCTCAAAACTCAAAACCTTAAGAAATAGCTGCAAAATAAGTGCATTTGCTAGCTGCCTTTCATGGTGCTATTAGGTTTTATCACATTCAGTCACAGTGAGATGTGAAATTAACAATGCCTCTAAGAAATGGAAAATTGTGCTGCTGACAGACATGGTGATGCGCTGCAGGTATGTAGCTGTGGCCCTGGGGACACACCCTTCTCCTGTGTGTGTCAAAGCTAGAACTAAGGCCCTTTTCCTGGAACCTTGATCTCTGGAGAACAAGGATTAAGGGCAACTGACTCAGCACTCTGTCTGCCACTGATAGCTACAAGGAATTTGCTTACATATGTATCAAGTATGCCAGCATGTACATACAAGTATGTCTATTTCAGCATTAAAACATTATTTTAAAATACACATAAATGTAAAATAAATCAACAATATAAGTGAAAGCTTTCTACCATCCCTGACTCCCATTCACCACCCAGCAAGATGCAGCCAGTTTCTTGATTATGTTCTCAGAGAGATATTTTTGGATACAATGGCATTCTCTTCTGTGCCTTGCCTTTGTCACTTATCGATACTACCTTAAGAGTTAACAGGAAGAACATGGACTTTGAAGCCAGAATACCTGGTCTGGAACCCAGCACCACCACATACTAGCTTTGACCTTGAGCAAGTTACTTAAATGGGGATAATAAGTACTATCCACTAAACATATGTAAGGCATTTCAAGCAGTGCCTCGCCCAGAGTTACCACTAAAATAGTATTAGCCATTGTGGCTGAAGCATGTCCCCTGTCAGTACATACAGAACACCCTCATTCTTATTTATGGCTGGCTGCTATTCCATTACTCATCAGATGTACCACAATGTATTTAGCCAGCCCTCCACAGAGGAACATAAGTTGTTTCAAGACTTTAGGTAGTTCAGACAGTAGTGCAGTGAATAACCCTATACATTCATTATTTAATATATGTTAGACTATATCCATAGAATAAATTCCTAAATGTGGAATTGCTATGTCAAAAGAGAATTTGTATTTTGAATTTTGATAGATTTTATTAAATTGCCCTTTATAAAGGTTGTAGCAATTTACACTTCTTCCTACAATATTTGAAAACCATTCCCAATATATTATAAAAGTATTTTCAAAATCTTTGCCAATCTTATAGGTTAAAAGGAATCTCTTTTAATTTTACTTTGCATTTCTTTTATTGTGAAAAGTTGATCACATTTTCATATATTTGTCATTTTTTCTCTGATGTTCTTTATTTTTCTTTAGTATTTTTATTGATTTATGGAAGTTTTCTATACAAAAAGAAAAATTATCCTTTTTTAATTTGTTGCAAATATTTAAAAACATTTTTGTTTGTCTATTTTATGGTATTTTTATCTTAACATGCAAATTTGGAAACTTAAATGTTCTTCAGTAAGAAATTGGCTAAATGGTTATTGGCATACTTGCAGCAATGCAAAGTGTATTTGCTACCATAGAAAAATGGTTATACAAGAAGCAACTTACAACACTGCAAATATAGTATTCCTTTTTTTAAAAAAAGTTCATATTCATGTGCATTTATGTGAATGTATTACATAAGAAAAGTTCAGAAGTCAAAACCTTCACAAATACCTCTAGATTTTGTGAATTGAAAATTTAAAGGCACCAACCACTACAGAATTAAAAATAAATAAACTAACATTTTATAACCCAACTTTCTGGTCAAGTTTTGCAGCATCTATTATTTACCCTCCCTCCCCAAAATTCTTGAGATATTGTGATACTGTAAACTGAATGAATGTTTAATATAATTGTACATTTATCACCAGAATTATGAAATCAGAAGTGAAAATTTTAATAGGTAACTTGCTTGACACTGAATCAATTTTTCCCTTAGTTAATGTTCCAACTTGTATCATTTCCTTTATTACAAAGGGAACGAATTCTTCATGGCCAAAAAAAAAAAAAAAAACGGCAAAAGCAAAACCTGGTGCGCACAGAGTAGCTCTACAGAGGAAGAACAATCATAACCTCATTTATCATGTTGTAAATTTTAGAGTTTTAAATGCATATGCAAAGAATACCTTGGTGTGTTAGGTTGTCTTGTTTGCAGGTAGCGTCTGGCAGAATGGTATCAGTGTACATTCCACAGGGACTTAATCCTTGTTTTCTCGAAACTTGCAGGTTAACTGTAATAACCTTATATCTTAGTCTTAACCAGAGTACCTGTGATGATTCAAAAGCTGACTTATAGTGAGACATGTAAATATTTTGGCCCAAAATATTGTTTGGATTAGTTTGTGGAGGAAGGGGACAAGGGAAGTGGGAGAAAGATTCTTAAGACATTATGTATTTTTAGTGATTCAAGTACGTGAATCAAGGATCTATTTCCCTGCAGTTTTTTGCTGTATCCTTGGAACATCATTCGTTGATTCAAACATCCTTAAACACCTGCTGCCTGCTAGCAGGGTAACACAGAGGTTTGGGGGAAACTTTGGTTCAGACTTTTAAGTTGTTCACAACCTGCTGGGGAGCCCTTAGCACAGAGGCTGGCACACAGTAAGTGCACAGAAATCACCTGTGACCTATAGAGCTCCGACGGGACTTGTTAGAGAAGACACTGGAATAAAAAGTTAATACCAAATTTTATCATGTCCTGTATAAATTAAGCATAAGAAAGAGATGATAGTTTATATCTGTTAACTGAAAACTAAATGGGATTACTACCAAAATAGATACACATGTTCAACATTCCAACCATTTTTCTATGGAAAAACCAGTGTTGAAACATACAGTGTGTTTTCAGTTGACTGAGATAAAATAGCCTGAGGGAATGTCATTTGTACATGGATCAAGTTTCAAAATACTACTTGCAACTTTCTCTCTCTTGAGAAGCAGCACCCCCCACTTCACTGCTGCTTAACCATTTTTTTTCTAATGCAGTTTCCTTAACAACAGAGGGAAGAAAACTCTGTAGCCCTAGGGATCTGAGAACATCATCAAAGTGGTCTATCTAAAGTGAAAGTTTTTATTAATATTTGTGTTCATGTATATATAATAGGACATATTTATAGAATAGATATGATATAGATTTGTTTTACTATAAAAATGTTTTAAATGGCTTACCTCCAAATAAAATTGAAGCTCCAGGAAGACGGGGAGGGTTTCCTGAATACCTCTGTATCTTCCTGGTGTTAGATTTACACCAGTGTGAGAAGCTCTGCCAACTCTGATTTTTTTTTTAAAGAACCTTTACGTTTAGAGATTTTTTTTTTTTAAGTTGGGGGAGGAGAGAATAAGCAGATATAGGGCCCTTTAAATCACCATCTGCTTTACTGTTCAGAGGTTAATTATCCACCAGAAAATTCTCCCTAGAAATTTAGGGTCAGTTTTACCAAACCACCAAGCCAGATCGCCAGGGGTGTTGGACAACGTTATCATAAACTGGTGAGGGTCACAAGGTGGTGAATGTGTATATGTTGTTGTATGCCTATATGTCTGATCATATTCCACTGGAAATATTCATAGTGTTTGGTTACTAATTATTGTGTGTCTCTGGCATTACTTGTACTTTCCATGAGCAAAGTAAGTGAATGTTTTCTGTAAACACATACCATAGAACTTAAGACAGGCATACAAATAAGTCATATTTTTCTTCTTCAAAAATCTGGAATTCTTTACAAAGAAAAGAAAAAAAAAAAAAAACTAAAACTCCTGTCCATGCTGCTTGTTCTAGAAAGGGATATTGGCACATACACACAGCCCTGCTTTTCCCATTCCAGGTGGACAATATCTGACAGTGTCGGCAGCCAAAGCCCCAGGGGGAAAAGCTGCACGCTTGGTGCTACCTCTCGGCCGCCTCATGCATTCAGGGGACCTGTGCCTGTCATTCAGGCACAAGGTGACGGGGCTGCACTCTGGCACACTCCAGGTGTTTGTGAGAAAACACGGTGCCCACGGAGCAGCCCTGTGGGGAAGAAATGGTGGCCATGGCTGGAGGCAAACACAGATCACCTTGCGAGGGGCTGACATCAAGAGCGTAAGTAGATCCACAAAGGAGGCAGGACCTGGGACGTTTTCCTTTCATAGGAGAACTCTGGGATCTGAATTTGAAGAAGCCTTGCTGTGTGAATTCAGGCTCAGATAAAGGTTTGGGTTTTTTTCTGGGCCTGATGACTCCATTCAGTGTCTCTTTCTGAAACCACTTTCTGCTTCTTCATCCTTCTTCATTGCAACCTGTGATCACCACCTCTCCCTAACCCTGGTAAAGATCCATTTTTTTTTAATGGAAAAAAAAATCTAGGAATAGAAAAGTTTTTTTGGTTTTTTTTAAAGTTGATCAACAGAAACTTCCAAGGGTGGGGTGGTGAGCTTAATTGTTCCTGCTTTCCCTTTCCTTTTAATTCCTTAGATTTCAAACTTTTACTACCATAAATTACCCAGGAGATGGTTCTTTTTTCTTTTTTGAAATGTTTCTTTCAAGTTCAAATTTTTTTCTTTGTTTCAGAGATCACAGTTAAGCAGCGTAGGGTGGGAACTCAGAACTACAATTGGAAAGCACTATTCTATTCAGGACAGGATGTGGGAAGTGCTTTGATGGAATATATAAATTTGATCTTAAGTAATCAAGACATAGGTAGCAAAAAAATGGTCTAGGGCATCCCAACAAAATTATGAATGCATTTGGGAAAATGTCATCATTTTGCTGGTGCTTATGAAACTTGCTGTTGGGAGATACCTATGCCTGTATGTAGGTATAGTTTATAAGAAACCATTTTAGAAAGAAAAGATAGATTCCATTAATACAGTTTTTATCAGAGTACTTGGATTTTGTTTAATTCTTACATATTTTTTCTTAAAACTTTTCTCAGTATTTTTATTGTTTAGAGAAATAAAACAAGATAATCATTTTAAATCATAGCACTTAGGTTTTCTCTTGTTTTATAAGGAGCAAGGATGCTCTATAGAAAATATAATGTAAGAATAATAAAAGTTTTTGGTTTTTACATAGGTAAAGCAACAGTGTGATTGGATTATGGTGTTTGATTCTATTCCATTTTCAGCAAGAAAGCGATGTTAACCACAAAGGAACTAAGAAACATTTAAGATAGGCTGTGTGATTATGATCTTTCAGATCTTTGGCTCCTAATATCTGTTCCTTTATATTCTATCACACTCTTCTAACTTTGGTAATCCTTGACAAAAGTGTGCACTTTATAAACAATCCTAAATCGAATTGGTCTATAGCTTAGAATGGCTTTTTAAAGAATAATTGATTCTGAGTAATGTGGTCTGATGAACAGTTTGATGACTTCAGTTTCTACTGAAAGAGAAGCTTCAGTGATACTGGCAACTATATTCTGTTTTTTTCCTCCTGCAAAATAAGTTTAAAATTGGTTTGGGGGAAGGTTTGCCTTTATTTTTGCTTAATAAGGAGGCATTAGAAAGGGGCAGAGGAGGCTTGACTGGTGTGTGCATTCTCTCCCTAGGTCGTCTTCAAAGGTGAAAAAAGGCGTGGTCACACTGGGGAGATTGGATTAGATGATGTGAGCTTGAAAAAAGGCCACTGCTCTGAAGAACGCTAACAACTCCAGAACTAACAATGAACTCCTATGTTGCTCTATCCTCTTTTTCCAATTCTCATCTTCTCTCCTCTTCTCCCTTTTATCAGGCCTAGGAGAAGAGTGGGTCAGTGGGTCAGAAGGAAGTCTATTTGGTGACCCAGGTTTTTCTGGCCTGCTTTTGTGCAATCCCAATGAACAGTGATACCCTCCTTGAAATACAGGGGCATCGCAGACACATCAAAGCCATCTGTGGGTGTTGCCTTCCATCCTGTGTCTCTTTCAGGAAGGCATTCAGCATGCGTGAGCCATACCATCCTCCATCCTGATTACAAGGTGCTCCTTGTAGCAAATTATGAGAGTGAGTTACGGGAGCAGTTTTTAAAAGAAATCTTTGCAGATGGCTATGATGTTATGTGTTCGGTGTTGTACCATGAGTAGTATTGACTTCCCTTGAGATATGATGTACAATGTGCTTGTGAAATTGACTTACCCTCTTCACTTAAGTTAGTTCTGGCCTGACCTGAACTCTGACTTTTACTGCCATTCACTTTATAAAATAAGGGTGTGTAACATATCAAGATACATTTATTTTTATCTGTTTTTTTTTTCCTGTTAAAGACAATTATGTAGAGTGGGCACGTAATCCCTCCTTAGTAGTATTGTGTTTTGTGTAAATGTGCTATTGATATTAAGTATTTACATGTTCCAAATATTTACAGACTCTAGTTGCAAGGTAAAGGGCAGCTTGTGATCTCAAAAAAATACATGGTGAAATGTCATCCAGTTCCATGACCTTATATTGGCAGCAGTAGGAAATTGGCAGAAGTGTTGGGTTGTGGTAACGGAGTGATGAATTTTTTTTTAATGGCCTTGAGTTTGATCTCTGCAAAGGATAGGAAACCTTTAGGAAGACAAGAAACTGCAGTTAATTTAGAACTGTCACTG
Organism: Homo sapiens; assembly: GCF_000001405.40. Lineage (NCBI taxonomy): Eukaryota > Metazoa > Chordata > Mammalia > Primates > Hominidae > Homo > Homo sapiens. The sequence continues at coordinate 105,969,915 of NC_000004.12, forward strand.
TTTCAAGTTACACTTTAAAACCACAGCTTTTACCATCATAACATGGCTCTGGTAATATGTAGGAAGCTTTATAAAAGTTTTGGTTGATTCAGAAAAAGGATCCTGTTGCAGAGTGAGAGGAAGCATAGGGGGAAACTCCATTGGAACAGATTTTCACACAACGTTTTAAATTGATATAAGTTTAGGCAGTTGTAGTTCATAACTTATGTTGCTCATGTTGTGCTGTGTCAGGATGGGATAGGAAGCAAGTCCCATGCTTAGAGGCATGGGATGTGTTGGAACGGGATTTACACACACTGGAGGAGCAGGGCAAGTTGGAATTCTAAGATCCATGAACCCCCAACTGTATTTCCTCCCTGCATATTTTACCAATATATTAAAAAACAATGTAACTTTTAAAAGGCATCATTCCTGAGGTTTGTCTTAATTTCTGATTAAGTAATCAGAATATTTTCTGCTATTTTTGCCAGGAATCACAAAGATGATTAAAGGGTTGGAAAAAAAGATCTATGATGGAAAATTAAAGGAACTGGGATTATTGAGCCTGGAGAAGAGAAGACTGAGGGGCAAACCATTGATGGTTTTCAAGTATATGAAGGGTTGGCACAGAGAGGGTGGCGACCAGCTGTTCTCCATATGCACTAAGAATAGAACAAGAGGAAACTGGCTTAGACTAGAGTATAAGGGAGCATTTCTTGGCAGGGGCCATTGTTAGAATACTTCATAAAAAAAGAAGTGTGAAAATCTCAGTATCTCTCTCTCTTTCTAAAAAATTAGATAAAAATTTGTCTATTTAAGATGGTTAAAGATGTTCTTACCCAAGGAAAAGTAACAAATTATAGAATTTCCCAAAAGATGTTTTGATCCTACTAGTAGTATGCAGTGAAAATCTTTAGAACTAAATAATTTGGACAAGGCTTAATTTAGGCATTTCCCTCTTGACCTCCTAATGGAGAGGGATTGAAAGGGGAAGAGCCCACCAAATGCTGAGCTCACTGAAATATCTCTCCCTTATGGCAATCCTAGCAGTATTAAAGAAAAAAGGAAACTATTTATTCCAAATGAGAGTATGATGGACAGATATTTTAGTATCTCAGTAATGTCCTAGTGTGGCGGTGGTTTTCAATGTTTCTTCATGTTAAAGGTATAAGCCTTTCATTTGTTCAATGGATGATGTTTCAGATTTTTTTTTTTTTAAGAGATCCTTCAAGGAACACAGTTCAGAGAGATTTTCATCGGGTGCATTCTCTCTGCTTCGTGTGTGACAAGTTATCTTGGCTGCTGAGAAAGAGTGCCCTGCCCCACACCGGCAGACCTTTCCTTCACCTCATCAGTATGATTCAGTTTCTCTTATCAATTGGACTCTCCCAGGTTCCACAGAACAGTAATATTTTTTGAACAATAGGTACAATAGAAGGTCTTCTGTCATTTAACCTGGTAAAGGCAGGGCTGGAGGGGGAAAATAAATCATTAAGCCTTTGAGTAACGGCAGAATATATGGCTGTAGATCCATTTTTAATGGTTCATTTCCTTTATGGTCATATAACTGCACAGCTGAAGATGAAAGGGGAAAATAAATGAAAATTTTACTTTTCGATGCCAATGATACATTGCACTAAACTGATGGAAGAAGTTATCCAAAGTACTGTATAACATCTTGTTTATTATTTAATGTTTTCTAAAATAAAAAATGTTAGTGGTTTTCCAAATGGCCTAATAAAAACAATTATTTGTAAATAAAAACACTGTTAGTAATACCAGTTGTCTATTCTTGTTTTTTGAGTTTTGTTTTTTTTTGACTTGGAAAAAAGCATTGAGGTAGTTAAATGATGTTTCACAAAAGTCATAGTAGAATCCCTTTTACTGTTTGGATGGTGGGAACAAAGATGTTGCCTGCAGTATTATACTTTCTAGGTTATAAAACATGAGACACTTTATTTTTTTTATCAGCATGAACAGGGAAAGAGATCAGAAGATCACTATAACCCATGCCATGCCTTAGTAAATTGCTTTAGTTATGTTTTATTATCATTTCATTGTAAACATTTGCTTTAAATTCTTTTTTTTTTGTTGTTCTTTTTTTTGAGACAAGGTCTCTCTCTGTCTCGCATGTTGCAGTGCAGTGGTGCAATCATAGCTCACTGCAGCCTCAAACTCCTGGGCTCAAGCAATCCTCTGGTCTCAGCCTCCCAAGTAGCTGGGACTACAGGCACATGCCACTACTAGACCTGGCTAATTTTTTATATTTAAATTTTTTTTTTGTAGAGACAGGGTCTTGTTATGTTGCTCAGGCTGGTCTTCAACTCCTAGCTTCAAGCTATCCTCCCACCTCACCTTCCCAAAGTGCTTGGGATTACAGGTGTGCGCTACTGTGCCCAGCTGCTTTCAATTCTATTATGGAAAGGCAGATTAAGCTATAAGTAAATATACAAATATGTGAATTATAAGTGAAAAGTCTTTTTTTACTGTAATTTTATTTATAACACTTTACTCATACTCTAATAACCTTTCCTGGAGAAAACAACTACAACAAAAAAATTTTTAAATTATACAAGAATAAAAATTAGTCCTCATGCAGAATTATAGAGAATATACTCAATAGTTTCTCTCTTTCCAATATGCAGAGAATTCTTAGCTGGGGACATAAAATCTTGGATAAATACATAATTCAAGCAAAAAGTAAGGAATAACTTATCTCAGAGATCCTTCATAATCATCCCTCAGAGATCTGAGAAAGTTCAGGTTTTCTGAGTATGTTAATTAAGAAGTTAAACCTCTTCTGAAACCTATTTGAGGTTGTGGGTTGGGAGGAGCAGATAACGATGAGATTCCAGGGTGTAGTTCATTGATTTAGTCAGCAGATTTTCAAATACCCATGTGTAAGGAAAGGGAGGGGGGCTCTAGGGTCCGACAGTGGGAGATTTCCCCTTTTAGTGTTTCAGTCTTGAGAGGGAGGTGGACATTTATCAAAGTCATATAAATTAATGCAAAATTGCTGTTCTGAATAAATAGGCGGTGTTTTGAAGGTTCTGGAACCATGGTGGATTTCAAGACTCTCACCCATTGCTTTTCATTTTAAGGTGCATGGGAAGCACCTGGAATCTTGTTAAAATGCAGCTTTTGATTTAATGAATCTGGAGTGAGGCTTGAGATGCTTCATTTCTAACCAGTTCCCAGGTGATGCCTATGCTCCTTGTCCTGGTTCCACAATTTGAGTAACAAGGCCTTAATGGTAAGTGTACTGAGGGAGATTAGGGCCTTCATCTTCATTAACATTCACGGCTGGAAGGCCTGAGGGCCCATAGTTGCAAGATCTGGATTCGTAAAAATTTACAAAGTCCCAGTGTATTTTTTTTCTTTCAAAAACTTCTTTTCTGAGCATGGAATATTTAAACTTGCCCACCTGGTGCAGAACATTGCTTTTTAAACAACTGGCAGGGCCTTCGGAATAAGGAAGTTATAATTGAGGACACTTAAATATAAGTGAGGCAGTGATCCAGGAAGCCTGTATTTTAAAAGACAAAGGGACATTCATGAATTGGAGAGCATTGCTTTTCAGGGCTCCAGGACTCAGAAACTTGAAAGCAATCTGAAATTCCAGTAGAGGTGAGTTCCAATTTGATTTTTCTGGGATTAATTCATTAAAAGCTAAAAACTGAGCCCTCACTCATAACCTGATATGTAATTTCGAGGAGTATAGATGACCGACCCTGGAGGCTCTGTTCTGTTGTTTTACGCAAATCTTCATTTTCTAGACCAAGCCCCACTCTGGTGTTCGGGATCTGCTTGCAGACACTCGTGATTTGTAGGGTCATCCAAAGCAGTTTTCTCACCTGCAGTCAGTTTTCATCCTCAGGGGACATTTGGTAATGCATAGAAACATTTTTGGTTGTCACAATGCGGGGGTGCTATTGGTATCTAGTGTTTAGATATGTTTCCAAACGTCTCATAAAGCACAGGACAGCTCCACACAATGAAGAATAATCTGGCTTCGAATGATAATACTGTGATCAAAATCAATGATTTCCAAAGAGTAGTCCCCAAACTAGCCACTTCAGTACTGGAAACATGTTAGAAATGCAAATTCTTTGCCTCCATGTCCATCCAACAGCATCAGAAACTTGAGGTGGAGCCCCTGCAATCTGGGTATAACAAGTTCTCCAGGTAACTTTGATGTGCCTTAGTTTAAGATTCTTTCCTTATTAATGTTTTCTGTTTTTCATCATCTATTTAGAAAGTGACTTACATGAGACCAATTTTCCAGTGCCTTGCTACCACTGCTATTTCACTCCCTAACTCTGAACTAACATCACTATTCTACCAAAAGTGCTCTTTTGAAGTCTGCTTATTAACTTGTATAATTGTGTATAAGTTCCAATGTTTAATCCACATGTATCATTACATAAGCAGCATTTGGCAGTGATGAGCACATCTGATATTCCTTGATATCCTCTTCTCCCTTGGCTTTCTTGAGCCACATTCCCACATTTCCAACTGTTTACTGGAAAGGTGCAAGGAGATTCCATAAAGGAGCTCCAAACAGTATTAATTACAGCTTATTATTAATCTACCCCTCTTTCTCCCCGAAGCCTGCTTGACCTTGCTAATTCCTTCCTTCTTTGAATAAAAGCACTAACATCAATTTCATTAACCTTTGAAATTTGTCACTGGTTTTCTGTTTTTATTTTTCTTTTATTTTTATTTCTTCAAATCGTTGACAAATTCTAACTGTTCTGCCTCTGAAATAGTTTTCCCCCAGCCCACCAATCAAAAATGCAAAAATATGGGCGAACATTTTTTAAATTTTAAAGAGAATGTGTTTTCCCCGATGATTTAATTCATCAGGTGTTTTAAATGATTGGTCAGTAGCACTGCTCTCCTGCATGTTTCTTACAGTGCTGTTCACCATAGCCAAGATACAGAATCAACCTAAACTATCAACAGATGAATGGATAAGGAAAATGCTGTCCATACACACAATATAGTACTATTCAGCCATTAAAAAGAATGAAATGCTGTCATTCATGGCAACATGGATAAGCATCGTGGACTTACGTTAAAATAGGCACAGAAAGAAATATCACATGTTCTCACTAATGTGGAAACTAAAAAAATGAGCTCATGGAAGGAGAGAGTGGAATTGTTCATATTAGAAGCTGGGAAAGAGAAAAACATTGGTTAACAAATACAAAATTATAGCCAGACAGGAAGAATGGGTTCTAGTATCCTAGAGTACTGCAGGGTGAATATAGTTAATAATTTATTGTATATGTTCAAAAAGCTAGAGGAGAGGACTTTGAATGTTCCCAACACAAAGACATAAGAAATGCCTGATGTGATGGATAGCCTAACTATCCTGATTTGATCATTACACATTGTATACATGTATCGAAATATCACTCCCATACTCCATAATATGTATAATTATTATGTGTCACCTAAAATTAATAGGGGAAAAATAGTACTGCTGCATCCCCTCTCATGAAGTAGTCTTCTTTTGCATCCAGAAGCCATAGATCAAGCTTGTCAAACTGCCTGTGGCCCAGGATGGCTTTGAATGCAGCCAACACTAATTCATAAACTTTCTTAAAACATTGAGTTTTTTGTGATTTTATTTTATTTTATTTTATTTTATTTTAGCTCATCAGCTATCATTAGTGTTAGTGTGTTTTATGTGTGGCCTAAAACAGTTTCTTCCAATGTGGCCCAAAGAAGCCAAATGTCTATGGCCTTGGACACCCCTGCCATAGATGTAGAGCAGAAGTTTTATATGTATTTTCATATGTATTTTTGTAAGCTCCTTCAAATCTATTATTAAATAATATAATTTTTAAAGAAAAAATTTGGTTATTGCAGGGTTGAACTCACTGTCAAATTATCTGAAAAGCAGACAAGTAGCAGAGAGCAGAAAGCTTAACATATTTAGCAATAAATTTAAAAATATCCATTTTTCTTTTTTAAAGAAAGCAAATGCACAGCCATGAGCTGCCCTTTCCAGCCTTATCAGTCAGAGTGTAGTCAGTGGACCAGTAGTGCAAGCACCACCTGGGAATCATGGGCCCACCTTAGGCCTAATGAAGTAAAATCCACTTATAACAAGATTCTTAAGTGAGTTGTAGGCCCATTAAGTTTTGCAAAGTACCACTTTAGAGTACTGTGTAACACTTTTCTATTAACCTTAGCTTTCTCCCACATAGGAACACCCATGAAACAAATTTGCCCAACTAAGGTAGATGGGCAGATGGTAAACCATGCTTTAGAGTGGTGGGTTCTCAAAGTCTGATGCTGGAATCAGCAGCTTCAACATCACTAGGGGACTTGTTAGAAATGCAGATTCTCAGGCCCATCTTAGACCTACAGAATCAAACTCTGCAGGTGAGGCCCAGCAGTCAGGGGTTTTCACCATACTTCAGTAAATCTGATGCATACTGAAGCCTAAGAACCACTGCCTTGGAGACGGCAGTGCTGGATCATAGACAGGTACGGAAGTTCCCTGCCTCCTGCCTCCGTATGGTTTATTGAGTGCCTACCAACACCAGCACTGCTGGAGCCACCATCAGCACCTGCAGGTATGAGGTTCAACATGGTTGCAGGGCTAATGTATAATTAGGAGAACTTGAGTCGACGTTATTTCATTGGTAGTCTGAATAACGTTTTTTATATGCACGGAAAATGTATAGCTTTCAAAGTGCTTTCCACAATATTTCATTTAACCCTCACTGCTATCCAAGGGTGCAGATATAATTACCTCCCACAACAGATGAGAAAACTGAGTTTGAGAAGGATTAAGTGACTTGTGAAAGCCCGTAGTGTTATTAAGGGCCAGGGCTAGTTTTGGAACCCACAAAGCACAATTGCTAAGAGATCTTCTCTCAGCAGTTTGAAAGTTAGAGAAGTTTCAAATGTAGCTGAAAACTCCAAAATGTTTTCTACCTTGTGGAAAATACATTTCAGACATTCAGATTAATGAAGAAAAACCCATGAAAAAATTCACAACTTCCTCTTTAAAGGTTCAACAGTAACAACAAAAATAATATGTGTACATATAGAGAGAAAGAGATAAAGCAAATGAGGCAAAATGTTAACATCTGGTGAATCTAGGTAAAAGATTTATGAGTTTTCATTGCACAATATCTGCAACTTTTCTTTGAAAAGTAAAATCCACAAAGCTTTCAATATTTATCTGTGTGCCCAAGTAGATTAGACTCTATACTTCTTCCTTATCATTGTGTATGTCTTCAGGCCTTCTGTGAAATAGCTTCTAAGTACGAAAGAACTTATCTACGCTGCACTGAGAGAAAGCAGGGAACAGACAAATGAGTAACAAGCAAGGTGCAATTACAACTTCTTTCTTTTTGCAGTGAAGCTTACCATTGATGCTAATATTCTTCACCGGGGTAAATAGTTCACTGTCAAAAGGGCAATTTTTTGTTGCTATTTTTATTAATAGGATTGTGTTCTGTTTAACCCCAGGCATAAGCCCAATCTCACAGAGAAGTTCTAGGGATTTTTTGAGAATCTGGCTTTTAATGTGTTGCTTTGACCCTTGCGCTGTAATTCTCACTGTCGCCAGTAACCACACTGGGCTGCATCTCAGCACATTTCATAAACTGTTCTTCTACTTGTACATCACTTTCCTCAGGTTTCACAGCTCATGTTTCTTAAAGCCTTTTCGATTAAATACCAGATTGGGAAGAAATAACTAGAAAGACCATTATTGAAACAACTAGGGAAATTCAATTTAGATAATAGCATTTCTGTCAAAAATGAATGATTATGAACCCAGTTAAAAGTGGGTTAGGGGCATGATGAGTGATTACTTGCCCCCAACCCACTTGTAAGAAGTGATCCTGCCACACTGTGCTTGAGTCCTCCTGACTTTTTCTATTCCTATGTGAACAGCAAAGAAACTGTGATAAGAGTTACCAAATGTAGATGGTTTTACAGTTGACAAATACTAAGATAAATGAGAGATTAAATGGTATTTAATATCTCTAAATACCATTTAATATCTCATTTAACCTCATTTGATGAAAATGATTTCATTTGACTGTAGTGCTTTCATGTAGGTAGTAAGTCCCTGATTTTATAGAACATGGAATATGAGAGTCATTGAGTTAACCAAATTTCCAAAGGTCACTTGGGTAGTAGGTACCAGTGCTGGGATTCAAACTAGGGTCTGATTTAAAAGTTCTTCTAATCTATGCAGAACAATAGTGGCAAGTCATAAGAACTCTGCAGGAGTGTGGGGTAAGGTCAGGAGCAGAAAAAGGGACCCAGGGAACTTAGTGAACATCTTTGCAAATGCACAAAAGTCATAAATACTTACTGTAGAATATTGAGAAAATTTTAAAAGATGGAAGAAAGGAAGGAGGAAGGGAAGACAGAAAACCCATTATATCTCAATCTGGAAATAGTCATTGCTGACACTTTTGTATATATACTCTCAGATTTTTTCCTTTATTTAAACCTATCCAAACCTACATGTAAAGGCTTGTAACTAACAAGGCTTCATGAATAGCTTGTGATAGTGAATACGTCTCATGAGATCTGATGGTTTTATAAAGGGCAGTTCCCCTGCACACACCCTTTTGCCTGCCACCATGTAAGACATGCCTTTGCTCTTCCTTTGCCTTCCACCACGATTGTGAGGCCTCCCCAGCCATGTGGAACTGTGAGTCCATTAAACCTCTTTTTCTTTATAAATGACCCAGTCTCAGGTATGTCTTTATTAGTAGCGTGAGAGCAGACTAATACAAACTTGCCTCTACTACTTCATTTTAATGGCTGCATAGTATTCTATTGAAAGGATTAACCATAAACATTAAACTGTTTCTCTGGGATTTTGGACTGCCTCTCTAGCCAGGCCTTTTAGGGATTCCAGAAGACTAATTATGCTGCAGGAAATGATTCACGATCTATTTGTAATAGCTGGCTCTTTCCTTTCCTCACTTGCTCCAGTGAACCATGGAAGCATTCCCTGGGGGCCTGGTGTTAGCTTCCCAGAAAAGCCAGACCTGAGTACTTGGTCAGCCTTTAGAAATAGAAATAGAGAAGAAACATTCCATTAGGAATCTTCCTAGATTCCAAAACATTTCATTTTAAAACAACAGAAGAAAAAGGGCAACAAAATTTCCTGCTTCCTCCCAGCTGTTCAGTGAGCCATTGGAAGGGGAAGAAGCAAAGCACAGTCATGGAAGTTCCTGAGTTTGCATCATAGTTGAGCTCGTTGTGCCATTCTTCTAAGTTTTTGGTAACTAAAGCATTATAACATTGAGGCTAAAGTTAAAGTTTAGATGCCTTTGTGGATAACTCAGCTTCATTCTGGAAGCCTACTATAGAAGGCAGAATACCTGTAAGCCAAATTGGAGATAGAAAATCTCCAATTTGGAGATTTTCTAAAGCTCTAAAAAAGAGAATTCTTTATTAAAATGTCACTAGATCCAGGAGCTTTTGCATAATATGTGAAAACAAAATAAGGAAAAACAAAAACAAAAACGCTTGCTTTAATCTGCTTGGAAATGTGTAGAGTTTTAGCCTTGACAGTGTTCAGCTAACAAAAGAGGGATTTTTCAACAGAGTTTCAAGTGGTTTGGAAGGGAGATTTGTACCCTTCCTGTGGGGTTCCTATAGTGAGCCTTCCTTGTGCATTCTCAGTCCATGACATATATCACCTCCTGGCTCTGGCTTTGTGTCCTTCAGCTCTCCTCAGCACACATGGCTGGCTGGTGTCAAAGTTTAGAGGCCTGTATGGAAAACTCAGCTTAGGGATCTAACTCTTCCATCAGTGAGGATTCTTTCCCGCTGATTCAGCTTTAAGTGCTTCTAGACAACACTTTAGCAGGCAGGCCTTCCTTTTTTTTTTTTTTTTTTTTTTTTTTTTTTTTGACAGGGTCTTCTGCTGTCACCCAGGCTGCAGTGAAGATTATGACTCACTGAAGCTTCACCATCCGGGGCTCAAGCAATCCTCCCGCCTCAGCCTCCCAACTATTTAGGACCATAGGTGCATGCCACCACATCCTAACTAATTTTTGTATTTTTTGTAGAGATGGGATTTTGCCATGTTGCCCAGGCTGGTCTCAAACTCCTGAGCTCCGCCCACCTTGGCCTCCCAAAGTGTTGGGATTATGGGTATGAACACCACACCACCCTGCCAAGCAGTCCTTCCTAATCAGTTGGAGCTGGCATTAAACACTGAGACCCATTAGCCATTCTAGAGCTAAAGCTGGTACTTTGATATACAAAACAACACTCTACGTAGTTATATGGCTCTTTCAAAGGATCCCAACCTCTTGTGTCAACCTCAAGCACTCTTTTTGATTCAGAGTACTGATCCCGGTCATTTCACTCCATTCTCCCTCATATTATATAGTTTGATTTTCCCCAAGCAGAGTAGATGCCTCTTTACAAATCGAAGGTCCTGGTTTTCTTTTTTTTTTAATTTTTTAAATTATACTTTAAGTTCTAGGGTACATGTACACAACCTGTAGGTTTGTTACATATGTATACATGTGCCATGTTGGTGTACCATGCTATTTTGGTTACTGTAGCCTTGTAATATAGTTTGAAGTCAGGTAGTGTGATGCCTCCAGCTTCGTTCTTTTGGCTTAGGATTGTCTTGGCAATGAGGGTTCTTTTTTGGTTCCATATGAACTTGAAAGTAGTTTTTTCCAATTCTGTGAAGAAAGTCATTGGTAGCTTGATGGGGATGGCATTAAATCTATAAATTACCTTGGGCAGTATGGACATTTTCATGATATTGATTCTTCCTACCCATGAGCATGGAATGTTCTTCCATTTGTTTGTGTCCTCTTTTATTTCCTGGAGCAGTGGTTTGTAGTTCTCCTTGAAGAGGTCCTTCACATCCCTTGTAAGTTGGCTTCCTAGGTATTTTATTCTCTTTGAAGCAATTGTGAATGGGAGTTCACTCATGATTTGTCTCTCTGTTTGTCTGTTATTGCTGTACAGGAAGGCTTGTGATTTTTGCACATTGATTTTTTATCCTGAGACTTTGCTGAAGTTGCTTATCAGCTTAAGGAGATTTTGGGCTGAGACAATGGGGTTTTCTAAATATACATTCATGTCATCTGCAAACAGGGACAATTTGACTTCCTCTTTTCCTAATTGAATACCCTTTATTTCTTTCCCCTGCCTGATTGCCCTGGCCAGAACTTCCAACACTATGTTGAATAGGAGTGATGAGAGAGGGCATCCCTGTCTTGTGCCAGTTTTCAAAGGGAATGCTTCCAGTTTTTGCCCATTCAGTATGATATTGGCTGTGGGTTTGTTATAGATAGCTCTTATTATTTTGAGATATGTCCCATCAATAGCTAGTTTATTGAGAGTTTTTAGCATGAAGGGCTGTTGAATTTTGTCAAAGGTCTTTTCTGCATCTATTGAGATAATCATATGGTTTTTATTTTTGGTTCTGTTTATATGCTGGATTATGTTTATTGATTTGCGTATGTTGAACCAGCCTTGCATCCCAGGGATGAAGCCAACTTGATTGTGGTGGATAAGCTTTGTGATGTGCTGCTGGATTCAGTTTGCCAGTATTTTATTGAGGATTTTCGCACAGATGTTCATCAGGGATATTGGTCTAAAATTCTCTTTTTTTGTGTCTCTGCCAGGCTTTGGTATCAGGATGATGCTGGCCTCATAAAATGAGTTAGGGAGGATTCCCTCTTTTTCTATTGATGGGAATAGTTTCAGAAGGAATGGTACCAGCTCCCCCTTGTACCTCTGGAAGAATTTGGCTGTGAATCCATCTGGTCCTGGACTTGTTTTGGTTGGTAGGCTATTAATTATTGCCTCAATTTCAGAGCCTATTATTGGTCTATACAGGGATTCAAATTCTTCCTGGTTTAGTCTTGGGAGGGTATGTGTGTCCAGGAATTTGTCCATTTCTTCTAGATTTTCTAGTTTATTTGCATAGAGGTATTTATAGTATTCTCTGATGGAAGTTTGTATTTCTGTGGGATCGGTGGTGATATCCCCTTTATCATTTTTTATTGCATCTATTTGATTCTTCTCTCTTTTCTTCTTTATTAGTCTTGCTAGTGGTCTATCAATTTTGCTGATCTTTTCAAAAAACCAGCTCCTGGATTCATTGATTTTTTTGAAGGGTTTTTATGTCTTCATCTCCTTCAGTTCTGCTCTGATCTTAGTTATTTCTTGCCTTCTGCTAGCTTTTGAATGTTTTTGCTCTTGCTTCTCTAGTTCTTTTAATTGTGACGTTAGGGTGTCAATTTTAGATCTTTCCTGCTTTCTCTTGTGGGCATTTAGTGCTATAAATGTCCCTCTACACACTGCTTTACGTGTGGATTCTGGTAAGTTTTGTCTTTGTTCTCATTGGTTTCAAAGAACATCTTTATTTCTGCCTTCATTTTGTTATGTACCCAGTAGCCATTCAGGAGCAGGTTGTTCAGTTTCCATGTAGTTGAGTGGTTTTGAGTGAGTTTCTTAATCCTGAGTTCTAGTTTGATTGCACTGTGGTCTGAGAGACAGTTTATTATAATTTCTGTTCTTTTACATTTACTGAGGAGTGCTTTACTCCCAACTATGTGGTCAATGTTGGAATAAGTGTGATGTGGTGCTGAGAAGAATGTATATTCTGTTGATTTGGGGTGGAGAGTTCTGTAGATGTCTATTAGGTCTGCTTGGTGCAGAGCTGAGTTCAATTCCTGGATATTGGATATCCTTGTTAACTTTCTGTCTTGTTGATCTGTCTAATGTTGACAGTGGGGTGTTAAAGTCTCCCATTATTATTGTGTGGGAGTCTAAGTCTCTTTGCACGTTCCTAAGGACTTGCTTTATGAATCTGGGTGCTCCTGTATTTGGGGCATATATATTTAGGGTAGTTAGCTCTTCTTGTTGAATTGATCCCTTTACCAGTATGTAATGGCCTTCTTTGTCTCTTTTGATCTTTGTTGGTTTAAAGTCTGTTTTATCAGAGACTAGAATTACAACCCCTGCTTTTTTTTGTTTTCCATTTGCTGGTAGATCTTCCTCCATCCCTTTATTTTTAGCCTATGAGTGTCTCTGCATGTGAGATAGGTCTCCTGAATACAGCACACTGATGAGTCTTGACTCTTGATCCAATTTCCAGTCTGTGTCTTTTAATTGGGGCATTTAGCCCATTTACATTTAAGGTTGATATTGTTATGTGTGAATTTGATCCTGTCATTATGATGTTAGCTGGTTATTTTGCTCGTTAGTTGATGCAGTTTCTTCCTAGCATCAATGGTCGTTACAATTTGGCATGTTTTTGCAGTGGCTGGTACTGGTTTTTCCTTTCCATGTTTAGTGCTTCCTTCAGGAGCTCTTGTAGGGCAGGCCTGGTGGTGACAAAATCTCTCAGCATTTGTTTGTCTGTAAAGGATTTTATTTCTCCTTCACTTATGCAGCTTAGTTTGGCTGGATATGAAATTCTGGGTTGAAAATTCTTTAAGAATGTTGAATATTGGACACCACTCTCTTCTGGCTTGTAGAATTTCTGCCAAGAGATCAGCTGTTAGTCTGATGGGCTTCCCTTTGTGGGTAACCCAACCTTTCTCTCTGGCTGCCCTTAACATTTTTTCCTTCATTTCAACTTTGGTGGATCTGACAATTATGTGTCTTTGAGTTGCTCTTCTCGAGGAGTATCTTTGTGGCGTTCTCTGTATTTCCTGAATTTGAATGTTGGCCTGCCTTGCTAGGTTGGGGAAGTTCTCCTGGATAATATCCTGCAGAATGTTTTCCAACTTGGTTCCATTCTCCCCGTCACTTTCAGGTACACCAATCAGGTATAGATTTGGTCTTTTCACGTAGTCCCATATTTCTTGGAGGCTTTGTTTGTTTCTTTTTATTCTTTTTTACTCTAAACTTCTCTTCTCTCTTCATTTCATTCATTTGATCTTCAATCACTAATACCCTTTCTTTCCCTTGATTGAATCAGCTACTGAAGCTCATGCATGTATCACATAGTTCTCATGCCAGGGTTTTCAGCTCCATCAGGTCATTTAAGGTCTTCTCTATGCTGATTATTCTAGTTAGCCATTTGTCTAATCCTTTTTCAAGGTTTTTAGCTGCTTTGTGATGGGTTCGAACATCCTCCTTTAGCTCGGAGAAGTTTGTTGTAACTGATCATCTGAAGACTTCTTCTCTCAACTTGTCAAAGTCATTCTCTGTCCAGCTTTGTTCCATTGCTGGTGAGGAGCTGCATTCCTCTGGAGGAGGAGAGGCTCTCTGATTTTTAGAATTTTCATCTTTTCTGCTCTGCTTTCTCCCCATCTTTGTGGTTTTATCTGCTTTTGGTCTTTGATGTTGGTGACATGCAGGTGGGGTTTTGGGTGGGTGTCCTTTCTGTTTGTTAGTTTTCCTTCTAACAGTCAGGACCCTCAGCTGCAGGTGTGTTGCAATTTGTTGGAGGTCCACTCCAGACCTGTTTGCCTGGGTATCACCAGCAGAGGCTGCAGAACAGCAAATATTGCAGAACGGCAAATGTTGCTGCCTGATCCTTCCTCTGGAAGCTTCGTCTCAGAGGGGCACCCGGCCATATGAGGTGTCAGTCAGCCCCTACTGGGAGGTGCCTCCCAGTTAGGCTACTTGGGGGTCAGGCATCCACTTGAGGAGGCAGTCTGTCCGTTCTCAGATCTCAAACTCCATGCTGGGAGAACCACTACTCTCTTCAAAGCTGTCAGACAGGGACATTTAAGTCTGCAGAAGTTTCTGGTGCCTTTTGTTCAGCTATGCCCAGCCCCCAGATGTGGAGTCTACAGAGTCAGGCAGGCCTCCTTGAGCTGTGGTGGGCTCCACCCAGTTTGCGCTTCCTGGCAGCTTTGTTTACCTACTGAAGCCTCAGCAATGGCAGACGCCCCTCCCCCAGCCTCGCCGCCACCTTGCAGTTCAATCTCAGACTGCTGTGCTAGCAGTGAGTGAGGCTCTGTGGGCATGGGACCCTCTGAGCCAGGCACAGGATATAATCTCCTGGTGTGCTGTTTGCTAAGACCTTTGGAAAAGTGCATTATTAGGGTGGGTGTGTCCCGATTTTCCAGGTACCATCTGTCACAGCTGCCCTTGGCTAGGAAAGGGCACCGTGGGCTTCTGACAAGCCCCAGTGAGATGAACCCGGTACCTCAGTTGGAAATGCAGAAATCACCCGTCTTCTGTGTCACTGACGCTGGGAGCTATAGACTGGAGCTGTTCCTATTCGGCCATATTGGAACTGCCTGGTGCTGGTTTTCATTTGGAAATTGAATGTAGCCAAGTTCTTTTTTTTTTTTTTTTTATTATACTTTAAGTTTTAGGGTACATGTGCACATTGTGCAGGTTAGTTACATATGTACACATGTGCCATGCTGGTGCGCTGCACCCACTAACTCGTCATCTAGCATTAGGTATATCTCCCAATGCTATCCCCCCCCTCCCCCCTCCCCCCACCCCACAACAGTCCCCAAAGTGTGATGTTCCCCTTCCTGTGTCCATGTGATCTCATTGTTCAATTCCCACCTATGAGTGAGAATATGCAGTGTTTGGTTTCTTGTTCTTGCGATAGTTTACTGAAAATGATGATTTCCAATTTCATCCATGTCCCTACAAAGGACATGAACTCATCATTTTTTATGGCTGCATAGTATTTCATGGTGTATATGTGCCACATTTTCTTAATCCATTCTATCATTGTTGGACATTTGGGTTGGTTCCAAGTCTTTGCTATTGTGAATAATGCTGCAATAAACATACGTGTACATGTGTCTTTGTAGCAGCATGATTTATACTCCTTTGGGTATATACCCAGTAATGGGATGGCTGGGTCAAATGGTATTTCTAGTTCTAGATCCCTGAGGAGTCGCCACACTGACTTCCACAATGGTTGAACTAGTTTACAGTCCCACCAACAGTGTAAAAGTGTTCCTATTTCTCCACATCCTCTCCAGCACCTGTTGTTTCCTGACTTTTGAATGATTGCCATTCTAACTGGTGTGAGATGGTATCTCATTGTGGTTTTGATTTGCATTTCTCTGATGGCCAGTGATGATGAGCATTTTTTCATGTGTCTTTTGGCTGCATAAATGTCTTCTTTTGAGAAGTGTCTGTTCATGTCCTTCACCCACTTTTTGATGGGATTGTTTTTTTTTCTTGTAAATTTGTTTGAGTTCATTGTAGATTGTGGATATTAGCCCTTTGTCAGATGAGTAGGTTGCGAAAATTTTCTCCCATTTTGTAGGTTGCCTGTTCACTCTGATGGTAGTTTCTTTTGCTGTGCAGAAGATCTTTAGTTTAATTAGATCCATTTGTCAATTTTGGCTTTTGTTGCCATTGCTTTTGGTGTTTTTGACATGAAGTCCTTGCCCATGCCTATGTCCTGAATGGTAATGCCTAGGTTTTCTTCTAGGGTTTTTATGGTTTTAGGTCTAACATTTAAGTCTTTAATCCATCTTGAATTGATTTTTGTATAAAGTGTAAGGAAGGGATCTAGTTTCAGCTTTCTCCATATGGCTAGCCAGTTTTCCCAGCACCATTTATTAAATAGGGAATCCTTTCCCCATTGCTTGTTTTTCTCAGGTTTGTCAAAGATCAGATAGTTGTAGATATGAGGCGTTATTTCTGAGGGCTCTGTTCTGTTCCATTGATCTATATCTCTGTTTTGGTACCAGTACCATGCTGTTTTGGTTAATGTAGCTTTGTAGTATAGTTTGAAGTCAGGTAGTGTGATGCCTCCAGCTTTGTTCTTTTGGCTTAGGATTGACTTGGCGATGCGGGCTCTTTTTTGGTTCCATATGAACTTGAAAGTAGTTTTTTCCAATTCTGTGAAGAAAGTCATTGGTAGCTTGATGGGGATGGCATTGAATCTGTAAATTACCTTGGGCAGTATGGCCATTTTCATGATATTGATTCTTCCTACCCATGAGCATGGAATGTTCTTCCATTTGTTTGTATCCTCTTTTATTTCCTTGAGCAGTGGTTTGTAGTTCTCCTTGAAGAGGTCCTTCACATCCCTTGTAAGTTGGATTCCTAGGTATTTTATTCTCTTTGAAGCAATTGTGAATGGGAGTTCACTCATGATTTGGCTCTCTGTTTGTCTGTTGTTGGTGTATAAGAATGCTTGTGATTTTTGTACATTGATTTTGTATCCTGAGACTTTGCTGAAGTTGCTTATCAGCTTAAGGAGATTTTGGGCTGAGACAATGGGGTTTTCTAGATATACAATCATGTCGTCGAATGCAGCCAAGTTCTGTAATACATCTACTCTCAGGTTAGGAAAAAAATGTGACTATTTGTTCTCCCACAGAGGAGTGAGGGATTCAGGTCTCTTGGGCTTGTGTGTCTCTCTGTCATTGCCATGGGCTGCACTGTTCACAGCTGTTCTCAGTTGTATTGGATTGTTCCAAAGGACCTCCTGCTCTGGCAGCACACTAACCTGGAAAAGGCATGCTTGAGAAGCAGATACAAAATAGGGTAAAGAAATTTGCACCTTAAGCAGTTTTCTCTTCTCTGTTGAACTTCTTCACCCCCATCATTTTAGTTGCTGACAAATAATAAGAAAAAAACACAACCTTTGAAGTTCTGGAGTTTTTTAAATAATTTTTTTCTTTTTCTTTTTAGTTGAATATATTTGTACATATTTATGGGATACAGAATGGTATTTCAATATGTGTATACAATGTGTAATGATCAAATCAGGGTAATTAGCATAGCCATCACCTGAAACATTTATCGTTACTTTGTCTTGTGAGCATTCAAAAATTCTCTCTTCTAGCTTTTTGAGGCTATACAATAAATTATAGTTTACCCTCCAGTACTGCAGAACACCAGAGCTCACTTCTCCTACCCAGCTGCAATTTTGTATTAACCAAACTCTGCCCATCCTCCTCGCTCCGTACCCTTCCCAGCTTCTTTTTTTTTTTGAGATGGAGTCTCACTCTGTCAGCCAGGCTGGAGTGCAGTGGCATGATCTCAGCTCATTGCAACCTCTGCCTCCCAGGTTCAAGCGATTCTCTTGCCTCAGCTGCCTGAGTAGCTGGGATTACAGGTGTGCACCACCATGTCCGGCTAATTTTTTTGTATTTTTAGTAGAGACGGGGTTTCACCATGTTGGTCAGGCTGGTCTCGAACTCGTGACCTCATGATCTGCCCACCTCAGCCTCCCAAAGTGCTCAGCTTCTAATACCCACAATTCTACTCTCACTGTTCATGGCCTCAAATTTGTTTTTTAGCTCCCACATATGAGTGAGAACATGTGATATTTATCTTTCTGTCCCTGGGTTATTTCTGAGCCTCAGTTTTTAAGAAGTCTGTTCTTTATTTTAAGAAATGAGAAAGATGTAACTACTGTTTCTACATTTGCATTATGGCTAATTTTTAAAGGTATCTTTTTGGTCTAATAAGAAGTATGTGGGAAATGGACTTTTTCCAATATCACTTGATAGCTTGATGAGAACATATTGTAGAGACTCTATTGTTCTGGCCTTTAAGGAATAGAGAGTTCTGTATCTCCAAGGTATGCTTTTCTCCAAGCCCATGAAGGCCTTCTAAATGCCCAACGTTGCTACAGTCTATGTGGTGAATAGGTACTTGTTTGAGTTTGACATGGGCATTATTCTAACTGTAATTTTAGATATTTACACCATCATCTACTCATTTGATTCCTTCATGGATTTCCTTATAGATAGCCTCTGAGACCAGTGACTGAATACCCTATATTTGAAATCCACTATAGGAGATTGCTTACATTAGTTTTCTATTGCTACCTAACAATATTTCCACAAACAGCAGTTTAAAATAACACACATTTATTATCTCATGGTTTCTGTGAGTTAAGAGTCTGGGTGGGCATGGTGTCAGTAGATTCTCTGCTTCAGCATCTTCCAAGGCTGTAATCAAGGTATCAGCCAGGGCTGTGGCCTCATCCAAGACTCAACTGTGGAAGGATCCACATGCAAGTTCAGGCAGTTGTTGGCATAATTCAATTCCTTGCATCTGACTCATTTTCTTGCTGGCCGGAGGCTGCCCTCAACTCCTTGAAGTCTCCCACAGTTCCTTGCCACATCGGATTCCCCAACAGGACCACTTGTTTCCTCAGTGCCAGTAAAGAAAAGACCCCAGCAAGATGGGTTCTAAAATCATACATGGCATATGCATATAGTCATGTACATGTCATACAATGGTCCATTTAAATACATCTGATTTGTATATAAAAAAGTATCTTCTGTTCTGCCCTAAAATATTCTTAAATATGATCTGTGTTTGAAGTATCCGAATGGGAGTCAACAACTTAGAATCCTTCCTCTAACTCCTCTAAAATCATGAGAAACTTTCTCTGTATATGACGCATTTTCACAGGGCTATGAGAATCCTGGGAGGAATACTTTGCAAGATACTGTTTCCACTTTGATGTGCTCGCTTTTACCCTATATCCAAAAGCAAATGTCCCTCTATTCATATTTTTATGATATCACTGAGGAACTGGCTGCCGTAAATTTTCTCCTTAAATGAGTCACACTCCTATGCAAAGAATACCAAGTTATTTTTATTAAAATGTTAAGTCTCAAGGTATTTTTAAAAATAGCATTAATGGGGGGTTTGGTCAAGTGTGCACTGGTATTCTTAACAAGTCTGTATCTTGTCAAGTTGGTTCCAACTTGATTAATCCAAGAAGATTAGCCAGCTGTCCTAAACAAGTTCTTTTTTGCTCCAAAGTTTGTGTGGCCTTGTTAGGACACCCCTGGAAAGGCCTTTTAAGACTCACTGTTAAATACTGGCTTGATTCCCACCCTCCTGTTCTGCTATAGAAAACCTGTGATTTCCTCGGGCATGAAGGAAATCCTCCCATTAGAGGGAGTGGTTGGCAACTCCTGATATGAGGTCACTGGCTATTTTGTCCCAAGTGTAAGATTTCCCTTTGACCTGGCAATGCCACCTCTAAACTCCCAGCATTTTCAAAGGAGATGAAAAATGCCTTATTGAAAACTGGATTAATGTAGTTATTTGGTTAATTTAAAACCTGAACAAATCAAATAATGAAGATGCGATCTTAGTTTATATCCAATGAAACCCTTAACTGTTCCAATAAACAAGTATTAGTCATTTAAAAAAATTCTAGTCTCAACAAACCTCATAAAATGTATATTTCTGAGTGAGTAGTTGTGACTTAAGAATGCCAGCCATTCCCCTCTTTTACTCCTTCTATAACCTAAGTGTGTTTTGGTCAGAGTGCATAATGTTTAGTCATTTAAAAAAATGTCAACAAGATAATGGATACTTCAGTCTCTAACTTACCTTTCAATATATTTCCTATTTCTAATGTTTCCTTCTAACCTTACACCCCTGTTCCCTGCCTATTTTCTCTTCCTTGCCATTCTCATTTGCCCCTAGTCTTCCCATTGGTTGCTTGTTCTTACAACTCTTACATGTGTATAGAGATGAGAGTTCAGAATGGGGAAGGGTGGTGAGTGCTGTTTCCCCTTTCCCTGGATTCCCACCAGCTCATGATTTTCAGAACTTCTACCTTCCCTGAAGGATCAGGGAAGTTGCTGCATTCTCTCTCCTCTCTTGGGTGAGATGTCCAGGTATCAGGTCACACTCTTGGTCTATGAGTCCCAACTGAGTGAGGCTAATTGAGCCTTCCTTCTGGCTCTCTCAGCCCTATGCAGTCTCATGGTTTCCTCCATCTTGTAAACCCTCAGAAAAGACTTTGCCCCTGGAAGGGGGAGGGTGGTGAAGTTCTGTAATCATCCAGCTATTCTGGCTAAGAACGTCTCTTGGGTCAAGGGTGGGCTGGGAGCAAGCTTATTGAACAGGATGCCCCAGGGCCAAAGGAAATGATATGATGCCTTTACCCATCTTGGGTAAAGGTCCAGGCCTTTGCAATCTTGCTTTAGCAGTGATACAACTGGCATTTTGGTCTCTGACTGTGTCTTTTTCAGTTTATTCCTTATCCAGAGGAGAGATGGGTGCTATGAATTAATGTCCTTAAATGCTAATAACGAGCATCGAGCTGGCTCTCCTCTCCCTTTTCCCTCACAGGGAAGAAAACCTGAGGGAAGCAAGTGGGGGTTTTGTGGGCAGCAGAGCTTGTGAGCAACTTCATGGGGCCTGATCAGGAAGGCAGACAAAGAGCCGGATGTCCTGTGAAATGAGGGCACTTGGGATGTGGGCCACCAGGCCAAGTTTAGTTCTTCCTGCTTTCAGCCAAGCACAGGAGCTAGGCCAAAGCTCTGGTGGAGACTCTGGGCAGGACGCCAGGCCTGTGAAACCTGCTAAAACAGGCCTGGTGAGTATCCAGGGCACAGCATGAGAGAATCAAAAGGTGGACATCCCCAGTGAGTCAGGCTGACAGAAAAGGACAGCTGGTCATGATCCCTGAGGGAGCCAGAGCTGACTCAGCTTCAGTGCTGTGGTCTCCAGTGTATTTGAGGTAGGAGCAAAACCGTGTCCCTAACTTGTCATATACTCGAAATTAAGAGTCATGACTTTGACCAACTCAGACTTCAGTAAGGTGACCACTTTCTATATTGGAACTCAAAGATTCCATTAAAAAGACGGAAAAGGAACCTAGATGTCCAGTGGCCTGATGTAGAGAACTGATTATCTACACAGAATCTAAAACATCCTGCTCCACCCAAAGTGCGCATCAAAAAGAACTCCCCTCCAACCTCCTGTTAGCATTTGCCTCGGTTTTAGCTCAGCAAAGGTAATATTCTTGTGCAAGCAGAGAAGGAAAGGTGAGTCTATATCCTTTTGGTGACATTTCCTTTTGGTGATGGGAGCAAGCTTATTGAACAGAATGCCCCACACCCAAAGGAAATGATATATGTGTCTCACGACTTCTGTGAGGCCACTATAAGCTCCCAGAGCATCAGTAGAATAACTGGGCCCTGTTGCCATGACAGTGTCATCTCGAGCAGCGGCCGCACTCCTGCAGAACCTACAGTTTGAACTCTGTCTCTCTGGTCCAGTCCGTTCTTCTGTAGAACTGTGTTTGCCTCGGGGTGTATCGGGTAGAGTGAGGGAGAAGCAGCTGCAGGGGCTGACACTGCCCCTACTGGCACTGACTCTGCCTGATGGTACCTCATCCCCATCCTTCTTCATGTCCTCCTGGCTCATGGGCCCAAGAGGCCTCTCGTTATCTACTTTATCACAGGCTTTTCCCCACAACCCATTAACGGTCAGCTCTGCCAATTGCCAACTGTAACCTTGGGCAAATTAGTCAGCCTCTCTGACTCTGTTTCTTTTTCCTAAATAAGAAATGCAATACTTCCTCTCAGGGTTTATGTGCAGATCCATTTGAGGAGTGTAACATTTGTATAGCACTTAACATAGCACCTAGCCACAAGAGGCATTCAATAAATAGGAAGCCATTTTTCTTATTAGCAGTATTATTAAGATTAATAATAAATGGAATTATATTTGTAATAACAATAGTAATGTACCATTAATAATAGTAATAACTATTATTATTACTTGTGGCTCATTTAGGTTGGCTAATGTTCATATATTTGTAATACACACATATGTGTATGTATTCCAACACATACACTACAGTTTGACTCCAAACACCTAGCTCTTTGAATGTCTAGCACTTATGACACATAGCACACCTATATCATGTATAAAATATACCTGCTATTTTCAGAGCAACAGGATCAACATACAATGAAAATTCATTCCTACAGCTAGTTTGGAAATGAAAGAGCAGCGTTTGGGTTTTTATCCTCTGTTTTCATAGTGCGATCATTTGGGGAACAAACAAATGGGCATGTCCAGTCATCTCACCTAGATATACACAGATCAGCCCAGGAAAGAACTGGGGATTCTCTAGGATGAAGGAAGCCATGTATGTGGAAATGGCCTCATGAGGCACATTCTTGAATCCACTTCAAGAAAGAGGCCTAGGAAAAAGAAACTCACTGGTTAGTGGTTAAAAGACCATGACCGTTCACCTTTGAAGCAGGAGAATCTTAGAATACCTGTGAGTCAGAAGGCATGGGGAATTCAAACCCCATCTGGGACAACAGGACTCAGATTCCTAAAGAGCATAAACCTCTGGCATCCAAACTAAAATTATTAATTAACCAATAGGACAAGACACAGTTTTGGGAAAGAGTTTAGACATTTTTCATGTTCTTTGAATCTAGAAAATGTAATACAGAGACAAAGCCAATGAACCCAACACATGCCAAGAACCAGTGAAAATTAGAAAACCACAAAAGCACACAAATAACTGTTTATTGAGTGCTCCCTATGGGCCAAGCAGTTGGCACATTGTCTTATTTAAGTTTCACAACAATTTTATGGAGAAATATCATTTTGCTCATTCTATTGATGAGAAAACTAAGACCTGGAGAGTTTAAACAGCTTGGTCAGAGTCACTAAGGTACTAGTTAGTAAGCAGCAGGTGGGCTCGGAAGTTCACACTCTTCCCGATAACCCACATGCTGCTTTGCTGATTGTTATGTCAGCACCATTACTGCAAAAGGCAGCTGCGCCTACATACAGACAGCACCATTTTAAAGCACAGTAATCAGAATGGCTGGCGGACCGTGGGGTCACATGGACAGAACATTCAAATGCACTCCTTAGGATTGTCTCCTCTTAGAAATCCTGTGATTGGTTCCTTGAACCATGTTTTCCATGAGCATTTATGTCTTGTTGACCAGCAACCCATCAACCATATTTCAAAACAATACCTGGGCACCCTGACAAGCTGATACTTTTAAAGCAACAATACTAAATACTTTTCAGTTTAAATACATATTTAATTGACAGTACATTTACTATCAATTAATTTATTTACTTTTTAGGTTTAAAATATAGTTTTCTGAGCCCAAATTCCAAAATTCCAGTAACAAAGGTGGCTTCAACAAATAAAGCCACCACTTACGAATCCTATGTGCCAGGAATCAAGTGAAATACTTTTCATCAAACTTATTCCCACGACCACGCTGCAAGGTATTATTGTCCACACCTCTTCTATAGATGAGGAAATGAACTAATGCTCAGAGAGTTTGAATAACTTGTCCAAAGTCACATAGGGAGGATGTAACCAGAAATCAAACCCAAACTATGTATTCTACAAGACTGGCCACATTTCAGGGCTTTGTTTAGAATGTGTAGTTATCTTCATAGGTGAAGAGAAGACCCTCCTGCAATGGAAATAGATCCAGAGTCTGGGAGCATTTCTCCTGATAATTGAAAAATTTCCTAAGGAAAGGTTTTGCTTCACACAGGGGCTGATTCTTCTGACTTCCACACTCTTAGAGTGGAAAACGTGGTTATTAATGAAGCATGAAATGGTGAGATGATTATAAACAGATACTGTCAGTTTACTTCTGCCAGTCCTGGGTCACGTCCAACAAGCGTTATGTCCTCAGGATACAGCCCGTCCTCCCGGAAACAGCACAGCAACCAGTTCATAGGCACGGGGAGTGAGCAGGTTTGGGTTCATCTCCAAATTGTTACATTGTGCAAGTTTCAGTCAACTTTGTTCACCTCCCAATGTTTTTCAATGTCACAGGAATAATACCACCTCTCTTATATCCATCCACAGGGCAATTAATAACTGCTATTTAAAACATTCACTCACTTGTTTACATAGGAGCCAGCTGAAGTGTAGCAAGATGCACTAAGAATAAGGATTATTCTTCTTACGATTTTATAGAGGAGAAAGTTTGGGGCCAGAGAGGTTAAGTAAGTTGCCCAAGGTCACACAGTTAGTGACCTGTGAAACTGACTGACTCCAGAGCCCAGGTACGAACATGGCCTCTAGTGAATTCCTGCCATGGATTGGACTAGCTGCTGAGCCATTCAGCTTCCATTTCTAAGCTCTTCACCATGATTATACTGCTTCTCTCTCTGAGATGTTCTCTCTCTTTTTTTCTAATATACCTCTGTGACAATATTACACACATACGATTATTATGTATTGAAGAAGATGCTGCCAAGGTGCGTCCTGTGGGACATAGATTGACTGGGCTCTGGTCCTGGCAAGAGCCCCCAAGTCTGACTTTTTTCAGATGGCTCTGACTGCAGCTCGCTTTTGAGTTCCTAGCTTCTGTCACTTCAGTAAGAGTGAAACACATCTTTTATAGCACAACAGCCTTCCTGCAGAATGAGTCCTCCAGGAGAAAGCTGAAGCAACCCACTCACACCTGAATACTGCACAGTGGCTCATGCAGCATGGCTGGTTGTCTGCAGCAGTAAAAAAATGTCACCTGAGGTGCACAAACAGCTCCTGGTTGAGGGAATCTTCACTTCTATCTCACCCTGAGGTTACTTTTGGGCATTTGTTGGCAGACATTTGTAGATTGCTTCCCTACTTTCCATTTTCCTTACTGTAGACAACAGAAGCCTGTGGCTAATTGGGTGGAACTCTCCTTTCTCCACTCCCTGAGAGTGATTTGGCTGAAGCTGTCCCCACCCTAGGTCCTGCCCTGCTTGGCTTAAGCTGATTAATTTGTAGTTAGTGGTTCAGGCACAAGCAGGTGACACAGACCCACGCCCCTTGGAGCATTCCCCTTGCTCTGGTGACCGGTCCAAATGTTGGCCCTCCTCTCGAGCTGGTCAAAACCAAGTAGACTCCAATTATTGCTAAGAAAGTTATCAGAGGCTTTCCTTCCCTTGACGGTGTGGGGTGAGGGAGGCAGCACCTGCCCCCACCAGGAGAGTATCTGATGCTGTTACGAGAAGTTTGGAGCCTGAGGATAGATTTGACCCCATGGAAAACAGAGAGCTATAGAGAGAACCTCAGTCCTTGGAGACATGGGTGAGCCATTGGATCAAGTCTCACTGGAAGCTGGAATTGTCTCTTGGCATTTTAGTTACATGGAGCAGTAAAGTGTACCGGAGGCCTAAGCCAACGCTCTGTCCCCGTAACACAGAGCCTTTTCCTTGGGGACAGCTTCCGTGTCTTACTGCTCTATGCTTCCTCCATGTCTGCTAATGTGTTCTAAATAAATAAACATACTTTGCAAAATAAAAAAAGTAATTATTCATAACTAACAACAGCTGTTAAACCAGCTATGTTGATATTACTCTTATAATTTTCCTTGATGCACAAAATGTTTTTCATGGTTAGATTTATGATACTAACCTGCCAGGACAAAGT
This sequence comes from Homo sapiens, assembly GCF_000001405.40. Classification (NCBI taxonomy): domain Eukaryota; kingdom Metazoa; phylum Chordata; class Mammalia; order Primates; family Hominidae; genus Homo; species Homo sapiens. The sequence continues at coordinate 105,996,001 of NC_000004.12, forward strand.
TGAGAAGTTTACCATTTTCCTATACACATTGAATGCTCCAGGTACAGACCACATAACTAAAGTAAGATTTGTGAGCTGTATTGTATTGCACTAACAAGGAATTGTTTCTCACAGCAAGCACTTTGGGGACCAACCCGAGAAAGCTTAGGTGAATTTTTATTTATTTGGTAGATTCTTTACTGTATGGCGAGTTATCTTAATAAAAAGAATTCCTTGAGAATCTCTTAATTAAACTTTTCCATACAACTAAAGGAATTAAGTGCTTAGAGTCTGTTACTATGATGGGATCTTGACATATAAGTATTTTACTGAACAATGCATTTTTTGTAGTGTCTGTCACTGAGGAATACAAAAGATTTTTATAGCTTTTTGCACAAAGGGTTGTAATTTTGATGCCTTAAAAATATCTGTGTCACCTCGAGCAGGACATTTAACTCTTCTGGGCCAGAACATCCTCGGTAAAAGAAGAGTTGGTCTCAGTAATCTCTTAGTTGTTATTATTATAAATCACTAATATTACAGAGATTCAAGATGCAAATATACTCCTTCATTTCTTCATTAAAAAATTAGATAATCCTAATATGTAGCATTTATAGTGAAGGATTCTAGAATCAAGAAGACAATGATTATTACTTCAGCAACCTTTTTGTTCTCTAGAGTGAAAGTTTGTTTTAAAAGGTTTTATTCTTTGTTTATTCATTTGGTAAATATTCACTGAGGTGCCGACCATGTGCCCAGAATTCTGTGGCACCGGCTTCATATCTGAGAAGGACATTATGGCAGGAAAGATTTAGGTTTGCTATACAAATGCATTTCCTATACACAGAGTGGCTAAGTGATAAAATGTAGACCCGACTCTGCTGTGAAACACTGACATCAATTTTATAAGTACATGAAACGTGTATGGGGTGACAGCACCTTTGAGCACCAGGGAGGCAGATCCTTCTGTCTCGGCCACCACTGGGTCAGCAGCCAGGCAGCGCCTGTGCATGATGGTCACCTAACAAGCGTGCGAGAGTAACCTGATGAGTCAGCCAGTTCCTATCGCCCTGTAGTGTGATAATGACCCTTGGTTTCCTTTTTTGACTCCCTGTGCTTGGGGTTAATACTGTGGCTATCTATGCTAGAGTCCTCCAGCAGCATTTCTTGGAGATTATATGTCTATTGTTATCTCACATTCCCTCTATGTGGAAGAGCACCACTAAATAGCAGAGGGATGGACAAATGACAAAAAATCCTCTGTTTTAATATTACTTAGACGTGCACTGTACAGTTAGCAAGTCGTATATTCAGTGGTGTTTTCTCCATTATTTGATGGCCTCAGAAGTGACTGAAATTGCCCTCATCTGTGAAGTGTTGTGTCTGGAGCCAGGAACACATGGGCCCTTGATAAATGTTGGTTGAATGAAATTTAAGCAAGAAGGAAAAGAGCCAGTCCTGTTTTGAATCAATCTTTCCAAAGAAGTGGCTGAGCACTAACCCTGTGCTTCACCTGACTAAACCTTCTGGAGACAGAAGTGGACATGACCTTGGGGAGACAAACCAAATGTATTTGAAGAGATGGAAGTTCGCAATTAAGTGTCAATTGTGCGTAGCACAGACTGTTAAGTGCTGAAAGAATTTAGAGGACAGAGATATCTAAGAGGGTGGAAAGAGATCAGTGAAGATATATGAAAGATAAAGGACTTGAGAGGGTTCTTAAAAGAAGGATTTGGAGGCCGGGCGCGGTGGCTCACGCCTGTAATCCCAGCACTTTGGGAAGCTGAGGCGGGCGGATCATGAGGTCAGGAAATCCGAGACCATCCTGGCTAACACGGTGAAACCCCGTCTCTACTAAAAATACAAAAAAAAATTAGCCGGGTGCTGTGGCGGGCTCCTGTAGTCCCAGCTACTTGGGAGGCTGAGGCAGGAGAATGGCGTGAACCCGGGAGGCGGAGCTTGCAGTGAGCTGAGATCGCGCCACTGCACTCCAGCCTGGGGGACAGAGCGAGACTCCGTCTCAAAAAAAAAAAAAAAAAAGAAGGATTTGGAAAGTGAACGAGTATGTGTTTTGGGGGGGTGGGGGAGGGCGGGGAGGAAAGAGGCTCAGGAAGTGAAGGCAAAATCTAATGTTCAAAGCTGTATTCCGCTTTAGCTTCTGGTCAGTAAGCCTGCCTGCCACTACTGTATCTTTAAAGGTTTTTGCTGCTGTGGAAAATCACCACTCACTGGGATCAGAATATTATCCTCCTGTTAAGCCTTGGTTTCAAAGAGGGTGCACATTTCCTGCATGGCAAGACAACACCATCACCACTGGTAACATAACCCTGCACGTTAGGGAGCTGGTAAATAAATAAACCTTTACATTCCAGATCAATCCATCCAGCCTCTGACAATGACTTATGGCTTGTACTGCAAGGTTAAAAATTAGTCAAGGGTGCCGTTCAAAGTCAGCTCATACCCTGGGATTTCTGGAGGAAAAGGGCATCTGCCATGAGCCTGGTCTGTGAACATAACTTAAACGAGTTATCTTGGACCTGAAGCACTAGAAAGACTGGGGAGAAACCACATGAATACGATGCCTTCAAAACACCGCAAATGCCCTCATGCTGATAAGGCGGAAGAAACACCATCCACAATCATTTTCAGAGTTAACACAAGCAAACAGAGAGGTCCTCAAGGACTCATCATTTCAGTTTATATTCTAAGATAACTGTACCCAGGAGTAACCATTCCAGCTTTCTAAAGCTTTATAGCTTTTTATATTCTTTCATTGATATCAATTCTATGACCCTGAGGGGTAGACCTCATTTCCATTTTAACATGAACAAAACAGATGTCAGAAAAGAAATTTCTTATTCAAAGTTGCACAGCTGGAAGTTTAAGTACCCACTTAGATAATGATTTAAGAACAAAACAAAGAATGCACCTGCATAACTGTGTAAAAGATGCTGTTTGTAATGACAACATTTTGTCCCACTCTGAGGCTTCCTGAAATACATTATGGTACATTCAAACAATGGAATAATCTGCAGCTCTTAAGATCTATTTTGAGGAATCGTATCTGTTAACATAAAAAGATATTTATGTTACATTGCTTAGTTAGAAAAGCAGTTACCAAACCGAATATAGGGTACGAATCTCTGTTTGAAAATAAAAAGTATTTGCATAGCAAAAAACCATTAATATATATATTAATATATATACATACACAATATGTATACACATACATACATACACGAAAGGACTATTAGTAATGTGGAATTGTGAATGTTTTTGTGCTTACGTGCTTTTGTTTTTGTGCGTCTTCAAATTTTTCTGGTTTGAGATTTTGCTTTTGAAATAAGGACTACAAATCAAAATAAAAAAGCAAGCAAGAAAAAGACAAACCTTACAGAAAAAGTTAAGAGTTTACCTGTGCTAAAATGTTCGCTCCACTTATTTGTCTCAGTGTCTGGAATTTCTACCATTATCACTTTATGTATGAAAACCATTTCAAAAGACAAGAGTTCCTGGGAGAGTGCCACAAATTACTACTCTTACATCCCGTGGCTTAGAAACTCAGACCAGTCGCCTCCCATCTAGAAAAGCCTAGAGCACGGCCTTGCTGGAAATTCAGGTTGGCACCACAAAGCAGGAGCTGCTCTCCGGGGAGGACAGAACTTCCTAGGTGGGGTCTGAGAAGCACTGGATCTTAGAAGGAAGCAAAAGGAGATGGGAAAGGGAAGCAGAAATAACAATCTGGTGTTACTTAGTGCCTGCTCTAGGAAAGTGAATACAAAGCAGTACGCATCCACAGAGACTCGCAGAAAGCTCAACAATTGGTCCGAGCTCAGAGTGGCAGTGTTAATGGAGTTTGGAGTACATGAAAACATCTCTTTAGCCTTCTGGTGAAGTCAAATCCTGGATCCAGGTCTGGAAGTATTCAGCGTATACTGGGGGAAATTAAACTCTGTGAGGAAGTGGACAGTGTCAAGTTGGAGGCTGGAGTGTGTAGGAGCCACTAAGCCCTTGGGGAATCAACCTGAATTAAGGAGTAATCTGAGTTTGGGTCTTATTATTTGACATAATACTTTCTGTTGTTTAAACTAGTCAAGGTTTTTTGTTACTGGCAACAAAAGCATCCTAAGGGATCCAACCACATTTAATGAGCACACATGTGTGCCAGGCAATGTGTTAAGGCTTTATGTGTATTGCTTCATTCGATCCTCACACAACCCCAAGACATACATCATTGTCATACCTGGTTGGAAAACAAGGAGCGAAAGCTTACAGAGGTTTAGAAACTTGCCCGGGTTGCACAACCCTGGAGGAATAGGTGTGCATTTGTGTGAACATAGACCATCTGACTCCAGGGCCCCAATCTAATACTCACAGTGGTTCCATTTGTTTCCTAATTTAATATTAGGTAATATGTGCCATTGCTCAGTTGATGTTTTTTATCCATGAGTTATTAGTAGATGAAAAGAAAGAATTTGAGGGTAGTTCTACCCACAATTCCAAAGAACATTCTCTGCTCCATTGACACTGGTTTCCTTTGCAAAAGCCAAACTCTGTACAACTAATTTGTCCAGAGAGGAATGCTGTGGGGTGGAGCGGGTAGCAGGAGATGAGTGGGGAACAGCCTAAGACGTTCAGCTCCTTGCTTTGGACTTAACAGGAGATCTAAGGCAAGGTATTAAATCCCCTGAGCCTCAGTTTCCTCATCTGTAAAGGGGTAGCAGGAGAGACATTTCTCACAGACCTAGTGTGTGGATTGAGATAGACACAGTATATAAAGCATGAGAGTGGTGCCTAGCCTATGACAGATCCTAAAAGAAGGCAGCTACTGGGAAACAGGCTACTGTGCGGATGAGGAACACAGGCTTGGGAGTTCAGGCTTACCAGGATTCCAATCTTGCCTTAATTTCCTACTTTGTCTCTAAAATCAGGATAATCATTCATTTATTCAACATTTTTTTGCCTCCATTCTAGCCCATATGCTGAAATAATGTTGAGTTAAAACTACAAACAGATAAGTCTCTATTATCTTGAAAATTACAATCTAATAGGGAAACAGAGATGAAAAAGGAGATTACAATGTGGTGTGTTATGTTCTAAGACAGAGGAAGCATGGGCTTTCATGAGAATGCTTGGGAGTTAGATTCAACCTGGGTTTGGTGTGTCACAGGAGGCTCCCTGGAGGAAGAGATCCTCAAGGTGAGTGCTAAGCCCTAAGTAGGAGTGAGCTAAGTTGCAGTGGGCATGGAGAAAGGGGGAAGGGAAGAGCATTTCAGGTCTCAGGCTGTTGGGAAGGTTAAATGCGACAATGTATGGAATCGCTTAATATAGTGCCCAGCAATTTATGTGTGCACCATAAATAGCAGTGATTTCCTTATTTTAGAACATTTGAAATACATGTGTTTTTCTATTTGCTTGTCCAGCTTCAGAATGAATGTTCTCCATTAACTATCAAGTGGTTTTCTGAGTCTCACCAGCATTACTTAACATATGATCATCTAAAGAACCACAGTTGTGTTCTAACTTATATTTTTGAGCAGCAAAGAGGATGCTATTCTTGCATTCTCTACAAATGGTAAGTGGCCAGCAGGGCACTGCTTTACTAAGTGGAGGCAGTAAAGGTTGGCTGTTTACTGAGCCTGCCAAACACACTCATAGATCCTTTCCAGCAGTCTCATTACTTTTTAGTTCAGCTCTAAGGAAGGGAAAACCTAACACTTCTTAATAGTTAAGCACTTAGACCACCTTCATCTTGCAGACAAAGACTCATGGTGCTCTGTCTTCCTTCTGTTTCCTTGGCAAGTAGCCTGTATGTACCTTGACGTATCTTTATGATGCTTCAGAATAATTTCTCAGTGAGCCTGATTCTCCACACCCACCAGCTCATTTGGGGAAGACAATATTCAGTTTTGGAAACCACATGTTAAGACAGATATGGAAAAAGTGAAGTATGTGCACAGGAGAAGGTTTCAGACTGTGAAGAGGCTTGGATCCATGCTAAATGAAACCAACCTACTGGCCACTTTGTCACTTGTGCAGAAGTGGGCAACAGTGTTAAGGGAGTTGTCTGCTCTGCTAGGTTGTGAGGAGAGGGCATATGGTAAAGATATCATACTAAGCTTCATAATTGTATTTCATTAAAAGTTGAGGTGGAAACTTTTATAAAAATCAAGTCTGAAATGTAGAAGACTTAGAAAACACTATAGGTGGGAATGTAGAGCAAAGGCATTTTCATGCACTGTTGGTGGAATTGTAAACTGGTACCACTACTTTGGAAAATAAATTGTCTGGTATACGTGATGATATATGCCCTCTGTGCATTCCTGCAATTCCCCTTCTAGAGAATTTCATGCCCTAGGGAAACAAACACACATGTGCCCAAGAATATATGTACAAGAAGGTTTATAGCAGCATGGCTCATAATTATGCAATGTCTGAACCAACCCACTGTCCACCAAAAGTAGAATGAATAAATAAATTGTGCTATGTCCATACAACAGAATGCTATATAGCAATGAGAAAAAATACATTGTAGTTACAGGAAACGTGGATTTTATAACTATAATGTACATATGAAGCAAGTTCAAAATAATATGGTATGATTGCATTTATGTAGAGTTCAAAACTTAGTCAAACTAAATTATGATTTTTAGGGATGCATGCATAGGTGGTGAAACTAATGAAAAGCAAGGAAGTAGTTATAATAAAAATCAGGATAGTGGGAAGGGAGGATGCTATAATTGGTAAGAGACATACTGGAAACTTCTGGGGTTTGGCAATGTTCTATTGCTTGACCTGGCAGATGTTATGTGGGTGTTTGTTTTATAATTTGTTAATTGTACATTTATATTTAATTCACTTTTCTGTATGTTATATTTCATCAAAAGTAAAAAAAATTAAGTGACCCTTTGAACAAATGGTAGCCTGTAGAGCAAATCATTAATAAAATTATTCTCTAATGGACTTCTAGTGAGAAAGCTTTTCCCCATGAGTCTCTGTTAGGTGCCTAATTTATCTCTAAATTCAAGACCTTTGGACACAATTGGTTTTGCTATAACCAGGAAAGGCTCTTTCCAGATACATCAGATATCTGGCTCTAACTCCCTGAAAAAGAATGTTGAAAAATGCTAGAGGGAAGATTTTTCCTCTTTGATAACCTGTTGCTTGTGAATGAGCTAACTGGTGCGATCTGGTATAGACTAGAAAGCCAGTGTATTTCTGAAATCAGGGTACTTATTTCTAGAGAAACGTGGAAACATTAACCAGATCCCCAGGGAAAGGCTTCCTGACAGACTGTTTTTGCTTCTTAGTTGTACAGATTAGACATAAAATGAGATGTGCCTTGAGTTTTTTATTCAACATTTCAAAATATAAAAACAAAATGAAAAACTTAAGTAAATGAACAATAAGGTGACGGTCTTTCACAGTATAAAGTGTAACTTTTTTGTTGCTCTCATTATGACCCCATGCCTTCATTACTCTAAGTGGACAGAAATTTTCAGACACAGGTTACTGTACACAGGATGATTCCATTTGGAAATTTAGGCCAAAGAGCAGAGAGAATAATCTTTCAAAGGTACATATATATAGATCTGTATCTTATGTTGTAAAACACACGTTTATATACAAATTTCATATTTATAAGTACAAAAGACAAAGAATGCAAATGAATAATTAATCTATAGTCAATATAGATAATACTGTTGTCCCTGTTCTGTTTTCTAATTTTACAAGACAATTGTAGCTGTCTGCATGCAGGTGGACTTGACTTGTAGCAACTGGAGACAAGGTGTAGTTCTCCATGTGTCTGAGATTCCAGAACTAGACTCAATTGTGGTTCCAGATCAAATCAGCCTGCAGAGAATGGCTGTTCCCTGGTGCACATGGAGTTGAGCGGAGCAGCACACTTGGGCACAGGGGTTGGCCGTCAGCTCACTGTCCTGCTGCCACCCTCCACCACCTCAGAGGCTGCTGTAACTTTGAGAAAATAACCTTTGAACCTCAGTCTCTACAATGCTTAAATAAAGAGAACATTCAATTAGAGAAAATAATTTTAGCAGTTAAATGTTCCATTTTTCCAAAGTGCTATATATAGATTTGACTCACACTGGTTTACACATTTCCTAGGAAGAAAACAAACAAATCTGTATGTTATACTCGTGCCCTCTTAAAATGTATACGTTGAAGCCCTAACCCCAAATGTGACTGTGTTTGGAGATAGGGCTTGTACAGAGATAATTAAGGTTAAATGAGGTCATAAGAGTGGGATCCTAATCTGACAGGATTAGTGTCCTTATAAGAAGAAGAGGAGCTCTAACCAGAGCTTCCGCATCCCACCGCTTTGACCCCACAGAAGAAAGGCCATGTGAGGACAGAGGGAGAAGGTTGCATCTGCCAGCCAAAAAGAAAGGCCTCTCCAGACACCAAGCACTATGATTTTCCAGCACCTTGATTTTGGACTTCCTGCCTCCCGAACTATAAGAAAATTAATTTTTGTTGTTTCAGCTACTCAGCCTATGGTATTTTGTTAGGACAGCCTTAGTGGACTAATACACTGTGCCATCTTCTTAAAGAAGCTACCGTATTACACATTGTATTTTTTGATGCTCATGTCCCAGTCACTATACAGGGTTTATTTCTTTAAGTTAAATGATGCTAATCACTTAATTCAGTCAACAAATAAGATAACTCACTCTGTGTCAAAAATTATTCTAGCTAGTGGCGATATGGCAGTGCATAACACAATATCCCTGCCCTTAGGAAATTTATATTCTGGTGGAGAAGAGTAAAGCACAGATGAGAAGACTTTAGTGACCCCTAAGCCAGCAGTATTTCACACTAGAGATTTTAAACTTCTTTCCTTCAGTTAAAGGAACAAATCAATGAAAGTCTTTATGAACACATTAACCAAGAACATATTCTACAGGAAGAAATCCCTGGTCTTCCCTTTTTAAAAATTGCCAAAATTAAACACAAATCTAAGTTAAATGAGATTCGCAATCTATGAAAAGGCTAAATTAAGAACTGGTTTCTTTTTAACCAAGAACTGTCCAAACAAAAACAAAACAAAAAAGGTGCTCTTTCAGCGTGATTATGTAAAATGATTTGTCAGACCAACATTGGGAAGCAATCCAGCCCTTGCACACAAATGCCTAGCTACATGGCAAAGCACTCAGAGTCATCACCTTCACACCATAAAATCACTCTACAAAAGGAGCTGAGTGTGTCAGATATTACATGATCCATAGTAGCATCCTGCAGAATGTCACAGTCAGAATTCTATCAGTCTCCCAGTCTTTGAAATACTGAGGCACGAAAACAAAACCCACAAGTATTGCCTTAGGTATAGAATCAAGAGAAAGCTATTGAGCTATAATTGAGCAATTGATAATGTGCCTCATGGCAGGATAGGATGGAAAATACAATTTTAGCAGTGAGCATTGCTGAGAATTGTTAAAAACAAAAAAACAAAAAACAAAAACAAACAAACAAAAAAAACTTTCCAGAAATCCCAATAGAATTCCTTACATAAAGAGAGAAGGTAGGATTTTAAACCAAATGTAGACCGATTTTCATATCTGAGATTAGTTTGAATATGGAAATTTCCATGTCAAAGTCATGATTTTCAAAGTCTTCCAGACCAAGAGACCAGTGATAGGCATGTGATCCACATTTAATTGGTTAGTGTTAAGACTCTGCCCAGTAAAGCAACTAGGCTAGTCATTTGCCTATTTGCGTTTACTCTCAGATCTAGTGTCTTTTCTCTTTCTCTGTTCTCAGTAACATGGGACTGACCTTTGCAAACTACATATTCTGAGCTTTCTAGGCAGCCTGGGCTTCTGGGCTCTAGTAACAACTCTTTTTCCTTTGAGTCTCTTCAGCCCTAGGCAAGATATTGGCTCTCTGGATTGCCTTATTGTCCCTTGCTGTTTGCCTTTTCGGGTCTTCCCACAGGTCCATAATTAATTGTCCATATTCAATATACTATATTGTACCATGTGACATGGGTTGTGTGGCTCCTGCTAAGCCTAACTTATATAGTACTTCACGTAAGACAGTGACTTGTATTATACAAGTTGGGACCTCTCTCCTGAGTCTGAACCTGAGATAGAAAATTAGCATAGCAGTAATTGCTGAGGCAGAGAATAGAAGAGCATTAGAAGATCCCCAGAAGTTCAGATCTGCATTGTCTCCTGAATGGCAATTGTGTTCTCTGTGACTTTCAATTTTGCAATTTCCACTTTGTTCTAAAAGATATTGAGGTTTTCCTTAAAGCAGCCAATGTGGGAGTTATGACCATTTCCTGCCTCGCTTACTTCTCTTCATATCTTTACAATATATTCAAGTGTGTCTCAGCTCTACATAACCTGAAATAGCCTATTACCAAACCTGAATGAAAGAAGTCAAGGCGGTAAATCTGGAAACTGCTCTAAAGACACAAATGCTGCAAATGCACGTGACTTACATGTCCTCAGGCCTTAATGAAGGTGTGCAGGCAATTTAAATTTATTGAGATTGTTGACATAGTAGAACTTCTATCTACCATTTTGTTATATTTGTTTTCTATTTTTCTCATTTGTTCTTTGCTTCCCTTTCTCTTATCTGCCTTCTTTTAGATTGATTGCATTTTTTAAATTATTCCATTTTATCTCCTTTGGTGGCTTCTTAGCTCTGTGGTTTTTATTGTCATATAGGTTTTTGTTGTTGGTTTTGTTTTAGTGTTTGCTTTAGGTTTTAAACCATATAACTTTAATTTATCATAACCTAGCTTCAAGTAACATATTCCTTCATGTATAATTTCTCTTTCTCTGCCTTTGTGCTATTGTCATAATTTAATGCTTACATGTTATATACCTCTCAATACATTGTTATCTTTCATTTAAACAGTCAACCGATATTTATTTATTTACTTATTTATTTATTTTTGAGATGGAGTCTTGCTCTGTTGCTCAGGCTGGAGTGCAGTGGCACGATCTTGGCTCACTGCAACCTCTGCCTCCTGGGTTCATGCTGTTCTCCTGCCTTGGCCTCCCAAGTAGCTGGGATTACAGGCGAGCACCTCCACTCCTGGTTAATTTTTTTTTTTTTTTTTTTTTTTTTTTTGAGACAGTCTTGCTCTGTTGCCCAGGCTGGAGTGCAGTGGCGCGATCTTGGCTCACCGCAAGCTCCGCCTCCCGGGTTCACACCATTCTCTTGCCTCAGCCTCCCGATTACCTGGGACTACAGGCGCCTGCCACCACGCCTGGCTAATTGTTTGCATTTTTAGTAGAGACGGGGTTTCACTGTGTTAGCCAGGATGGTCTTGATCTCCTGACCTCGTGATCCACCTGCCTCAGCCTCCCAAAGTGCTGGGATTACAGGCGTGAAGCCACCGTGCCCGGCCTTTTTTAAATTTTTTATAGAGACGTGGTTTCGCAATGTGGGCCAGGCTGATCTCCAACTCCTGGCCTCAAGTGATCCACCTGCCTTGGCCTCCCAAAGTGCTGGGATTACAGGCATGAGCCACTGCATCCAGCATATTTATTTATTTTTAATTAATTTCAATGAGTTTTGGGGGAACAGGTGGTGTTTGTTTACATGGATAAGTTCTTTACTGGCGATTTTTGAGGTTTCGGTGCACCCATCCCTGGAGCAGTGTACACTGTATCTAGTATGTAGTATTTTACTCCTCACCTCCCTCCCACCATTCCCTCTGAGTCCCCAAAGTCCATAGTATTATTCTTATGCCTTTGCATCCTCATAGCTTAGCTCCCATATATCATTGAGAACATATGATGTTTGGTTTTCCATTCCTGAGTTACTTCGCTTGGAATAATGGTCTCCAGCTCCATTCAGGTCGCTGCAAAGGCCTTTATTTTGTTCCCTTTTATGGCTGCGTAGTATTCCATGGTGTGTATGTGTATATATACACTATGTATATATACCACATTTGCTTTATCCACTCATTGATTGATGGGCATTTGGGCTGGTTCCATATTTTTGCAGTAGCACATTGTGCTGCTATAAACATGCATGTGCAAGTGTCTTTTTTTGTATGACTTCTTTTCCTTTGTATCGATACGCAGAAGTGGGATTGCTGAATCAAATTGTACATCTACTTTTAGTTCTTTAAGGAATGTCCATACTCTTTTCCATAGTGGTTGTACTAGTTTACGTTCCCACCAGCAGTGTAGTAGTGTTCCCTGTTCCATCCCAACATCTATTATTTTTTGAATTTTTTTATTATGGCCATTCTTGTAGGAGTAAGGTGGTATCACGTTGTGGTTTTGATTTGCATTTCTCTGATCATTAGTGATGTTGAATATTTTTTCATTTGTTTGTTGTCCATTTGTATATCTTCTTTTGAGAATTATCTATTCATGCCCTTAGACCACTTTTTGATGGGATTGTTTGCTTTTCTCTTGCTGATTAGTTTGAGATCCTTGTAGATTCTAGATATTCATCCTTTGTCAGATATACAGATTGTGAAGATTTTCTCCCCCTCTATGGGGTGTCTGTTAACTCTGCCGATTATTTCTTTTGTGGTGCAGAAGCTTTTTAGTTTAATTAAGTCCCATCTATTTATCTTTGTTTTTCTTGCATTTGCTTTTGGGTTCTTGGTCATGAAGTCTTTGCCTAAGCCAATATCTAGAAGGATTTTTCCAATGTTATCTTCTAGAACTTTTATGATTTCAGGTCTTAGATTTAAGTCTTTGATCCATCTTGAGTTGATTTTTGTATAAGGTGAGAGATGAGGATCCAGTTTCATTCTTCTACATATGGCTTGCCGATTGTTCCAGCACCATTTGTTGAATAGGTGTCCTTTTCCCACTTTACATCTTATTTGTTTTGTCAGAAGATCAGTTGACTGTAAGTATTTGGCTTTATTTGTAGGTTCTGTATTCTGTTCCACTGGTTTGTGTGCCTATTTTTATACCAGTCCTGTACTGTTTTGGTGACTATGGCCTTACAATATAGTTTGAAGTTGGGTAATGTGATGCCTTTAGATTTGTTCTTTTTGCTTAGTCTTGCTTTGGATATGTGGGCTCCTTTTTGTTCCATACAATTTTGGGATTTTTTTTTTAGTTCTGTGAAGAATTATGGTGGTATTTTGATGGAATTGCATTGAATTTGTATATTGCTTTTGGCAGTATGGTATTTTCACAATATTGATTCTATCCATCTATGAGCATAGGGTATGTTTCCATTTGTTTGTGTCATCTATGATTTCTTTCAGCAATATTTTGTAGTTTTCCTTGTAGATGTCTTTCACCTCCTTGGTTAGGTATATTCCTAAATATTTTAAGGTTTTTGTAGCTATTGTAAGAGATGTTGAGTTCCTGATTTGATTCTCAGCTTGGTCATGGTTGGTGTATAGCAGGGCTACTGATTTGTGTACATTAATTTTGTATCTTGAAATTTGACTGAATTGATTTAACTGTTCTAGGATCTTTTTAGAGGAGTCTTTAGGGTTTTCTAGGTATATGATCATATCATCAGTAAACAGAGACAGTTTGACTTTCTCTTTACTGATTTGGGTGCCCTTTACTTCTTTCTCTTGTCTAATTGCTCTGGCTAGGACTTCCAGTACAATGTTGAATAGAAGTGGTGAAAGTGGGTATCCTTGTCTTTTTCCAGCTCTCAAGGGGAATGCTTTCAACTTGTCCCTGTTACATATAATGCTGGTTGTGGGTTTGTTATAGATAGCTTTTATTACCTTAAGGTATGTCCCTTCGAATTTGTTTTTGCTGAGGGTTTTAATCATAAAGGGATGCTGGACTTTATAAAATGTTTTTTCTGCATCTATTGAGATGATCACATTGTACTTATTTTTAATTCTGTTTATGTAATGTATCACATGTATTGACTTGCATATGTTAACCTATCCCTGCTTCCCTGGTATGAAACCCACTTGATCATGGTGGATTATCTCTTTGATATGCTATTGGATTCAGTTAGCTAGTATTGTGTTGAGGATTTTTGCATCTATGTTCATCAGAGATATCAGTCTGTAGTTTACTTTTTTTGTTATGTCCTTTCCTTGTTTTGGTATTAGGGCTTCATAGAATGATTTAAGGAGGATTTCCTCCTTCCCTATCTTTTGGAATAGTGTCAATATAATTGGTACCAGGTTTTTTTGAATGTCTGATAGACTTCATGTGGGAATCCATCTGTTCCTGGACTCTTTTTTGTTGGCAATTTTTGAATTACCATTTCAATCTCACTGATTGTTATTGGTCTGTTCAGAGTTTCTATTTCTTCCTGGTTTAATCTAGGAGGGTTGTATATTTCCAGGAATTTATCTATCTCCTCTAGGTTTTCTAGTTTGTGTGTGTAAAGGTGTTCACAGTAGCCTTGAATGATCTTTTGTATTTCTGTGGTATCGGTTGTAATACTTTCTGTTTCATTTCTAATTGAACTTATTTATATCTCTCTTCTTTTCTTGGTTAATCTCGCTAATGGTGGATCAGTGTTTATCTTTAAAAAAACCAGCTTTTTGTTTCATTTATCTTTTGTATGTTTTTTTTGTTGTTGTTTCCATTTCATTTAGTTCTGCTCTGATCACTGTAATTTCTTTTCTTCTGCTAGGTTTGGGTTTTGTTTGTTCTTGTTTCTCTAGTTCCTTGAGGTGTGACCTTAGATTGTCTATTTGTGCTCTTCAGCTTTTTTGATGTAGGCATTTTAAGCTATGGACTTTCCTCTTAGCACTGCTTTTGCTGTATCCCAGAAGTTTTGATAGGTTGTGTCACTATTATCATTTAGTTCAAATAATTTTTTAATTTCCATCTTGCTTTCATTGTTGACCCAGCATTGAGGCCATTTACATTCAACATTAGTATTGAGATGTGAGATACTATTCTAGTCATCATGCTAGTTGTTGCCTGAATATCTTGTGGTTTTTTTTTTCATTGTGTTATTGTTTTATAGGCCCTGTTAGATTTATGTTTTCAGGGGGTTCTATTTTGGTGTATCTCGAGGTTTCGTTTCAAGTTTTACAACTCCTTTTAGCAGTTTCTGTAGTGCTGGCTTGGTAGTGGTGAATTCTCTCAGCACTTTTTTTTGTCCAGAAAAGACTTTCCCTCTTTCATTTATAAAGCTTAGTTTTGCTGGTTACAAAATTCTTGACTGATAATTGTCTTGTTTAAGGAAGCTAAAAATAAAACTCCAATCCCTTCTGGCTTGTGGGGTTTCTGCTGAGAAATCTACTGTTAATCTGATAGGTTTTCCCTTATAGGTTACCTGATGCTTTTACCTCACAACTCTTAAGATTCTTTCCTTCCTCTTGACTTTGGATAACCTGAAGACTATGTACCTAGGTTATAAACTTTTTGCAATGCATTTCCCAGGTGTTCTTTGAGCTTCTTGTATTTGGATGTCTAGCCCTTTAGCAAAGCCAGGGAAGTTTTCCTCAATTATTCCCTTAAATATGTTTTCTAAACTTTTAGATTTCTCTTCTTCTTTGGGAACACAAGTTATTCTTAGGTTTGGTTGTTTAACATAATCCCATACTTCTTGGAGGCTTTGTTCATTTTTTTTAAAAAAATATTTTTTCTTTGTCTTTGTCGGGTTAATTTGAAAGCCTTGTCTTTGAGTTCTGAAGTTCTTCCTTCTACTTGTTTGCTTCTATTGTTGAAACTTTCTAGTGTATTTTACATTTCTCTAAGTGTGTCTTTCATCTCCAGAAGTTGTGGTTGTTTTTTATTTATGCTATTTTTCTGGATAATTTTTTGTCCATATCCTGTACTTTTTACAAAATTTCTTTAAGTTAGTTTCTACCTTTCTCTGTTGCCTCTTTGAGTAGCTTAATAATTGACCTCTGAATTCTTTTTCTGGCATTTTAGAGATTTCTTCTTGGTTTGGATCCATTGCTTGTGAGCTACTGTGATCTTTTGGGGGAGTTAAATAACCTTGTTTTGTCATATTACCAGAATTGTTTTTCTGGTTCCTTCTCATTTGGGTAGACTATGTCAGAGGAAAGATTGGGGCTTAATGGCTGCTGTTCAGATTCTTTTGTCCCACAGCATGCTCTGTTGGTGTGGTGCTCTTCCCTTTCTCTAGGGATGGAGCTTCCTGAGAGTCAGACTACAGTGATTGTTATTGCTCTTCTGGGTTTAGCCACCCATCAGAGCTACCAGGCTCCAGGAGGATACTGGGGAGTGTCTGCAAAGAGTCCTGGGATGTAATCCATCTTCAGGTCTTGCAGTCATGGACACCAGCACTTGCTCTGGAAGAGACAGCTTTACAGTCCACAGTAAAGTGGACTCTGTGAGGGTCCTTGGTTGTAGTTGTGTTTAGTGCACTGGTTTTCTTGAATGCTGTTAAACAGTCAACCAACTTTTCAAAGAGGTGTGTTTTTATTTTTTATTTTTTTATTTTTTGAGACAGAGTCTCTCTCTATTGCCAAGCTGGAGTGCTGTGGCACAGTCTTGGCTCACTGCAGCCTCCGACTCCCTGGTTCAAGTGATTCTCCTGCCTCAGCCTCCTGAGTAGCTGGGATTACAGGCACATGCCACCACACCAAGCTAATTCTTGTATTTTTGGTAGAGACAGGGTTTCACCATATTGGCCAGGATGGTCTCCATCTCTTGACCTTGTGATCTGCCCGCCTTGACTTCCCAAAGTGCTGGAATTACAGGCGGGAGCCACTGCACCTGGCCAAGATATTTTTTTTTTTTTTTTTTTTTTTTTTTTTTGAGACGGAGTCTCGCTCTGTCGCCCAGGCTGGAGTGCAGTGGCGGGATCTCGGCTCACTGCAAGCTCCGCCTCCCAGGTTCACGCCATTCTCCTGCCTCAGCCTCCCGAGTAGCTGGGACTACAGGCGCCCGCCACTACGCCCGGCTAATTTTTTGTATTTTTAGTAGAGACGGGGTTTCACCGTTTTAGCCGGGATGGTCTCGATCTCCTGACCTCGTGATCCGCCCGCCTCGGCCTCCCAAAGTGCTGGGATTACAGGCGTGAGCCACCGCGCCCGGCCAAGAGATTTTTTAAATAAGGAAAAAGTATTTTATATTTTACCCATGAGTTTATTATCTAGTACTCTTTATTCTGTTACATAGATCCACATTTCCATATGGCATTATTTTCCTTTTGCCTGCAATCCTCTAATATTTATTGTAGAGCAGATCTGCTGCTAATGATTTCTTTTAGGATTTATAAATTTAAAAAGTCTTTATTTTCCCTCTGTTTTGGGAAGATCTAGTCACTGGATATAGTATTCTACTTGAAAGGATTTTTTTTTCCTTTCAATACTTTAAAGAAAATGTTTCAATGCCTTTGAGCTTCCATTGTTTCTAAAGAGAAATCTACCATCATCCCTCTCTTTGGCTATCTGTACATAATGTGTCTTTTTTTCTTTGGCTGCTTCTAAGGTTTTCTCTTTCCCAATTGTATCAATCAATTTGATTCTAATGTGCCTTAGTGTAGTTTTCTTTATGTTCTTTGTGTTTTCAGTTTGTTGAGTGTCTTGGATCTATCAGTTTATGCTTTTTGTCAAATTTGTTTCTTTTCTCAACTATTTTTTCTGTCCACCCTCACCCCCCAAACTTGTACCCTTCTGAGCCAACTCCAGTTGCATGTATATTAAGGTTCTTGAGGTTGTTGTTATTGTTCATTTTGTTTGGTCTTTTTTCTTACCTTGTTTTGTTTTAGATAGTTTCTATTATTGTCTTCAAGTTTATTGATCTTTTACTCTACAGTGTCTAGTCTGTTTTTATATGTTATATGTTTCATATTAAGTATTGTATTCATCATTTCCAAAGTTAGATATCTTTCATATCTCTCCTACTTGTGCTCATGCTTTCCCTTACTCTGTGAACACATAAAATATAGTATTAACTATTTTAATTTCCTCATGTGCTAATTCTATCATCTATATAATTTCTGGGTCAGTTTCAAGTCACTGATTTTTCTCCTCATTATGAGTTTTAATTCTGATTTTTTGCATGCCTTGTAATTTTTGATTGGATGACAAACAGTGTAGATTTTACCTTTTTATGAGTGCTGGATATTTCATATTTCTTTATATGTTTTTGAACTTGTTCTAGGACCTTGTTAAGTTATTTTAAAAGAGTCTGTTTCCTAGTGCCACTATAACAAATTACCACAAACTGAATGGCTTAAAACAACAGAAATATATTTTCT
Source organism: Homo sapiens (assembly GCF_000001405.40). Taxonomy (NCBI): domain Eukaryota; kingdom Metazoa; phylum Chordata; class Mammalia; order Primates; family Hominidae; genus Homo; species Homo sapiens. The sequence continues at coordinate 106,014,100 of NC_000004.12, forward strand.
CACAGCCATTGAGGCCAAAAATCTAAAATCAAGATGTTAGCAGAGCCACATTTCCTCCAAAGGAAATGGCAGATAATCCAGTACTTACCTCTTCCAGCTTCTGGTGGCTTTTTCGGCACTCTTGGACTTGAGGTCACTGCACTTTAATCTCTGCCTCTGTTTTCACATCATCTTTTCCTCTGAGTGTTTGTGTTATCTCCCTTTGCCTCTATCCTGGAAGGACACTTATAATTCCATTAAGGGTCTACCCAGATAATCCAGGGTAATCTCTTCATCTCAAAATCCTCAACTTAATTACATCTACAAATACCTCTTTCCCAAATAAATTCTCATTTACAAGTTCAGGGATTATAACTTGATATCTTTGGTGACCATAATTATAAGATGTAAGTATAAATTAGTTCTCTGTTATTCTAATTTGGCTAGAAGAAAAAGTCTGGGGGGGAAGTATAAAGGAACAAGTAAAATATGTATGGAGTGAACCAGGAAGAAACCCTGAGGATTTCATTCACCAGTTCAATTTGTTAAAAATGTTTACTGAACACCTAATATGTGATGGGGGCATAGAAAAAAAAATACCCTTGTCCTCGTAGAGCTAACATTCTAATGAGAGGAGACTAATAACAAAGCAAACAAGTCAAACACATAATCTTCACATAGTGATGAGGGCTATGGGAAAAAAATAAAGGAAGCAAGCAAGAGATATGAAATGGACTCCAGAGATGGTGAATAGGGTATAATTATAAATAGAGTGGACAGGGAAGTTCTGATTGGAAATGGAGTATTTGAGTAAAGATCTGAAATAAAGTGAGAAACTGAGGCATGCACATATCTGAGGAAGATGTTTCAGGTAGATGGAACAGTATGTACAAGAGCCTGAGTTAGGAATATACTTGGTGAGTTTGGAGAAAGTGGCTAGAAACCCAGCATCAGCTAGAGCAGAATGAGCCATACTGGGGGGTATGTCAGAGGGTGCAGATCAAATAGGACATTGAAAGCTGTATGTAATGACTTTGGCTTTCACTTGAGTAAGATGGAAAGCCATTTAGAAGGCCATGATATGATTAAGCTTTAAAGGGATTTCTTTGAGTGTGGTGTTGGGAAGAGATTGGGAACAGAGTATGGAAGCAGAAAGATCTGTTAGGACAGAATTATTCAGTGACAGAATTATTGAGTGACAGAATAATGGTGGCTTAAATTAGGATGGCAGTGAAGGTGTGAGATGGCTTTAGATTCTGCTGAAAGTTGAGCCAACAGGACTTGTTGGTGGATTACATGTAGGGTATGAGAGAAAGAGAGGCATTCAGAAGAAATCTAATGTTTTAGGCCTGAGCAGCAGAGGGATGAAGTTGCTATTAGTTGAGATGGGGAGGACTGTGGTCTAAAAAGGAAGAGCAGAAGTTTCTTTTTGAATATTTAAGTGTGAGGTGCCAATTATACATCCAATTGAGATGTTAAAGAGATCATTGGATATACTGAGTCTGGCATTTAGAGGAGAGGTCTGGTTTGGGCATATAGATTCAAGAGTCAACTGACAGCAAATGGAAGGGAACAGAATTATTATGTTTAGGAACCTATTAAAATTAGGAAGGGTTAGGTATCTTCAAGCCTCTTCTCTTTTAACTTAAGGGGTTATATGGAAAATGTTTCTAAGCATATAGTGTCCTACCTGTTCAATGTTCATTGACAAAACAAATTAAAATATAGAACACAGAAAAGTATAGAATAGAATTGAGGTACAAGAAGTGCAATAGTTGATGAGAGAATGTCTGGAATTTAACATAAACTAGATAATTAAATTCTCACAAGATAGGTATCACTGCCCCCATTTTATGGATAGGGAAACTGGCTTTTACAGAGGTCAAACAGCATGCCCAAACTCACAAAGTCAGTGAGTCGTAGAGCTGGGATTCAAATCCAGCAGATCTAACTCTGAAGTCCAGGTCCTTCCTATGACTCTACAAGGCCTTCCAGCCAAACAGTTTAATGGTAGAAATCATGGCATATTTGGGGCTCAGGGCTCACTTCTTTACTTATGAGGTTAAGCTTTCTGCTACAGGAAATGATCTAGACTAGTTTCTACAAAATGGGGCCAGGAAAGTCGTAATTATAAATATTCATTATTTGAGAACTATTTCCATTATTGGGCTGAAAGCAAAGGATTTGTATATCTTACCCCTTGGTTACATGAGATCATGAATAAACAAAATATAATTAAGATTGATTATAAAGATAAACATAGAAAGAGAACCCAGCTCATTACTTAACTTTACTGCTATTGATACCAGGCCAGAAAACTTTTCAATTGAGGAACACCATGTTAGCCAATTTTAAATTAAAGTCTCTCAAACATGAAAACCCCACCTACCCCACCTCCCCCACCTCTGTCACTGTGCCATGCCAGATTGGCAAGTCCATTTGTAAGGGAAGCAAAGTATCCTGGTGAACAGGCCACCTTGCCAGGAGGCACCTGCAGACCTTATCAACAATGAGCCTACTTATTCTTACTGTCCTTTCTTTTTAGATCCTCTATAAAAGGTATGGCTGTTTATCACCTATTGCAGTACCTCAGAATCAAATGTCAGTGATATCAATACATGGGGATAAGAGAGCTCATTCAAGGTGAAATGGAAGATACCACTTGGTTTGTTTATCATGCAGTACAAGGGGAGGAAAGAAGGGGAAACAGGGAAGATGGAGCAATGTCCCTCACAAAAGGAGATGGGTGAGCTGTGCCAACAGCCTTTCCTTTCCAGAACACCAAAGGAGCCATTGTTACTAACTTTGTATTTTGGTTTTGACAGGAGACACCTGATCCTAGTTTAGGGATTTATTTCCATGGCAGGACTAAAGCAGTCTGACCTGACATAAAGGGACCTGGAACACACACATGTCCTACCAGTCACATGGTTGGGAGATGGTGTAGGTTGCATCTGCAGGGGGTCTTTGCTGCTTACGACAACTCTGGGGTCTTCAGGTTCATACCTGAAGTTTGTGAACTCTACAGTGAACGTGGCTCACTTGCTCTCTCCCTCTGGCTCCATTTCATTGAGTTACTTTTCCAGCATTAAGGACTCCTCACCAAATGACTGAAAGGCAGATGACAGGAAGGAGATTTTTTTTGCTTTGGGTTCTCTGACAGGTCTTGTGAACAGGGCTCTAAGCAGATGCTGGCATTAGAAAATATTTGTGTTCTCTGACTTTCCTGATACCTGGTATAGGAAATTCAGTGAGGAAAGATAGCAGGCAAGACAAGGCTTGTATTACATGATCCAGTGGCACAAAGCCACAGGAGACAAGAAATAGTGGGCACTGAAACACTGACAAGAATTTTACATCCTTGTCTCACTGCGTCTGATCTCTTGATGCCCTGGGAGATGTGAAACACTTACAAAGAGCCAGTATTGACTAAAGCCTGGAGATTTCACTTTGAAACGGATAGTGTCTGGGGTGAATTAATACAGCACATGATTTCCCCCACAAGTTAATTTTCTGGAAAAACTTTCTGAAGAATGAAATGCCCAGATACTCAGTAGCTTAAAAGTAATGAGAGTTAAGCTGACATCGTGAGAAGGAGATAGCTCCATAGAGGAGCTGACATTTAGTGTGGGCTCCAGCCATGCCCAGCCAAATAAGCAGTATTTTCTGGCAGCCCCAGTGAGAGTCATCACCAGTTCTTTTGTTTAACAAAATCCAAGAGTGCAATTAACAATTTCTATGACTTGGCCTTCAGAGCCTTCAAGTTACAAGAGGATAAACAAGTAGGAAAGAAAAGGGAGACGCCAATGTTTCAGAAATTATGATCTTCAAAGGAGGAGAAATAGTTCAACCACAAGGAGAGTGGTCAGAAATTTGATATCCTTTCTGTGAGAGCACAAGGAGACCCCAAACTGCCAAACCACTGTATCTGAGGAGGCGTTGCTGGGACTGAAGTTTCCAGAAATCTTTGAATGGCTCATTTATTTTACTGGGGCTAAAGTTGACGGGGTAATTATCAGGGCAGGCTGTGGATTTGATTGCTGTTCGGGCAAGTAGGCTTTCATTGTCAGCCAGGAAGCACTTGGGAATTACTTACTGCAGTGTGCCATGCAGACCTGTGCGTATGAGTGTGCATACATACTGTGTGTATGTGTGTGTGTGAGAGAGAGAGAGAGTGAAAGAGAAAGCTGAGGAGTAAGGATGGTCTATCTCTCTTTGCTTTTAAATCCAATTTTTCTCTCTTTGGTGTATATGCCAGAGTCAGCAGAGAGAGGTGAAGTTTTCGGTGTGCTAAACCCTACAGTAAGGATGAATTTCTATTTCACCTGTAACTCAAGCTTCCCCAGTCTAACAGGATTATATTAATGGGAATAGCCAAAATATCAGAGCCCCCACCCCTGCACACCCCCCACCCCTTACCACCAATGCATGGCCCAGAAGCTCCAGCTCCATCAAAGTCTCACCCAGTGTTGGATACTCTCTAGTGGGATCTCGTGTGACCTCAGGAACAGTTCTTTTATGCTCTCCTGATAAGGGTTTCATAGCTGGGGATCAAGATGCCATCTGAGGGTGGCTGTGCACTCACCTCACCTCTGCATGGCTTCAGTGGTATTCTTGAGAGTCTAAATGTCCATGCCAAGGAATGGAGGGGTCACCTTTTTCTAGTGGCCACATCAGCAACCTGCAGGGTACCAAGGAACAGCTGTACTTTCTGGAGTTCTCACCAGGCTGAAGCAACACTGTTTCCCCTATTCCGTCACATTTGCCTCCTGGGTAGCCATGATCATGCTGCTAGGTCATGCAAAACCCTGTGAGAACATATCCTCCACCTTCTGCCTGTAGCTCCTTCTTTCTATGCAGTGCAGATAAAAAATTAAGGTAGGAGGATCCACATTCTACACCAGTGGTTCTCAAACTTCAGCATGCATTAGAGTCACCTGAAGGTTTCATTAAAACACTGATTTCTGGGTGTTATCCAGGCTTTTTGATTTAGTAACTCTGGGGTGGGGTTTAAGATTTTACATTTCGAAATAATCCCCAGATGATGCTGGTACTACTGCTCTAGGGACCATATTTTGAGAACCACTGTTCTGGACAAGCACTATGCTGCCCCAGGGCCTCTGATCCACCAGTTGTCTGGGAGGTCCTGCCCCTCAACAGAGACACACCCAGTCACGTGCATCTTCACAGAGGGCCCCATTTATGTTCAATCTGGTACCTCCATTGCCATCATAGATGAAAACACATTGACTCTCCCATGTTATGCGTTTAAAGCAGAGATTTGCTGTTTGCATTCAGGCAATGTAGGTTTTGACTCCAGAACTTCACACTTGCACGTTCCTTAGGTATGAATTACTGACCAACACCATTCTGGGGGTAGAGGTGGGGGGTCCCTTAAATGCTGAAGAATGATCATTTGTGTGGTCTTCTCCCTCTTACTGCAAAAATTATTATATTTGGTGGTAGAAAATTCTTTCTTTGGTGCACTAGTAAAGCAACTGATGGGTAGGAGGCCTGGAGGATAAGAGGGGCTGTAAAGCAAGGGAGAAAAAATGGGAGAGAAGGGGACAAAATGGATGCCTTCCCATGTTGAGTCTTTGAGGAGTAGTCCTTGAACTACAGTTTTATAATGGATTAAATGGGCCTTGAGGAAGGGGCCTTCCGGGAAGTCTAGACTATGTCGAACATTTCTGTGGGAAATGTGTTATGAGAAGACACAAGCTAACTTACCCACCAACTGGAACTCAACTTGTTGCAAATTGGAGGTTACAGGAAATGTGCTAAAGGTCTTTTGCCACAGATGAACATTCTTTTGCTCTGATAGTGTGTATCATCAGTCATGCTAAGGGTGAAGCACAAATGAGATCTGGCATCTGCTAGGCTGCTGAATTATTGCTGTTATTGTTGGGTTTCCTGTATCTTTCCCATGAAATTACAGTGATCATCACTATGGCATCTGCTGGGCCTGAGATGGGTCAGAGCTAAAAATAGGATGGAGAATTCAGGCTCCTGGAGACAGTTCATGCACTGTGTGAGCTTTGAACCTTTGGTTTGCCCCAACTTTTGAGTTTGGCTTGAGGTGGCTCTTGGTAATAATGGGACAGAGCTCTGAGGAAAGGCAGTGTATGAAAGTGGAATCTCCAGATTTCATAAACTCCAGGGACCTTCAAGCTAATTGCATTCGACTCCACCCTTCTGCTGATGAGAAACTGAGGCCTAGAGAGTCATAGTAACCACAGCAGGAGTGTGGCCATGTGGGATTAGTTTGGGGCTCCAGAAATAGTTTCCTCAAACCTGCCTCCTACGGTGTGTTCCCTGGACCACTGGTGTCTGGGACAGTTAGCAGGTGCTAGATGAAATGGTTTGGGAAATACCAGGTTAAGTATTAAATGTAAGGGCAGGACCTGCTTAAGCTTTCCTAGGAGATATGTACAGTATTACGAATCTCTAAGAGGAGTTAAGGTAGGCTGTCTCTTTTTTCCTACTGAGCACTTCATGGAAGTACTCCGTGGAACCCATTTTGGGAAATTCTACATTATGCCCGTAGGTCTTAAAGTCTCCCGGCTGAATTGATACCCTTAAGATAGGTTTTCTTGAGGTTCTGAGGGGAACAATGTGTACTGGGAGTAAGGTTGTCAAGTAAAATACAGGGTGTTCCAGCTAAATTCAAATTTCAGTTAAATCAATTTTTTTTCTTTTTTTTTTTAGTGTAGGTCTCATGCAAGATTTGGGACTTACTTAAACGATTATTCATAGTTTAATCTGAAATTCAAATTTAACCAGGAATTCTCGAATTTTATTGCTAAATCTGGCATTCCTAAGTGGAGATTAGAGCAGAAAGAGAGAAAACTAAGAGCTGTTAAGACAGGCAGGCCGGGCCTTGGCCTCAGGAAGGAAGGGGCCACCCTCAAGGCTCTGTGCCAAGGAGAGAGCCCAGGTGTTTCTAGCCCACTTAGACCAGAGGCTTCAAATAAGACGGGCTACTGGCTTCAGTCTGGAAATCTGTGGGGCAATTTTTGTTGTGACAGTGATTGGGAGGTTCTACTGGCACTTAATGGACAGCAATGCCATATGTCCTGTAATATGTGAGACAGTCCAGTTTCCCACTCCACATTCTTTGTGTGTCCTACCTGACATTCTTAAATGTGCTTTCTTACTTCCCTTAAATGCAAGCCTATTCACGATATGAAAGTGCTAGCTCCTGACAACTTCTTTAAGTCTCCTGGGATGCTCATACTCCAGTATTTACATGTTAAATTATATGTCATTTTATGCTGACTTACTTTCCTTTTATTTATCCTCTTTCCTATTGTTAAAGCAATGTGTTTGTGTGTGTTCAATTATTTACAATTATTTATACCTATAGGCAATAGTGTCTGTGATTTTCATTTTAGGAGAGTAAAATAGGTATTATAAAATGTTCATAATAAAAATGAACACTTGTTTGGTAGAAATAAGAAGTATCGACTGAGCCACATTGTTTTTCTTGACTATAAGTCAAGAAAACCCTGAGTTCTGCTCTCTTCTTCTTCGTTAAGTATATCGTTCAAATTAGGTTTGGCTGCATTTAATGGAAAAACAAAATGAGATTGATAAATAAAAATAAAATCCTAAATGCCATACCAACTGACTGGATCCTTCCCCACTTGGCCAAGGGGACCCCAGAAAAACCTTAAAAACTGGCCATGATGGTACAGAAGGTTGGACATGCCTTGTTATACCCCCTCCCTCATTAACCACTATTAGGCTTTCTTTCTTAAGCATTAAACAAAAACCAGCCCTTTGGAAGGACTTGTTCCACTGCTAAATTCAACCAACCTCCCTTTTGTGGTTTTGACACAACAAATGATCAGCATTCTTTCCTGATAAGAGACCGCCAACCACAAAGTGGTTCTGGCCATCTATGGATGCTGTGCAGAGGGCCTTTGTGTGCTCTGTTTCACCCTTGGATGTATAGGGCCTAATTGTAATACATTTAAACATTAGGTTTCCACCCCAAAGTGAACATGGGACACATGTTGTATTCATGTTAGTCCTCTACACATGCCCATGCCTCCCCTTTGTGAATATTCATAGCTCCTCCTATAACTGTCAAATATATATATTTGGCCACCCTGCTCAGCGTATATCTCTGTCTTATTCTTCCCACTCTCAAGAGCCTATTTCTGGCTTCTGACTGGAGGTGACGCTTGCCAGCTTATCAGAATGGCTGCCTGCAGGCTGCAACGCTTTATGAGAAATAAAGCTCTCCTTTCCAAATTTGTAACTTCGTTGTTCTTCAGTTGACAAGAAAAAGCAGTGGCTTCAACAATACAGCAGGTTATTTTTGTTGCATGTAAGAGAAGTTAAGAGGTAGGCTGTCCTGTGTTGGGAGGCCACTTCCTTCCAGGTCTCTGTTCTGCCATCCTCAAGATGGCTGTTTGGAGGTCTTGGACATGTTCGACACTCATTTTTGGAAGCCAGCCTCCATTCTGAGGAGGCAAAGCAGCCACATGAAGAGGCCCACAAGAAGGGAACCAAGGGCCCTAGCCAACAGTCTCAACTGAGCTCCCAGCCAGTGGCTGCATCCAAAGCCAGCCTGGTAAGTGAGGCTATTTCGGCCATCACCTTCCAGCACCCAAGCTGTCACTATGTGACACCAGAGAACTGTCTGGTGGATACACAGAAATGTGATAAATGATAGGTCATTGTTCTTTTAAGCCTCTAAGTTCCCCCTTCCCCTACCACTACCACCCCACAGGTAGGGGGGATTGTTATACAGCAATTGATAACCCAAACAACATTTGTTTATTCATTCATGTGAACTCATGTGCTAAGCACTATTCCAGATGCTGAGGATTCAGGAGTGAAAAGGTAGAAAAAATCCCTGCCCTCAAGAAGTTTACCATCTCGCTAGCTCCTTCTTTTATTCCTCTAGAGGCTACAAATCATTTTTCTCTTCAAGCCACCACCCCTACTTCTTGTTTTATGGGGAAGTTGGAGACCATTAGAATTGAATTTTTCCAACTTCTTTCTCCCACACACATTTCCCTGGATCTACACTGTCTCCTCTCCTCCACTGCAGCTCACGGCAGGGCCAGAACCAGCCCATCCCCTCTTTTCTGCTATCCAGCTACCAGACTCTGGATCCTATTCTTCCTTTCATGTGCCTTTAACTTCTGTTCCATGAGACCAACTCTTTCATAATTTAAACAGATTCATCTCTACAGTCCTAAAAACTAGCACAATAAAAAGCTCCTCTTTAACCTTATCTTCACAATGTACCTTTTGCTCTTTCTCTTTTAGCCGTCACAGCCAAGTTTCTACAGATTGGAGTCTTCTCATTCTTTCTCTGTTTTCTCATTTCCAGTTCACTAGTATATAATGGTCATGGAAGGTCTCTGTGGGAAGTGACATTTAAGCTGGTATAATAACAATTTCTTGATTCTTCATATTGCTGGAACTTTCAGCAGCATTTGCATTCCTAACCATTCTTTCCTTCCTCAACTAAACTCTAGGGTAATCTCTTGGTTCTCTTCCTACATCTCCAACCCATGTATCTCTTTTTCTTATCTTTCTGGCCATTCTCCATCAGGTATTGTTCAGGTTTCCACCTTTGGCCTTCCTGTCTCACTCACCTTCTTTGCAGCCAAATTCATCCACATCCATAGTTTTAACCCACCACCAAAGTGCTAATGACCCCAAACCAGTATGTCCACTCCAGACTGCTACCCCCAGCCCCTTGGTTCATTTGCCCAGCTTCCTTCCAAGCAGCTCCACTTGGGTTTCCACCAGGCAGTTCAAGTTCAGAGCTGAATCCAATTTCTCCACCTCTTTCCACTACTCCAAGTCTCAGCCAGCAATGCTTCTTGATGAAGCCTAAAACCACAGGGCCAACCTAGATTTCTCTCTTCTTTTTTTGTACCATCACCCACATACATAGGAATTTTTTAAAATCACAAGATCCTCTTGATTCTATATCCTTACGATTTCCTGTCTCTATTCATCCATTTCCATCCCCACTGTTCAGAACTGGCCCTTTCTCCACTTATAGAAGACTTACTGGACTCTTTACCCCAAAGCATTTCTTCCTTCAATTAGTCCTCTTCTCTACTATCAGAGTGACATGTCTAACATTTAAAATTGATAAGATCAAGCTGCTGTTCAGAATTCTCCAATAGCCTCTGCTCTGGGTCCTGCTTGGTACTTTAGTTCCTCCCTTCCCCACCCAGCTTTAGTCCTCCCCTGGCCACGTCTTGGGACCACAGGGATGTGCACAACTTGAACCTGCCCCACCACTCCCCAGTTCAGGTATTCTGAACCTAAGGACTCCCTGTGTGCACGGTGTGGAAAGGCCTCTGTGCTCTTACACAGCCCCATGAAGTATTAGGTACAGGAAATTTGCTGCCTCATCCATTTCCCACTATTTCTGCCTCCCCTGAGTTTGCTTACTTCCCCTCATTTCCTCACTTCTGTGCATTCTTTTTTCTCTACCTGCAATGCTCTCCTCTTTTGCCCATCAGAGTAAAATTTCCTACTCCTTTAAAAAAATTTCAGTAAGTTTTTGGAAAACAGGTAAAGTTTGGTTACATGAATAAGTTCTTTGGTTGTGATTTCTAAGATTTTGGTGCCTCCATCACCCAAGCAGTATACACCATACCCAATGTGTAGTCTCCTATCCCTTGCCATCCCCTACCCTTTCCCCAAGTCCCCAAAGCCCAATGTATCACTCTTGTTCCTTTGTGTCCTCACAGCTTATCTCCTACATATGAATGAGAACATAGGATGTTTGGTTTTCCATTCCTGAGTTACTTCACTTAGAATAATGGTCTCCACTTCCATTCAGGTTGCTGTGAATGCCATTATTTTGCTCCTTTTTATGGCTAAATAGTATTCCACGGTGTGTATATGTGTGTGTGTGTGTGTGTGTGTGTGTGTGTGTGTATCACATTTTCTTTATCCACTTGTTGATTGATGGGCATATGGGCTGGTTCCATATTTTTGCAATTGCAAATTATGCTGCTATACATACGCATGTGCAAGTATCTTTTTCATGTAATGACTTATTTTCCTCTGGGTAGATACCCAGTAGTGGGATTGCTGGATCAAATGGTAGATCTACTTTTAGTTCTTTAAGGAATCTCCACACGGTTTTCCATAGTGGTTGTACTAGTTTACATCCCCACCAACAGTGTAAAAGTATTCCTTTTCACCGCATTCTTGCCAACATATATTTATTTTTATTTTTTTATTATAGCCATTCTTGCAGGAGTAAGGTGGTATCGCACTGTGGTTTTGATTTGCATTTCCCTGATCATTAGTGATGTTGAGCATTTTTCCACATGCTTTTTCCCCATTTGTGTACCTTCTTTTGAGAATTTTCTGTTTATGTCCTTAGCCCACTTTTTGATGGGATTGTTTTTTTCTTGCTGATTTGTTTGAGTTCATTGTCGATTCTGGATATTAGTCTTTTGTCAGATATATAGATTGTGAAGATTTTCTCCCACTCTGTGGGGTGTCTGTTAACTCCGCTGATTATTTATTTTGCTGTGCAGAAACTTTTTAGTTTAATTATAACCCATCTATTTATCTTTTTATTCCATTTGCTTTTGGGTTCTTGGTCATGAAGTCTTTGCCTAAGCCAATGTCTGGAAGGGTTTTTCTGATGTTATTTTCTAGAATCTTTATGGTTCAGGTCTTGGATTTAAGTCTTTGATCCATCTTGAGAGATTTTTGTATAAGGTGAGAGATGAGGATCCGGTGTCATTCTTCAACATGTGGCCAGCCAATTATCCCAGCACCATTTGTTGAATAGGGTGTCCTATCCCCACTTTATGTTTTTTGTTTGCTTTGTCAAAGATTAGTTGACTGTAAATATTTGGCTTTATATCTGAGTTTAGTATTCTGTTTCATAGGTCTATGTGCCTATTTTTATACCAGTACCATGCTGTTTTAGTGACTATGGCCTTATAGTATAGTGTGAAGTCGTGTAATGTGATGCCTCCAGATTTGTTCTTTTTACTTAGCCTTGCTTTGGGTATGTGAGCTCTTTTTTATTTTTTTGGTTCCATATGAATTTTAGGATTGTTTTTGCTAGTTCTGTGAAGAATTATGGCAGTATTTTGATAGAAATTGCATTGAATTTGTAGATTGTTTTGGCAGTATGGTCATTTTCACAATATTCACTCTACCCGTCCATGAGCACGGGATGTGTTTCCATTTGTTTGTGTCATCTGTCATTTCTTTCATCAGTGTTTTGTAGTGTTCCTTTTGGAAGTTTTCCACCTCTTTGGTTAGGTATATTCCTAAATATTTGTTTTTGTTATTGTTGTTGTTGTTGTTGCAGCTATTGTAAAAGGGGTTGAGTTCTTGACTCTATTCTCAGCTTGATTGCTGTTGGTGTATAGCAGAGTGACTGATTTGAGTACATTAATTTTGTATCCAGAAACTTTGCTGAATTCATTTAACAGTGCTAGGGACTTTCTGGATGAGACTTTAGGGTTTTCTAGGTATATGATCATATCATCAGCAAACAGTGACAGTTTGACTTCCTCTTTACCGATTTGGATGCCCTTTATTTCTTTCTCTTGTCTGATTGCTTCGACTAGGACTTTCAGTACTATGTTGAATAGAAGTGGTGAAAGTGGGCATCCTTGTGTTGTTCTAGTTCTCAGGGGAAGTGCTTTCAACTTTTCCCTGTTCGGTATAATATTGGCTGTGGGTTTGTTGTAGATGGCTTTTATTACCTTAAATTATGTCCCTTCAAATTTGTTTTTGCTGAGAGTTTTAATCATAAAGAGATGCTGGATTTTATAAAATGCTTTTTCTGCATCTATTGAGATGATCATTTAATTTTTGTTTTTAATTCTGTTTATGTGATGTATCATGTTTATTGACTTATGTATGTTAAACCATCTCTGCATCCCTGGTATGTAACCCACTTGATCATGGTGGATTATCTTTTCAATATGCTATTGGATTTGGTTTGCTAGTATTTTGTAGAGGATTTTTACATCTATGTTCATCAGGGATATTGGTCCATAGTTTTCTTTTTTTTTTTTTTTGTTATGTCCTTTCCTGGTTTTGGTATTATTAGGGTGTTACTGGCTTCATAGAATGATTTAGGCAAGATTCCCTCTTTCTCTATCTTTTAGAATAATTTCAATAGGATTGGTACTAACTCTTCTTTAAATGCCTAATAGAATACAGCTGTGACACCATCTGTTCCTGGCATTTTTTTCCTGTTGGCAAATTTTAAATTGAAATTTACCATTTCAATCTTCCCACTTGTTACTGGTCTGCTCAGATTCTTTATTTTCCTGGTTTAATCTAGGAGGGTTGTATATTTCTAGGAATTTATCCATCTCCTCTAGGTTTTCTAGTGTATGAGTGTAAAGATTTTCATAGTAGCTGATATGGTTTGGCTGTGTCCCCACTCAAATATCTCTCGAATTCCCACGTGTTGTGAGAGGGACCTGGTGGGAGGCAATTGAATCATGGGGGCAGTTCTTTCCTGTGCTGTTCGAGTGAGAGTGAATAAATCTCATGAGATCTGAAGGCTTAATGAGGCAGAGTCTCCCTGCATCTCCCTGCACAAGCACTCTCTTTTCCTGTTTCCATCCATGTAAGATGTGACTTGCTCCTCCTTGCCTTCTACCATGATTGTGAGGTTTCTCCAGCCACATGAAACCATAAGTCTATTAAACCTTTTTTCTTTTGTAAATTGCCTAGTCTTGGGTATGTCTATTTTTTTTTTTTTTTGAGATGGAGTCTCACTCTGTCATCCAGGCTGGAGTGCAGTGGTGTGATCTTGGCTCACTGCAACCTTGGCCTCCCGGATTCAAGTGATTCTCCAGCCTCAGCCTCCCAAGTAGCCAGGGCTACAGATGTGTGCCACCATATCTGGCTAATTTTTGTATTTTTAATAGAGATGGGGTTTTGCCATGTTGGCCAGGCTGGTCTCCAACTCCTGACCTTAGGTGATCCACCTGCCTTGGCCTACCAAAGTGCAGGGATTACAGGCATGAGCCACCTCACCCAGCCTTGGGTATGTCTTTATCAGCAGCGTTAAAATGAATGAATACAGTAAATTGTTACCAGTATGGTGGGGTGCTGCTAAAAGATACCTGAAAATGTAGAAGTGACTTTGGAAGTGGGTGACAGGCAGAGATTGGAGAAGTTTGGAGAGCTCAGAAAAAAAAAAAAAAAACAGAAAAATGTGGGAAAGTTTGGAACTCCCTAGAGACTTGTTGAATGGCTTTGACCAAAATGCTGATAATGATATGGACAGTGAAATCCAGGCTGAGTTGGTCTCAGATAAAGATGGGGAACTTGGGAACTGGAGCAAAGGTGACTTTTATTATGTTTTAGTAAAGAGACTGGCAGCATTTTGCTCCTGCCCTAGAGATCTGGAACTTTGAACTTGAGAGAGATGACTTAGGATATCTGGTGGAAGAAATTTCTAAGCAGGAAAGCATTCAAGGGGTGACTTGGGTGCTGTTAAAGGGATTCAGTTTTAAAAGGGAAACAGCATAAAAGTGGAAAATTTGCAGCCTAAAAGTGTGATAGAAATGAAAATCCCATTTTCTAAGGAGAAATTCAAGCCAGCTGCAGAAATTTGCATAAGTAACAAGGAGCCGAATATTAATCACCAAGACAATGGGGAAAATGTCTCCAGGCCATGTCAAAGACCTTTCCAGCATCCCCTCTAGTAATAGACCCAGAGGTTTAGGAGGAAAAAATGGTCTCATGGCCCAGGCCTAGGGTCCCTCTGCTGTGTGAAGCCTAGGGACTTTGTGCCCTGCATCCCAGCTGCTCAAGCTGTGACTAAAATGGGCCAAGGTACAGCTTGGGCTCTTGCTTCAGAGGGTGGAAGCCCCAAGCCTTGGCAGCTTCTATGTGGTATTGAGCCTGCAGGTGAACAGAAGTCAAGAATTGAGGTTTGGGAACTTCTGTCTAGATTTCAGAGGACGTATGGAAACGCCAATATGCCCAGGCAGAAATTTGCTGCAGGGGTGGGGCCCTCATGGAGAACCTCTGCTAGGGCAATGCAGAAGGGAAATGTGATGTCAGAGCCCCGACACAGAATCCCTACAGGGGCACCCCCTAGTAGAGCTATGAGAAGAGGGCCACTATCCTCCAGACCCCAGAATCATACACCCACCAATAGCTTGCACTGTGCACCTGGAAAAGCCACATACACCCAATGCCAACCTGTGAAAGCAGCCAGGAGGGTAGCTATACCCTGAAAAGCCCCAGGGCTGGAGCTGCCCAGGACCATGGGAACCCACCTTTTGCATCAGCATGTCCTGGATGTGAGACATGAAGTCAAAGGAGATCATTTTGGAGCTTTAAGATTTGGCTGCTCTGCTGGATTTTGGAATTGCATGGGGCCTGTAGCCCCTTTGTTTGGGCCAATTTCTCCCAGTTGGAATGGGTGTATTTACCCAATTCCTGTACCCCCATTGTATTTAGGAAGTAACTAGCTTTTGGTTTTACAGGCTCATAGGCAGAAAATGCTTGCTTTGTTTCAGATGAGACTTTGGACTGTGGACTTTTGAGTTAATACTGAAATGAATTAAGACTTTGGGGGACTGTTGGGAAGCCATGATTGGTTTTGAAATGTGAGGACATGAGATTTGGGAGGAGCCGGAGGTGGAATAATATGGTTTGGCTGTGTACCCACTCAAATCTCATCTTGAATTCCCACATGTTATGGGAGGGACCTGGTGGGAGGTAATTGAATCATGGGGGCAGTTCTTTCCCTTGATGTTCTCATGATAGTGAATAAGTCTCATGTGATCTGATGGCTTTTTAAAGCAGAGCTTCCCAGCACAAGCACTCTCTTAGCCTACTGCCTTCCATGTAAGATGTGACTTGTTCTTTTTGTCTTCCACCATGATTGTGAGACTTCCCCAGGCACATGGAAGTGTAAGTCCATTAAACCTCTTTCTTTTGTAAATTGCCCTGTTTTGGGTATGTCTTTATCTGCAGCATGAAAAAGAACAAATACAGTTGCCTTGAATACTCTTTTGTGTTTCTGTGGTATTGGTTGTAATATCTCTCATTTTTTTTCTAATTGAGCTTATTTGGATCTTCTCTCTTCTTGATTAATCTCACTAATGTTCTATGAATTTTATTTATCTTTTCAAAGAACCAGCTTTTAAAAACTTTCATTTATCTTTTGTATTTTTGTTTCTTTCAATTTCATTTAGTTCTGCTGTGATTTTTGTTACTTCCTTTCTTTTGCTGGATTTGGTTTGGATTGTTCTTCTTTCTCCAGTTCTGTGAGGTGTGATGTTAGATTCTCGGTCTATGCTTTTTTAGACTTTCAAATGTAAGCATTTAATGCTATGGTTTATAGTTGATTTTGAATTTTATTTCATTGTGGTCTGAGAGAGTACTTGATATAATTTCTATTGTCAGTCTGTGCTTTTTCAGACTTTCTAATGTAGGCATTTAATGCTATGAACTTTGCTGTTAGTACCACTTTTGCTGTATCCCAGAGGTTTTGATAGGTTGTGTCATTATTATCATTTAGTTCAAATAATTTTTTAATTTCCATCTTGATTTCATTGTTGATCTAATGATCATTCAAGAGCAGGTTATTTAATTTCCATGTATTTGCATGGTTTTAAGGGTTACTTTGCAGTTGATTTTGAATTTTATTCCATTGTGGTCTGAGATAGTACTTGATGTAATTTCTATTTTCTTAAATTTATTGCGTGTTGTGGCTTATTGTATGGTTTATCTTGGAGAATGTTCCATGTGCTGATGAAAAGAATGTATATTCTGCAGTTGTTGGGTAGAATGTTGTATAAATATCTGCTAAGTCCATTTGTTGTAGGGTATACTTTAAGTCCATTGCTTCTTTGTTGACTTTGATTTTTGATGATGTGTCTAGTGCTGTCAGTGGAGTATTTAAAGTCCCCTCCCACCTTATAACTGCATTGCCATCTATCTCATTCCATAGATCTAGTAGTAATTGTTTTATAAATTTGGGAGCTTGAGTGTTAGGTACGTATATATTTAGGATTGTGATATTTTCTTGTTAGATCAGTTTTTTTATTATCATATAATGTCCTTCTTTGTCTTTTTAAACTGTTGTGTTGCTTTAAACTCTGTTTTGTCTGATATAAGAATAGCTACTTCTGCTCATTTTTGGTGTCCATTTGCATGGAATATCTCTTTCTACCCCTTTAAATTATTTTGGTGTATTTTGAGGTTTCACTTCAAGATTTACAGCTCCTTTTAGCAGTTCTTGTAATGCTGGCTTGGTAGTGGCAAATTCTCCCAGCACTTTTTTTGTCTGGAAAAAAATGTATCTTTCCTTCATTTATGAAGTGTAGTTTTGCTGGATACAAAATTCTTGGCTGATAATCGTTTCATTTAAGGAGGCTAAAAATAAAACCTCAATCTCTTCTGGCCTATAGGGTTTCTGCTGAGAAATCTGCCATTAATCTGATAGGTTTTCCTTTATAGATTACCTGATGCTTTTCCTTCACAGATCTTAAGATTCTATTCTTTATCTTGACTTTAGATAACCTGATGACTATGTGCCTAGGCAATGATCTCTTTGCAATGAATTTCCCAGTTGTTCTTTGAGCTTCTTGTATTTGGAAGTCTAGATCTCTAGCAAGGCTGAGAAAGCTTTCCTTAATTTTTCCCTTAAATATGTTTTCCAAACTTTTAGATTTCTCTTCTTCCTTGGGACCACCAATTATTTTTAGGCTTGGATGTTTAACATAGTCCCAAACTTCTTGGAGGTTTTGTTCATTCTTTGAAATTCTTTTTTCTTTGTCTTTGATGGATTGAGTTAATTAGAAAGCCTTGTCTTTGAGCTCTGAAGTTCTTTCTTCTGCTTGTTTGATTCTATTGCTGAGACTTTCCAGTACATTTTGAATTTCTCTAAGTGTACCCTTGATTTCCAGAAGTTGTGATTGCTTATTATTTATGCTACCCATTTCACTGAAGAATTTTCTTTCATATAGCCTGTGTTTTTGATTTCTTTCAGTTGGACTTCACCTTTCTCTGGTGGCTCCTTGATTAGCTTAATAATCGACCTTCTGAATATTTTTTCTGGCAATTCAGATATTTCCTCTTGGTTTGGATCCATTGCTGTTGAGCTGGTGTGATCTTTTGAGGGTGTTAAAGAAACTTGTTTTGTCATATTACCAGAATTGTTTTTCTGGTTCCTTCTCATCTGGGTAGACTATGTCAGAGGGAAAATCTGGGATTCAAGCGCTGCTGTTCAGATTCTTTTGTTCCACAAGGTGCTCTCTTGATGTGGTGTTTTCCCCCTTCCCCTAAAAATGGGGCTTCCTGAGAGCCGAACTGTAGTGATTGTTTTGCTCTTATGTCTAGCCACCCAGTGGAGCTACCAGACACTGGGCTGGTTTTGAAGAGTGTCTGCAAAGAGTCCTGTGATGTGATCCGTCTTCAGGTCTTGCAGCTGTAGATACCAGCACCTGCTCTGGTGGAGGTCTTAGGGGAGTGAAGTGGATTCTGTGAGGTTCCTTAGTTGTGTTTTTGTTTAGTGCACTGGTTTTGTGTTGGTTGGCCTCCAGTCAGGAGTTGGCACTTTCAAGAGCACATCAGCTGCAGTCCTATGGGGAGGATGCAAGCTTGCTCTAGAGATACCTGGTTAAATATTCAGGTTTCTCAGACATTGGGCAGGGCCATAGAACTCTCAACAGATTATGACTTTTGTTTTTTGGATACTAGGGTGGGTAGAGAAAGACCACCAGGTGGAGGCAGGGATTGGCGTGTCTGAGCTCCAACTCTCCTTGGGCAGAACTTGCTGCAGCTGCTGTGGTGGATAGGGATGTGGTTCCCAGGCCAATGGAATTATACTCCCAGGGGGATTATGGCTGCCTCTGCTGAGTCATACAGGTCACCAGGGAAGTGGGAAAGCCAGCAGTCCCAGGCCTCACCCCTCTCCCATGCAGCCCACAGTCCTAAAGTCCAGACTCACTCCCACAGTACCCCTGGCAACAGCACTGAGTCTATTTCCAGGCAGCTGGTGACCAGGGCTGAGAATTTGCCCAGACCATGAGCCTCCTCATTGAAAACGCAAGATGACTCACAGTTTTTGGGCATTTCAGGGAGCCTGCAGTAGTGATCCAGTTCCTTCAAAAGACTGGTGAATTTTCTTAGCTTTTCCTGGTATGTTCTGTAGTACTTCCTGGAGCAAAAGTTCAAGATGTGAGTCTCCACATGCTGCTCTGTCCATCTGAGCTGGAGCTGCAAGCTAGTTCTGCCTCTTACCCACCATCTTAATCCAATTCCTACTCCATATTAGGTTTCAGCAAAAGGGTCTCGCCAACCACCCCCAGCAAACCCAGGCATGCTTTCTGCATTCTTGCTGCACTTTGACTCACCTTCTGTGCCTGTTCTTGAGTTCCTCAAAGACATTGCTGGCATCTTCTCCATTTTCCTTGCATTTCCTAGCCCATCCCTGGCATGTAGATACCATGAATAAAGGAATTTACCTCTATTAGCCAAGAAATGCATCTCACTTGCCAATTTCACCATGCTTGCATTTCAATGGCAGAGAATTTAGAAGCACTTCAGCATAGGAAGGCAGTGTCTTGTTAAAAATATTAGCTACACCTTGTACTGAGTCATTCCTCTGTGCCAGGCATTCTGCTAAGTGCTTTACAAATATTATCATGTTTATCTTCATTATAACTATGTAAAGCAGACATAATTATTAAACCCAGTTTACAGATATGGAAACTGAGGCTCAGCAAGGTTAAATTAAATGCTCCAGGTCACACAACCAGGAAGGGAAAAGCCAAAGTTCCCATCTAATTACAGCACACTCTCTTCTACTGCACATGGAATTAGAACAACCTATTGGGGCAAAATATGCAGTCTCTCCTCTTCCAATCATAACAAATGGATTTAAATATATCAAAAAGTATTCTTAGGGAAGCAATGTTCCTATATGATCAAAAAGTTGTCGGTGCTTTTTCTTAAAAAGTGAATATGGTAAGGAAACACAATTAACCTGCTGAATTTGAACTCCAATTTTATTTAGACTGAGTGTAATAAGAGGCATGCTTAAGGTAGTTTTAAAAATTTAAAGTCCCAATAAAAATCTTATTCTGAGAAATTGTTTTTTTGTTGTTGTTGTTTATTCAATTAGGTTACTTCTAGAACAGAAACAGTGCTATGCGGTTGTGAAGTAAAAAATCTCTTCTTTTTTACTTGAGCCCATGAATTCTTAGTTAAAATACCTAACTTATTGCTCATATCAATAATTAAGCAGCAGAGGAAAGATTTATCATGGTACTTTTGTGCTCAGCGATGCCAGAATTATGTACTAATCCTTGTGTCAAGATAAAATTCCCTGCTGAGATGCCCAGGAAGACATGCCGTCACCACCTGCAACAGCATTAACTCACTGTGCTTTTAGGAAATTGATACATGTTAAGGACAAAAGTCATTTTTAGACAGAGCAAGAGTACATTTGGCAACAGGCAGAAGCTAAAAGGGAATTTTAACTTGTGGCTCCATACAACTGACTCAAATAGGATATTTGAACATAAAGAAGTCAGGACTAGTTGGCAGCTTATCACGACAGAATTGCATAGCTCCTCACAGTTGTAAACTATTTTTGTAAAAGTTCAGTGGAGTAGCAGCAGCAGCAGCAGCTGGTTACTGCAGTGTCTTTCTTCCATCAGGCAAATAACTGATGGCTCTCAGGATACCTGGCAAATAACCCTGGCAGAAAGGTGCCATTTCCCCCAAATTCAGCAAAGAATTGTACTAAATTCTACAGTGCCCAGCTCATTGCCATTAGCACTCCCAGCCCTCATTTTTGCATTAGCTTTTGAAAGGAAAGGCCCTCTTTCCTTCCTGTCTGGTTCTTCCTCATGATTACTGCAATCCTTAGCACTTTTTGTGGTTTGACTGGTTAATTCCCATGTAATGGGTGGAAAAAGCCCTGAAGCATGGAAAAGTTACAGGATTAACTGTGTTTGTAGGGTGAACCAATACTAAGGTGAAAATCTCCTTTAGTAGGTTAATAATAAAAAGCATAAAAATAGCTACCTCCATTTTTATGTGGTCTAGTTGCTACATACTGTTGCCTTATAACCATTTTCTTCTTTATTCCTCATACCAAGTCTGCAAAGCAGGCTTTAATTGAGCTCATTTAACAGATTAAAAAGACAAAACAAAACAAAAACTGAGGCTGAAGGAGACAGCAACTTGCCCAAGGTCACATATTCAGTAAGTGGCAGAGTGTCTGAGTCCAAAGCATAAAAGTTCCCTATCTTGTGAAGTGATATTCCATTAAGGACAGCCTTGGTTCACAAGGCGGTCCCAGGTTTAGCTTTGGCTAAGCACACAGTACATTGGTAGCCTGTGTCACACAGTTACATTATTGTTCTCTTTTCTAATCCCCTGTATGTGCCAACCCTTATAACAGGGACAATGTGCTATTTCTTTAAGCATCCATTGCATATCCTAGGGTGCAGACATGTATCTGGTACTTAATCATTGTTGATTGATGCTTTTTATATTGGAAACAGTGTTTCTCTTCCTTCAATAAATAAACACTCATTAAAGCCCACTTTTGTGCTGACAGTGTAGTACTTTCTATGCGAAATAGTAAAATGAAGATTCTACCCATCTTGCCCTCAAAGAAATCTAGAAAATGGGGAGCATCATGTATGTAGGGAAGAGGAACCTTGCTCACACTTTTCCTCTTCCCCTTCCTTGCATCTCCCCACAAAAAGAGGCAGTTATAATCTGATTGGTCTGGTTCCAGAACACTTTTTTGGCCACACTTACTGATGGGCGGTGTTACTATTTAACTTTTAAGAGTTTCTGTCTTTCCTCCCTTCCAGTGCATGTGGTACAATTTGTAAATTGAACTAAGGTCTCTTTAGTTACCTGGCCATCTTTTTATGATGTTTTTATCTTTTTATCCACATACTTAAAGCTTACTGGGCTTTTTAGTTCTCATACTATGTGATAAACTAGAAAATGAGATCCAAGATTTAGATTCTGGCTTGATGCAGACACAATGCTATGGAGGCCTTGAGCATAAGCTGTGGGTTTTAATCCAGGGTTATGAAAGCTCTAAATTGGGGAGAAGTGGTCACTAGCCCAGCCATAAGTTGGTACTTTGTTTTCCACTTGCTGTTATCCCTGATGTGTAAATTTCACTTGGGAACTTGGTGGAGAAGATGACTGGCAAGGATTTTTAGGTCCCTGCCCTTAATGCCATAAAATACCACTAAAACTCTACTACCTGACCTAACCCAGTAGCTACATCACAGAGACAGGACAAAGTGTTATCATCAAGGCTCAATCCACATGCTATAGGACTCCAGGAAAGCTCACTATCAACTTGAGGGCATTGGGCGAATGTATGTACTTTTTAGGTTTCTTTTCTCAATACTGGTTCAAACAATGGACTTGTTATGTAAAGAACACTGAGGGCTAAGCAATTCATGTAATAGGCTTGAGTGACAGCTTGTCATCAGCATTCGAAAAGAGACTGATAGACAATTTGGCTAACAAGGCCAACAACTCTGGTATCTGCAGTGGGAAGACTTATCTATGTAAAATTCAACATCCACGGCTCTCATTTATTAATGTCCTATTAGTCATAGTCCTTAAGGCCTATTAAATTCAAATAACTTCTTGGGTACCTGTTAGAGAATGTGATAAACTACGTAGTTTTGTACCCTGTAACAAGTCCAGACATATAATAGCTTTTTAAAAACTTAGGGTCACATTCAATAACACTTTAAACTTATACTCCAAACACCAGTACTTCACTACTACACTGATTCTTATTACTATATTTGTGTTTTAATGTGATCCTACCCCTTTAAAATGAATCCCACTCTCTCTTTATAATGATTTCTGTGTGTGTAATCAATTTGCTTCTCCCCTCTGTGAGGAGAAATGGCTGTGGATCTCGCACAGATGCTACCAAGTAGAATGACCTTCAGCAGGCAGAGATAAACAAGAGCTGCTTTTCATCTCCCAACCATTGATTTTCTGCAAGTCAACCACAAAACTGCTTTGAAGTCCAGGAGAGAGGTGCAAGGGAAGAGGGAGATAAAACCGAAGGGAAGGGTGGATTTGAAACAAAGTTAATCTCTGCCATCTAGGTGTAGATAGTTATTGGCAAAACTGAACCTGCCAGGTTGCATTGAGAGAATTTAGATTATTGTAAAAAGTGTGTTTTAAATTGGTAAAACTGGGTTTGGAAAGGGTGGCATATAAAACAAAGAGAAGTCTGAAAGGATCTTGCATAAAATTTATAAACTTAGCAGAAATAATTGCTTTAAATAGAATTAAACAGTATCAGGTGTGCAGTGTATAATCTTAATACTGCTTGTGAAGTCTTCCATTTTGTTTATGTTGCATAATAGGAAAGGTATATGGATTGTAAGAGTAATTATTTGTTGTGTCAATATTCTCTAAAAACTACACAATAGATCAAGAGTTTGGCTTGATAGTTTTCCAGAACAGTTATGACTTTTATAAAAATTATACACATATTTGAATAATACTTTTCCATTGACAAAATACTTTTCTATGAGCTTCAACATAAACCTAGGAGACAGGCTAGATAAATGCTATTACCTCTTTTATATATGAGGAACCAGAGCCTGAGCGAACCCATGTGAACTGCCCAGAGAGACACTGAAAAAAACAGTGGAGGGGCCAGTACTAGAGAATCCAAGTTCTCTGATAATTGATCTCCTTTTCTTCCTGTAGGCTCCCTGTAATTTGAGGTTTAAGCGAGAGGAAAACTTGAACCCTCCCTTCCCCCTCTTCTTCCTGAAACGTGTTGTTTTTGTCAGGGTGGTCTTTTTCAATGTACTCTTAACATGATAGTGTTGGGATCTTAGAACATATTTCTTATTCTTAAGATGTCTGGAGGTTAAATGCTGACACTGAAAATCTGGAGACCCTGCTTTGAAGACAGTCATTACTTTGACCACTGTGGAGGTTTGAGCTTCCTGAATAGTGCTGCATAAAGTAGGATTTACCACAATTCTGGGGGGCTTAAGGAAACTTAGTGTTGTGAAATGAAAGATCCTCGAGAAAGTTTAACCATGAACACTAAACAAATGCCAGCCAACCTGAAACCTCAGCTCACAGTTCTTCCTCATTCCAGCCTTCCAGGATCTGGGTAAACAAAAAAATACGTGTGCCATTTGAGGGGAAAGCTGTCATGGAGGAGCTGAGGTTTCACCTGCCCTTGAAATGGCTGAAGCACTCATGTGCTCTCAAGGAGCAATACAATTATCATGACCTGGACCAACAAGTATCTGGTAGAGGTATATGTGTGGGATGACAACCTTTGGAGTTGTCAGTAGGTCCCTTTCACAATTTTCTGTTTTCATTTGGTTATTTTTATACAACTAATTTGTATCAGATATTTAATTTAGTATTTTGTTCAGATCCTAAAAATCATCATTTAGTTTTAGCTGGTAAGTAATAAAGTACACATCCAATAATACACTCACATAAAATTTCAGTCAGGCTTTATAATAAATGCCTAACAGCTTTTTAAAAGTGGTTCAGTTAACGTCCTGGGCAGGACAAGCTAATTAAAAGGGTTAAGTAATTGCAACAATTAATTTCCTTATTAATTAATTTTTTTTGCAATAACAGAATTTTGCTGACAATAATTAACTTTAATATTAATTTTGATATTACTTCACTTAATCAAACAGGGCAATTTAAAATTCATTTCAGAATGACATAGAGTTAGTGATTTACAGGGCAATTAATATAGTCAGCCTCTGCCTGAGCTATTATCATTTTATGGGATGGTTTCTTTACAAATATGTAACATCTTGCTTTATGTAAGTTATATAAGTTACCACTGAAATTTTAAATAGTTATATTGCTGCATAGGGTTCATGTTAAAATAACATGTCACTTAAATGAGTGTTAAGATTTAATCTATTAAAATCACCTCCTTTTTATTATTTCATTCACTTTAACGTACATACACATGTGACTTACAAGTAAACATATTTTGGGATATGGGCTTAAATGCCTCATCAGCACATTTCGTGTCCAGTGTGTTTTATAAAATATTAGTAAAGCATCAGTCATGATAGAGGCTTCAATCTATTTTCATTTTTTTAAATAATTATGAATATCTGTAGGTATGTTTACTTTTGAAATATGAACTAGTCTAGTCCTCTATTACCTGGGATGCTGTTAGACTTAATCTGTTTGGATTCATGTTAGTTAATTTTTTAAAAAGGGGGGATATTTTAAAGTTTCTTCATTATCAGGAAAACACTCTTCTCATGCTTCTTTTTAGGTACCAAATCATGGCAGAAATCAAAATGACTATCTGACAGTTGTTAATACGAAAAAAATCCTGTTACAAACTAAACATAGATAAACCATTATTTAGGAGGATTGTATAGTCATTGAGTTGTCGTAGCCCAAAGTAGGGTTAAAAACTTTTTAATACCTATTACCTCTATCAGAGTAATTTGAGAAACAACTCAAACTAACCTCCTACCTCTGAGTCATTATTTGTGATATATATATTTTTTGCTACAGAGGTAAATGGATAAATCCCTGGAAATGGCTTCTGCCTGTTTATGCCAGTTGCTCAGGGTAGGTCTTCATCAGAAGGCATCTCAGGAAGGCCTCTCCAGAGCACAGTCATACTAGGACAGTGTGGGATGGGAGCAGATCCCGAGATCTTTGAAAATTAGGAAACAAGCTCAGAGTAGGGAGTTAAAATGGTCACACTAGGCATTACATTTAGACAGATGTTTTATCCTGTCATCTTATACTGCCACATGTAATTAATGACAATATAATATGTCCAGAGATTTAAAAAAATCCTCATTTATGTAAATCCTGCTTATTCAACAATAATATGATTCCCTTCTTGGTTGCACATCACTTTGCAAACTACCGTCTCTGCCATCTGGCCTCAATCCAATAGCTCTATTTCTCACATGCCTTTCAAATCCTTAATGACCTTATATGGAGTCTGTGGCTATGAACGCATGGTATATGGAATTATTAATGATCTTAAAGATAATTTTAGAAAATATACGCTATCTGGCAAATAATAAATTATCAGGATAGTTTACCTCAAAGCATAAAACTATATTTTAAAGTTAGCAAGTGACTTAAATGACCTCTATTTCTTCTGTGATTAATAGATTCAGAAACTAGCTATCCCCCACTCCCCCACCTTGACTTTCCACACATGACTGGGAAACTGATAGGAGGACTTTTCTTATTCTTCAAGCCTGGTCCCTGGCTAAGACATAGAAAACAAAGGTTAAAAGCCAACTTTGATCCTGTATATCAAGGATTGTACTGTAGACAGAGACAATGTGTTTCTCTACCAGAGATGTTTTTCTGAGGAAGGTTGCCTTGAAGGTGAAAGGTAACTTAAAACATAGCAAAAGTTCCTGAAAATAGTGATTCTTCCCTCAGAGTAGAATGCTCAAATGCAGTCTTTTTTTGAAAGTGTGGAGGATGAGGAGGTGAGAGTGCCATCCTCTAAGGGCTGATATTAAGTGGCATTTCCAAGTAATAGAGTCAGTAGTCAGTTTAATCGACACTTTCACTGCTTCATTTTTGTACCCCACACATTATATAATACAGCGACTGACTCAAAGTTGGTCTGCAATAAATATGTAATGAATTGAAACTGGTGCCCTTTACTTTCTTTATCTGTATATGATGAGCAGAAAAATAGGCAAAGAATCAGAAAAGCAGAATTGCAATTTTGAATCTGCCTTTTACTAGCTATGTGATCTTTGCAAAATCTTTTCACTTTTCTTATTGTTTTGAACAATGACATTTGGATTGAATAATCTTTAACATTCCTTTTACTTTCACAATCTACAGAAAATATAATGACCCTAGGATGATTGAATCAATGATGCACTAGTAAATGTTATTGACTGGCTCTCAAAAATAAATAAAAAGTTTTAAAAAGAGCCTGATTTGGAATACTTGCCTATTTCTATGGTGCAAATACCCCTGATGTGGCTGATTATAAGCTACTAACCTGAGATCACTGACCACGGAGTTGAGAAGAGATGAGAACATTCAGCTCTTTCAAGCTATGAGGAGCCAGTTCCAGAGCAATACAGGACTTAGAATAATAAATCATTCTACTCTATAGGACTGAAAATATGCTAATACAACTGAGAAAAAATTAATAACAGAATAAGAATGGGTTTCCAGGTTAATGAGAAAATTAAGTCTCCTTTGCAAGGATTATCTTAGGTTTTAATGCTAGTGATCACACTAGTATAGTCTTTTAAAAAATGGTAGGCCATGTACTGTTTCTTAAGTCACATCTATATATAATGAGAGTAAAAGTTGAATCTTTTAGCGTGGCAGGAAGCAATATTTAGAATCTGATCTAATGCTTTAAATGCATTTGTTATAGCTCCAAGATTAGTCATAGGCCAAGACAGAACAGTGTTTTAACCCCCACCACCCAGGGGATTAATATCTAGAAATGTTGGCAATGTAGTGCTTTGGTACCAATTAGAACAGAACAGTATTTAGAACTGTTTATTAGAACAGATCAGTATTATTAGAATAGAACAGTATTATTGAAATGCTGCAGACAATGCAAACTAATAATAGGTCCTCTGAAAGGAATGAGAAAGGATATTAAAGAATAACAACTTAAAAGGAGACATTAGGCCTGAAAGTCACCGTAGAAGCTATACAGATCACAATCTATCTATAGAACACTGAATATGCCAAGATCCAAGTTTAGTTTTCATGTTACAAGCACCTATCATAAGGCATTAACAGGAAAATTACTCAGAAAAGATATAAATACATGTGACTTTATAAAATATGGCTAACTTTTAAAATAGGTATTTACAATGTGTACTGTTTCTAATATTGTATGAGATAAAACTGGATTACAAAACCTAAAGGTTGTGTGTGAGCAATTACATACCCTGTTAAATGTCAAGTGTCAGTTAAAGTTTGAAACTCTTCACCATTAGTTTTCCACATAAAATTGAAGTTGGTAGCTGTGAAGAGGGTTTGGTCTTGACATTGAACATCCAAACTAAAATTGATCATAAATATTACCATTTTGCTTCCAATCTGATTTAATCAACATTTATCAAGAAAAATGCATTATTTGGTTAATAACAGCTATATTTTGGGTCAGCATGTATAACAATGGGATTACTAGTTACAACTGATAGAATGAAATATCTGCCAACCCTTTCTATATAGTCAAGGCAGCAGTCTTCTCTCCTTGTAGTGGATTTTATTAAATAAGACTACTGCATAAGATTTTTTTTTTTCTTTTTTGAGACGGAGTCTCACTCTGTCTCCCAGGCTGGAGTGCAGTGGAGCGATCTCGGCTCACTGCAAGCTCTGCCTCCTGGGTTCACGCCATTCTCCTGCCTCAGCCTCCCGAGTAGCTGGGACTACAGGCGCCCACCACCACGCCTGGCTAATTTTTTGTATTTTTAGTAGAGATGGGGTTTCACCGTGTTAGCCAGGATGGTCTCGATCTCCTGACCTTGTGATCTGCCTGCCTCGGCCTCCCAAAGTGAATAAGATTCTTTTGAGATGCTATAGAATCCTTTTGATACTAATTCCCAAAGGAATATTTTTTGGTAACTATTTGGAGGAGGAAAGCACAGGAATCCAACAAAAATCTGGCACCACTGTGTCCTCTAAAAGTTTTATATAATTCATTGTTTTCCTTTTAAAGTGCACTAAAGCCTGTTCTAAATCAGGAACTTACCCCAGACTTTCCACTGAACAACTCTGTCTGTAACAGATTTTTCTTCCTTCATCAAGAATAACCAGGCCAATGACAATCTCCTCTGTAGCTTCCCTAATTTGGCGGGAAGTTATGTCTTGTCATTTCATGGAGCGGAGTTCCTTGAGACGGTCACTTCATAAAGAGGTCTTAATTAGAACTCCCACCCATAAGATCCAAAGCTATGTCTTCTATTCCTATATGTATTCCAAAACCTGAGTTCTTGGGGCTTATATTGATACTGGGTATCCCACGGGCCTAAAAGCTGTGCCTTTCAGGTCCTTTTCATTTCTGACATCAAAAAACTTCTTTCTTTCAAACTTGGTTAAGCATTAGTTATTTTTAATATGCTTTTTGAATCTAACATTTCTGTATTTTGAAAAGAGGATGCAACTAGATTAAATTACCTTATTTTGGAAGTTATCTGCTCCAACTTCTAGAATTATCAGATTTTAGAGCTGGATGGGACTTTAGAGATCCTTTTTTCACTCCATGAATTGAGATTTCAATTTATTTCTATACTATCAGGTACCAGATAAGTTTGGCAGTTGAAAAAAATTACCACAGGTTATTTTTATTTTTCTCCCTTCAAATAGATTCTAAAATTGATAGATTCAATTTTATATTAATTGAGCATATCCAATGTGGTGGGTTGCTGAAGGTAGCAAGAGGTATAAATTATAGCTCCTGATCTTAAGCAGCTCATATTTTAATAGGGGACTAAATGTAAACAAACGATTGCAAAATGATGTAATAAATCTATTATTAGTAAATTATGAATGGAATGCTTTAGTAGATTTGGGGCTCTTAGTGCAGCATGGGGAAGCCAGAGAAGACTGGAGGAGGTACACTGTTGTTGCTAGATTATCAAGAGTTAATAAGTGTGTTTATGAATGTGAGTGTGTGTGTGTGTGTGTGTGTATGTATATCTGTGTGGGCTGGTGGTGGTACTTATGGCATTCCAGGTAAAGCCAGAAACAGTGCTGATAGTCATCGTGTAGGAATCAATAATACATTAAAAAGGAACTCAAATAAATCCTGGGTTATATACGTTTAATCTAACAAATAGTTGTTGAGGTCAACTGTTCGTATCATCCACCATGAAATAACATGCCCTGTGTATAAACATGGCAGTGATAGTGTGCTCTTACTTTACTGTTGAGAATATTAAATATTATAATTTTCATGTTTAAAAAACTTCAATTTCTTGGAATAAGCCTAAATGTGTCGTTTTAAGAAAGATCAAATGCAAAATCATGACAGAGGGTTGCTACTATTATCTTCTTACATAGCTCTCTTCACAAGGTCTTCATCCTCTCCTACTACCTACCACCTTATTCAACTCAAATCACTGCCCCTCCATCCCTCTCTTCTCTGCTTTCTCAGTAAGGCAGAGTTAAGACTCAGAATGATCATCAATGGTGCATTCTGATTATGAACTCAGGTAAGTCATCAAAGACTGAAGGAAGAAAATAGTAATTGCCAGGACAGGAGGATTTAATATTTCTCTGAAGAGGGTAGACAATGGCCCAAAAACAATGTTAGTGAAATCTTGGTATATATTTGTTCTCATTAATTCTCACATTTTTTTCCTTGTAAACTAGGTAAGGATCACAAATGATATAACTATGGATTATATTAGTGTCTTAGAAATACATAGTAGGTATTCAAAACATATTTGGTGAATGACCAAATAAATTGAATAAAACAAACAAAACAGGAGGGGTCCTGGGACAACTGGATACTCATATGCAAGAATGAACCTGGACCCCTCACTCCATATACAAAAATTTATCAAAGACCTTAGGAGGGGTTAATGTGGAATACCTGCTGATCAGGTAGACAATTGCATACAATGAAAGTATTCTGGATAATACTGATTGCACAACTTTGTGAATACACTAAAAACTACTGAACTGTACATGTTAAAAGGATGAATTTTATGGTTAAGTATATCTCAATTTAAAAAGTAGATGCAAAGAAAAAATAAAATAAAGTAAACAATAGCAGCAACAACAAAACCATGGCCCAGAAAGCTGAATTGAGGCTCTTATTGAAATGTTCTGCCTAGGCAGTCTTAACATTGGAGTGGAATGTAAGTTATAGATGAATGAACACTTTTTAGTTAAAACAAAATTGAAGATAATTAAAGGATATGCTATATTTCATATATATGAGGCATTTTTTTTTTCAGATTTCTGAAATGGGAATGTATCTTTCTTTTTTTTTTTTTTTTTGAGATGGCAGGGTGAGCCCTGTTGCCCAGGCTGGGGTACAGTGGCCCTATCATGGCTCATTGCAACCTCTGCCTCTCAGGTTCAAGTGATTCTCCTGCCTCAGCCTCCTGAGTAGCTGGGACCGCAGACGTGTGCCACTATGACCAGCTAATTTTTATATTTTTAGTAGAGACAAAGTTTCCCCATGTTGGCCAGGCTGGTCTCAAACTCCTGACCTCGGCCTCCCAGGGAATGTGTCTTTTAATTGACAAAGTGTCACAATTCATTTGGCTTCATTTTTTCTTTGTGGTACCTAAAATTGTGAGATGTCTTAGATTTAATGAAATATAATACTCATTTTAAAAACAATGTGGCAGAGGCAGAGGTTGTTAGCTGTACCTCAATATGTACTCTCTTCTTCCCACACAGTAATAAGAATGTTTTTAGCTGGGGAAATGATCAACCACCCAAAGACTCTATTTCCAGTTTTCCTTAAAGCTAGGTGTGGCCATGCACCCAAGTTCTGGCCAATGATATGTAAGCAGAGGTAGTGTGCGCAACTTCTGGTTTATGACCTTAAAGGGAAGGAGTGTGCTTCGCTTCTTTTCCTTTCTTTTCTTCTTTCCTCCCTCCTTCTTTTGTTCCTTCTTTTCTCTTCATCCCCTCCCTCCTTCCCTCATTCTCTTCCTTCTAGATAGCAGATGTGATGGTAGAAGCTGAGGAGCCATTTTCATCCATGAGATGGATGCCACATATTGAGGTTTGTAAAGCAATGAGAGAAGGTAATGAGTTCTTAATGATCAGGAAACCAGTAGACTAGCCCTGGACTGACTGTACAGACTTTCATGTGATAAAGAAACTAGAAAATTTGTTTAAGCCATTCGTCTTTGCTACAGGAACTGACCAAATATTCTATCAAATATAAATGGTTTCTAAATTTCATTTTTCTGGGAGTAAGTATTACCACTTTCTGCAATGGGATAAACTCCACTTCCTATACACACACACACACACACATCCCCCTTGTTTGGGTGAAATGAGTTACTAAATGTAGCATTTATTTATAAGGAATGCATTGTGAATAGTTTCTCAGTTTTCATTATGGAAAGATGATGATTTCAGCCCACATTCAGTGTATGTTTCTAAATAACACAATCGACAGGACTGTCTGTTCAGTACAATGGAGGACAGCTTTTTCAGGGCAAATGGGATTTCTTGATAATGCTAAATCTGTCTTGTCAGCTGAATTTCTTGGGCTTTATGTGGCAGTGTGGTAAAAATATATGATCAGATTTCACTGTTAAGAAAATTCTTTCAGCAATACATGTAGAGTCAAGTTTCTTGCATGGATAACTGAACATGTGGGTTATGAGATTTTAAAAAATGTCTCGTGACAAACTTTACGGAAATGCAACAATCTGGACATCTAGTTTTGTCTGAGAGTGGCGTGGATATGAAGAACTGTGCTGTTGGTGCTGATGCCACACTAAGTTTTGGCAGTCACACTCTTGGTTCTTCATATTTGAGGAGATGGGATGGTGAGGAGGCCTGTTGGCTTTATTTTATTAATGCCACCATCTAGAATACAGATTCTTGGATATTTCATCTTCACAAGGTGAGCTGCAAACTGGAAAAAAAAAGAGGCAAAATTTTTAGAGGATATACAGAAGACATCTCCAACCTCATGTTTTTTCTCAGAATTTGAAAGACAAAATTAATTTAATGTTATGATTGCTGCC
Source organism: Homo sapiens (assembly GCF_000001405.40). Lineage (NCBI taxonomy): Eukaryota > Metazoa > Chordata > Mammalia > Primates > Hominidae > Homo > Homo sapiens. Next base: position 106,046,793 of record NC_000004.12, read on the forward strand.
ACCACTGTATAATAAGTTGTCAACTTGGTTATTAATATAAATTAAATCACTCTTTTATATGCTGACGCTGACAATTTCTTTATCTTATGGAATAAATGTCTCTTCAGTTCTCTTTTATGATTTTTTTGAATATGTGATAAATATACATGGTAAACAATTCAAATTCAGTAGTAAAGGGTATACAATGAGAAGTAAACTCATTCCACTTCTGTTCCCAGTCCTCCCTCTCCAGAGGTCATTAATGTTACTATTTTTAGGTATTCTTCCAGTAATAGTCAAAACAAGCTCAAATGTACATTGAAAAAATTTTGATATTATGGTCCACTTCAATGTCCCACAGAGAGCCCATAAACCAGTTGTAACATGTTTTTGGAGCAATCACAACTAACATTTTGAGTCCACAAACCTGGAATGAATTTGAAGGACAGATCCAGGAAGACTTCTAGATGTCTAGCACAAGAGGACTTTGTAAAAGTTATCAAGACATATACACAGACGACTTAGCTAAAATCTACCTATCCAGGATCATCGATTGCCTTTCCTTATTCTTTGCACTTTATGATAAAGCATCCCTCAACTGCGTATCAATCCCAATATAGCATACTGCTTTATGCTCAGACCTTTTCTTGGGCAGATTGTCCAATGTTGGGCACATGCTCCATTTCCCACCAATTCCTGTCCCCTCTTTAGCGCCTCCTCAATAGTAACCCCCACACATAACCTCAAACCTGCCTAACTTCTATTCATTTTCCTGCTCAGGCACTTCCTTCTCTAGAAGCTAAGTTGCCATTAGGGTCCCTGCTTCTCAGCTCCCGAAGTTTCTTGTATGAATCTCAATCTTTGGCCTTACCTCATTTATTTAAATTATCCATTTAAGAGCTTCCTTCTATTTTGTTTTCTTCTTGGTAGCTGGCAGATGGTAGGGGCTCAATATATGTTTGCTGGATTGAACTAAACTATGCCAAATGACCATAAAACCTAGGGCAAAATTATGAAGTAAAGAAGTTTTTCTTTGGCCCTTTGCCTATTTTATCTCTGTTCCTTCTCTTTGATAGTGTCCTATTCCTCCTCATTGAGTATTTGTGTCTTCAAGTTCTTTTCAATTACTGTCTCTACTAAAACCTGATCTTAGATCCTTCAATAAAAATGACTAATCTGCTCACAGTGCTATTGCTTCTTGGGGCTATTTGAAGCTTAATACTTAGTAATATCTCAAGGCAGCAATCTAAACTTTAGGGTTCAAAAGAATGGGCTGAGTGGTTTGGCCAGGACAAGTTCAAGGCCTCACTCCCAGAGATTCTGCTTTATTGATCTGGGGCTCAGGGATAGGTATTTTTAAATAAGCACCTGTAGATGATTCTAAAGCAGGTGGCCCATGGACAATTTTTTGAATAATACTGTCTTAAGTCAAAAGGATAAAGGTCTCGGTCAGTAGGTGGAATAAATAATGCTGGACTGGGATCTTAGCAATCTCCAAAATAACTCACATAAATGGGTCTTAGTACTGCTAACCCTACTTATCTTCTCTGTGATTCTCTGCAGTGGCTCCACAGAGATTCAAACGGCTGTTCATATTTCACATCCTATCCTCTCTTAGAGCTAACAGATGGGAATCCTTGATAGTAACTAATGTTGAAGAGAAACAGTGCTCCTGTATTTCAAAAGGTGTCAAGTGAGCTGGTGTGAGCTGGTCTTCATCCTGTTCTTACTTCTCTTTGAACCCCAGTCCTTAAGAAAGCAAGCACCAGATTCATCTGCCTGAGTCATGTGCAGGCAGCACAGTCCCTGGTACCATATGATTATTGAAACATCTTGGCTGCATTCTCCTACATGCACAATTCAATTACCATTTAGGCCAGAATTCTAAGATAAACATAACATTACTGAAAAAGCCTTGTGGATAAGCAGTCTTAACTTTCAGTTCTTTCAAAACATTGTGGAAATCAGAAAATGAGTAACGAAGGACTGTACATGCAACTAATCTCCCTTAAACTATGCTGTAGAGCTGGAAAGAGTTCTGTTATTGTAAGGAAGTCCCTAACAACCAGGCTGCTACTGAGCTGGAAAATGGTAAAGACAAAGCAGGCAGAACAGAGCACTTTGCAACAATCAGGTTGCTGCTGTGTGGGAGGTCTAAGAAGAAGAGTAGAAATGGAGTGCAAGGAGATAGCAAATGTTTAGATGCCTTGAAAAGAAGCAGGCTGTGTTTAAGAAAAAGAGCAACTGTTGAGTTTTCACATAAGATTATGAGTTATGCTCCTCTGATGCTCTGCTGTGTTTTCAATTATCCATGTTAAATACTGGCCCCTGGCAGTGAAACCACGACTGCATCTTTTCTACTGCTATGGAAACATTTCTTTGCTCAGTTATTCGGTCATTCATTTATCAAACATTTCACTGAGCACCTACTAAGTAGGTACCAGGCACTGTTCCAGTTTTTGGAGTGCTTAGAGTTCAGTGGGGGAGATAGTATTAGACAATTAATATGAAGTAGTATGGGTAGCATAAAAGCAGAAGTTTAGGGATCTTAGCAGTCCAGAGATAATAAGCCGAGTTTCTGAATTTAACAGGGGCTGGGGAGCTGGTTTCTTTCTTCTTTCCTTTTATTTCTCTTTCATTACTGACTCTTAAAGGGAATGAGAATCCAGATGAGATGGCCACAGTTGCTATACTTATCAGACAATATTCTTTGTGGCTATAGCTTGACAGGTTAGGGAGGAAAGAAAAGGCTGTGAATGTGCTGGGGTAGATTTCCACAGTGTTAAATAAGTCACATCATACATGGAGAAGATATACAGTGGGACAGGGGAGAACCAGGCATCTAGGGTATAGGGTTTCTTCCATCTTTCATTTTTCATCTGGCAGGGCTTTTGACTGTATACTCCACAGAGTGCAGACTCCACCCAGAAATTACAAATCTACACTTACTGAGCAACATCCTTGGTGGGGGTGGCAGGATATCATACTGAACCAGTGGTTATAAAGTCAGCAGAATCATCTGGTTGCTTTTATTAAACAGCAATAACAAGGTTTGTTGCAGACTAATAATAAGTAGAGTTTCTTGGGACAGATCTCTGACATCAGTTGTTTTTAAAAGGCTCCCCCTTTCCCAGGTGATTCTAATGTGTAACTAGCATTGAGAGTCATTTAATTAGATAATGGGATTCATTTGCAGGTCAGGTTTGTCTGGGACCTCAAACTGCAATTCCTATACGTATATGTGGAGAGCAAGTCACTTTGCACTAGAAGAGGCTGCTGTGTTTGTAGGGCTGAAATTTGTGAGAGCTGAACTTTATCAGACATAGTAGAATTTAATGTGAAACAGATTATTGCAGATAAAAAGGGAGATTTCATAATGATAAAAAATTCAATTTGCTGAAAAGATATGACAATTCTAAATCTGTGAGCATTCAATAACTAAGACTCAGAATATAAAAATGTGATAGCACTGAATGGCAAAACAGACAAATCCACCATGATGGTAGGTGAAATAACAACCAGAAAAAAAACGGTAAGATGCAATACTTGAACAATGCAATTAACAAATCTACTTAAGGGACAGATACAGAACACTAATACCCAATGCCTTCAGAATAAAATTCTTTTTGAGTACATGTGAAACATTTCCAAAATTGACCAATTCAAAAAAGCAACTCAACTTTCAGATTTTTAAAGGATTGAAATTATTCAGATTATGTTCTTTGATGACAGTAAATATTATGCTGGAAATCAGTAACAAAAGGGTGACTAGAAAAATCTCTAACTCTTTCTAAATTAAGCAATATGCCTCTAAACATTACAGGTCAAAGAATTCACAATGAAAATTAGAAAATATTCTCAACTGATTAATAATGAAAATAACATAAAAACTCGTGGGTTGCCACTAAGGCCCACTATAGGGCTACATCCCATGTAGAGAGAATGGGGGTCTTCAAATTGCACAACTAGCTGAGATCTATATAGCAACATCCCACGTGAGGGGGCCAGATATGATATCTCCTGGCACAGTATCTGGGGACTTCCAGACCTCATTTTTGTGGACAGTACTCCATGTGGGGAGGGCAAAGCTTTTGTATTTTCACAGTTCCTCTGGTTTTTAGGATCTGGTGCTGGAATTCATTTCTAGGATGTGGTCAGGCACACCTTAATACAGCAGTGTCTGAATATGGAAGGTTCTTGCGGGTGCCACTCTATCTTGTTTTCTCTCTTTATCTTGCATCTGAACTTGGATTAAGAGACTGGCATGTTTGCCCGGAGAAAGTTAAGTTGTGCAGTAGCAGGAGAATAAGTGAAGAAAAGGGATTTTTAAGCAGCCACAGAGTACTGTGGGTGAACTAAGGCCAAAAAATTAAAAGCTGATGATAGGTAGGATTCATGAGGTATGTAGAACAGAATCATGTCTCTCACTGGGCCCTCTAGGACACAGGTTTGGGAATAACTCACAGTAGCAGCAGGAAACTAAGAAAGTTTGGGGTTCTGGAAGATTTAGGGAGGAACACATGGCAGGACAATTAGGTTACCTGATACGAGTTTGAAGTTGATACTGGAGACTGGACAATTGGCATGGACTAACTAAGACCCTGACAAAGCTCAAACAGAGAAGTCTTTTATCTCTTCCATTTTATCTGGCCATTCCTTTCCCTCCAAATAATCCTACATTTGGGGTATGAAAATTTTACTTTCGGTTGAGCATGGTATTGAATAAAGAAACTGGCAATTATCCTATAATAAGCAGCTGTAGTAATTTGTTTTTCTTCATCTTATGGACGTGAGGCAGATGCTATTAGTCTTATGCCTCCTCTTGACCCTCTGGAATGCTTAATATGACACATATTCAATATTTCTGGCACTGTGTGACCATGGCTAGGCTGATGCTTCACACAAATTAGGTGCATATTTCTAAGAGCTTGGCTAGACAAGGCAGATAAGCATATTTGAGATGAAAAACAGAATATGGGGTGATTTCTCAATCTAGAGTACAGTGTGGTCTTGGAATGAATATAAATGAAGTGCTGTCTTGTTCCAATTATTTAAGAAATTTCTGAGCTCATTAATAAAGTTCTTAATCAGTAGAACTGCCCATCTCAGTGCTCTCAATGAGAAACATAAGAGCTGTGGCAAGGATTAGTAGGAAAGAGGTGGGAATGATTTATCTAATACTGCACTGATTTCTTCCCTTGATTATATAATTAAATATAATTTTGAATGTCACTTTTTGTTTCAATCCTTATTGTGTTCCCCCATACTGAGATAAATATTTTGTGTCCTGCTAGTTTTCCGTATTCAGATCTTTTTAACTCATTGAAGTTTATTTTCTTAATAGCATTATATAAGGTATAAAACTGGTTTTCATAGTAATAATATCTAGTAACAATTAGGCAGTGGTTGCTGTATTTTCTAATTTCACTCACAGAAATAAAACCAGCAGCAGAGCAAAGCCAAGAAGGTGAATGCACAGGCCAGTAATCATTTTATACCCTACCATAGGCACTTGTGACAAGGAAGGAGAAGAACAGGTAATTCCAGCATATTAGTGTGTTATATATGAGAAAATGCTAATTATGTATTTTTAAAAAGTGGGAGAGTCTAGAAGAATAGTCATTACATGGTCCAGCTTTCTCATCCATGTTTATTTTATAAATAACTACTCCAATGTTATCTGGGATATTTTGAAGCCATACTAATAGTATTCTTTAGTATTGTCCACAAAAAGGGTTCTAATAAACTTTTAACCAAGTTGTTTCTAATTTTTTTGGAACCAATCTTTGAGGTTAGGAAATTTGATAGTGTAAGGATTTTTATCTTAAAAAATATTTTTATAGTTTGTGTTACATAAGGAGATATTATAAATATCTAGAGTGTGCTAACTCAATGCATTTTCATGTTTTAATTTCCCATTACCCAAAGTTACTATCTTTATTTCATGTCTTCCCATTCTTTCTCTGTACATTTTTATTTTAAAAAAAGTCAAAAAATATATAAATATAGACAAGAAAGGTATAACGAGCTGCTAGGTCCCCAACACTCAGCTTCAACAATTGTAACTTGTAGCTAAATTGTATCATTTATTCCTTCCATGCCCTCTTCCCACCTTTGTACTGTTTTGATGCAAACCCAGATATTTTATCATTTCATACATAAACATGTATCACTGAAATAACAGGATTTAAAAAATATATACCCATAGTACTATCACACCTAGAAAAAAGCCCCAATAATACTCTTCCTGTAAAATATAATCAAATATTCAGCAAGTGTTCAAATTTTGAATTAGCTCATAACTCATAAACGTCCTCTCTCTCTCTTCCCCTCCCTCTCTTTGTCTATCCATCTGTTCATCCATAATTAAATTTGTTGAGTCAGGATCCAAACAAGGGCCACGCACTGTGACTGACGGACATCTTTTAAGGCTCTTTTAATCTAATGGTTTGTCCTATCTCTTTTCATTTCTTTGCAAGAAGCCTATTCTCTCTCAAATTCTCCCCAAACTTTTGTCTCTACCACTCCCCCAAAATACTCTTATTAAGACTGGCAGTAATCTCCACATTGTCAAATCCAATTTTTAAAACTCATTCTGAATCTGACTTGGCCTATCAGCATCATATGACACATTTGATCATGCCCTCCTTTCTTCAAAACTTTCTTCCATTAGCCTTCAGTACACCAATCTCTCCTGGTTCTACTACTTCACTAGCTGTGCCTTCTCATCTCCCTTGGTGGATTTATCTTATCTTTTTGACTTCGTGCTCCATTGCTTAGTCCTCTGACCTCTTCTCTATCTACATTCCTCCCCTAAATGATTTCATTTAGTCCCACAGGTTTAAGTCCTATCTATACACTGATGACTGTAAATTTGTCTTTACTATCTTCCCTGGAATTTAAACTCATGAATCTGCTTCCTCAACATCTATTAGACACTTTGATATCTACTAGGCTTCACAAACTTAACAGTTTCAAAGGGGAACACTTGATTCCTACCCTCCTCTACCCAATCCTCTCCTGAAGTCTTCCTTATCTCAGGAAATGGCAATTTCAGTCTTCTAGTTATCTAACTAATAAACCTGGATATGTTTCTTTTTTTCTTTACCAATGTATCCTGTAACTTTCAAAACATATTCAGAATCTGATCACTTCTCACTGCCTGTACTAATATTGTATTAGCTCAAGTGATGGTTATTTCTTACCTAGATTATTGTTAACAACCTATCAACTGGTCTCCCCTGCCTCCACTCTTTCCGCTATGGTCTAACCCTCACACAACGTGAGTGATCCTTTTAAAATATAAGACAGACATTTCACATAACCTGTCACAAAGCATTTTAACGGCCTGTAGCTTTATTCAGAATACATTCCTAAGTCTTTTCCATAGTCTATGAGGTCTTACATGATCTGCAAATCTGCAAACAATTTCCCAACTCCCCAACTCCCCATCATCTACCTCTCTAATCTCATCTCCCAGTCCAAACCACCATCATCTCTTACTTAGATTACTGCAAGAACTTCTTGAATGACTGCTTCTATCCTTGCCCAGTATAATCTTTCTCTACATGACAATCATCAAAAGAATGATTCTCTTAAAATATGAGTCGGATGATATAACACCCTTTGTTCCACATCTTCTATTGGCTTTCCATCTCAGAATAAGAGCTCCACTAATCACTCTACAAAGAAAAGAAGCCATCAGCACTCTTTTTCCTCGTGTTAACCTTATTTGATCATTTATAACCACTTTATATATATATCTAAACTATATATATGTATGTATGTTTATTGATGGTCTCTCCCAAATATTGTAAGTTCCATGACAGTAGGAACTTAATTTTACTTGTTACTGTTTCTCCAATGCCTAGAACAGTGACTGCTAGTACACAGTATTTGCTCTAATATATGTTGAATAACTGATTCATTCATTCAACAAATACTTTCTGAGCATCTACTGTGTGTCAGGCACTATGCTAGGGACTGGTTAAGCTGTTTTACTTCCAGTGGAGGAGGCAGAAAGGATTTTAGAGCAAATAGTAAGGAATCTGACTGGCTCTGGTAAGAGTCAAATGCTAGTTGCTTTTATCTTTTACTAATAGAGTCTTCACCCAACTCTTGTATGAGTTGAACAGGCAAGATGATTTTTTAAAATGATATCTTAGGTAAAAGACATCTACACAAAAATATATTTATACAATAATTTTGATGAAGTTTATAACTATAGAAATAATAAATGCTTGTGACATATGTTACTATATGTAACATATCATCTATATCCACCCATGATAGACAATATCCTCACTTCATTTCCACAGTTAAGGAAGAGAAGTAGATAGAAGAGTTTAGAGAGGATGCAGTGAAAGTTTTACTTTCTACTCTTAGGCTCCATGCTATCATAATCAGATTCTCCATATCTTTCTACCTTTGTCTGCAGCCAAAACTGCTCTGTTCAAAGAAGCCCCGTGCTTTCTTAGTTACTTTTTTCTCAATGAGTTTGGCAATTTTTAGTGGATCACTCAATAGAAGTGTGAAAAAAAAAGATAAATGGATATCTTCATGAACAATTATAAATTTTCCTCTCCTATTTTACTTTCATATGTAATTCTAACAAAATCTCATAAGGATTAAAGGAAAGAAAGATAATTTAAAATTTTTAAATTATAAGTTTTAAATAGAAATGTCAAGACAAATAAATATTTTTCCTATGGTGCATAACATCTTAGCATGAGTGTGAGTCAATGCAACTTCATAGTTTGGTTTGTTGAAAGTTCAATTATACACACACACACACACACACACACATATATATAATTTTTTTTCTTCTAACATGTCAAAATGGTCTTTTCCTTTCCTTTCTCTTCTAGTTCCCTTTGATCTTATTTTCTTTGTAAATTTCTTCTACTAATCACTTGCACTTATGCAATTTTTTTCTTATTTTTAAGCTAATTTATAATGGAGACAGTCAATTTTTATGGTTTCTTGAAACAAATACAAGTTATTAATATATCTTTTAAGGGTCTTTTCAACAATCTCTGAAACAAATACAAGTTATTAATATATCTTTTAAGGGTCTTTTCAACAATCTCTTATTGAGACTATCACCTGGAATTTGTCTTTCTTTCTAGAATAATTCATTTATAAGCTTTTAAAGGTAATTATGGAAATTATGGAAAATTATACCATAATTATGATAATTATGGAAAATGAAGCCCTACACCTTTTTTTCATGTTCTGTAGAATACTGTTTATTACATAAGTGGGAGGATTCAATACACATCTAGTAGAAGTCTTCTTTGAATTCTAGTCTGAATCTCCAAATGCTCAGCTGATTATTTTTCCAGTGATGTACCATTAGCACTTCAAATTCAATATGTCCAAAATTAATCACATTCTTTTCAAACCTACGTTATTCTTCTCTTCTCTATCTCTGGTAACAGTATCAGCAACCTCCCCAAACACCCAACCTGGAGACTTTAAGGTCTTTTTTTAATTAATTTTTTTTTTTTTTTTTGTAGAAACAAGGTCTCGCTTTGTTGCCCAGACTGGTATCGAACTCCTGGGATCAAGTGATCCTTCCTCCTTAGCCTCCCATAGTGCTAGGATTACAGGTGTGAGCCACCACACCCAGCCAAGTTCTTATATCTGTCTCTAAGTATCTCTCTCTCTCTTTATATATAAATATAGATAGATAGATGTGGATAGATATACACATATATTTTAAACCTCCTTTGTCTGCACATTTAATTAGTTACAAAGCTGTGTCAATTTAGGACTTGTCTTGTATCCATTCCTTTTTTTTTTTTCATTCTTCTTCTACTTCATTTTAGAGTCCAATTATTGTTGGATTAGTTCCTAAGTGGTCCTAATGCTTCTAGGTTTTCCTCATCCAGTTCTCTGCTGACTGGTGGTAACATTATGGAAGGTTCTCAGAAAATCCTGAGACTTCAGTCAGTATCATACAGAGATTTCTTCCTTACTAGGGTTATTGTCCTTAAGCAAAGTAAGTCAAGATCCATGGATCCCTTCCAAGAAATAGTTTGCTTACCATAGTAAAGACAATGTGTACTATTTAAAATTTCTTTTTGGAAGTTACATTTTGATAATAGTTAAGTCTAACATCCCTTTGCATTTCAAGAAAGACAAATTCATTACACACACACTTGCTTACTCCTAATACAAATACATACATTAACTTATATTTACATGAAAGGTTAACAAGAAGAGAAGACTGTCCTTTAGTGTTACAAAGAAAGTAAGGAAAGAAAGTGACCAGGTGCCTTGAATCACATAGTAACAGCAGGGGATTATTTCCCCAGTCTCATTTTGAAAGTCACAGAGCTTTGGCTATGAGTCTCAGGCAAACCCTTCTATTGTCTCTTCCTCACAGCCTTGTGAGCTTTGTTCACTCTGAGGGCTACCAACTATTTAGATAGTGAGAGACTGAAAGCTTAAGAGAGAGGGTCAATGTAAAGGTAAGAATCTAGCATTGAGATAGACTGGGAGTATTAGGGAAAATCTCTGTTCCTTGGTGTTTTAAAATTTGTTTAATTGGGATCAAGGGCAAAAGAAAGGGAAGATGCTTAAATTTTGGCAAACCTTAATACAAATAAAAAAGTTATTTTCCAAACGACTTTCCAAAATATAGCTGATAGTGTCACTTTCCTTTTCTAAAAACCTTTAATAGCTCCCGACTGCTAAAATGAAAACTCTTTAACATAGCACTCAAGGTCCTCTATCATAATCAGATTCTCCGTACCTTTCCAGCTTTATCAGCAGCCAAACTGCTCTTCAAAGAAGCCCTGTGCTTTCCAATGCTACTGTGCTGTTTCCTTTGCTTGAAATACTCCCTCCTGACTGTGGTCCTCCCCAACAATTTGTATTACTGAAATCCTACCCATAGTTGAAGGTCTAGGTCTATTATCACCCTCTCTGTAAAGCTTTCAGAATTCCTCACTTAGATGAAATTTCTTCCTTCGCAGTACTATTTCCAGAACTTTAATTATAAATCTCATATAGCACATGTCACAATGTTGCATTCTGCCTTCAATTTTAATCATTTGTATACATGTCTAAGCTTCCTAACAAGACTGAAAGTTTTATGAGAGCAAGGGACTATATCTTTTTCATTTCTCTTGCCTCACAAGTTTCCATTTGTAGGCATTCACTGTTCATTGTCCTGAATTAAACTAGTACTTGACACTAGTGTTTTTTCTTTTGCCTTTCTCTTTAGGGCAACTTGTGCAAAGGTGTAGTCTACTGCAAACTATTATTTTCACATGCTTTGTTCATTAACTTAATCAATTTGCCTATCAAATATTTATTGAGTGTTTTCTATTTGAAAGGCACCATGCTAGGGGCTGGGGATATAACAATGCAACATAGTCCCTCTCCTTAATGAACTAGATGGGGATATGAATAAGTAAACAGGTGATTACAATACCATTTGATAAATGCTACCTAGAGCCATCATTTATGGTTGTTCAAATTGTGCCTTGTACGAGAAAGCCTGAAAAAGGGAGTAAGTGGAGCATGAAAAGTTGCCCATCCCTTCCTTTCTAAGCTTTGTGCCCTCACATGGTGCTGTATTTCCCTGAAGGAAGCATGGGATTTATCTAATGCATAAATAAAGTTGCTCTCTATATGTAAACTAAGTAAAAGATTTTCTATGAGGATTTAAGAGTGATACTTAGTTCCAGACTTGAGTTGTTAAGGAAGACTTCCATGAAGAAATGCTATATAAACAGCATTTCAAAACAAATGGGAGTTACCTAGATTAACAGAAGTGGGAATAATGCTCCAAATGAGGAGAAAAACAAAAAGAGAATATAAGGAACTGCAAGTAGGTAATTATGGCTGAAACCTAAGAGGGTGAGGGAGCAGCGGCCAGGAAGGACCTTGGAACACAGAGCAGAATCCAGATCATGGAGAGCCTTATAAAAGATGATTAGGATTCGAACTTCATTTTGAAGGCAACGGAAAGTCATAGATATTTTAGCAACTAGTCATAGGGTATTTTGGCAACTATCAAATTTACATTTCAAAAAGCTCAGTCTAGTGTAGGGCAGAAGTGAGGGATGGGAAGTTGCAGGCAGGAACAGTGGGGAGCTGCAGTAAGTCTTTCAATAAGTCAGGTACAAGATATCAGCAACCTGAGTGAAAACAGTTGTGCAGTAAAGATGGAGATAATTTTAGACCTAGTTAACAGAGTAATAAGTCAAATAATACTTTTTCATATAATTTCTTGCCATTAGTCAAGAAGGATAAAATACTACTTCAAATAAACAGGCTGGGTGGTTTGGAGGAAAGTGTAGGAACTTTGTAGACAGATAGCCCTGGGTCTGAATCACTACTCTGCCATTTGTCAGCTGTGGGATCTTGGCCAAGTTTCTTAGCCTTTTTGGCCTTAGTTTTGTTACCTGTTAAATGTGTAATAATAATTCAGTTAAACAGTACACTTAGAGGGTTGTTGGAAAAATTGTATATACAGGAACACCTCATTTATTGTGCTTTGCTATAGTGCATGTCACAATTATTGCATTTTTAACCAATTGAAGGGTTGTGGCAATCCTGTGTCAAGCAAGTCTATTGGTACCATTTTTACAATAGCATGTGCTCACTTCATACCTCTAAGTTCCATTCTAGTAATTATTGCAATATTTGAAACGTTTTCATTATTATTATATCTGTTATGATGATCTGTGATAAGTGATCTCAGATGCTGCTATTGTAATTACTTTGGGGGATATGAGCCATACCTATATAAGATGGCAAACTTAGTGAATAAATGTGTTTTGACTGCTCCACTGAATAGCCATTTCTGTTTCTCTCCTTCTCCTTAAGCCTCCCTATTTCCTGAGACACAAAAATATTAAAAATATTAAAATTAGGCCAATTAATAACCTCAAAATGGCCTTTGGTGTTCAAATGAAAGGAAGAGTCACATAATTTTCACTTTAAATAAAAAATCTAGAAATAAGATTAAGATTAGTGAGGAAGGCATGTTGATAGCCAAGATAGCCCAAAAGTTGGGCATTTTGGGCCAAACAGCCAAGTTGTGAATGCAAAGGAAAAATTCTTAAACGAAATTAAAGGTGCTACTCCAGTGAACACACAAACGATAAGAAAGCAAAACAGCCTTCTTACTGATACAGGGAAAGTTTTTGTGGTCTGGATAGGAGATCAAACTAGCCACACCATTCTCTTAATCACCATCTGCAGAGCCAGGCCTTAGCTCTCCAATTCTATGAAGGCTGTGAGAGATGAGGAAGCTGGAGAAGAAAAGTTGGAAGCTAGCAGACATTGGTTCATGAGCTTTAAGAAAAGAAGCTGTCTCCATAACTAAAAGTGTAAGGTGAAGCAACAGGTACTAATGGAGAAACTGCAGTTATCCTATCCAGAATATCTAGCTAAGATTGCTGATGACACTAAACAGATTTTCAATGCAAATGAAGCAGCCTTTGATTGGAAGAAGATGCCATCTAGGGCTTTCATAACTAGAGATAAGAGATCAATGCCTGGCTTCAAGGCTTCAAAGGATAGGCTGACTCTCCTGTTAGAGGCTAATGTAGATGGTGACTTTCAGTTGAAGCTAATACTCACTGACCATTCCAAAATCCTAGGGCCCTTAAGAATTATGCCAAATCTACTCTGCCTGTGTTCTATAAATGGAACAACAAAGTCCGGACGACAGCACACCTGTTTGCAGCATGGTTACTGAATATTTTAAGTTCTTTGTTGTGACCTACTACTCAGAAAAAAAGATTCCTTTCAAAATATTATTGCTCATTGACAATGCACCTGGTCACCCAAGAGCTCTGACGGAGAACATACAAAGAGATGAATGTTGTCTTCATGCATTCTAACACATTTTGCAATCCATGGATGAAGGAGTCATTTCAACCTTCAGGTCTTATTCTTTAAGAAATACATTTTGTAAGGCTGTAGCTGCTATAGATAGTGACTCCTCTGATGCATCTGGGCAAAATAAATTGAAATCCTCTGGAAATAATCCACCATTCTAGATGCCTTTCAAAACATTTGTGACTCTTGGGAGGTCACAATATCAACATGAAATGGAGTTTGGAAGAAGTTGATTCCAACCCTCATGGATGACTTTGAGGAGTTCAAGACTTCAGTGGAGGTAGAAAGTGCAGATATGGTGGAAATAGTAAAAGAACTAGAATTAGAAGCAGAGCCTGAGATGTGGCTGAACTGCTGCAATCTCATGATAAAACTTGGATGGATGAGGAGTTGCTTCTTATGAATGTGCAAAAAAAAAAGTGTTTTCTTGAGATGCAATCTACTTCTGGTGAAGATGCTGTGTCATTTTTGACAACAAAGCATTTATTATATAAATTTATTTGATAAAGCAACAACAGGATTGGAGAGTATTGACTTGATTTGGAAAGAAGTTCTTCTGTGAGTAAAATGCTGTTAAATAGCACTGCATGCTACAGAGAAATCTTTCATGAAGAGTCAATTGATACGGCAAACGTCATTGTTGTCTTATGTTAAGAAATTGCCACAGCCACTTCAATCTTTAGCCACCATTGCCCTTTAGGAACCTTTAGCAACCATCAGTCAGTAGCTATCAGTGTGGAGGCAAGACCTTGCACCAGTGAAAAGATTATGATTTAGAGAAGGCTTGGGTGACTGTTAGCATACTTTTTTTTTTTTTTTTAGCAATAAAGCATTTTTTGATTAAGGTATGTATGTACTTAATTTAGATATAATGCTGTTGCATACTTACTAGACTACAGTATAGTGTAAACCACTTTTATATGCACTGGGAGACAAAAAAATTGTGTGATGCATTTTATTGCCATATTTGCCTCATTGGGTTGGTCTGGAACTGAATTTGCAGTATCTTTGAGGTGTGCCTGTGTTTCTGTGAGTGTGTGTGTGTGTGTGTGTATATGCCCGATTCACAGGCAGATCCTTATTACAAGATGGTTTCCTTCTATCCTCTCTTCTTCCGTTATCCTTTCCTTAATCACTCCTTTTATAGGAGAGAAATTTACAACACTTTGCAAACGCATAGATTCAAATGTAAAATGCAAACTTGTCCCCAAATGGAATGTGAGATACGGCTTTATGGTGTTCATGGTGAACTCTTTATGATGGAGGAGTGATTTTTACCAGTGACTCTTAATGTACTGGGTCACAAACGCTTTGGCAATCAGATAAAGACTATGAATATTGTGTCTCAAAAAATGGCATTTATGTGGAACACTTTACACATAATTTCAATTAGTTCAAAAACCTCCTGAAATTCATGATGAACTCCAGGTTAAAAAGTTTTCTTTTATACTATGTTTTAATTTTTAAAATTATGTTAGTGACTTAGTGTTTGTGAATATGGCAATTAGGATCTTCCTATAGATTTATAGATTAGTGATTAATAATAGTTTCTACTTTTAAACAAGTCCTTCCAGAAATGGCTATGTGGAAATTTTTTTGAAAAGCAAACTATGATAGAAAAGTTTGCTTGAAAACAATTCTTGTTCTTAAAAACATGCACTGGCTTATGTGAGAAGACAAGGCTCTTCTGATAAAATTCCATCATCTAATATCATTTTGTATCAGGAGCCCTAATAAGTCTTGTGGTAAATTTTCTTTTGATCTATGACATTTGGGAACTGAATTTCAGCAACAAGCATTTATCAGCTTCTGTTTACACTAGACAACTGAGACTAGTAAACCCACACTGTGTTCAAGCCACTGGTCATATTACACAAAGTACGCTATGCCCTGAAAAGAATGTATACAATAAAAACTGAGATTCAAAAAACAGTTAGGACTATGATGGATCACAGCCAAGTTCCAACCTCTGTGGGTCAAATGGGAGGGCAACTATGGTTAGTTTCTTATTCAGCCACAGACATTCCTGTGGTAAGGAGTAATTAAATGGTGGGCTGTGGAGTACAGGGTGGGTATGTAGAATAACACATATTGAGACAAGATAACTTTCATCCTGTGTCAGGTCACAAATGTGAGTGCCAAAGATCACAAGATTAAGATGATGACTTTGCAGTTTTTCCTGGAAATTGGAAAAAAGCTTGCTCTCTCTTTTTAAAAACTGCTTATATTTTACCATATAATATTTCTAGTAAACATGTTAAAAAACCAAGAAAACCAATGTCTGGATTAGGTGTATTAAGGCCCTCTTCACTACTACTTTGCTTTTTACTACACAAAACTTATGAAAAGCTATAAGAATAAGGACTCAACAGGAGTTTTTAGTTCATGAGTCTTTCGAAGTAATCTTTTATCACTTAACAAATCAGAGTTATGTAGAAGAGTTTCCACTGTTACTCCCAACTTTTATATGATGTCCAGCATGTTCAAGGTGCATTAATATATAAACTATTTTCTTATAATCTAATATAAACCTACAGACTAAAACATTTGCTGACGAGCAAGGCAAGAAAAATGTCAGGAAGAAAGCCAAGTTTAACCATAGCCAGTGCTTATAGGTATAACAAGATCAAGAAAGAATTCCTTGCATACTTGAAGCTGATAAAGGATATTCACTTCTCATTCTTTAACTAAATGCTTAAGGTATAAAGAGGTCTAATAAATTTTAGAACAGGTAAAAAGACCCATGACACGTTTAGAAGTTCTAGAAGTATCATATTAATCTGAAGAACTAGATAGATACTATCTGGAGCTAGAGAAGTTTAATACAGGGACAACACATATGCTGAATTGGTTTACAGTGTCTTATGAAGTTATTTTGACTCTTTTGAACACATAATTGTAGAAGGATAATCTCAGGTGCCTGAGACCAAAGGCTAGAGGAAGAGCTTGAGCAAAGGGGGGAAGGTGACAGGGCTAAAGAGAGAAGGGTGCCACGGTCTGAATGTTTGTGTCTTCCCCAAATTCATATGTTAAAATCTTAACCCCAAGGTAATGATATTAGGAGGGAGGGCCTTTGGGGGTGATGAGGTCATGAGGGGAGACCCTTCATGAATAGAATTAGTACCTGATAAAAAGGACCTGAGAGAGCTTCCTTGCCCCTTCTTCCACATGAAGACACAGCATAAAGATGGCCATATATGAACTATGAAGTGGGCTCTTACCAGAGCCTTTATCTTGGACTTAGTCTCCAGAACTGTGAGAAATAAATTTCTATTGTTATAAGCCACCCAATCTTTGGTATTTTGTTCTTGTAGCCTGAATGAACAAAGAGACTAGCAAAAGGTAAAGGCTACCAATGATCACCACAATATCTTAAAACTTGGTTTAGCTTGGTTAAGGAATCCAGGAAGTAATGGGGAGCCGGGAGAGGGGGGAAAAGCCTCATATTACCACAACACAAATTAACTTCCAACCTATCATCTACAGATCAAATATACTAGGGCTACAGGGGAGTGTAAATTAACACAATTGGGTTGTTACCTTATTTTAAAAAGTAGATGCAATGGCATGTCTTGCTTATTATGAATCTGATCATTTTTATTTAAAAACAACTGAAATCACATTTTAAACTTAATTATTACATGCCACATGTAGAAAGTATCAGTTACTCACACTGTTTAGTGATAGAATATCCACATAAACTGTCTCTTGTCTAGGTTTCTAGACAAGAATAAAATATTATTCAGATATACATTACTCTTTTCTATTTTTTGTTTTGCTTTAAAGAATAATTGCCCATCTGCCTGCAACTAGATATGTTTAGATGAATATTTCTTTTGATAACAAAAGAAAAGTATTAACTTTGTGCCAAGAATATAACAATTTAAGGGTAAGATGAACTGTCTCTAATATTTTCTGAAAAGATAAGACAAAGTGAGAGGCAAAGATTCCTCCAGTTTCTTTTGTAGATATCCTTTTGAATGTGATACACTGTTGGGGATAAAATATTAGTGGTCTCATAATCACAAAATATTATCTAGATATAGTTAATAATTAATTTTAGTCTTATGAGTTTCAGAGACTAACATACCAATAAGACATTTACACTTTTTCTTAAAACTAAAGTTATAAAAACACTAATTGGAGCTTTCAATTTCTTCTATTCTATGTTGTTGGCCAGTTTTCCAGTCTGAGACCCATCACTGTCTCTAGAGTTGCATCCCATTACCTTATTTTCCCACAGGGAGGAAAACAGCACAATAACACATTAAGCATGCTATGGTACCAACTCATTATTCTTACTAAACATCACGATTTACTTTCAGGAAAGAGATGGATTCACTATGGAGTTTTTACAAGCTGAAACTTTGACCTTATGTTAGAAGTAGGGTAATGTGGGTAATGGTTGCCATGGGTATCAAAACAAATTATACATTTTCCACTAGGTAACATTTGATTAATGTCAAAATAAAAATTCTCCTTTATATCTGAACACTCTGCTCAAGGATATAAAAATGTACCTTTTTATATCCTTGTTTACTTAATACATGATATGGTAGACTAGCTCTCCCTATTGATCTGAATAGTTATTGCTTCAATTCCCAGATTTATATACTTGTTCTCTGAGATTAATTCAGCATGCTTCAGTTTTGTAAGAGGTATCTTTCTGGGGCTCTCTGTATATATCCTGCTGGCATGTTTTGTTTCTAAGCCCAGAGAATCTAATTACAGTTTAGTAGCCAAAGATGTAATATCTCACATGACTTTTTAAAAAACGATTATTTTTGCAACAGCACAAGAGTGAGACTTTGCCGTGTTTTTCATTTTAAATGTGACACAATAAAGGCTTGAATTGACTTCATGCTTGTTTTGATACAAAGGTCTTCCTACCAATAGATGCAGTCGACATTTGTTTGGCTTGTCAAATTAAACTCATCCATACAGCAACAAGGATTAGCACAAAAACGGGTCTACCCTGTGAACAGTACCATACATTTCAGAGATCTAGGACTCCACTTCACTCATTAGAGATTATCTGATTTTTCTTAAGACTTAGTAATATAGCTTTGCTTACAGCATATTTGACTATACTTGATTATACTATACACTATAGCTCATTGCTTTATTTAACCTTTAAGATAAAGTGAATTAAGGAATAACTGACAAGTGGGATTTAGCAAGACTAAATTCTGGCCTAGAGAAGCCTCTACATGGTACCTTAAGTAAACTAAGATCTTTGCAGTCCTTCTTTACTCTGTTCTGGTGAAAAGCAATGTTTTATCTAGATAAAAAATGGCAGATTCCAAAGGTTTTCTGATGTATTTAATGTGGAAGCAGGGCCAAATACAAATACAAAAGGGGAAGTGGTAATTGTAAAGAAACCATCTTATAGCAATAAACCGCTAATCAATTGTAATTACAGGAAATAGTTAATGAATACATATTAAAATGGTATCACATGGCTTCTGATTATATAATACTTATTCAGGCACATGAATAAGCTGTATTTCTCAGATCCATTCTGTCTTCTATGTGAGTTTAGATAATATATCCAATACATCTGGTCACTGTATAGTAATTTCTGCATATCTGTATGACAAAAGACACTCCAGTACTAATTTGTATGTCAAATGGATGATTTTAATGCTGTCAGCTGCCAGCTGCAGCACACTGATTTTCACTTAGAAGAAAAGCTGTTAGTTTCCGAAGATTCACTTAAAAAAAAACCCAAAATACCTTCAGAGGTTAAAAAAGACCTCATCAGAACAACTCTTATGAAAACTTCTTCACTACTACTGATCAGAAAGTGTAGGGCTCAGATAAGCGGGTGATATTAGGGTAGCCTGAACACATTAAATTCTATACCTTATTTGAAAAAATTGAGGTAAAACATATATAACATAAAATTTTTCCTTTTAACCATTTTTAAGTGTAGAATTCAGTGGTTTTAAGTACGCTTGCAATACTGTACAACCATCACCACTAGTTATTTCCAATTTTTTTCATCATCTCAGAGAAACTTTGGACTCATTAAGCATTAATTTCCATTCCTCCCTCCCCCAGCCCGTGGTACCACTAATCTACTTCCTGTCTCCATGAATTTGCTGATTGTTGATATTTTATATAAATGAAATTATACAATATTTGTCCTTTTTATATGTGGATTATACTTAGCATAATATTTACATGGTTCATTCACTCTGCATCAAATATCAGAACTTCGTGTCTTTTTATGGCTGAACATTACACTGTATATACTACCTTTTGTTTATTAATTTATCTGTTGATAGACACTTGGGTTGTTTCCACCTTTGACTTGTCAATAATGCTACAATGAACATTGGTGTACAATATCTGTTTGAGTCCCTGTTTTCAATTCTTTTTGGTAAGCATCTAGCAGTCAAATTACTGACTCATATGGCAATTCCATATTTACTTTTTCAAGCAAGTGCCAAAATATTTTCTATAGAAGCTACATCATTTTACAATCCCACTATTAATGCACCAGGGTTCTAATTTCTCCTCATCCTTGCCAACACTTGGGTGTGAAGAGCTATCTCACTGTGGTTTTAATTTTTATTTCCCTAATGACTAATGATACTGATTATCTTTTCCATGTGCTTATTGGCCATTTGTATATCTTCCTCAGAGAAATGTCTACTCAAGTCTTTTGCCCATTTCTTAATATCGTTGTCTGTTGTTGAGCTGTAGGAGTTGTTAGTGAATAGAAATACAACTGATTTTTGCATATTGATTTTGTATTCTGGTATTAAGTCCTTATCAGGCATATGATTTACAAATATTTTCTCCCATTTTATGGGTTGTCTTTTCACTCTCTTCAAAGTGTCCTTTGAAGCACAAATTCTTACTTTTAGAAGTCCAACTTACTGTTTGTTGTCTGTGCTCTTGGTGTCATATGTAAGAAACCACTGTCAAATCCAAGGTTATGAAGATTTATCTCCACATTTTCCTCTAAGAGTTTTATAGTTGTAGATTGTAAATTTAGTCTTTGGTCCATTTTGAGTTAAATTTTATATATGGTTTAATGTAAGGGTCCAATTTCATTTTTTGCGTGTGGATATTCAGTTTTCCCAGCACCATTTGTTGAATAATCTATCTTTTCTCACTAAATGGTCTTGGCACCTTTGTCAAATATCAATTTTCCATAGACGTGAGGGTTTATTTCTGGGCTCTCAATTTAATTCCATTGGTCTATATGTCTATCATTATGCCTGTATCGTTTTGATTACTATAGCTTTGTAGTAAATTCTCAAATCAAGAAGTATGAGTCCTCTGACTTTGTTCTTTTTCAAGATTGTTTTGGGTATTATGGGTCCCTAGAAATTTAATATGAATTTTAGTATGGATTTTTTTAATTAAAAAATGCAATTGGGATTTTTATAGGTACTGCATGGAAGTTACACATTGTTTTGGGTAGTATTGTCATCAAAACAATTATTCCAACACATGAACATGGGATGTCTATCTATTTAGATATTCAATTTCTTTTTATTTTATTTTTTATTTTTTATTATAGTTTAAGTTCTAGGGTACATGTGCACAACGTGCAGGTTTGTTACATATGTATACACATGACAAGTTGGTTTGCTGTACTCATTAACTGGTCATTTACATTAGGTATTTCTCCTAATGCTATCCCTCCCCCATCCCCCCACCCCACACCAGGCCCCAGTGTGTGGTGCTCCCTGCCCTGTGTCCAAGTGTTCTCATTGTTCAATTCCCACCTATGAGTGAGAACATGTGGTGTTTGGTTTGCAGTCCTTGTGATAGTTTGCTCAGAATGATTTCCAGCTTCATCTATGTCCCTAGAGAAGACATGAACTCATCCTTTTTTATGGCTGCATAATATTTCATGGTGTATATGTGCCACATTTTCTTAATCCAGTCTATCATTGATGGATATTTGGGTTGGTTCCAAGTCTTTGCTATTGTGAATAGTGCCACAATAAACATACGTGTGCATGCATCTTTATAGTAGCATGATTTATAATCCTTTGGCTATATACCCAGTAATGGGATCACTGGGTCAAATGGTATTTCTGGTTCTAGATCCTTGAGGAATCGCCACACTGTCTTCCACAATGGTTGAACTAGTTTACACCCCCAACAGTGTAAAAGTGTTCCTATTTCTCCACGTCCTCTCCAGCACCTGTTGCTTTCTGACTTTTTAATGATCGCCATTCTAACTGGTGTGAGATGGTATCTCATTGTGGTTTTGATTTGCATTTCTGATGACCAGTGATCATGAGCATTTTTTCACGTGTCTGTTGGCTGCATAAATGTCTTCTTTTGAGAAGTGTCTGTTCATGTCCTTCGCCCACTTTTTGATGGGGTTGTTTGATTTTTTCTTGTAAATTTGTTTAAGTTCTTTATAGATTCCGGATATTAGCCCTTTGTCAGATGAGTAGATTGCAAAAATTTTCTCCCATTCTATAGGTTGCCTGTTCACTCTGATGGTAGTTTCTTTTGCTGTGCAGAAGCTCTTTAGTTTAATTAGATCTCATTTGTCAATTTTGGCTTTTGTTGCCATTGCTTTTGGTGTTTTAGACATGAAGTCCTTGCCCATGCCTATGTCCTGAATGGTATTGCCCAGGTTTTCTTCTAGGGTTTTTATGGTTTTAGGTCTAATATTTAAGTCTTTCATCCATCTGGAATTAATTTTTGTATAAGGTGTAAGGAAGGGATCCAGTTTAAGCTTTCTACATATGGCTAGCCAGTTTTCCCAGCATCATTTATTAAATAGGGAATCCTTTCCCCATTTCTTGTTTTTGTCAGGTCTATCAAAGATCAGAGGGTTGTAGATGTGTGGTGTTATTTCTGAGGCCTCTGTTCTGTTCTGTTAGTCTATATCTCTGTTTTGGTACCAGTACCATGATGTTTTGGTTACTGTAGCCTTGTAGTATAGTTTGAAGTCAGGTAGCATGATGCCTCCAGCTTTGTTCTTTTGGCTTAGAATTGTCTTGACAATGCCAACTGTTTTTTGGTTCCATATGAACTTTAAAGTAGTTTTTTCCATTCTGTGAAGAAAGTCATTGGTAGTTTGATGGGGATGGCATTGAATCTATAAATTACCCTGGGCAGTATGGCCATTTTCACGATATGGATTCTTCCTATCCATGAGCATGGAATGTTCTTTCATTTGTTTGTGTCCTCTTTTATTTTGTTGAGCAGTGGTTTGTAGTTCTCCTTGAAGAGGTCCTTCACATCTCTTGTAAGTTGGATTCCTAGGTATTTCATTCTCTTTGTAGCAGTTGTGAATGGGAGTTCACTCATGATTTGGTTGTTTGTCTGTTACTGGTGTGAAGGAATGCTTGTGATTTTTGCACATTGATTTTGTATCCTGAGACTTTGCTGAAGTTGCTTATCAGCTTAAGGAGATTTTGGGCTGAGACGATGGGGTTTTCTAAATATACATTCATGTCATCTGCAAACAGGGACAATTTGACTTCCTCTTTTCCTAATTGAATACCCTTTATTTCTTTCTCCTGCCTGATTGCCCTGGCCAGAACTTCCAACACTATGTTGAATAGGAGTGGTGAGAGAGGGCATCCCTGTCTTGTGCCAGTTTTCAAAGGGAAGGCTTCCAGTTTTAGCCCATTCAGTATGATATTGGCTGTGGGTTTGTCATAAATAGCTCTTATTATTTTGAGATACGTTCCATCAATACCTAGTTTACTGAGAGCTTTTAGCATGAAGGGCTGTTGAATTTTGTCAAAGGTGTTCTCTGCATCTATTGAGATAATCATGTGGTTTTTGTCTTTGGTTCTATTTATGTGATGGATTACGTTTATTGATTTGTGTATGTTGAGCCAGCCTTCCATTGCAGGGATGAAGCCGACTTGATCTTGGTGGATAAGCTTTTTGATATGCTGCTGGATTCAGTTTGCCAGTATTTTATTGAGGATTTTCGCATGGGTGTTCATCATGGATATTGGTCTAAAATTCTCTTTTTTGTGTGTGTGTCTCTGCCAGGCTTTGGTATCAGGATGATGCTGGCCTCGTAAAATGAGTTAGGGAGGATTCCCCCTTTTTCTATTGATTGGAATAGTTTCAGAAGGAATGGTACCCGCTCGTCTTTGTAATTCTGGTAGAATTGGGCTGTGAATCCATCTGGTCCTCGACTTTTTTTGGTTGGTAGGCTATTAATTATTGCCTCAATTTCAGAGCCTGTTATTGGTCTGTTCAGGGATTCAAGTTCTTCCTGGTTTAGTCTTGGGAGGATGTATGTGTCCAGGAATTTATCCATTTCTTCTAGATTTTCTAGTTTATTTGTGTAGAGGTGTTTATAGTATTTTCTGATGGTAGTTTGTATTTCTGTGGGATCGGTGGTGATATCCCTTTTATTAGTCTTGCTAGTGGTCTATCTATTTTGTTGACCTTTTCAACAAACCAGCTCTTGGATTCAGTGATTTTTTGAAAGGTTTTTTGTTTCTCTATCTCCTTCAGTTCTGCTCTAATCTTAATTATTTCTTGCCTTCTGCTAGCTTTTGAATTTGTTTGCTCTTGCTTCTCTAGTTCTTCTAATTGTGATGTTAGGGTGTCGATTTTAGATCTTTCCTGCTTTCTCTTGTGGGCATTTAGTGCTATAAATGTCCTTCTACACACTGCTTTAAATGTGTCCCAGAGGTTTTGGTATGTTGCGTCTTTGTTCTCATTGGTTTCAAAGAACACCTTTATTTCTGCCTTCATTTCATTATTTACCCAGTAGTCATTCAGGAGCAGGTTGTTCAGTTTCCATGTAGTTGTGTGGTTTTGAGTGAATTTCTTAATCCTGAGTTCTAGTTTGATTGCACTGTGGTCTGAGAGACAGTTTATTATAATTTCTGTTCTTTTGCATTTGCTGAGGAGTGCTTTACTCCCAACTATGTGGTCAATTTTGGAATAAAGGCAATGTGGTGCCAAGAAGAATGTATATTCTGTTGATTTGGGCTGAAGAGTTCTGTAGATGTCTATTAGGTGTGCTTGGTGCAGAGGTGAGTTCAAGTCCTGGATATCCTTGTTAACCTTCTGTCTTGTTGATCTGTCTCATACTGACAGTGGGATGTTGAAGTCTCCCATTATTATTGTGTGGGAGTCTAAGTCTCTTTGTAGGTCTCTAGGACTTGCTTTATGAATCTGGGTGCTCCTGTATAGGGTCCATATATATTTAGGATAGTTAGCTCTTCTTGCTGAATTGATCCCTTTACTATTATGTAATGGCCTTAATTGTCTCTTTTGATCTTTGTTGGTTTAAAGTCTGTTTTATCAGAGACTAGGATTGCAACCCCTTCCTTTTTTTGCTTTCCATTTGCTTGGTAGATCTTCCTCCTTCCCTTTATTTTGAGCCTATGTGTGTCTCTGCACGTGACATGGGTCTCCTGAATGCAGCAGTGATGGGTATTGACTCTTTATCCAATTTGCCAGTCTGTGTCTTTTAATTAGGGCATTTAGCCCATTTACATTTAAGATTAATATTGTTATGTGTGAATTTGATCCTGTCATTATGACGCTAGCTGGTTATTTTGCCCATTATTTGATGCAGTTTCTTCCTAGCATCGATAGTCTTTACAATTTGGCATGTTTTTGCAGTGGCTGGTACTGGTTGTTCCTTTCCATGTTTAGTGCTTCCTTTAGGGGCTCTTGTAAGGTAGGCCTGTTGGCGACAAAATCTCTCAGCATTTGCTTGTCTGTAAAGGATTTTATTTCTCCTTCACTTATGAAACTTAGTTTGGCTGGATATGAAATTCTGGGTTGAAAATTCTTTTCTTTGAGAATGTTGAATATTGGCCCCTACTCTCTTCTGGCTGGTAGAGTGTCTGCCGAGAGATCTGCTGTTAGTTTGATGGGCTTCCCTTTGTGGGTAACCCAATCTTTCTCTCTGGTGCCTGTTAACATTTTTTCCTTCATTTTAACCTTGGTTAATCCGAAAATTATGTGTGTTGGGGTTGCTCTTCTCAAGGAGTATGTTTGTAGTGTTCTCTGTATCTTCTGAATTTGAATGTTGGCCTGCCTTGCTAGGTTGGGGAAGTTCTCCTGGATAATAGCCTGAAGAGTGTTTTCCAGCTTGGTTCCATTCTCCCTGTCACTTTCAAGTACACCAATCAAACAGAGATTTGGTCTTTTCACAGAGTCCCATATTTCTTGGAGGCTTTGTTCGTTTCTTTTTATTCTTTTTTCTCTAAACTTCTCTTCTCTCTTCATTTCATTAATTTGATCTTCAATCACTGATACGCTTCTTTCCACTTGATCGAATCAGCTACTGAAGCTTGTGCATGTGTCACATAGCTCTCGTGCCATGGTTTTCAGCTCCATCAGGTCACTTAAGGTCTTCTCTACACTGTTTATTCTAGTTAGCCATTCGTCTAATCCTTTTTCAAGGATTTTAGCTTCCTTGCGATGGGTTCGAACATCCTCCTTTAGCTTGGAGAAGTTTGTTATTATTGACCTTCTGAAGGCTACTTCTGTCAACTTGTCAAAGTCATTCTCCGTCCACCTTTGTTCTGTTGCTGGCAAGAAGCTGTAATCTTTTGCAGGAGGAGAGGTGCTCTGGTTTTTAGAATTTTCAGCTTTTCTGCTCTGGTTTCTCCCTATCTTTGTGGTTTTATCTATCTTTGGTCTTTGATGATGGTGACCTACAGATGGGGTTTTGGTGTGGATGCCCTTTTTGTTGATGTTGATGCTATTCCTTTCTGTTTGTTAGTCTTCCTTCTAACAGGTCCCTCAGCTGCAGGTCTGTTGGAGTTTGCCAGAGTTCCACTCCAGACCCTGTTTGCCTGGGTATCACCAGCGGAGGCTGAAGAACAGCAAATACTGCAGAACAGCAAATACTGCTGCCTGATCCTTACTCTGGAAGCTTCGTATCAGAGGGGCACCTGGGTGTATGAGGTGTCAGTCAGCCCCTACTGGGAGGTATCTCCCAGTTAGGCTGCACGGGTGTCAGGGACCCACTTGAGGCAGTTTTTCCATTCTCAGAGCTCAAATACCATGCTGGGAGAACGACTGCTCTCTTCAGAGCTGTCAGACTGGGACGTTTAAGTCTGCAGAAGTTTCTGATGCCTTTTGTTCAGCTGTGCCCTGCCCCAGAGCTGGAGTCTACAGAGGCACGTAGGCCTCATTGAGCTGCGGTGGGCTCCACCCAGTTTGAGCTTCCTGGCTGCTTTGTTTACCCACTCAAGTCTTAGCAATGGTGGACACTCTTCCCCCAGCTAGGCTGCCGCCTCACAGTTCGATCTCAGACTGCTGTGCCAGCAGTGAGCAAGGTTCCATGGGCATGGGACCCACTGAGCCAGGCACAGGATATAATCTCCTGGAGTGCCGTTTGCTAAGACCATTGGAAAAGTGCAGTATTAAGCTGGAATGTCCCAATTTTCCTGGTACGGTCTGTCATGGCTTCCCTTGGCTAGGAAAGGGAAATCCCCCAACCCCCTGCGTTTCCCAGGTGAGGCAATGCCCTGCCCTGCTTCAGCTTGCCCATGGGCTGCACCCACTGTCCAAGCAGTCCCAATGAGATGAACCAGGTACCTCAGCTGGAAATGCAGAAATCACCTGTCTTCTTCATTGATCACACTGGGAGCTGCAGACCAGAGCTGTTCCTATTCAGCCATCTTGGAACAGACCTCCAACATAGTACATTTTCTACTTTTTAAAAAAACTTTCTATGAAGGAATGGAAGATTGGCTCAAATTCTAGAACTTTTTTATTATCATCATACATAAGATAAAATAGTATTTATTAAATTTACATGTATGTAAATAAGTACTAGAAAACAAAATTAATAGTTGATGTTAACTGAGTGCTCACTAGTATCAGGCTCTGTGATGAACCATATATGCCTAATCTAAAATCTTCACAAGAATTCTGTGAGGTAGGTATTTTTAGCCCCTTTTATGATGACTTAGAATAAATAATTTGTGCAAATTAACACAGCTGGTAAGAAATAGAACACAGAAACCAATGTAGGTTGACTAAAAGATTCATGTATTTAGATACTACCCTTATCCAAATAACAGTCCAGGTACAAATTAGCCCTAAGAATAAACTGAGGGGGGCTCACTTATAAAGACATTAATTATGAAGGTACAGGTGCTATATAAGAGAATCATAAGAGATAGTGCAGTTACCTGGGGCTAGCAAAAGCAGAGCTGTTGCCATCCCTACAGCCAGAGGGACCAGTTGTTGGTAAATGTGTTGTGGAGAGAAGGCTTCCTGGAGAGAAGTGTTACCCTTCAACAGAGGGACAAGCCAACCTGACATAATTCTGGAGGGAAGGGCACAGCAGGAGAAATATTCTGTCCCCATTCTCTCCTATAGCTTGCCAGAGCTCCCGACTGGTTAACAACTGGAAGCCAGGAGACATGGAAGTTAGCTTCCTGGGGTGAATAAGGTAAAAAAGGATGGAGAATAGATCTATGATGGGAGGTGGGGCAAAGAAAAGGTATCCAGGACAACCATGGATACATAATATAATTCCAACAAATATGCTTTAAACTGAGACACTTCAAAATTAGTGGGAAGGAAAAACAATAGGCCTACAGATCTGTACAGCAGACAAAAAGATGTAAAGTACATGCAAGTAAATATGTAAAGTTCTCTTCTGCCCCATGCTGAGAAAAGTATTAAAGATACATTGCTATAAAAATGTTTAAAACAGTTTCTTGAAACGATTTCCTAATGTTGGATTGAAGCATACTAGCTGAGCATATAATTTGTTCAGTAATTGTCTATAAGTATGCCTGAGTATGGAGGACGTGAAGAAGAAAGAATTATTTATCATAGCATCTGGTTTCTGATAAGTATGATATTGACTGACTTATTTGGAATGTGATGGCTCTTTAATAAAAATATATGATACTAGTAGCAATAAATAATCTGAATAGTCATGCTTCGAGATTGCCTTCACATTTTAAACTTTTATTTTTACTAGCACTTTGATTGGCAATATAGTGTTCTATACAATGCCTTGTACATCATAGATGACGTATTTAATTGATTATTTAATGAAAGAAATGAGTTACCTATTGACTTATATATATGTTTTTACCTTTATGGTAAAATTAAAATGAACAGAAGCCTAGGGTTTAGTACAATGAGTAAGATATTAGAAAACATTTGGCAATCTTAAAAAGATAATTATACAAGGTCTGTTTATTAGATATCATCTTTAAAATTGTTAATGTTTTATGAAAATAGAGCCCTAAGCATGTTAGCACATACAGCATAAAAGTTTATTTCAGGTCTTGCTTTCACACACTGGGAGAACACTGTGATCTGTGAAAGTCAGAATAAGCCTGTTTTAGAAAACAGGATATGTGGCAGCATTCACACTCAAAAGCCTTCGGAGCTCACTGAGTTAAGGGTGTGATTTATAGAGTCATACAGACTGGTGTTTCAATCCTGGCTCTGACACAGGCAAATGAGATTAACTTTGAGTCTAAGTTTTCTAATGTGTAAGATGTATAAAACAATAGCTCTGTAGAGGATGGCAGGGGGCCATAGGTAGGTGCCCTGGCAGTGGCAGCTCAGGTGCTGTGGGTAGGAAGTGCTCCAGTGGGAGGCACCATAGGCAGGCAGTTCTTGAGTGGGGATGCTGCAGGTTAGAAGTGTATGGCATCCATGACTGGGATTATTACCATTTTTGGGATTTCTTTAGGCCATATATTACTTGGAACCTAAACATGTGATTTTACATAGTGTATCTGCACTATAATTGAAAGTTGAGATTTTTCACTGGAATGACATAGCAACATAAATTAATGTAGCAGCAGCAACAGCAGCAGTATTGTGGTAGCAGTAAAAAATAATAATTTAACAACTTACATCAAAATAATATAGACACTATGGCTTTAGTGAGAGGTTGTCATGTAAATTCAAGAAATGCAGAGAACCCTTGTGAGATACTATGTAAGACAACCATCCCCAAGACACACAGTCATCAGATTCTCCAAGGTAGATGTGAAAGAAAAAATCGTATAGGTAACTAGAGAGAAGCGGCGGGTCACTTACAAAGGGAACTCTGTCAGGCTCAGTAGACCTTTCCGCAGAAACTTTACAAGCCAGAAGAGACTGGGAGCCTATTTTCAATATCTTTAAATAAAAGAAATCCCAAGCAATAATTTTATAGCCCACCAACTAAGCTTCATAAGCAAAAGAGAACGCAATTCTTTCCAGACAAGCAAAAGCTAAGGGAGGCTGACTGCAGTGGCTCATGCTTATAATCCTAGCATTTTGGGAGGCTGAGGTGGGCAGATTGCTTGAGCCCCAGGAGTTTGAAACAAGCCTGGGAAGCAAAGAGAGACCCTATCCCTACAAAAAAATACAAAATTACCCAGGTGTGGTGACATGCACCTGTAGTCCCAGCTACTTAAGAGACTGAGGTGGGATCATTTGAGCCCAGGATGCAGAGGTTGCAGTGAGCTGAGATTGTACTACTGCACTCCAGCTGGGGAGATAGATAGAGCAAGAGTGTACCTTAAAAAAACAAAAAAGCTACGGGAATCTGATAGCAGTAGACCTGTTTTACAAGAGCTCCTAAAGGAAGTGCTAAACATGGAAATGAAAGAGCAATATTTGTCACCATAAAAACACACTTAAGAACATACCCCATTGACACTATAATGCAACTATACAATTAAGTCTACATAACAACCAGCTAAAAGCGTGATGATAAGACCAAATCCTCACATAGCAATATCGACCATGAATGTAAACAGGCTAAATGCCTCGATTAAATGGTATAGAGTGTCAAGGCGGATAAAGAAGCAAGACCCAAATGTTTGCTGTCTTCAAGAGATCCATCTCAGAAGTAACAGCAATAGGCTTAAAGTAAAGGAATGGAGAAAGATTGATTAGGTAAATAGAAAACAGAAACAGCAGGGGTTGCTATTCTTATACCAGACAAACAAACATTAAAGCAACAACAATCGAACAAAGAAAAATATTACATAATAATAAGGGGCTCAATCCATCAAGAAGACTTAACTATTCTAAATATATACATACCCAAAATTAGAGTTCCCAGATCCATAAAAAAGGTTCTTAGAGATCTATGAGGAAATACAGACAAACACACGATAACAATGGGAGATTTCAACACCACCTTGACAGTGTTACATCATCAAGGCAGAAAACTAACAAATATTTTCTGGACTTAAACTCAATACTTGACCAATTAGACCTAATAGACACTACAGAACACTCCATCCAACAACAGAATACATATTCTTCTCATCTGCACATGGCACATACTTTAAGATCAATGACATGCTAAACCATAAAGAAAGTTTCAACAAATTAAAAAAATTGAAATCATACCAAACACATTCTCAGACCACAGCATAGTAAAAACAGCAATCAATACTAAGATCTATTAAAACCATACAATTACATGTTAACCTACTCTTGAATGACTTTTGGGTAAATAACAAAATTAAGGCAGAAATCAAAACATTATTTGAAATGAATGAAAACAGACACAACATACCAGTTTGGGACACAGTTACAGTTGCATTAAGAGGAAGATTCATAGCACTAAACTCCTACGTGAAGAAGTTAGAAAGCTCTCAAATTAACAATCTTGCATTATACCTCGAGGAACTATAAAAATAGGAACAAACCAAACCCAAAGCTAGCAGAAGAAAAGAAATAACCAAAATCAGAGCTGAACTGAATAAAACTGAGATGCGAAAATCCAGACAAAGTATCAATGCCCCCAAAAGTTGGTTCTTCAAAAGATGAAACAAGATTGAAACTGCTAATTAATTAGATTAATAAAGAAAAAAGAAGATCCAAATAAACCCAATCTGAAGTGACAAAGGTGACATTTCAACCAACCCTACAAAAATACAAAAGTTCACCAGAGAATATTATGAACACCTCTATGCACACAATTAGGAAATCTAGAAGACATTGATAAATTCCTGGAAACACATAGCCTTCTAAGATTGAACCAGGAAGAAATTACAATTTGGAACAGACCTATAACAAGTTCTGATATTGAATCAGTAATAAAAAGCCTACCAACCAAAAAAAGCCCTGAACCAGATGGATTCACAGCCAAATTCTCCCAGACATAAAAAGAAGAGCTGATGTCAGTCCTATTCTAACTATTCAAAAAAAAAAAAATCAAGGAGAGGAGATTCTTCTGCAGCTCATTCTATGAAGCCAGCATCATCCTCATACCAAAATCTGGCAGAGATACAATGAAAAAAGGAAACTTCAGGTCAATATCTCTGATGAACATGCAAAAATCTTCAACAAAATACATGCAAACCAAATCCAGCAGTGCATCAAAAAACTAATGCACTAAGATTAAATAGGCCATATTCCTGGGATGCAAGGTTGGCTTAACATATGCAACTAAATAAATATGATTCACTACATAAACAAAATTAAAAACAAAAACCATGATCATCTCAGTATATGCAGAAAAGGTCTTTAATATATGTGAAAGTCTCAATAAATGTAGAAAAGGTCTTCAATAAAATTAAACATCCCTTCATGTTAAACATCCTCAACAAATTAGGCATCAAAAAAACATACCTCAAAATAAAAAGAGGCATTTAGGACAAACCCACAGCCAATATCATAATAAACAGGCAAAAGCTGGACACATTCTCCTTGAAAACTGGAACAAGACAAGGATGCCTGTTCTCAACATTGGTATTCAACATAGCACTGGAAGTCTTAGCCAGGGCAATCAGGCAAGAGAAAGAAAGAAAAGAGATCGAATAGGAAAAGAGGAAGTCAAATAATCTTTCTTCACAGATGATATGATTGTATACCTAGAAAACCCTAGAGATGCTGCCAATAGGCTTTTATAACCAATAAGCAATTTCAGGACACAAAATAAATGTACAAAAATAAGTAGCATTTCTATATATCATTAGCATTCAAGCTGAGAGGCAAATCAAGGACATAAATCCATTTACAATAGCCACAAACAAAAATATCTAGGAATATATCTAACTAAGAAGGTGAAAGATCTCTACCAGGAGAGTTATGAGACACTGGTGAAAGAAATTATAGACAATATAAACAAATGGAAAAATGTTCCATGCTCATGAAAAGGAAGTGTATTAGTCTGTTCTTGCATTGTTATAAATAATTGCCTGAGACTGGGTATTCATAAAGAAAAAAAGTTTCATTGGCTCACAGTTCTGCAGGCTATACAGGAAGCATGGCTGAGGAAGCTTCAGGAAATGTACAATCATGATGGAAGGTGAGGAGGAAGCAGGCGCATCGTACATGGCTGCAGCAGGAGGAAGACAACAAAGAGAGAGGTGCTACACACTTTTAAAACAACCAGATCTTCTAAGAACTCACTATCACAAGAATAACAAGCAGAAAATCCACCTCCATGATCAAATCACCTCCCACCAGGCCCCTCCTCTAACAATTCGACATGAGATTTGGCTGGGAACACAAATTCAAACCATATTGGGAAGAGTTAAGATTGATAAAATGGCCATACTGCCCAAAGCAATCTACAGATTCAACATTATTCCTGTGAAACTACCAATGTCATTTATGACAGAATTAGAAAAAGCTATTCTAAAGTTGGCATGAACCAAAAAAAAAAAAGTCCAAATCATCAAAGTAATCCTAAGCAAAACAAAGAGCCATCACACTTCCTGACTTCAAATTATACTACAAGGCTATAGTAACCCAAACAGCATGATACTGGTACAGAAACAGACATAGACTCATGGAAAAGGATAGAGAAACCAGAAAGAAAGCCAGATACTGACAACCAGTTGATCTTTGACAAAGTCAACTATAATACATAATGGGGAAAGGACTCTCTATTCAATAAATAGTGCTGGGACATTCTAGCCAAATGCAGAAGATTGAAACTGGATCCCCTCCTTTTACCATATACAAAAACTGACTCCAGATGGATTAAAGACTTAAATGTAAGACCGAAAGCAATCAAAACCCTAGAAGAAAACCTTGGCAATACCATTCTGGGCAGTGGCCAGGAAAGGATTTATGACTAATTCCTCAAAAGCTATTGCAACAAAAGCAAAAATTGACAAATGGGACCTAATTAAACTGAAGAGCTTCTGCACAACCAAATATTTAAATATCATCAGAGTGTACAGACAACCTACAAAATGGAAGAAAATTTTTGCAATCTATCCATCTGACAAAGGTCTAATATCCAGAGACTATAAGGAACTTAAAACAAATTCACAATTAAAAAAAAACCCATTAGAAAGTGGACAAAAAACATGAACAGATACCTCTCAAAAGAAGAAATTCACACAGCCAACGAACGTAAGGAAGAAAGCTCAACATCACTGATCATTAGAGAAATGCAAATTAAAACCTCAATGAGATACCATCTCATGCCAGTCAGAATGGAGATTATTAAAAAGTCAAACAACATATGCTGGCAAGGTTGCAGAGAAAAAGGAACACTTTTACACATTGGTGTTAGTGTAAGTTAGTTGAACCATTGTGGAACTAACTGGAATTGCCATCAGTATGGCGATTCCTCAAAGATCTAGAAGCAAAAATACCATTTGACCCAGCAATCCTATTACTTGGTATATGCCCAAAGGAATATAAATCATTCTGTTATAAAGATACATGTGCATATATATTCACTGCAGCACTATTCACAATAGCAAAGACATGGAATCAACCTTAATGCACATCAATGATAGACTGGTAGTACATATACACCATGGAATACTATGCAGCCATAAAAAGGAATGAGATCATGTCCTTTGCAGGGACATGGAAGGAGTTGGAAGCTGTTATCCTCAGCAAACTAATGCAGGCACAGAAAACCAAATATGTTCTCACTTACAAGTGGGAGCTGAACGATGGGAACACACGGCCACATGGTGGTGAGGGGAACAACACACACTGGGGCCTGTTGGGGGAGCTGGGGGAGGGAGAGCATCAGGAAGAATAGCTAATGGATGCTGGGCTTAATACCTAGGTGATGGATTGATCTATGCAGGAAACAACGATGGCACACACTTACCTGTGTAACAAACCTGCACATCCTGTATGTAACCTGGAACTTAATCTACAGAATGGGAGAATATATTTGCAAACTATGCCTCCAACAAAGGTCTAGTATCCAGAATCTATAAGAAACTTAAATCAAAAAGCAAAAAACAAATATCCCAGTTTTAAAACTGGCAAAAGACATGAACAAATACATCTCAAAATAAGAAATATATGCCACTAACAAATATATGAAAAAATGCTCATCATCACTAATCGTCAGTGAAATGCAAATCAAAACCACAATGAGATACCATCTCACATCAGTCAAAATGGCTATTACCAAAATGTCAAAACACAAGAAATGCTGGTGAGGTTGCATAGAAAAGGGAGCACTTATACACTGCTGGTGGAAATGTAAATCAGTTCAGTCATTGTGAAAAGCAGTGTGGAGATTTCTCAGAGAACTTAAAACTACCATTTGACCTAGCAATCCTACTATATGATATATACCCAAAGGATAATAAATTCTTCTGCCAAAAATACATATGCATGTGGATATATATTGTAGCACTATTCACAATAGCAAAGACATGGAGTCAACAAAGATGCCCATCAACAGTGGACTGAATAGTACATATATACCATGGAATACCATGCAGCCACAGAAAGAATGAAGTCATATCTTTTGCAGAAACATGGAAGCAGCTGGACGCCATTATCCTAAGTGAACTAATGCAGGAACAGAAAACCAAACGCTACATGTTGTCACTTATAAGTGGGAGCTAAACAATGGGTACTCATGGACACACAGAAGGGAATAATAGATATTAAAGACTGCTTGAGGAAGAATGGTGGGGAGAGAGACATGGTTTTTAGGGCTACCTGTCAGGTACTATGCTCACTACACAGGATGAGGGGGTCATTTGTACACGAAGGATCAGCAACATAAAATTTATTAACAAACCTGTACATGTACCTCTAGAACTTCAACTTAAAAAAATAGAAAAAAAAATAGAAAAAAATAAAAATACTTGAGACTGGGTAATTTATAAAGAAAAGAAGTTCAGGGGGCAGGGCCAAGATGGCTGACTAGAAGCAGCAGCATTCCGAGGCTCGCATAGGAAAGAAACCATAATAAGCCTGTGAATCCTTCACTGGCAACCAAGGTATCCAGGTTCTCTCATCAAAATTGACTAGAAGGCTGGCATGACTGACTGAGAGAAGGAAGAGCAGTGTGGTGTGGCGGTCCACCTGTGATCCACACAGGGAAGGGGAACTTCCCTCAAGCCAAGGGAGGCAGTGAGTGAGCACACTACCCAGCCAGGGGAAACTGTGCTTTTCAAATTGAACTGTGCAACCCATGGATTGGAAGATACACTTGCGAACCCATTCCACCAGGGCCTAGCGTCCCAACCCTAGAATGTGCAGATTCTCACAGCCTCTCAGCTGGAATCTGCTTAAGCCCACCTAACTCTTGCGGGGAGAGGCGACCAGCACTGGCTGCGGCTACCTGCTGTCTAAGCCATTTGAGCTCCTTGGGGAAGGGGCAGCAGCCAGCCCTGGGACTAGCAACTACCTAACACTCTAAGCTCCCTGGGCAGGGGAAGCGTGGCACCCATTTGTATAGCTCCAGGCTGGGCTTTTTCCCTGCTGGAGCAAGGGAGGCTGGACCACTTGGTCCCAAGACTTGTCCCCACAGCCCAAAACACCGGCTGTGGCAGTCTGCGGCCAAAGTGCCTTTTCAGGTCTAACCCTGACCCACCTTCCTCAGTGGGCGGGGCTTCCCTGAACAATCTCCAATAACTCCAGCCAGAGGCTCAGGGACAGAATTCAGATCTCCCTGGGCCAGAGCCCCTGGGGGATCGGGGAGGTGGCCTCAGTCTCTGCAGACCAGCCAACTTAGCCTCTCCTCCTGGTAGTTCTGAGGAATCCAGGCAGCTCAGACGAGTGGGTTTCCCCCCAGTGAAACACACCCTCTAGAACAAGGAATAAAGTACTTCATTAAACAGGTCCTGCTCCCTGTGCCACCCAACTGGGTGAGACCATCCAACAGGGGTTATCAGACACCTTATACAGGAGTGATCCTACTGGCATCAGGTTGGTGCCCCTCAAGGTCAGAGGTCCCAGAAGATGGAGCAGGCACCCATCTTTGCTGGTCTCCAGCCTCCTTGAGTGACATCTCCAGGCACAGGAGCAAATAAGATGAATAGGGAAGTGAACCCCCAGGAAACTGCAGCAGCCCTACAGAAGAGGGACTTGACTATTGAAACAAAAACAAGTACAAAGTGACAACAGCACCAAAAACAACAAAAAGACCCCCATAAAAACCCCATGCAAGGGTCAGCAGCCTCAAAGACCAAAACTAGACAAACTCATGAAGATGGGAAAGAATCAACAAAAAAATGCTGAAAACCCCAAAAGCCAGAGTGCCTCCTCTCCTCCAAATGATCGCAGTGTCTCTCCAAGGTGCAGAACTGGATGGAGGATCAAATGGACAAAGTGACAGAAGAAGGCTCCAGAAGATGGGTAATAAAAAACTATGACGAGGTAAAGGAACATGTTCTAACCCAATGCAAAGAAGCTAAGAAGACTGATGAAAGGTTAGAGGAATTGCTAACTAGAATAACTAGTGTAGAGAGGAACATAAACGACCTGAAGGGGCTGGAAAACACAGCATGAGAACTTTGTGAAGAATACATGAGTATCAACAGCCAAACTGACCACATGGAAGAAAGGATATTGGAGTTTGAAGACCACCTTACTGAAATAAGACACAGAGACAAGTATAGAGAAAAAAGAATGAAAAGGAATGAACAAAACCTCCAAGAAATATGGGACTTAATAAAAAGACTGAACCTATGATCGACCGGAGTACCAGAAGGAGACAGGGAAAATGGAAACAAGCTGGAAAACACACTTCAGGATATTAGCCAGGAGAACTTCCCCAACCTAGCAAAACAGACCAACATGCAAATCAGGAAATACAGAGAACACCACCGTTAAGATACTCCACGAGAAGATCAACCCCAAGACACATAATCATTAGATTCTCCAAGGTTGAAATGAAGGAAAAACTGTTAAGAGCAGCCAGGGAAAAAGGCCAGGTAACCTACAAAGGGAAGCCCATCAGACTAACAGCGGACTTCTCAGGAGAAACTCTACAAGCCAGAAGAGACTGGGGGCTAATATTTAACATTCTTAAAGAATTTTCAACCCAGAATCTCATATCCAGCCAAACTAAGCTTCATAAGCGGAGGAGAGATAAAATCCTTTACAGACAAGCAAATGCTGAGGAATTTCATTACCACCAGGTCAGTCCTGCAAGAGCTCCTGAAAGAAGCACTAAAAATGGAAAAAACAAAACAAAACAAAACCAGTGCCAGCCACTGCAAAAACACACCAAAAAATAAAGACCAATGACATTATGAAGAAACTGCATCAACTAGTATGCAAATTAACCAAATAGCATCATGATGACAGGATCAAATTCACACATAACAATACTACCCTTAAATGTCAATGGGCTAAATGCCCCAATTAAAAGACACAGACTGGCAAATTGGATAAGGAGTCAAGACCCATTGGTGTGCTGTATTCAGGAGACTCATTTTATGTGCAGACATACACAGGCTCAAAATAAAGGGATGGAGGAAAATTTACCAAGCAAATGGAAAGAAAAACAAAACAAAACAAAACAAAACAAAACAAAACGGGTTGCAATCTTAGTCGCTGACAAAACAGACTTTAAACCAACAAAGATCATAAAAGACAAAGAAGGGCATTACACAATGGTAAAGGGAACAATTCAGCAAGAAGAGCTATATTCTGAATATGTATTCACCCAATATAGGAGCACCCAGATTCATAAAATAAGTTCTTACAGACCTACAAAGAGACATAGACTCTGACACGATAACAGTGGGAGACTTCAACACCCCACTGTCAGTATTAGATCAATGAGACATAAAATTAAGGATATTCAGGACTTGAACTCAGCTCTGGATCAAGTAAACCTAGTAAACATCTACAGAACTCTCTACTCCAACAGAATATACATTCTTCTCAGTGCCACATGGCACTTATTCTAAAATTCAACCACATAATTGGAAGTAAAACACTCCTCAGCAAATGCAAAAGAACTGAAATCATAACAGTTTCTCAGAACACAGTTCAATCAAATTAGAACTCAGGATTAAGAAACTCACTCAAAACCACATAGTTTCATGGAAATTGAACAACCTGTTCCTTAATGACTCCTGGGTAAATAACAAAATTAAGGCAGAAATCAAGTTCCTTGAAATCAATGAGAACAAAGAGACAATGCACCAGAATCCCTGAGACACAGTTAAAGAACTGTTAAGAGGGAAGTTTTAGCCCTAAATGTCCACATCAGAAAGCTAAAAAGATCTCAAATCGACACCCTAACATCACAATTAAAAGAGCAAAAGAGGCAAGAGCAAACTTATCCAAAAGCTAGCAGAAGACAAGAAATAACTAAAAGAAGAATTGAAGGAGATAGAGACATGAAAAACCCTCCAAAAAAATCAATCCAGGAGCTTTTTTTTGAAAAAATTAACAAAATAGACTGTTAACTAGACTAATGAAGAAAAAGAGAGAAGAATCAAATAGACAGGATAAAAATGATAAACAGGATATAACCATTGATGCCACGGAAATACAAACTACCATCAGAGAATACTATAAACATCTCTATGCAAAGAAACTAGAAAATCTAGAAGAAATGGATACATTCTGGGATGCATACACCCTACCAAGACTAAACCAGGAAGAAGTTGAATCCCTGAATATACCAATAACAAGCTCTGAAACTGAGGCAGTAATTAATAGCCTACCAACCAAAAAAAGCCCAGGACCAGATGGATTCACAGCTGAATTCTACCAGAAATACAAAGAGGAGCTGGTACCATTCCTTCTGAAACTATTCCAGACAACTGAAAAGGAGGGACTCCTCCCTAACTAATTTTATGAAGCCAGCATCATCCTGATATCAAAACCGGGAAGAGACACAACAAACAAAGAAAATCTCATGTCAATATCCCTGATGAACATTGATGAGAAAATCCTCAATAAAATACTGGCAAACCCAATCCAGTGGCACATCAAAAAACTTATCCATCACGATCAAGTCAGCTTCATCCCTGCGATGTAAAGCTGGCTCAACAGATGCAAATCGATAAATGTAATCCATCACATAAACCAAACCAAAGACAAAAATCACATGATTATGTCAACAGATGCAGAAAAGGCCTTTGATAAAATTCAGCATCCATTCATGTTAAAAACTCTCAATAAACTCGGTATTGATGGAACATATCTCAAAATAATAAGAGTTATTTATGACAAACTCACAGCCAATTTCATATTGAATGGGCAAAAGCTGGAAGCATTCCCTTTAAAAACTGGTACAATACAAGGATGCCCTCTCTCACCACTCCTATTCAACACAGTATAGGAAGTTCTGGCCAGGGAAATCAGGCAAGAGAAAGAAATAAAGGGTATTCAAATAGGAAGAGAGGAAGTCAAGTTGTCTCTGTTTGCAGATAACATGATTTTATATTTATAAAACCACATCATCTCAGCCCCAAAACTTCTTGAACTGATAGGCAACTTCAGTAAAGTCTCAGAATAAAAAATCAATGTGCAAAAATCACAAGCATTCCTTTACACCAACAATAGGCAGGCAGAAAGCTAAATCATGAGTGAACTCCCATTGAAAATCACTAAAACAGAATAAAATACCTAGGAATACAGCTAACAAGGGATGTGAATGCCTCTTTAAGGAAAACTACAAACCACTGCTCAAGCAAATAAGACAGGACACAAACAAATGAAAAAACATTCCATCCTCATGGATAGGAAGAATCAATATCATGAAAATGGCCATACTGCCCAAAGTAAGTTACAGATTCAGTGCTATTCCCATCACACTACCAGTGACATTCTTCACAGAATTAGAAAAAACTATTTTAAATTTCATATGAAATCAAAGAAGACCCCATATAGGCAAGACAATCCTAAGCAAACAAGAACAAAATTGGAGGCATCATGCTAGATGACTTCAAACTATACTACATGGCTACAGTGACCAAAACAGCATGGTATTTGTACATATAGACCAACGGAGCAGGACCAACATACAGACCAATGGAGCAGAACAGAGATCTCAGAAATAATACCACATGTCTACAACCATCTGATCTTCAACAAACCTGACAAAAACGAGCAGTGGGGAAAGGATCTCCTATTCAGTAAATGGTGCTGGGAAGACTGGCTAGCCATATGCAGGAAACTGGAACTGGCCTGGAGCCCTACCTTATGTCTTATACAAAAATTAACTCAAGATGGATTAAAGACTTAAAGGTAAAACCCAAAACCATACAAACCCTAGAAGAAAACCTAGGCAATAGCATTCACACATAGGCATGGGCAAAGACTTCATGACAAAAATGCCAAAAGCAATTGTAACAAAAGCCAAAATTGACAAATGGGATCTAATTAAACTGAAGAGCTCCTGCACAGCAAAATAAACTGTCATCAGAGTGAACAGGCAACTACAGAATGGGAGAAAATTCTTGCAATCTACCTATCTGACGAAGGTCTAACATCCAGAATTTACAAGGAACTTAAACATATTTACAAGAAAAAAACAAACCATCCCATCAAAAAGTAGGCAAAGCATATATGAACAGCTCCTCCTCAAAAGAAGACGTTTACACAGTCAACAAACATGAAAAAAAGCTCAACATCACTGGTCATCAGAGCAAATCAAAACCACAATGAGATACTATTTCACGCCAGTCAAAATGGTGATTATTAAAAAGTCAGGAAACTATAGATGCTGCTGAAGGTGTGGAGAAATAGGAACACTTACACTGTTGGTAGGAATGTAAATTAGTTCAACCATTGTAGAAGACAGTATGGTGATTCCTCAAGGATCTAGAACCAGAAAAACCATCTGGACCCAGCAATCCCACTACTGGGTATATACCCAAGGAATAGAAATCATTCTATTATAAAGACACATACTCATGTATATTTATTGCAGCACTATTTATGCCCATCAATGATAGACTGGATAAAGAAAATCTGGAATAAAACTGGATAAAGAAAACCATGGAATACTATGAAGCCATAAAAAGGAATGACATCATGTCCTTTGCAGGGACATGGATGAAGCTGGAAGCCATCATCCTCAGCAAACTAATAGAGGAGCAGAAAACCAAACACCGCATGTTCTCGCTCACAAATGCGAGTTGAACATTGAGAACACATGGACACAGAGAGGGGAACAATACACCCCATGGCTGTTGGGTGCTGGTGGGCGAGGGAAGGGATCTTAGAGGACAGGTCAGTAGGTCCAGCAAACCACCATGGCACACATATAACTATGTAACAAACCTGCATGTTCTGTACATGTATCCTTTTTTTTTTTAATAGAAGAAATTAAAGAGGTTTAATTGGCTCATGGTTCTGTAGGCTTTACAGGAAGTGTGGTACCAACATCTTCTGGTGAGGCCTCAGGAAGCTTACAATCCTGACAGAAGGCAACAGGGAGTTAGCATGTCACATGGCCAGAGTGGGAACAAGAGAGAGAGGAGGTGGAGCCAGGCTCCTTTAAACCATCAACTCTCATAACAACTCTCACATGAATTAGCAGAGCAAGAACTCACTTATTACCACTGGGAGGGCACCAAACCATTCATGAGCGATCTTCCCCCATAATCCAAACACCTCCTTAAAAGGCTCCACATTGAACATAGGGATTATGTTATCTCATTTGAAATGAGATTTGGAGGGGACAAACATCCAAACCACATCATTCTGCCTCTGATCCCCTAAGTCTTATGTCCTCCTCACATATCAGAATACAACCAAGCCTCTGCAATAGTCCACCAAATTCTTAACCTGCTTCAGCATTAACTCAAGTCTCAAGTGCCAAGTGTCAAGTCTCACGTATCATCTGGAGATGAGTCCATTGATCCTATGAGCCTGTGAGATCAAAAACAAGTTATTTACTGCCAATATACAATGGTGCTACAGATATTGGGTATGCATTATCATTTGAAAAGGGAGAAATTGGCCAAAAGAGAGGCAATACGCCCACACAAGTCTGAAACTCAGCAGGACACTCATTAAATCTTAAAGCTCCAAAACAATCTCCTTTGACATGTCCTACATCCTGGGCAGAATGGTGTGAGATGTAGGCTATGAAGGCCTTGGACAGGTTTGTCCCTGTGGCTTTCCAAGGTGCAGCCCTCATGGCTGCTGTCACAGGTTGGAGTTGAGTACCTATGGCTTTTCCATACTGCGGTTGCAAGCTTCCAATGGCTCTACCAGTCTCAGGTCTGGAGGGTGGCATCCCACTTCCCAAAGCTCCACTAGCCGGTTCCCTGGTGGGGACTCTGCAGGGGCTCCACTCTACGTTTCCCATTGGCACTGCCCTAGTATAGTTTCTCTGTGGGGGCTCTGCTCCTGTAGTAGGCTTCTGCCTGGGTATCCAGACTTCCCCACACGTGCTCTGGAATCCAGGTGGGAGTTGCGAAGCTTCCTTCACATTTGCATTCTGTGCATCTGCAGGCTGAACATCACATGAAAGCTGCCAGGGATTACGGCTTGCTCCCTCTAGGGTGGCAGCCTGAGCTTTACCTTGGCCCAGTTAAGCTGTGGCCGGAGCCTGAGTGGTCACGATGCAGGGAGCACTGTCCTGAGGCTGTGCAGGGAAGTGGGGTCCTGGGCCTGACCACTGAAACCATTCTTCTTCCCTAGGCCTCTAGGCCTGTGATGACAAGGGCTGTCCCTAAGAACTCTGAAATGCCTTCAAGGCCTTTTACCCATTGTCTTGGCTATTAGCACTTGGCTCCCTTTTAGTCACGCTAATCTCTCTAGCAAATGGTTGCTCTGTAGCCTGCTTGGATTTTTTCTACCATAGGGCTGGGCTACAAGTTTTCCAAATTTTTATGCTCTGCTTCCCTTTTAAATATAACTTTAAGTCTTTTATTTGCTTCCATATATGACTTAGGGTGTTAGAAGAAGCCATACCACTTCTTGAATGCTTTGCTGCTTAGATTTTTTTTTTCTGCCAGGTATCTTGTCATCATAATTAAGTTTAAACTCAGATCCCTATGACATGAACACACTGTTGTCAAGTTCTTTGCCAGGGTGTAACATGGGTAATCTTAACTCCAGGTCCCAATAACTCTCTCATTTCCACCTAAGACTTAATCAGCCTGGACTTTATTGTCCATACAGCTATCAGCATTTTGGTTATAACTATTTAATCAGTCTCTAAGAAGTTTCAAACTTTTACTCATTTTCCTGTCTTCTTCTGAGCCTTCCAAACTCTTTCAACCTCTGCCTATTACCCAGTTCCAAAGCTGTTTCCACATTTTCAGGTATTTAACAGCAACACCCCACTCCTGGTACCAATTATCTGTGTTAGTTTGTTCTTGTGTTGCTATAAAGAAGTACCTGAGACTGGGCAATCTATTAAAAAAAGATGGTTAACTGGCTCACAGTTTTGCAGGTTTTACAGAAAGCATGGTGCTGACATCTATCTCTGA
This sequence comes from Homo sapiens, assembly GCF_000001405.40. Lineage (NCBI taxonomy): Eukaryota > Metazoa > Chordata > Mammalia > Primates > Hominidae > Homo > Homo sapiens. The sequence goes on from NC_000004.12 coordinate 106,091,177, forward strand.
TGAAACCTCACAAAGCTTACAATCATGGTGGAAGGTAACAGGGAGCCAGCATGTCACATGGCATGAGCAGGAACAAGAGAAAGGAGGAAGAGCCAGACTTTTAAACAACGAGCTCTCATGTGAACTAACAGAGTGAGAACTCACTTATTACCATGGAGAGGACATCAAGCCATTCACGAAGGATCTGCCCCCATGACCAAACACCTCCCACTGTGTCCGGAACTGGTGGGTTCTTGGTCTCACTGACTTCAAGAATGCAGCCACGGACCCTTGTGGTGAGTGTTACAGTTCTTAAAGGCAGCGCGTCCAGAGTTTGTTCCTTCTGATATTCGGATGTGTTTGGAGTTTCTTCCTTCTGGTGGGTTCGTGGTCTCGCTGGCTCATGAGTGAAGCTGCAGACCTTTGCAGTGAGTGTTACAGCTCTTAAGGCGGCACATCTGGAGTTGTTCGTTCCTCCCGGTGGGTTCGTGGTCTTGATGGGTTCAGGAGTGAAGCTGCAGACCTTCGTGGTGAGTGTTACAGCTCATAAAGGCAGTGTGGACCCAAAGAATGAGCAGTAGCAAGATTTACTGCAAAGAGCAAAAGAACAAAGCTTCCACAGTGTGGAAGGGGACCTGAGCAGGTTGCCACTGCTGGCTGGGGCAGCCTGCTTTTATTCTCTTATCTGGCCCCAACCACATCCTGCTGATTGGTCCATTTTACAGAGAGCTAATTGGTCTGTTTTACAGAGAGCTGATTGGTCTGTTTTGACAGGGTGCTGATTAGTGCATTTACAATCCCTGAGCTAGACACAAAAGTTCTCCACCTCCCCACTAGATTAGCTAGATACAGAGTGCTGATTGGTGTATTTACAAACCCTGAGCTAGACACAGAGTGCTGACTGGTGCATTTACAAACCTTGAGCTAGATACAGAGTGCCGATTGGTGTATTCACAATCCCTTAGCTAGACATAAAGATTCTCCAAGTCCCCACCAGATTAGCTAGATACAGAGTGCTGATTGGTGCATCCACAAACCCTGAGCTAGACACAGGGTGCTGACTGGTATGTTTACAAACCTTGAGCTAGATACAGAGTGCTGATTGGTGTATTTACAATCCCTTAGCTAGACATAAAGGTTCTCCAAGTCCCCACTAGACTCAGGAGCCCAGCTGGCTTCACCCAGTGGATCCCACACTGGGGCCGCAGGTGGAGCTGCCTGCCAGTCCCACACCGTGCACCCACACTCCTCAGCCCTTGGGCAGTCGATGGGACCAGGTGCTGTGAAGCAGGGGGCAGCACTCGTTGGGGAGTCTTGGGCCGGGCAGGAGCCCACGGTGGGTTGGGGGGAGGCTCAGGCATGGTGGGCTGCAGGTCCCGAGCCCTGCCCTGCGGGCAGGCAGCTAAGGCCCGGTGAGAAATCAAGTGCAGCGCTGGTGGGCCAGCACTGCTGGGGGACCTGGCGCACCCTCCGCAGCTGCTGGCCTGAGTGCTAAGCCCCTCACTGCCCAGAGCCGGCCGGCTGCTCCCAGTGCGGGGCCGTCAAGCCCACGCCCACCTGGAACTCTAACTGGCCTGCAAGCAATGTGCGCAGTCCCGGTTCCCGCCTGTGCCTCTTCCTCCACACCTCCCCGCAGGCTGAGGGAGCTGGCTCCAGCCTCGGCCATCCCAGGAAGGGGCTCCCACAGTGCAGTGGCGAGCTGAAGGGCTCCTCAAGTGCAGCCAGAGTGGGTGCTGAGGCCGAGGAGGTGCCAAGAGTGAGCGAGGGCTGCAAGGGCTGCCAGCATGCTGTCACCTCTCACCACCAGGCCAGCCTCCAACATTGGAGATTACATTTCAACATGAGATTTGGAGGGGACAAATAGCCAAACCATGTGTGTTACTATTTTCTGACTTTCTCTGAAATAGGTGTATTGAGATTGTTCTCTGTTGGATGGTAGATACAGTTATATAAAAGATAGGTGAGTGATTTATAACTTAGAAGTAATATCCACTTGCATACTTCTTTAGTATGGTTAGTTAAGTTTCATCATTAAGAATGACTTTCATTTAGTGTCAAAAGTTAATCCTGGCCAGGTGCGGAGGCTCACGCCTGTAATCCCAGCACTTTGGGAGGCCGAGGCGGGCAGATCACTAGGTCAGGAGATTGAGACCACCCTGTCTAACATGGTGAAACCCCGTCTCTACTAAAAATACGAAAAAATTAGCTGGGCGTGGTGGTGGGTGCCTGTAGTGCCAGCTACTCGGGAGGCTGAGGCAGGAGAATGGTGTGAATCTGGGAGATGGAGCTTGTAGTGAGCTGAGATTGCACCACTGCACTCCAGCCTGGGCGAAAGGGCGAGACTCGTCTCAAACAAACAAACAAACAAAAAGTTAATGCTGCTATCAGTCCTGTACTTCTGAGACATGGATTGTTGGATGCTTAAAATGGTTTATGATCAATAGTCTTAAAGTTCTAATCTGACTTTTACAGTTTTAAATTTCTAACAAAGATGGAAAAAACAGACACTGGGCCCTACTTGAGGCTGGAGGGTGGGAGGAGGAAGAGAAGCAGAAAAAATAACTATTGGGTACTAGGCTTAGTACCTCGGTGATAAAATAACCTGTACAACAAATGCCTATGACATGTTTACCTATATAACATACCTGCACATGTATCCCTGAACCTAAAATAAAAGTTAATAAAAATTTATTACAAATTAAAAATAATATACAACACCAAGAGTGAGCCCTGATGTAAACTGTGGACTTGGGATGATAATGATGTGTCAATGAAGGTTCATTAGTTGTAACAAATGTACCACTCTGATGGGGGAGGCTGATAATGGGAAAGGTTGTGCATGTGTGGGGTAGTGGTATATGGGAAATTTCTATTCCTCTCGATTTTGCTCTGTGAAAAGCAAAAACTTAAAAGACTTAAAAATTATAGTGAAGGCATCAAATTTGGAAAAATCAATAGCCTAGTTCCTTACTATGAAATCATATGGCATAGTTCTCTAAATGTAACCCTTACATGTTGTTTTCATGGACTTCATACACACTCGCTCTAGGAATAAAAGAGCAAAGTATTTTCATGTTTCCTTTTTTCTGAGTTTGTATCAGTATGGGGTATGTGCAGGTGGGGATGGGAGGGTTACCTTTAGCCAATATCAGAATTGAATTGAATGGAGGAATTATAATTTTCCAATAAAAAAATTCAAGAAGTGTTTTTTGCCTCCCAGGTGGTAAAATCATGCATACTTTTTATTTCCTTTTTTGGTCTCTCTATATTTTCCAAGTGTTCAACAAAGTGTGGTTATTAGTTTTTATAATAAAAGACATTTTAGGTTATTTCTCTGATTACTAAGAGTAAAAAAAAAATAAAGTTTTAAAGTTCTAATCTGAAATTTTCAGTGACCACATTTCAGGAGTGCTCAAAGGAATATGTACAATCAAGGCAAATATTTTGTCTCCACTCCTGATTTCCCTGATGACAGAATTTTCCTAAGCATATTCCTGGCCTTTCTCTTTGTCCCTCTATTCTCTGTGCCCTGGGAGGTTGAAGGATTTATTTGATTGGTAAATTTGGGAAGGCTCAGTCCTGCTTATCTTCCTTTTAGAAAAAAGCTGTCTGCAGGGAGCAAGTTACCTCTGCTACTTTTCTAGGAGCAGATTCTTCCCTTTTAGAGAAAGATCCTGTACTCGTTCAACGTTGCCTATATCTAGATACCTTCTCTGGCTGCTTGTTTTTAAGTAAGTCCATTTGGCTCTCATACTAAGCTACAGTCTTCAACTTGTCTTTTATTAAAAAATAAAGATATTTTTGGCCTTCATATGCTACTCTTTGTTTTATTTTTCAATTTGCTTAGAACATAGCCATGGAAGAAGGAAGCCATTTTATTGTTTCATGTACTTCTCATGTCTGACAGTTGACATTCTCCCTGAATTCTCTATCATTAAAAAGCTTTGAGTCTCTAGTAAACACAATTTCTAAATCTAACAAATCTCATCATGACCAGCTCTCAGAGCCTACACTTGAACACTACTGTTTTTCTCCAGTGGAGGGAATTCAAGCTACTTCTTTACAATTTCAGAAAGCAGTTAGAAAAAAACAGCCTTAGGCTATTTTGATTTTTTAAGGTTACTGTTGATTCTGATGCTGAACACTGAAGGAAAAATGCTTCAATTAAAGGCAGACAAACTCTTCCATATAAGAACACAGACAAATCTTCAAAGCTCATAGTATTTGTGACCAACTCCTGAAGAAATATACTTTTAGATAACCTTCATATAGAAGGCAGGTAAATCACTCATCATATGTACATATGACATTTCTGAATATACTTACCTCAGCTGTGTGTTTTGCCACATGCCCCACGATGACAATGACCTTCCCTTTGAAGTTCTGGAGCATAGCAGTGTAAGGGCCCTGGGTAAGCTCCCCTTCTGCAGTGAAGGCAGCACTGAATGGAATGTTGATGCTTCCTGAAATGTGACCACGAATAAAGCTGAGAAGGAAAGTTTAAGGAAAACATTTATTTGTGTGCAATCCTGAGTGTCTGAGGGAAACTCACAGAGCTAAGTGACTCCCAGAAGATAGTACTAAACATCTTCCAGCTTATGTGAGTATTTTATCTAAATGAAGTAAGGCACCTCCAGGAGAAAAAAAAAAGTTAAATTTGAAAATGAAGTAGAAAAGAGAAAGGAAGATGACTAGCCAAAGATATAAAAGGATCTTACATCAAAAGCATCTCTCATTACATAAACACAGATATGGGTAAACAATAACTACACTTAAAGAGGTTCTATAAAGAGTGGAGATGGTGGAGATGGACTACATATCTTACAATTTAAATTTTCTAGTCAGCTGCTGCTTCATCTTTTTTTTTAAAGAAAAGGGTATGACATTAATAATGAGAGAAAGAACTGTAAATAAGTTCTGAAAAATGAAAGGAGAGAGAATCAACATTAACATTCCAGTAGGCATTGTTTAGTTGAAGTTTTCTAGAATGGGCAGAGAATTTATGATCATGGGTAGATTACCTTTGAACTTCATCAGCATTAGTTTCTCAAACATTTCTAATTATTCAATATTCCCAATTGCAGTTTTCCTGAAGAGTAATGACTTTTCTCTCAGAATATAATTACTCTGATGGTACTTTTTTAAAAAACTGAAAGTACTTTTATTTTCAGTAAAGATCTACTTAAAATGAAAATTTTTTATAACACATACTAAGAACCTAACAAACAACTCATATATTCTCAGCACCTATATCTACATCTGTGAGGCCTGAATCAGTTGCCAGAGAGTGTTTCCATATTTATCAAACAACCTTTTCAACTATGAACATCTTTCCTTTTTTTAGTGTGTTTAGAGTAGCAAAAGCAATACAAATCTATCCTGGTGAAATGCTGTAGCAGACATGTTTGGGCTGCCTGCCCACCTGCTGTTTTCTTGTTTGGAAGAGCACCAACCACTGACCCTGAGGAAAGGGTGAGCCTAGGTTGTCGTGTTGGTATCAGATGACCCTGCTACAACCATGACTGACAGGATGGTGGAGGGGAGGGTGATGGTGGATATATGATGCAGGCTGAGCCAATGAGATTCTCTCCCTTGAAAATCAGAAATAAAAGACATAAAAGATAATGCTCAGACTGTGTTAAGCTTTACATGTAAAATCACCTTTAAGTGCCTCTTCCATAAAATTTGTTCAGCCATCCATAAAATTTGTTCAGCCACGTATTAGAAAATTAGAAGACCCTGACTCTAAAAGAAGAACTGTTTAATAGATACATTCAGTGAATACTGTATTTGGTTAAAAAAGTACCCATCTATATCTAAATAACCATACCTAGTAACTATATCTATAATCATAGATAAGTATTAAGGTGATTTTGTAGGCTCGATATCACCTATTTATTATGTGCCTTTAAAGAAGATTTTAATCTAAACTCCTTTCAGTTACTAAAAGTATGTCATAAAGTTATTATCCTATTATCCTTGTGATTTATTATTTGTTTAAAAAATCTAGATTAAATATTAAAATGCTTCACAAAATATGACGGCAACAGAGTCTTTTTTGAAAGAGAAAGTTTTTCAAAATACAAAATGATTCCAAACCTTTTTTAGGCTACACTTTGGAAAATAAGGCACAAAAGAAACAGAGTTTTAAACCACACTTTCCTTATTCTTAATCTACTTCAACCAAAATGTCCTGGATAATATCTAAGAACACTCATCCAAGAACACTCTTGTCATGAAACTTATAGCACAAAAATGATTGGGTAAGCATGAATGTCTGTAGACATGGTGGTCAAACCTCTAAATCGTCTATCATTACTGGAAAACAGCAGAGGAGAATGTATTACTGGCAAAAAACAGAGGAGAATGAGATTGGCCTAGTTATAAATAAGTATATTTATAATGAATAGCCTGTTGTTTATATAAGTTGGATAATGAAGACAACTTTGGTTATTTAGAAATCTCTTCTTGTTTCCTTGGAAAGTATTTACATGGCCTACAATACAATTTCCCATGTGACACAGACAGCATTAGGTGAAATAGAACTGCTTTAGGCAACTTCTAGACATTTGAGAGGTGGTCAGATTATATTGTAAATCTAGGTAGGTGAATACTTTTTTCACTTGTTGAGTACTTCATAATCAGAATAAAATATGAGGTATTTGGAAAATGAGCAAACAACAGATTTCTGTATATTTTTTATTAGAAAGAATAAATAAATAAAGAGGAAAATAGAAGAAAATTTTTGACATATGGTGACTCTGAATGACCATAGTTGACTATCATCAGTCATGAGTAAAATCTGGCAAGGAAAGAGACATGATAGAGAATATGTTGAGATAAGCACATTTTTCCATGCTCTAAGAACTTTGGTTTTATTTCACTGTATTACAGTGGAAAACAAGTATACATAGGACCTTCACACAAAGGTAGGGTTAGAGATGAACACGCAACACTACATATTTTTGAAGTATGACTGTCACTTTACTGCTTTCTGTATAATATAGATAAAAATCTGAATCCTCTACACTAATGTTTTACATTTTAAAAAGGCCTTTCTCATTACATAAACACAGATATGGGGTAAACAATAACCACACTTAAAGAGGTTCTATAATGAGTGTAATACTCAACAGTCAGTCACTATGCTATTTTATAAACTAAGAGTTTAAAAAGCTACAGCTTCAAAGAACCCAGTTCAGAGGAAATATTACTATTAAGGAAATAGTAGCCAAAGTACTTATGGGGTGATTAGCCCCAATCACATATATATCATGATACTGTAATCCCAACAATGACATTACAATTTTTGGTTAGGTTTTGGCAAAAGTGGCAATGGTATCCATAAACACTAATTTTTAACTTCCAGTGTTCATAGGAAATTAGAATTTTTTATGACATACTTGAAAGCGTTAAAAGATAAAAAACATCATTACAGAAGTCAGCAGTAATTACAATGAAATCTCTAGACTGGAATAATAATAGTTATGAAAGCATAAAAGCATCCAGTTATTGTAGCAGTCACTTTACCACGTGTTTGGATATGGTTGTTTACTATGCTGAATGCACTACAGGATATATTCCAGTAAACATATGAATTTTCTTTGGCATATGGTGACCTTACACTATATATCTTACCCTGTCTTGGAGTAAGTTGTACCCCTCCCTGCAAATAAGCCATTCAGCTCAATATTCCATTTGGCAGATACTACCAAAAGTATTTGAATGTGTGCTAAGAACAAAATCAAAAATTTGCATTAAACAGAATTTGATAGCCCAATGCACAGACAGATTTAAAAAATTACTGTAAACTTCTGATAAATAAGTTGGATTATCAGAATAGCATTAACAGGTAGGGATGATGTATATTATCTTCTAGGTTTCTAAGATATTAAAACTTTCCTGTATTCATAATTCAGTCTACAAAACAATGCTGTAAGTAGATATGCTGTACTTCAATCAAACAGAAAAAAATCAGGTATAAGAATATAGGTACAGTGTATAGGTAAATTACATGGTAGTTAACCAAGTATGTTCAGAAAGACTCTTCAATTTACAAAAAGATTTGAAAATTCCTTTAAAATATTGTTTAAAATTCAGCACAGAAACCAGCTCATGTTTTTTTACATCCTAAAAGAGCACAGCATTTTTGCTGGATGCCACACTTAGTGACATCGTATCTTTAAAGACAACACACACCAATATTTCACCAAACCATTCAAGAAGATCTACCTACCTTTGTTTTTTGGCTGTTTGTCTGCTGGGTTAACTAATTATAATTAGTATTATAGACCTTTCAGCCCAAACTGAAAGTTTTACCTTTAGTATATCAACAGCGAAAAAGAAATATGAAATTAAACCCACAGTTCTCTCATATATACCATAACTAAATAGCATTAACTGATATAAAAATGATGTTTAGATATCATGATTTTCTTTGCTAAATCTATTGATAGTCTGAATGGCATCACCATCCCCCAAATCAACCAGTCAAAAATCTCATTTCCAACATCTTATCAGTAGCAACATCCAATATTCTACAGCTCTAATAAATCTTGTACTCACATTTTTATTCCCATTACCCCTTGCCTATTTCAGATATTGATTTGTCTTGAGCTTAAACTACTGTAGTAACTGTTTTCTCCAACTTTTGTCTTTTCTCTTGGAAATACACTTGATTTACAATATTGACAGAGAAAAAATTTAAAAGCAAAGTGTTCTGATTATTGTATCCTTTCTGAGAAACTTTCTATGACTGCCTATAGGACAAAGCCCATATTTCTCAGTTCAGTCCTCATGAATAGAACCTAACTACTTTAATTCCAACCAAACTAAATCATGCACTGTTACCAATATGTTTTCTATCTCCTGTAGTTTTCTCTGCCCAAATATCTTTTTCTCATTTTTGCGCATTCAAACATCCATCCTTCAAATGTTTCATCCATGAAAGTTTCCCTTCCCACAGTATCTGTACATATCTTATAACAGCAATTTGATTTTATATAAAATTTTCTAATGAAAATGACTTCTATCTAAACAACTGATAGGAACAATGTGTATTATATTTATTTCGTCTTTGAATCTCTTGCAAGGATTAATAGAATGCTTAGAACATCACTTACATATTTGGTGAGTAAATGAATTTCAGAATTTTGCCAAACCTGGAGTAACTAGTATCGGCAGCAAATATGCTAAGGTGCCTTCTGGCCACCCCAACCAGTGGCACCAGTATCTAACAATGCTTGCAAGTGTCAACGATATAGAATTTCCCTTTGTCAGCACACACTTTGAGAAAAGGGAAAGAAACAGCAACAAAAGTAATTTCTCTCAATCTTCTTCAGCATAGGCTCACTAAAACCGGTTTATTTAGGGAAAAGCTAGGGACCTCACTCTTTATGACAGGATATGAATGAATGATTATACACATCAAATTTCTGGATAATTCAATCCTAATTTTGCCTGCAAGATTATCTCTACCCTCATCCATCCTCTACAATGCATTAAAGTAATTTTTCTGAAATAAAAATCTGAGCATGGCACCTACCTGTTTAGAATTTTTTAAGTTTCTTACTGCCTTTGGAATAAAACCCAAATTTCTTAGCATGTTATGAGACATTTTCAATGAGGCTACTTTTACCTACTCTAGTTTCATTACTAATTCTCATATATTCCAGACATGCTCATCCACAATTCTTGTAACTTCCTAAATGTGTCTGTCTCACCTTCTCTGGGCCTCAAACAATGTGATTTTTCAATGCTTTCTCTCTTTTCTTTGTTAGGTTACTAACTTCTACTTGTTTTTTAAGAATCATGTCAGACATCACCTGGTTTAGGTGCCCATCCTATATTTCCATGACATTTGGGTATGCTTCAGACATAGGCCATTTCATATTATACTGCAATTATCTATTTCATGTATCTATTTTAGTTATAAGACTGTGAGCTTCTGGTGGGCAGGGGTGCTATAACTAAACTCTATATCCCCATTGCCTGGCAAAGCAGGTCCTCAAACAGGACTGGCTGGCTGATTGAATGAGACTGTATGGCACTCTAGGAACTGGGGTCATGGATGGTTCTCACAGCAAATCGGAGCTCTTTAACAGCTAATACACCTTTCATAACTAGCAATCCAGACATGAAGACATTGCTCAGCAGTTGCTATCATATACTCCCACATTATACAAAGCCCACTCAAATATGGGAATACAATTGGATGGAAATTTTAATTTAGATAGATTGAACCTAAGCCCAAATGAGATGAAAAAAACCTTACTAAACCTTCTCATCAGTATCTGTCCTGCTCTGCTCATGAGTATCTTTAAATTGCTTTGAAGAAGTTTTTATAAATCAATTATTAAGGACAAAGAGACAAGAGTAATACTAGTGTTCACTAAGGATGAATGTGCCATAATGAAATAATGAATACAACTGGGTTTATGTGTTTTTCAAAAAACAAATTTAAGCCTGAGGTTGTCTTTGGTATAGTTTTAGATACTAACTTTTTTTTAAAAATCAAAAGGTAAGAGTTTTACAAGTAAAGCTCAGCCTTGAGCAAAAACTCAGCCTTGATTTCAAGCAAATGAGTAACATTCCTTTAAAGTATTGCTGTTTACAGATAAAATAAATTGGATCCACAATTACATGACTAAGACCTCTCTTAATATGAACTTCCAAGAAAACTGAAACCCTAAATATTTACAACTATTAAAGAAAACAAGAGTTTGCTTGTGTATTACCATGGAAACTATTAACATCACTTCTGAAATTCATGTCACTACATGAAAACATTTTCTATTGCCTCCTTATAAAATGCAATTTTTGTTTGCTTTGAAATTCTCAAAATATACTGAAGAACAAATATATCTGACTTGATTTTTACCTAGATTAACATTTCATGTTTCTATCTTCTAAAAGCAAACAAAAAAACGTGATTTCAACAAAAACTGTTGTTTTGCCTCTCTGAGCCTTTGGCTTTAATATTAAGAGTTTAGACTATATTAGGGTTTCTTCTTATTCTAAAGTTTTGGGATTATGTTTTTATTGTTAAGTGGGTAAAGTTTGTCTTCATGTCCTTCAGCTTTCTTCTTCTGTATTCTCCATTCCCTTGGCCCACATTGGGGTTTGGGTAGTTCCCTAAGATTGCTGGCACCTTAATGTGCTGCTTGTCTCCTACAATCACAAAAACTGAACATAGATTAAAATATTACCACCTGCAGGCTTTTTGTATTTTAACTGAGACTATTCATAACACAAGCTAAATGACTGAAGCCTCAACAGTAGCGTTTCAGGCATCAAGTGAAGGTTCTGAAGGGGGCTTGGTGGTAGTAGTGAGGCTGTCCCTTAAATTTATTGGTAGACAGCTTATTTTGCCTGTGGATAAGATTGCCTCCCTCCCTGTCATAAGCAACCACTTAAATCATTTTACATAGGTTAAAAAAAAAGACGAGATGAAATATATTTTTAGACATTAAATCTCCTGGAAGCACAATTTAGGAAAAAAAAACTTCACCTATAATGAAGATGTAAGAACTGTGTTAGGCAAAGACTTCCCATTTAAATGATGTATAAAAGCAAAACAGAAGATAAACATGATACAGGGACATTATAAATAATTTGAACAACATTTCAAAAATAATTTGCTTCCTCTAGGGAAGGAAAAGGTGTTAGAGAAAGTTTCTTTTTTTTCCATATTGTACAGGGTCACATTTTGCGGCAAGAGAGAAATAAAACTATTTCAAAAATATCCTAGTATTAAATATGTAATCACTTCTTAAACAGATTGTTAAAGTCACATAAATCCTAGACTTTAATTGCGAAGATTTACCTTGGTAAGCATTAAGAGTTACTGTACAAAGATAATTACTTTAAAAATATTATTAAAATTTCAATGGGCTTTAAAAAACATCAGCATATTAGTAGCTTTAGGGAAATTTTTATTAAAAAGATTTTGAATGAATTAAATATTATAAATTAAGTCAATATAATAGGGAAGGATCTTTCTATCATGTTTCCTCCCTCAAAGTGTTGCAATACTGCTTTCTAAAATTTGAAATACTTCAGTTTTCCTCGATTCTGTGGCTACATCTGTATAAAGATAACCACAGGTAGATTTGTTCAGTTGGTATCTGGGATTAGTCCTCTTATACACACAGGTGCTGAAGGTAATAGCTTATTTTGTGTGTAAGATTTGAAGAAATGTGTATAACATCTGAATGAATATATCTAGTGTAGAGGAATCAATGCATGTCTCACTGACTCATTAATTTCTATTAACTCATTTGTTTCAATCTTGTTTATGCTTAACTGTCCCTATGCAGAGACCAGATAGGCACCTGTAAAATAGTGTAAAATTTAGAAGCACAAGACTGGCTCTGCAATTACTAGTTATATGGCCTTGGGAAAGTTGCTTAACCTCTTTAAACTTCAGTTTATCAGTAAAACAGAGATAACAACAGTATATACAGCATAGGACTAGCACCATGCTTGGTACAGTGTAAGAACTTAAAGACTGCTATTATTAGAAGTCAATTTACTTCAATCTATTCAAGAAGCAGCTAGTGTGCGTGGCTAGAAGCAGCTAGTGTGTGTGGCTCTCATGGAGAAAAACAGAAGGGGGCAAGTAAATACCACACCTTCAGCTGAAACATCCAGGTATTTGCAGTGGGACTAATCAAGGAAACAACTTGACCTTTAGAGAATGAAGAAAAGTAAGACAGGACAACGACCCACCTGGGAATAACATGGAACCAGGGGATACTCCCCCACCCAAGGGAAGTGGTGAGTGAATGAACGGCCCCAGAAAAACACACTTCTCTCACAGGTCTTTGCAACCCTCAGGTCAGGAGATCTCCTTGTGAACCCACTCCACCAGGGCCTTCAGTCTTCAGTCTGACGGACAGAGCTACATGAAGTCTTGGCAGAGCAACTGCTCAGGCATAGGTGGAGACCCTGAAGCCTTAGATTATTATTGGGCTTTCTGGCAAAAGTAGCTGCAGCTTTGGCAAAGTAGAAGGTTAGACTCCTGTACATACCCGTAGGAAAGAGGCCGAATCCAGAAGGCTGAGTAGCAACAACCCATAGGCCCCACTTCCATGGCACCTCACAAGATAAGACCTACTGGCTTGGGATCCAGCCAGCTACCAGCAGTGGCACTGCACCTCCCTAAGAAGGAGTTCCCAGGGAGATGGGTGGGTTGCCATCTTTGCTGTTCAGACACCTTAGCCATTCCAGCCTTCAGGCTTTGGACAGTCTGAGCTGACTCAGAGCAGAAGGAATCCCACAGCACAGCATAGATGCTCTACCAAAATGTGGCCAGAATGCAAACTGCTTTTTTAAGCAGGTTCTGATCCTGTTCCTCCTCACTGGGCAGGACCTCCCAACCAGGGTCTCCAGCCACTTTGTACAAGTGCCTTTAAACCACAGTCTGAGCTGACTCAAGGCAGAAGGAATCCCACAGCACAGCATAGATGCTCTACCAAAATGTGGCCAGAATACAAACTGCTTTTTTAAGCGGGTTCTGATCCTGTTCCTCCTCACTGGGCAGGACCTCCCAACCAGGGTCTCCAGACACTTGGTATAGGTGCCTTTAAACCACCAACAGGTCCATACCTCCCTGGGACAAAGCTCCCAGAGGGAGGAACAGGCCGCCATCTTTGCTGTTTCACAGCTTTCACTGGTGACACCTCCAGGTTCTGGAAAATCCGAGATGACTAGGGCCTAGAGTGGGCCCCAAGCATACTGCAGCAGCCCTACAGAAAAGTGGGCAGACTATTACATGGGTTCCTGTTCCCACATCTCCTTACTGGGCAGATCCTCCAGGCCTGGGGTTCCAGCCACCCCAACCAGAGCTATCGAGCCAGTGCGAACTCAGCAACTCCCTGCCCAGAGCCTACAGGGGCAAATAAAAGCCTCTCTGCCACTGTCTCTGCAGTGGAACTGCCCTAGCCACCCTTGAACTAATGAAGAAGCAAAGACCTTAACTGTCTTATCCATACCTCCAACAAGCTGCAGTTGAACCAAGGAGAGGAGGCCAGTCCATCTCCCACAGGTCCCACACACTCCCCAAAACTCATCACCAGACAGGAAACTCCTGGCTTGGGCCCACAGAACAAACCTCCATTTTGGGCTGACTTCGCTGAGTGATTGATGACCTGCATCTCTCTGGGGCGGAGCCCCCAGGAGTCAAAAAAAAATGACCCTTGGCCACAACCACTACTAAGATCTCTTCCTCTACTGCCTCTAAGCTGGGGAAGGAATATAAACTCTGAGATCATCCCAGAGCTGCAGTGGGCAGCCCAGGAGTGCCAAGTCATGAACTATAGCAGGCACTCAAGGGGGAGAGGAGCCCACACTTTCAGAGCACTGAGAGGGAACATGGCTGCAACTATGAGGAAACATAAGGGAGCCACACTACTGAACAAAAGTCTACCAACTGACAAATAAGGCTAAGTGTCACCTGCTGGATAAACCCCAAAGCTTCAACACAAAAAATACCTCACTAACGTAACCCACTCTAAAGCCAGAGACAGTCAGTCAGCTTCCAATAAAGACTCTATACAAATACTCATCCCAGTGAAAATATCCAGAAAATAAGTCTATTGACTGTACTCAATCTACACCACAGTTAAAGGAACACCCACATGCAGAGATGAGAAAGAACCAATGCAAGAACTCCAGTAACTAAAGTGGCCAGAGTATCATGTGTCCTCCAAATGACTGCATCAGTCCTCCAACAAGAGTTCTTAATCATGCCGAACTGGCTGGAATGACAGAAACAGAATTCAGAATATGGACAGGAACAAAGATAATCGAAATGAAAAACACAGGAATTTCACAATACAATCTCCAGTATTAACAGCAGAATAAACCAAGCCGATGAAAGAATCTCACAATTCGAAGACTGGTTCTTTGAAGTAAGGCAGTCAGACTAAAATAAAAAAAAAAAGAATAAAAAGGAATGAACAAAGCCTCTGAAAATTATGGGATTATGTAAAGAGACTGAATATATGAATCATTGGCATCCCTGAAAGAGAGGGGAAGAAAGCAAACAACTTGGAAAATGTATTTCAGGATATCTTCCATGAAAACTTCCCTAACCTTGCTAAAGAGGCCAAGAGTCAAATTCAGGAAATACAGAGAACTCCTGCAAGATTCTACGCAAGATCATACATGAGACACATAATTGTCAAATTTTCCAAGGTCGAAATGAGAGAAAGAAGGTTAAAGGCATCTAGAGAGAACTCGGGCAGGTCACCTACAAAGGGATTCCCATCAGGCTAACAGCAGACCTCTCAGCTGAAACCCTAAAAGCCAGAAGAGATTAGGGGCCTATATTGAATGTTCTGAAAGAAAAAAAATCTTTAACCAAGAATTTCATATCTAGCTAAACTAAACTCTCTAAGTGAAGAAGAAATAAGATCCTTTTCAGATAAGCAAATGTTAAGGGACTTCATTACTACCAGACCTGCCTTACAAGAGATCTTGAAAGCAGCACTGAATATAGAAAGATCACTACCAGTGAATACAAAAGCACACTTAAACACACAGACCGACGTCACTGTAAAGCAACCACACAAACAAGCCAACATAACCACCAGCTAACAGCACAATGACAAAACCCAATCCACACATATCAATATGAACCTTGAATGTAAAGGGTGAAAATACCCCACTTAAAAGGTAGAGTGGCAAACAGGATAAAAAAGTAAGACCCAATAATATGCTCTCTTCAAGAGACTATCTCACACATAATGACACACTTATAAGCTCAAAATAAAGGGATGGAGAAAAATCTACCAAAAAAATAAAAAACAGAAAAAAGCAGGGATTGCAATCCTAATTTCAGATAAAACAGATTTCAAACCAACAACGATTTAAAAAAAAAGACAAGGGCATTATATAATGGTAAAGGGTTCAATTTAATAAGACCTAACTATTCTAAATATATATGAACCCAATACAGGAGCACCCAGATTCATAAAGCAAGTTCTTAGAGACCTACAAAGAGACATCGACTCCCACACAATAATAGTGGGAAACTTCAACACTCCAATGACAGTATTATACAGATCACTGAAGCAGAAAATTAACAAAGATATTCAGGACCTAAACTCAGCATTGGACCAAATGAATCTGACACACCTTTACAGACGTCTCCACCCCAAACCAACAGAATATACATTCTTCTCATTACCACATGGCACATACTCTAAAATCGACCACATAACTGGACATAAAACAATCCTCAATAAATGTATAAGAACTGAAGTCATTCCAAACACTCTCTCAGACCACAGCAAAATAAAAATAGAAGTCAACACAATAAAAATCACTCAAAATCATACAATTACATAGAAATTAAACAACATGCTCCCGATTGACTTTTGGGTAAAAAATAAAAGGCAGAAATCAAGAAGTTCTTTTAAAGTAAAGAGAACAAAGATACAACATACCAGAATCTCTGGGACACAGCTAAGGCAGTGTTAAGAGGGAAATACAATATCACCAAATGTCCACATCAAAAAGTTAGAAAGATGTTAAATTAACAACCTAACTTCACAATGGAAAGAATTAGAGAAGTGAGAACAAAACAACCTCAAAGCTAATAGAACTGAGAAATAATTACAAAAATCAGGGTGAAGTGAAGGAAATCAAGGCATGAAAAACTATTCAAAAGAGCAATAAATTCAGGAGTTGGTTTTTTGAAAAAATTAACAAGATAGGCCACTAGCTAGACTAAGAAGAAAGAAGATCCAAATAAACACAATTAGAAATGACTAATGAAATGTAACCACTGACCCCACAGAAATGAAAATAACCATATGCTCTATGTACACAAATAGAAAACCTAGAAGAGATGGAAAAATTCCTGGACATATACACCCTCCGAAGACTGAGCCAGAAAGAAACTGATTCCCTGAACAGACCAATAATGATCTCTGAAGTTCAATCAGTAATAAATAGCCTACCAACCAAAAAAAACCCAGGACCTGATGGATTCATAACCAAATTCTACCAGATGTACAAGGAAGAGCTGGTACCATTCCTACTGTGACTATTCCAAAAAAATTGAGAAGAAGGGACTTATACCTAACTCATTCTATGAGGCCAGCATCATCTTCATACCAAAGCCTGGCAGAGACACAGTAAAAAAGGAAAACTTCAGGCCAATATCCTTGATGAATGTCGATGCAAAAATCCTCAATGAAATACTTGTAAACTGAATCCAGCAGCACATCAAAAAGCTGCTTCACCATGATCAAGTAGGCTTCATCCCCGGGATGCAAGATTGGCTCAACATGCAAAAAATCAATAAATGTGATTCATTACATAAGCAGAACTAAAGACAGAAACTACATAATTAACTCAACAGATCCAGAAAAGACTTTTGATAAAATTCAACATCTGTTCACGTTGACAACTCTCAATAAACCAGCTATTGAAGGAATATACTTCAAAATAATAAGAGCTATCTATGACAAAACCACAGTCAACATTATACTGAAGGGGCAAAAGCTGGAAGCATTCCCCTTGAAAACTGGCACAAGACAAGGATGCCCTCTCTCACCACTTCTATGCAACATACTATTGAAAGTCCTAGTCAGAGCAATGAGGCAAGAGAAAGAAATAAAGCTCATTCGAATAGGAAGGGAAGAAGTCAAACTATCTCTGTAGATGACATGATTCTATATCTAGAAAAACATGCAGTCTTGACCCAAAAGCTCCTTCAGCTGATAAACAACTTCAGTGAGGTTGCAGGATACAAAAGCAATGTACAAAAATCACTAGCATTCCTATACACCAACGACAACCAACCTGAAAGCAAAATCAGAAAGGCAATCCCATTCACAACTGACACACACATACACACACACACACACACACACACACACACTCCCTAGGAATACAGCACACCAGGGAGGTGAAGGACCCCTACAATGAGAATTACAAAACACTACTCAAAGAAATCAGAGAAGACACAAACAAATGGAAAGACATCCCATGCTATGGATCGGAAGGATCAATATCATGAAAATGGCTGTACTGCCCAAAGCAATATACAGTTTCAATGCTACTCCTATCAAACTACCAGTGACATTAACAGAACAAGAAAAAACTATTTTAAAATTCATATGGAACCAAAAAAGGGCCCGAATATCCAAGACGATGCTAAGCAAAAAGAAGAAAGCTGGAGACATCATGCTACCCAACTTCAAACTACACTATAAGGCCACAGTAACCAAAACAGCATGGCAGTAGTACAGAAACAGGCACATAGACTAATGGAACAGAATAGAGAGCCTAGAAATAAGGCCACACATCTATGACCATCTGATCTCTGACAAAGCTGACAGAAAACAAGAAATGGGAAAAAGACTCCCTATTCAATAAATGGTGATGGAATAACTGGCTAGTCATATGCGGAAGATTGAAGATGGACCCCTTCCTTACACCATATACAAAAATCTACTCAAGGTGGGTTAAAGACTTTAATGTAAAACCCAAAACTATAAAAACCCTGGAAGACAACCTAGGCAATACCATCCTAAACCTAGGAATGGGTTTAGATTTCATGAAAGAAACCAAAAGCAATCACAACAAAAGCAAAAATTGACAAATGGGGCCTAATTAAACTTAAGAGCTTCTGCACAGCAAAAGAAACTATCAACAGAGTAAACAGACTGTAGGAGATTGGTCAGGGTGGTGGAAAAAATTGTAGAAAGACACAAACCTTCTTGGACGTCCAGGAGGTTTTATAAAAGCTTTGGAAAAGCATTTGGCTGAAGGCAGCCAAACCCTCTTATCCGGAGCCCGAGAGCGAAGGTTACATAACAAGGGGATATAAAGGAATTGATCTAGATAAGTTAGTTTATTTAGGCCTTGGAACCTGGCCTTTAATCATCCACGTGCAGGACTGCTCTCTCCAGGGAGGGTGACCATGTTAATTACCCACAAGTGTGTTGACTCAAAGCCTTTGTCATTAAATCTGTACTAAATAAATGCCAGCAGCACCAGCTTGTCAGGGCTGCGGCTGCTACAACTCTTTCTGTCAGCGGTCTGGTCCCTTAGCCTACTCTTTCACTCAATACTTGTGTCTAAGTACATTCTTTCATCCATCATTCAGCCAGGGTCTATGGGTCAGACCCAGCAGGTGGTGCTCCACATGAGGAATGCTGCAATGGACTGCGATAGAACCCTCAAAAATGAAGGTGAAAAGACTGCGCAGTCAGTAAGTCAGTAAGTCATTGGTGCCCACTCAGGATTTCCAAGTTGGAGAGAACTGTTCAGGCTAGGGTTTCATCATAGGACAACAGTTATCAGCTCAACAGCAACAGTATATAAAAGCATTGAAACAGCTGCTTAAAGGTAGCAGAGCCTTGGTTTCGCAGGCTCAATTAAGAGACCTAATGCAAACTACTGTTTCCCATAACCCATGGTTTCTGAAAGAAGGTGCACTAAACTTGGAGATCTGGGAACAAGTGGGTAGAAATCTTAAACAACATGATGTACAAGGGCAATGGGTCCCAATAACATCTTTAACGTTATGGGCTTTAGTTAGGGTGGCTCTGGTCCTACTCTACACAGAAGAGCCTAAAAAGGGAAGGGAGGAAGAACTGTCACCTACCTTACTGCCTCCATCTCCCTCAGCCCCGCTGTCTCCAGGAAAAAATAACAAAGAGGAAATGGAGGTTTTGCCTGAGGCCCCTCATCCAAAAAATTGGAAAAAAGACAAGGGATATGCTGTCTTACGCAAGCAGCATTAGATGGGGAGCTCTTAGCCTGCCTGGTAATGCAAGATCAACAAGGCAATCATTTCTTTTAATGCTTATAAAGAGCTAAAAAAAAAAAAGCATTAAAGAAAACGGAGCCACTAGCCCATTTACAAGAGGGTTAACTGAGGCCACTCTGCAGACCTCTTTCTAACAATGGCCACTGTTATTTCTCCCCTACCCCTAACGTGGCTCTCTCAAAATCCTATTTGGGTAGAACAGTAGCCTTTAAAGGGAGAGAAATTATAAAGAGCCCATGAATTAGCCGAGGAGCAATTAAAAGCTGACCATATAGAACCGTCATACAGTCCTTGTAATTTGCCCATTTTCATCATTCCCCAAAAGTCTGGTAAATGGAGACTTTTGCATGACTTACGTGCTATTGATGCTAATTTGCAACCTATGGGGCCCCTTCAGCAGGGGCTCCCCTCCCACGTGGCAATTCCTCGAGACTGGCCTATAATCATTATTGACTTAAAAGGCTGCTCTTATACTATTCCCCTTGCAGAACGGGACAGAGAAAAATTTGCATTTACAATACCAGCTATCAATAATGAAAGGCCAGCTCACTGATTTCATTGGAAAGTGCTTCCTCAAGGAATGCTGAACAGTCCTACCATGTGTCAGTATCATGTAAATCAAGCTTGGCTCCCCAGTAGAAAAGAATTTCCTAATTGCAGGATTACTCATTTTACAGATGATATTTTACTAGCAGCCCCAACAGAGCTAGTACTTTTCAAGTCACATGCCTCTGTCGTAAAGAATACACAGTTAAGAGGTTTAATCATAGAACCTGGAAAAGTACAGATGTCTTTCTCCTTGGAAATATCTTGGGTACATACTAATTTCCCAGTCAGTAAGACCTCAAAAGGTTAAATTAAATACTAGCAACTTACATACCTTAAATGATGATCAGAAATTACTAGGTAATATTAACTGGATTTGCCCCACCTTGGACATAACTACTGATAAGTTACAGAACTTGTTTTCCATCTTAAAAGGCAATGCTGCCCTAGACTCTCCTAGGTATTTAACTCCTGCAGCACAAAGGGAAATTGAAGAGATAGAGCAAGCTATTTCTCAGAGACAACTAGATTGCATTGATACATGGTATTCAGTTCAATTATTTGTTTTTCCCACTAAACACTCCCCTACAGATGACCCCAGGGCTACGCTTCCTAGAATGGGTTTTTTGCTCACATACCGGGACTAAAACACTCTTTCCCTATATCCAGTTAGTCAGTAAAGTCATTTATTCAGGATGCAGATGATGCAATCAGTTGCTAGGTTATGACCCTGATATCATCAGGATTCCTTTAAGTAAAAAGCAATTCAAGGCAGTATTGCCTTATCTATGGACCTGCAAATAGCACTCTCTGATTACAAAGGCCATATAGAGCATGCCCTTCCTGCTGACAAACTCCTTCAGTTCTTATCTTGTACTTCTGTGGTTTTGCCTACTAAAACAGTTCAATCCCCCATATCTAATGCTTTAACAGTGTTTACTGATGGCTCTGGTAAACATGGAAAAGTCACTTTCTGGTGGAAATCACGTAATTCCCTCACTTGTTCTGGATTTACTAGCGCTCAGAGGGCTGAGATTGGAGCCTTACTATTGGCCTTGGAAACTTTTTCCATTCAGCTCATCAATATTGTTAGTGAGTCTGCTTACTCTGTTTATTTATTGCAGAACCTTGAGAGGGCCCTCATTAAGTCCACTCTGGAGCCCACCCTGTATGCACTTTTTCTCCGACTTCAGCATTTGCTAGATCAACATACACATCCTATTTTTATCATACATATTTGAGCCCACAGCTCACTGCCTGGCCCACTGGCTTATGACCATGATCAAGCAGACGTACAAGTTAGAACATCACTGTTTGACCAAGCCACCCAGTCACATCAATTTTTCCACCAAAACTGGAGAAACTTATCTGAACAATTTCAACTTACCCAGAGACTAGCTAAACAAATTAACCGGCAATGCCCAGATTGCCAGCTCACAGGCACGTTCCCTCCTTATACAGGTGTTAACCCTAGAGGACTAGAACCTAATCAGTTATGGCAAACACCATGTTACACATGTGCCTGAATTTGAAAAACTAAGATATGTACATGTATCCATTAATAACAATTCTCAATTAGCGCTCATGCCTTTCCTGGAGAGTCCACCCGATATGTCATTAAACATCGTCTTTTAACTTTTGCATTTATGGGGTGGCCTACAAAAATTAAAACTAATAATGGTCTGGCTTATGCCAGCTCACAATTTCAACAATTTTGTCACAGTGGAATATCCAACATTCCACAGGCATCCCTTATAACCTCCAAGGAGAGGCCATAGTAGAACATACTCACTCTATCCTTAAAAATATGCTCAGAAAACAAAAAAGGGGGAATATGAGTAAGGACCCTGCAACACTACTAGCACAAGCCTTATTTACCCTTAATTTTGAAAATTTAGATGATAAATTTCAATTAGCTGTAGAAAAGCACTTTGCTAAAACCTCTCAAGACATAAAACCTGCAGTTTTATGGAAAGATGTAAACAGTAATGTACGGTGTGGTCCAAATGAATTGTTAACATGTGGGAGAGGATATGCTTGTGTTCACACCCCCTCAGGTCCTCTTTGGATTCCAGCACGATCCATCAAACCTTACCATAGCATGGCTAGGACCCAACCTGGTACCAGAAATAAAGAAAATGACCCTATAGGACCTACAGCCCCAGAAAATGTGGCTTCCTCGGACGACATAGGCCCTGGACAGGACGCTGAAGAAGAGAAGTCAGAAGACTGAGCGAATCTGCTCTGGACACAGACACCATTCACTCCAGATAATTTGTTCCTTCCTATGCTTTATTAACCTTTTTAATTCTTTCACTTTACCTGCAACCCTCACCTGCTACTCTCTATTGGGCCCATCTCTTAGATACGCCTTTCTTCAGCCCTATTATTTAAACAAACACCCCCTTCTCAGCTTCTAACAACACGACTGCTTGGCTAAGAGGGAATGACATGCCCCAAGTGGGGTTCCTCAATAACGGCACACATTGGACTAAGATGCCAAGTAACACTACATGTCACTCCTTAATTGGAAAAGAATGTGGCTAATTATACTCATATTTGTCTTCTATTATTTACTAATTCTAGGATGCAAAGCCGGAATGCGAGCAGTGCCCGCCACACCTGACAAACCTGCTGCTGCACACATCTGTACTCTTCAATCAACAAAACCTGATGCTAAAAACAGAAAAGGGGGAGATGTAGGAGATCAGTCAGGGTGGTGGGAAAAATTGTAGAAAGATGCAAACCTTCTTGGAAGGCGGGGAGGTTTTACAACAGCTTCGGAAATGGATTTGGCTGAAGGTAGCCAAACCCTCTTATCTGGACCTTGAGAGCAAAGGTTAGATAGCAAAGAGATATAAAGGAATTGATCTAGGTAAGTTAGTTTAACTTGGAACCTGGCCTTTAATCATCCCCATGCATGACTGCTATCTCCGGGCAGGGTGACTATGTTAATTACGCAAAAGTGTGTTGACTCAAAGCCTTTGTCATTAAATCTGTAACTAAATAAATGCCTGCAGCACCAGCTTGTCAGGGCTACAGCTGCTGACTCTTTACAGCACCCTGCTCGGGGTCTATAAGCAGCCAGGTCCTCTAGCCCGCTTTTTCACTGGATACCTGCGTCTGACTGCATTCTTACATCCGTTGTTCGGCCAGGGTCTGCAGATTGGACCTGGCAACAGACAACCTACAGAATGGAAGAAATATCTTTAAGATTAAAATAGGGTGTTATAATGTTATTTTTTATGGTTTTATGGGAGAATTGCTATGAATAAAGACTCAAGCAAAAGAAATACAAATTAAAAAGTTAAAAACATTAAACAGATTCTAAACTCCTGAAGTATAAGATCAGAAGAACTTCCAGACTAGGGGTTCTTGACCAGTTAAATAGAATTTAATGCCTCATTCGGGAGTCCACTCATCCACTCTGCAAAGAGTTTCTAGTATTGCTGAAACCCTAACAACCAGGGATATCAACATTTATACTCTCTCCAAACTCAGAAAAATAGAAAGTAGCAACTTTTCACAAAATGATAAGAATATATCATTTGAAATTGTGAGCTCTCCAATTGTACTGTCAGAAACCTAAGATTCTATGAATTACTTAATAAAGTCTGTAAATGTGTAATTTGAATTTCATTTCAAAAATTGGAATTGAAAATATTAACATGAAAACTTATTGCTGATTGAGTATCCTTAATCCAAAAATCTAAAATCTGAAATGCTCCAAAATCAAACTTTTTGAGCAACAACATCAGGATCAAAGGAAATACTCATTAGAGCCTTTTGGATTAGATATTCTGAACTGGTAAGTATATACATATAATGGAAATATTCCAAAATCCTACAAAATATGAAACCTGAAATACTGTCACAAACATTTTGGACACAGGATACTCAACCTGTATATGCCAATTTTAGCATATAAGAAACCATTAACCTGCTAACCCTCATTTATAGCATTTATAGTTAGTAAATGTTATAAATCTGAACTTATGAAGCAAATTAGTTATAACATTCATTTATATTTTATATATTGAGTTTCTAAGAAAGATTTTAAAAGTTGCTCTGTTTTTAAACAAAGTGAAAACCATTTATCTAGATTCTAGAAAATACACAATCAAAGAATCTGAAGATAATGAAAATAGAAGGAGAAGAGACTGAACTGTTACTATTTTGTAACTCTTCATACTCTAATGCCAATCAAACCCACTGGATGTTACAGTATGTTCAATAGTAAAATCTTCGTAAATAACATTTTGTAGTTAGTGAAAATACATGTTCTATGTAAGCCAGTGTTTTGAAAATTATAATGAACACAAGGTCAGTGTTGAGATGTAGCAAACTTTTTCTCTAGGCTATGAGGTAAAACAGGTGTATACTTACTCTTTATCTTTGCCACAATTCCTATCTACAGCATGAAGGATTCAAATGCCTTCAAGAATAGCAATATACACCAGAGAAACACAAAAAACAACAAAATATCCCAATATTCTGGCATTGTTTGGAAAATATCATCAGGTCTCTGGTATGTAATGTTATCTTATAAAACCTTATGCAAGACCATTCTGGCATCCAGTTTGAGAGTAATTTAACTACTTGAATTCAGAAGAATCCCAGAATTTTTTTTTTTTAACCACACAACACTTAAATGAAAGGATGCAATACAAATAAGCAGTACCACCCTTTAAAACAGCATATGCAAAGGATACTCTTCACTATTCCGGATGTCAACCACCAGGAGCTTTGGTTTACTGGACTTTGTTTTCTTGCTGGGTGTTTTGAAGTGGCCTGTCACTGTGAGCTCACACAAGTCAATCAGGTCCTCTGCTGAAATCCGTGGTGATACTTCTGACTTCAGGTCATTTAATGGGATGGATTCTCTTGACTGAAAAAAAAAATGTACAAAAAAAAATATTGAGAATATTATAGAAAAACAAATTATCCCCAGTAATAGAATATCTTGATACCAAACAATACAGCATATAAGAGAAGAGGAAACTATCTAATTTTCACAGTCTATTGTGTAATTCAGTGGTCTCCAACCCCCAGGCCATGGACTGGTACTGGTCCATGGCTTGTTAGGAACTGGGCCACACAGCAGGAAGTGAATGGTAAGCAAGTCAGCAAAGCTTCAGCTGTATTTACAGTTGTTCCCCATTGCTCCGTTATAGTCCGAGCTCCGCCTCCTGTCAGATCAGTGGTGGAATTAGATTCTCATAGGAGTACAAACCCTGTTGTGAACTATGTATGTGAGGGATCTAGGTTGCAAGCTCTTTATGAGAATCTAATGCCTGATGATCTGTCATTGTCTCCCATCACCTCTAGATAGGATCATCTAGTTGCAGGAAAACAACCTCAGGGCTCTCACTGATTCTAGCTTATGGTAAGTTGTATAATTATTTCATTTTATATTACAATGTAATAATAATATAAATAAAGTGCACAATAAATGTAACGTGCTTGATTCATCCTGAAATCATCCCCCCCCCATCTCAAACCCAGTCCATGGAAACACTGTCTTCTAGGAAACCAGTCCCTGGTGCCAAAACGGCTGGGGACCGCTGGTGTAACTGATACCTTACTATTGAGGTTTACTTCTTTGTTATTTACACTTATAGGAAAGCATTATTGTTTTGATTGACTGCAAGCTCCTGGGTCAAACATGTAGAAAGAGATGAGGCAAAGATTTCCTTATGAGAGTGCTTTAAAAAAAACAGCTCCTTTAAGTACATTTCACTTTTCTTTAAATATAAACTACTGTTGTTTTGAATTGCATTAATTTTAACTCAGGTAATATGAGAAATTGCACTGTAATTAGGCATACATAGTAATTAAAGAAACTGGTTCTAATATATGTGTTGGACTTTTATAATATAATTTATGTTATATATAAATGGTTGAGTGGAAACTTGATTCTCAGAGATGAATAAAGAGCACCCTAATGCTTTCTTAAATAGTAAACCAAACTAACAATGTGTCTTAACTGTGAAGGAGGTAACTTAAGACTCCAGGCTATCAAACCCATCCATTGGTTTGTGTCTATGATATTGCATAAAAATGATTCAGACTAAGGGCTATTTACAATTATTCTCTATGTTTCTTAGTAGAAGAAGGATGAGCCTTTCCCCATAATAGGCAATGCAATACAACACAACTAAATTCAACATAAATTTATTGAGCACTAGTGATCTCTTGAAATCTTATGTGACATGACTTGAGAATTTAAACACTTTAGGCTGGGCGCGGTGGCTCACACCTGTAATCCCAGCACTTTGGGAGGCTGAAGTGGGTGGATTACGAGGTCAGGAAATGGAGACCATCCTGGCTAAACCGGTGAAACCCTGTCTCTACTAAAAATACAAAAAATTAGCCGGGCGTGGCAGTGGGCGCCTGTAGTCCCAGCTACTTGGGAGGCTGAGACAGGAGAATGGCGTGAACCCGGGAGGCGGAGCTTGCAGTGAGCCAACATAGTGCCACTGCACTCCAGCCTGGGTGATAGAGTGAGACTCCGTCTCAAAAAAAAAAAAAACAAAAAAACACACAAACACTTTAAAAAATCAAGTGATTAACATATGAGGATTCAAAAAATTTTTAATTTATGTTTCATAAGTTATCAAAATAGAGTCTAATAATTATCTCGTTTACTCATTTTCTCTTTTTTCTCAGTTACATTGTGGAATTCTACACTTAGAATATCCAATTTAGAATTTGTAGGTAACAAAAAATAAACCATATAAATCATTTACCAGATAGATTTATTTAAAAAAATGGTTTTCAATTGGAGTTTCATGTCAGCTCTCACCCCTTGGGTTTCCCCAGTTGTACTCTGAATTTTTCAGTGGTAAAGCACTTGTTCTCTTACTTCATTAACTTTTAAATAGAAATGGAAATTGCTAAGCTTTATGGGTTTATAGCTTTTAATAAAAAATAGGCATTAAGAATCTTAATTTTTTAATATTAAGAATTAAAGCTACTTAAACATCCTGAAATTAAAAGTGCTTCAGAAAGATTAAAGGGTTTTGAAATCAGCAAGCCATACAATCAATGCTTCCATCTCCTTTTTCATTAGATTGCAATCTCTACAGGTATTTTTTCCAGCCTTCACATGAAGTCATACATTTATGAAGATAAAATAAAGAACTTTTTGATTAGCCCAGTTCCACTTTTAGTCATTTTGTGATGAATGCGGCATTTCAAACTGAAGTTTCACCTGAGTGAAAAGAGTGCCCTGACTAAGAAGAGGATTTGTCCAAAGTATTCTTTATGAAGAACTGAGTGGTTTAAATAAAGATTTGACCTAAGCATTAGTTCCAATCAAATGTATCATATGGGAGGAGTTTTTCAAAGGAAAGAGTATTGCTATATGAAATGGTAAGAAGAGAAGGAGAGGAATTGCTGACAAATTTAAATGTTCTAAACTTCTGTGAATGTGTATGTGTAAAGAACTTTAATGTATACAAGTTCTTCTGCAAATGAATTTTAGGAGATTAGTAAATTAAATTTAGAAAAAATTATACTACTTTGCTTTATGAAGAAAATAATTACAATATTAAAAACAGAGAATTTAGTTTTTCATACTTTTATAAGCAAATTTACTAGTCATTTAAAATTTCCACTTAGAGGCATAAAAGTAAAACTGTACAACTTTTGTCTTATTTAGTATTATAGATATTGTGTGTCTATATCACATTTTCCTTATGTGAATGGGGGTTTCAAATTCATGAGACTTTGTTTACAGGTAATGGACAAGATTTAGGATAATTATAAAACAACACTGGAAATGTCCATCAATTTATCATTTCTGCCCAAAAGCCTTTACATACACTGCATGTTAAACTTAGATGTCCACCCAGAAATAAATCAATGTATTTACAGCCAACTGATTCTTGACAAAGCCACCAAGAACTTTCAGTAGGGGAAAGGACAGTCTTTTCAATAAATGGTGCTAGAAAAACTGAATATCTATATGCAGAAAAATGAAACTAGACCCCTATCTCTTACTATATGCAAAAATCAGATAAAGATGAATTAAAGACTTGAATATAAGACCTGAAACTATAAAGCTACTAGGAGAAAACATTGTGGAAATGCTTCAGGACACTGGTCTGGGAAATGATTGTTTGGATAAGACCTCAAAAGCACAGGCAACAGAAGCAAAACTAGACATAGAATTACAACATTCTAAAAAGCTTCTTCACAGCAAAGAAAACAATAAACTCAGTAAAGAGACAACTTGCAGAATGGGAGAAAATATGTGCAAACTCTCCATCAGACAAGGGATTAATAACCAGAATATATAAGGAACTCAATAGCAATAATAAAATAATCTAATTTACTAACGGGCAAATGATCTGAATAAACATTTCTCAAGAGAAAACATACAAATGGCCAAAAGGTACATGGAAAAAAAAATGGTCAACACCACTAATAAAGAGAGAAATGCAAATCAAAACCACAATGTGAGAGGAGCCAAGATGGCCGAATAGGAACAGCTCGGGTCTACAGCTCCCAGCCTGAGCGACGCAGAAGATGGGTGATTTCTGCATTTCCATCTGAGGTACCGGGTTCATCTCACTAGAGAGTGCCAGACAGTGGGCGCAGGTAAATGGGTGCGCGCACCGTGCGCGAGCCGAAGCAGGGCAAGGCATTGCCTCACTGGGGAAGCGCAAGGGGTCAGGGAGTTCCCTTTCCGAGTCAAAGAAAGGGGTGACTGATGCACCTGGAAAATCGGGTCACTCCCACCCGAATATTGCGCTTTTCGGACCCCCTTAAAAAACGGCGCACCACGAGATTATATCCCGCACCTGGCTCGGAGGGTCTTACGCCCACAGAGTCTCGCTGATTGCTAGCACAGCAGTCTGAGATCAAACTGCAAGGCGGCAGCGAGGCTGGGGGAGGGGCGCCCACCATTGCCCAGGCTTGCTTAGGTAAACAAAGCAGCTGGGAAGCTTGAACTGGGTGGAGCCCACCACAGCTCAAGGAGGCCTGCCTGCCTCTGTAGGCTCCACCTCTGGGGGCAGGGTACAGACAAACAAAAAGACAGTAGTAACCTCTGCAGACTTAAATGTCCCTGTCTGACAGCTTTGAAGAGAGCAGTGGTTCTCTCAGCACGCAGCTGGAGATCTGAGAACCAGCAGACTGTCTCCTCAGGTGGGTCCCTGACCCCTGACCCCCGAGCAGCCTAACTGGGAGGCACCCCCCAGCAGGGGCACACTGACACCTCACACGGCAGGGTATTCTAACAGACCTGTAGCTGAGGGTCCTGTCTGTTAGAAGGAAAACTAACAAACAGAAAGGACATCCACACCAAAAACCCATCTGTACATCACCATCATCAAAGACCAAAAGCAGATAAAACCACAAAGATGGGAAAAAAACAGAACAGAAAAACTGGAAACTCTAAAACGCAGAGCTCCTCTCCTCCTCCAAAGGAACGCAGTTCCTCACCAGCAACGGAACAAAGCTGGATGGAGAATGACTTTGACAAGCTGAGAGAAGAAGGCTTCAGACGATCAAATTACTCTGAGCTACGGGAGGACATTCAAACCAAAGGCAAAGAAGTTGAAAACTTTGAAAAAAAGTTAGAAGAATGTATAACTAGAATAACCCATCAGTGTGCTGTATTCAGGAAACCCATCTCACGTGCAGAGACACACATAGGCTCAAAATAAAAGGATGGAGGAAGATCTACCAAGCAAATGGAAAACAAAAAAAGGCAGGGGTTGCAATCCTAGTCTCTGATAAAACAGACTTTAAACAAACAAAGATCAAAAGAGACAAAGAAGGCCATTACATAATGGTAAAGGGATCAATTCAACAAGAAGAGCTAACTATCCTAAATATATATGCACCCAATACAGGAGCACCCAGATTCATAAAGCAAGTCCTGAGTGACCTACAAAGAGACTTAGACTCCCACACATTAATAATGGGAGACTTTAACACCCCACTGTCAACATTAGACAGATCAACGAGACAGAAAGTCAACAAGGATACCCAGGAATTGAACTCAGCTCTGCACCAAGCAGACCTAATAGACATCTACAGAACTCTCCACCCTAAATCAACAGAATATACATTTTTTTCAGCACCACACCACACCTATTCCAAAATTGACCACATACTTGGAAGTAAAGCTCTCCTCAGCAAATGTAAAAGAATAGAGATTATAACAAACTATCTCTCAGACCACAGTGCAATCAAACTAGAACTCAGGATTAAGAATCTTACTCAAAACCACTCAACTACATGGAAACTGAACAACCTGCTCCTGAATGACTACTGGATACATGACGAAATGAAGGCAGAAATAAAGATGTTCTTTGAAACCAACGAGAACAAAGACACAACATACCAGAATCTCTGGGACACATTCAAAGCAGTGTGTAGAGGGAAATTTATAGCACTAAATGCCCACAAGAGAAAGCAGGAAAGATCTAAAATTCACACCCTAACATCACAATTAAAAGAACTAGAAAAGCAAGAGCAAACACATTCAAAAGCTAGCAGAAGGCAAGAAATAACTAAAATCAGAGCAGAACTGAAGGAAATAGAGACAGAAAAAACCCTTCAAAAAATTACTGAATCCAGGAGCTGGTTTTTTGAAAGGATCAACAAAATTGATAGACCGCTAGCAAGACTAATAAAGAAAAAAAGAGAGAAGAATCAAATAGACACAATAAAAAATGATAAAGGGGATATCACCACCGATCCCACAGAAATACAAACTACCATCAGAGAATACTACAAACACCTCTACGCAAATAAACTAGAAAATCTAAAAGAAATGGATAAATTCCTCGACACATACACTCTCCCAAGACTAAACCAGGAAGAAGTTGAATCTCTGAATAGACCAATAACAGGAGCTGAAATTGTGGCAATAATCAATAGTTTACCAACCAAGAAGAGTCCAGGACCAGATGGATTCACAGTTGAATTCTACCAGAGGTACAAGGAGGAACTGGTACCATTCCTTCTGAAACTATTCCAATCAATAGAAAAAGAGGGAATCCTCCCTAACTCATTTTATGAGGCCAGCATCATCCTGATACCAAAGCCTGGCAGAGACACAGCAAAAAAAGCGAATTTTAGACCAACATCCCTGATGAACATTGATGCAAAAATCCTCAATAAAATACTGGCAAAACGAATCCAGCAGCACATCAAAAAGCTTATCCACTATCATCAAGTGGGCTTCATCCCTGGGATGCAAGGCTGGTTCAATATACACAAATCAATAAATGTAATCCAGCATATAAACAGAGCCAAAGACAAAAACCACATGATTATCTCAATAGATGCAGAAAAAGCCTTTGACAAAATTCAACAACCCTTCATGCTAAAAACTCTCAATAAATGAGGTATTGATGGGACGTATTTCAAAATAATAAGAGCTATCTATGACAAACCCACAGCCAATATCATACTGAATGGGCAAAAACTGGAAGCATTTCCTTTGAAAACTGGCACAAGACAGGGATGCCTTCTCTCACCACTCCTATTCAACATAGTGTTGGAAGTTCTGGCCAGGGCAATTAGGCAGGAGAAAGAAATAAAGGGTATTCAATTAGGAAAAGAGGAAGTCACATTGTCCCTGTTTGCAGATGACATGAGTGTATATCTAGAAAACCCCATTGTCTCAGCCCAAAATCTCCTTCAGCTGATAAGCAACTTCAGCAAAGTCTCAGGATACAAAATCAATGTAGAAAAATCACAAGCATTCTTATACACCAACAACAAACAGAGAGCCAAATCATGAGTGAACTCCCATTCACAATTGCTTCAAAGAGAATAAAACATCTAGGAATCCAACTTACAAGGCATGTGAAGGACCTCTTCAAGGAGAACTACAAATCACTGCTCAAGGAAATAAAAGAGGATACAAACAAATGGAAGAACATTTCATGCTCATGGGTAGGAAGAATCAATATCATGAAAATGGCCATACTGCCCAAGGTAATTTACAGATTCAATGCCATCCCCATAAAGCTACCAATGACTTTCTTCACAGAATTGGAAAAAACTACTTTCAAGTTCATATGGAACCAAAAAAGAGCCCACATCGCCAAGGCAATCCTAAGCCAAAAGAACAAAGCTGGAGGCATCACACTACCTGACTTCAAACTATACTACAAGGCTACAGTAACCAAAAGAGAGATATAGATCAATGGAACAGAACAGAGCCCTCAGAAATAACGTCGCATATCTACAACTACCTGATCTTTGACAAACCTGAGAAAAACAAGCAATGGGGAAAGGATTCCCTATTTAATAAATGGTGCTGGGAAAACTGGCTAGCCATATGTAGAAAGCTGAAACTGGATCCCTTCCTTACACCTTATACAAAAATCAATTCAAGATGGATTAAAGACTTAAACGTTAGACCTAAAACCATAAAAACCCTAGAAGAAAACCTAGGCATTACCATTCAGGACATAGGCATGGGCAAGGACTTCATGTCCAAAACACCAAAAGCAATGGCAACAAAAGACAAAATTGACAAACGGGATCTAATTAAACTAAAGAGCTTCTGCACAGCAAAAGAAACTACCATCAGAGTGAACAGGCAACCTACAAAATGGGAGAAAATTTTCGCAACCTACTCATCTGACAAAGGGCTAATATCCAGAATCTACAATGAACTCAAACAAATTTACAAGAAAAAACAAACAACCCCATCAACAAGTGGGCGAAGGACATGAACAGACACTTCTCAAAAGAAGACATTTATGCAGCCAAAAAACACATGAAAAATTGCTCATTATCACTGGCCATCAGAGAAATGCAAATCAAAACCACAATGAGATACCATCTCACACCAGTTAGAATGGCAATCATTAAAAAGTCAGGAAACAACAGGTGCTGGAGAGGATGTGGAGAAATAGGGACATTTTTACACTGTTGGTGGAACTGTAAACTAGTTCAACCATTGTGGAAGTCAGTGTGGCGATTCCTCAGGGATCTAGAACTAGAAATACCATTTGACCCAGCCATCCCATTACTGGGTATATACCCAAAGGATTATAAATCATGCTGCTATAAAGACACATGCACACGTATGTTTATTGCGGCATTATTCACAATAGCAAAGACTTGGAGCCAACCCAAATGTCCAACAATGATAGACTGGATTAAGAAAATGTGGCACATATACACCATGGAATACTATGCAGCCATAAAAAATGATGAGTTCATGTCCTTTGTAGGGACATGGATGAAATTGGAAATCATCATTTTCAGTAAACTATCGCAAGAACAAAAAACCAAACACCGCATATTCTCACTCATAGGTGGGAACTGAACAATGAAATCACATGGACATAGGAAGGGGAATATCACACTCTGGGGACTGTTGTGGGCTGGGGGGAGGGGGAAGGGATAGCATTGGGAGATATACCTAATGCTAGATGACGAGTTAGTGGGTGCAGCGCACCAGCATGGCACATGTATACATATGTAACTAACCTGCACAATGTGCACATGTACCCTAAAACTTAAAGTATAAAAAAAAAAAAAAAAACACAATGTGATATCATCTCACCTGGGTTAAAATTGCCGTTATCAAAAAGGCAAAAAGCATGGACGTTAGTAAGGATGTGGAGAAAGGAGAATGCTAGTACACTGTTGGTGGGAATGTAAATTAGTATAGCCACTATGGAAAACAGCATGGAGGTTCCTCAAAAAACTAAAAGCAGTTGCACCATATGATCCAGCAATCCCACTGCTGGGTATATACCCAAAAGAAAGGAAATGAGGATATCGAAGAAATATGCACTCCCATGTTCATTACAGCGCTATTCACAATAGCCAAGATACAGAACTAACCTAAATGTCTATCAATGGATGAATAAAGAAAATATATATTTATTAATATACACAATGAATTACTATTCAGCCATTAAAAAAGAATGAAATCCTGCCGAGTGAGGTGGCCCATGCTTGTAATCCCATTATTTTATTGTGCCACTGCACTCCAGCCTGGATAACAGATCGAAACTCCATCTCAAAAATAAATAAATAAATGAATAAAATAAAAGAATGAAATCCTATCATTTTCAGCAAAATGGATGGAATTGGAGGTCATCATGTTAAGTGAAATAAGCCAGGCACAGAAAGGCAAATATTGCATGTTCTGACTCGTATGTGGAAACTAAATAAGTTGATCTCATGGAAGTAGAGAGTAGAACAGTAGTTGCTGGGAAAGGTGGACAGGGTGGGTTTGGGACATAGGGGGAGAGTGGTGGGGTGGAGGTGGTGGTGTTGTGGGAGATGGGGATGAAGAGAGGCTGGTTAATGAATATGGAAATACAGTTAGATAGAAGGAATAAGTTCTAGTACTCAATAGCACAGAAGAGTGACTATAGTTAACAATAATTTATTGTGTATTTCAAAAGAGCTAGATTTGAAATATTTCCAACACAAAGCAACGATAAAGACTTATGGAGTAAATCTATATAAAGTATTTAGAATGGCGTCTGGCAAGATATGTGCTCTATAAATTTTTATCTTATACCTCTTTTCTCACCCCTCACCATCTTGTCCCTTATGCTTTAGCATTAGCACACTACTTGCCTTTTCACGCCACTGTGCCTTTGCACATGTTGTTCCTTCGCTTAGAAAGCCACAACCTGTGCATTTAATAAATCCCTGCTTGCCTTTCAAATCTCAGTTCAAACACTACTTTCTCTGTGAAGAAGGCCTTTCTTTTTAACTCCTGACTGACAAAGTTTCTCTTCTATGTCTTCACAGGTATCTGGTATACATCTTTATTATAATGAGATGAGTCATTTCCCACTAGACTAAAAGCTTCTCAAGCATGAAAAAATTATTTTTATACCTTATTTTCCTCAGGACCCAGTGTATTATCTGACACACAGAAAGTATTAAGATATATATATATTGATTATAAAGGAATAAAATAGTATTTCCAAATCATCTACTGTTCATGAGTAACATTGTGCTATGAGGTATGTATATGTAACGAAAACTGTGCAAGTACCTCTATTATAGTAATTACTATTTGTGAGATATTGTCTATTTCTCCACTTGACTTACAGTCTCCTTGAATGGAGGTTCCACGTGTTTTCATATTTGTATCTCGAAAAGCTAGCACAAGGTCTGCAACAAAAAAACTCAATGGATATTTGATGAATGAATGAATGAGTGAATAAAAATATGATTAAATGATTCTGCAGAGCAGAATCAATTCTTATGTCTGGATTATCAGACAAACTCTTCAGGGATGGCAAAGTCATCACATGCTCTCTGGCATCTGAGCACCATGATGGTTAATAAAGAACACTAAAATGTATGTCTGCCTCAATAATTTGTCAACAAAGTCATCTTTTGTTTCCTCAACTGAAAAACTGGAGATGACAGTTGCTACCATTTAAAGCTTTCAAAACTGTGCTCTAATTAACTGAAAGAAGTTGGCTGGGTGTGGTGGCTCATGCCTGTATTCCCCAGCTCTTTGGGAGGCCGAGGCGGGCAGATCACAAGGTGAGGAGATCGAGACTATTCTGGCCAACGTGGTGAAACCCCATCTCTACCAAAAATACAAAAATTAGCTGGGTGTGGTGGCATGTGCCTGTAATCCCAGCTACTCGGGAGGCTGAGGCAGGAGAATCGCTTGAACCCAGGAGGCGGATATTGCAGTGAGCTGAGATCGTGCCACTGCACTCCAGCCTGGTGACAGAGCAAGACTCCGTCTCAAAAAAAAAAAAAAAAAAAAAAGAAGTTAGGTGAATATAAAGGAGACCAAAAATAAACAAAAAATCCTAAACCATCTTTAGGAAAATAGGCAAAATAATTTAATAAATATATCAACGAAGAGAAAAACAGACAAATATTAGTGTTGACATTTTGGGGTAAACAAAGTTCAAAAATCTGTAAATGGACTGAGTGCGTGCATGTGTCTGAGAGGGAGAGAAATTACAAATCAGAAAAACTGTGTTTTTATATTCTTTTTCTTTCTCATTTTTAATCATATTATGAGAACATATATAAGCATACAGAAATATTTAAAAAATACAATACTCTGTACAATTCTATAATACATTAAAAAATATTGATCCAAATATTCCCCAAATAGTAGAAAACCTCAGAAAACCTACATGTTCATAGGCCTAAGTACACCTGAATCAACTGGGGTGTGTTCATGTGTGTGTGTGCATGTTTGTGTGTGTGTGTGTATGTGTTCAAAAGTCAGAAAGTCATAGAAAACCTCAATAGGCCTTTTTAAATATAGCTAAAATTTTAAAGTTTTCAAATGATTACGCTGAAGAAAGATGCCAAGCACAATTTTTTTCCAAACAATTCTATCTTATTTTCAAAGTATAGGGAATTCTCATGATATAATAACTGCTCAAAGGCAAAAAAAATTGAAAAAGTGCCCCAGGCCATTTTATTTATGAAGCTGCCTTAAGCTAATATTTAAATCTGACAAGGATAGCACTACACACACACACACGCGTACACACACATGCGTGCACACACCACCCCCACCCAGTATTCCTTAGAAAAACAGATTTTAAAACTCTAAAAACTCTAGAGGCTGAATGCAATAGCAGTTTTTAATACTTCCATAAAAATGACTTAGGACATATTTCAGGAATGAAAGATGATTCAATATTAGGAAAATTTTAAATATAGCTCATCAACTTAATTGGTCAAAGGATACAAATATGTAATCAACACTATAAGTTACATAAGGCCAGATGTGATACAAATTCACATCGACTCCCAATTTTAGAAAAAGAAAACCCCATTGTAGAGCATACCAGAAGAACACTTAATTAGAATGAAACATGTTTTTTGAGACAGCTATTCTTTATCTTAAACATTTGACATTCTACTTATCAATGAATCACTAGAAGCAGAGTTACTGAAATCAAGATGCATATAGTCCTAGAAAACCCAGAATAATCCGAGGAAAATCCAATAAAACTGCAAAGAATTTCATTAGGGTTTAGTTACAACATACACACAACAAAATGATTAGCTTTTCTATACAGCAGCAGTAGGCAGAAAATATAATAGACAAAAGCTTACATTCATGATATCACAATATTCATCCAAAATAAACTACCTAGAATTAACCTTATATTTAAAGAAAATGAAATAGTTTCAGGCAAGACATTTGAAAAAATAAGGAGAGGGGATATTAGATGCTTTCTAGAAAGATTCAATATTATAAAAACTTTATTTTTCCTTAGGGTAATGTATATAAGTATAATCAAAATCCTAAAATAAATCATATTTTCTATTTTGAAACTTAAATTTTGAAGTTTATTTGACAAACTAGACAAAAATGCCAAGAAAATATTGGAAAATAATAAATAAAACACACTGTCATATATTAAAAATGTACAAAGTTAACATCGTATGATATTGCATCAGGAAAGACCAAAAGATTAATTGGATATAATGGAATGCACAGAAGCAGACTCAAATACATATAAATATTTGGAAAAGAAAAGGATGTCATGTCAAATCACTGGGTGATGATTTGAAATGGCATCATTCTATTCTTTTATTTTGTTCTTTATTATTTAGAATATAGTACTGGGATAACTTGTTAACTGGAAGAAAGTAAAACTGTGTTTCTATCTTACATAATACAGAAAAATGATTTATATAGACTAAGCACTTATTTTATTTCAATTTCCAGGATACATGTGCAGGACGTGCAGGTTTGTTACATAGGAAAGAGGGCCATGGTGGTTTGCTGCACCTATTGACCCATCACCTAGGTATTAAGCCCCATATGCATTAGCTATTTATCCTGATGCTCTCCCTCTCTCCGCCCCCTGGACAGGCCCCAGTGTGTGTTGTTCCCCTCCCTGTGCCCATGTGTTCTCATTGTTCAGCTCCCACTTATAAGTGAACATGCGGTGTTTGGTTTTCTGTTCCTGCGTTAGTTTGCTGAGGATAATGGCTTACAGCTAGATGAAGCACTTCTTAAGTATAAAGAAATGAAATTACAAAAGAACAAGAAAAAGTATTGATGACTTGAAACATTTACGTGTATAGCAAAGATGAATTCTTAAAGAAGAGTAATGTATGTGAAGAATACAAATTTAAGATGTCCTTCTTGTAACAAATAAAAATCCTGCTTTGTCAAAAAAAAGGGGAGATATAAACATATACTTGACAAAAGAAGAAACACAAATAGGTAATAAAAATGTTTTACGTCATTAATAATCACAGAAATATAAAGAAGTATTTACAGTCATAGAAATACAAAAAGTAGGTAAGTATTCTGGTTATCTTCTGTTTGTCCCTCCAGATTCACTCTCCACTGGTCTCCACCTTGCTTTCTGCCCTATGTGGCAACCTGTTTAGACTGCGTCAAGAGGGACTTTCAATCCTCTGCTTTAAAATGGGTACAGACAATAGGAAGAGTGAGGTCACAGTATTCATTCCCCTAGTATATTGGCTTGGCTGTGTCCCTTGACCAAAGGTCACTGTGCTTCTGAAGACAGTGCTCTCTACTTGCCTCTCTTATCTATCTTCTGGTAACCACTTATTCCCTTAACTAGGGGTGGTAACAGGTCTGTAGCTAATATCCATAATTTACTCCATTACTGCTTTCATTTCCCCCCAAAGTACCATCTTGTAATTACCATCTCTAAATAAATTCATTTTAAGTGTCCTAATTTGAGGGTACTAATTATTGGTGATGGAAAGAGATACCTAGTGAATGTATAAATCAACATTAACTTCTGGAGAAAAATGTGTAATATGTATTAAAATATGCACATCTTTTAATCTAGAAATTTCTTAGAAATTTGTTCTATGGACAGTCACAGATTATAAAAAGTTGCACAGAAAAAACATTTATCAAACATACTGTTTTTCTTAAATTGTGAAAAACAAAAATAATGTTAATACACAATAAAAGAGGATAGAACAAATAAATAGCACTGAACTCATGTAAAGAAATCCCATTCACCAATTAAAACTATGTTTACAAAAAATATTTCCTAATGAAGAAAATGTTCAGGATATATTATTAAGGGGATATTATATATTATCAAGGGAAAAAAGACCCTGTAATACTATAAATTAATTATGGACCACTTTTGCGCTAAATACACACACACACACACACACACACACACACACACACACACCACACAGAAACTGCAAAAGTGGTTATTTCTGAGTAGTGGAATTAATTTTATTTTTGTTCTTCCTGATTTTCTGTGTTTAGGTTTTATTCATTAATGATGAGCTACTTTTGAATAATTAAAAACATAAAAATATGCAACTTGTTTTCAATCAGCATTATTAAACTCTCTTAAATACTTCATAACTATGAATCTAATTGTTTTAAGATAATTCTGATGAAATGTTTACAGCAATGTAAAAAGACTTTCCAAATGAGAAGTCATGACTATACTTATAATAGGTAATAGATCTGGCACTGAAAAACATGCAGAGATGTTAAAAAGATAATAAATATTATCTTTAAATTCAGATTGATATGGACTAGCTGGGTCCCCCCCAAATCTCACCTTGAACTGTAGTAATCCCCACATGTCAAAGATAGGGCCAGGTGGAGATAATTGAATCATGGGGGTGGTTTCTCCCATACTGTTCTCATGGTAGTGAGTAAGTCTCACGAGATCTGATGGGTTTGTAAATGGGAGTTCCCCTGCACAAGCTCTTGCCTGCCGCCATGTAAGATATGACTTTGCTCCTCATTTGCCTTCCACCATGACAGGCCTCCCGAGCCATGTGGAACTGTCAGTCAATTAAACATGTTTCCTTTATAAATTACCCAGTTTTGGGTATGTCATTATTAGCAGCATGAAAAGAGATTAATACAGTAGGCCAGGCGCCGTGGCTCATGCCTGTAATCCCAGAACTCTGGGAGGCCAAGGCGGGCGGATCACCTGAGGTTGGGAGTTTGAGACCAGCCTGACCAAGATGGAGAAACCCCGTCTCTACTAAAAAGACAAAAATTAGCTGGGCATGGTGGCGCATGCCTGTAATCCCAGCTACTTGGGAGGCTGAGGCAGGAGAATTGCTTGAATCCAGGAGGCGGAGGTTGCAGCGAGCCAAGATCGCATCACTGCACTCCAGCCTGGGCAACAAAAGCAAAACTCCATCTCAAAAAATAAATAAATAAAAATACAGCAAATTGGTACCAGTAGAGTGTGGTGCTGCTGTAAAGATGCCCAAAAATGTGGAAGCAAGTTTGGAACTGAGTAACAGACAGAAGTTGGAACAGTTTGGAGGGCTCAGAAGAAGATGGAAAAAGGTGGGAAAGTTTGGAACTTCCTAGAGACTTATGAATGGCTTTGACCAAAATGCTGATAGTGATATGAACAATAAGGTCCAGGCTGAGGTAGTCTCAGATGTTGACGAGGAACTTCTTGGGACTGGAGTAAAGATCACTCTTGCTATGAAAAGAGACTGGCAGCATTTGCCCCTGCACTAGAGATCTGTGGAACTTTGAACTTGATAGAGATGATTGAGGGTATCTGGTGGAAGAAATTTCCAAGTTGTAAAGCATTCAAGAGGAAGCAGAGCAAAAAAGTTTGAAAAATTTGAAGGTTGGCAATGTGATAAAAGAAAAACCAATTTTCTGGGAAGAAATTCAAGCCAGCTGCAGAAATTTGCATAACTAATGAGGAACCAAATGTTAATCACCAAGACAATGGGGAAAATGTCTCCAGGGCATGTAGGAGACCTTCATGGCAGCCCATCCTATCACAGGCCTGGAGGCCTAGGAGCAAAAAATGGTTTTGTGGGTGGGGCCCAGGGCCCCACTGCTCTATGAAGCCTCATGACATGGTGCCCTGCAACACAACTGCTTCAGCTCCAGCCCTGGCTAAAGGGGGCCAATGTACAGCTCAAGGCTTTGCTTCAGGGGGTGCAAGCCCCAAGCCTTGGTGGCTTACATGTAGTGTTGGGCCTGTGCTGCACAGAAGTGCACAGAAGTCAAGAATTGAGGTTTAGAAATATCTGCCTAGATTTCAGAGGATGTTTGAGACACCTGGACGTCCATGCAAAAGTTTGCTGCTGGGGCAGAGCTCTCATGGAGGACCTCTGTAGGGCACTGCCTAATGGAGCTGTGAGAAGAGGGCCACAGTCCTCCAAATCTGAGAATGGTAGATCCACTGAGAGCTTGCACTGTGAGCCTGGAAAAGCCACAGACACTCAATGCTAGCTCATGTAAGCAGCTGGGAGTGGGGCTGTACCCTACAATGCCAGAGGGGCAGAGCTGCCCAAGGCTATGGGAGCACACCTCTTGTATCATGTGACCTGGATGTAAGACATGGAGTCAAAGGAGATCATTATGGAACTTAAAGTTTAATGACTGCCTTATTGGAGTCTGAACTTGCATGAGACCTGTGGCCCTCTTGTTTTGGCCAATTTCTCCCCTTTGGAATGGGTGTATTTACCCAATGCCTGTACCCCCACTGTATTTGGGAAATGACTAACTTGCTTTTGATTTTACAGGCTCATAAGCAGAAAGGACTTGCCTTGTCTCAGATGAGACTTTGGACTGTGGACTTTTGAGTTAATGCTGAAATGAGTTAAGACTTTGGGGGACTGTTGAGAAGGCATGATTGGTTTTGAAATGTGAGGACATGAGATTTGGGAGGGGCCAGGGACAGAATGATATGGTTTGGCTGTGTCCCCACCCAAATCTCACCTTGAACTGTAATAATCCCCAAGTGTGAAGGGTGGGGTCAGGTGGAAATAATTGAATCATGGGGGTCCTTTCCCCCATACTGTTCTCATGGTAGTGAATAAGTCTCATGAGATCTGATGGTTTTATAAATGGGAGTTCCCCTTGCCTGCTGATATGTAAGATGTGACTTTGCTCCTCATTCACCTTCCACCATGACTGTGAGGCCTTCCCAGCAAATGGAACTGTGAGTCAATTAAACCTCTTTCCTTTATAAATTACTCAGTCTTGGGTATATCTTTATTAGTAGATTGAGAACAGACTAATACACAGAAAAAGTCCAAAAATGATAAAAAGAGATCATTAAATAGGACAGGCTTTCATGCATTCAAGGCTGGAAAACACACAAAAGATAACATACACAAGTCAATAAAAAATGTTTTAGGTTCACTGAAATGTTTCATTGGTAAGGCCTACTCTACCATTTACATGAAGAAATTTTTAAATAAACTGATGTTTATCTACATTTTCACAAAACATATTTAGAATTTAGAGAAAAGGGCCCATTGGCTACATGTAAGAATATTTAGGCTGGTCGTGATGGCTCACGCCTGTAATCCCAGCACTTTGGGAGGCCGATGTGGGCCTTGGCCACTTGAAGTCAGGAGTTCGAGACAAGGCTGGCCAACATGAAACCCCATCTCTACCAAAACTACAAAAATTAGCCGGGCATGGTGGTGGGTGCCTGTAATACCAGCTACTCAGGAGGCTGAGGCAGGAGAATTGCTTGAACCTGGGAGGTGGAGGCTGCAGTGAATGCAGATCATGCCACTGCACTCCAGCCTGGGCAACAAGAGTGAGATTCCGTCTCAAACAAAAACAAAAACAAAAAAAAAAACAAAACAAAAAGCCAAAGTAGGCATATTGGTAAGGCAGGTAACATCTTTCAAATAGCTGACTAGGTACTAAATAGTTTGTTTCAACATAATGACAGTACACTTTTTGTTTTGAGGACAATGTATAAAAGTAAAACTCTGAGATTTTTTTTTAAAGTGACGTATAATGTTTCTAGGAGGGAAACTGGATTAATAGAAACATGCTAATGACCACAGAGAGCCAGGTACACCAACAGCTTAAATTCCTTATATTTCATTTGCATATTCTGTGGTAATTATAATAGCATCCTGCACAGAGAAGGTGCTAAAAGGTTTGATAAATGAATGTATGTATAAAAGCATGCTGAGTGATGTTGTCCCTAAAAGGCTATACTATGCTAGTCTGCTATAAGTGAAGCTACCAACAAAATCTGTCCAAGGACTAACTGAGAAGGGACAGAGTGACTCTACTACTTCTGACTGTCACCCCAACATCCCTTCTCCTCCTATCCTTTATAAGGAGATAGGTTTGGGGAAGTGGGGAATTGACTTTGTGGAAAACACAGTATTTAAGATACGATGTACTTCCATTCCTAAACTATAGGTTAGAGTAGTGGGCATTTTTAGCCACTCAAATTCTCCCCTTGCAAGGCAAATGTGTAGTTCCCAGGACAATCATTGTAGAGATTTGGGCATACCTAAAATAAGGCATGGGTGACATTCTACATTGCAGTGGAATGTCTACTTCAGCAGAAGACATTAATTTACCTTGTACCTCTCTGAGCAGGTGAGAAGTAGGGAGAGAGATGGTAGTACTGACAGAGTGGGTGGTAGGCACCTACCTTCTTGACTTTTCTTTCCTAAGCTGTAAAATGAGAATGATGCTGCTCTTCTATTTACCTCACAAAAATACTGTGAGAATCAACCAGTACAGTCAATCTAAAGTGCTTGGTAGACTGTAGATCTTTACATAAAATGTTATTAAAATTGGATCCCAAATGAAGCAGGTTTAATTTCCTGATAAAATCGTCTTAATATCATCTAAATGTTGGGTAATCATTAATTGACAAATAGTTGATGAACTAGCCTGTGCTGGCCATTTTGAGAAAGATGAAATATCATTTCTACCTCAAAGACTCCACAATCCAGTTGGGAAGGCAAGACTAACAGGAATGAATTAGTAATAAAACTATACAATAATAATAGAAAATATATAGATATTTTATATATAATAAATGTATACTTGTATACATTTACTTACTCATTTAAGTCTTACAATAATCCTGAGGGAGGTTCTATTATTTTATTCATATTATAGATAAGGAAATTCAGGTGCAGAGAAGGTAAAAACCTGCCAAAGGCAATATAACAGTAACAGAATCAGGATTCAAATTTGGTCAGTCTGGCTCTGGAGAATGTACACTTAACCACATCACTACCCTGCCTCTCTTGTAAGATTCCATGTATGGAACCAAAGGTGCATACTATGAGAACTCAGGGAAAGAGTGAAACACAATATGGGCAGAAGTAGTTAGTAATATATTGGTGGAGTAAGTGGCACTTGAGTAAGGAAAACCAAGTAGGGTTTGGAAAAGAAGAAAAGAGAAGGAAGACTGTTGTAGAAGTGGGTTACTATAAAAGCTCTGGAGGAGCGCAGAAAAATTTGATAAATAGTTACTGAATACCTATTAGGTACCACTCACGGTACTTGGGATATTTCAATTAACAAAACAAAGATACTTGTTCTTATAAAAGTTAAAGTCAATGGGTGTAAAAATGACAATGGAGAGACTAGTCTCACTGAATTGACCATCCATCCTGAGAATCAGAGAAAATAGTATTGAATAGGTAGACAAGTGCCAGATTATGAGATCTCTGAAAGACAGAGAAGTCTGAGGATATAGATCAAACTTACAGATATGTACTGCAGGATTTTTCGAGGAATGTGTCACATAGTAATAACAGTATCTTAGGAATATTAATTTGGCTGTTTTTCCAAGAATGAAATAGAAATGGGAAAAATTAAAGGGAGAAAGACTTGCT
This sequence comes from Homo sapiens, assembly GCF_000001405.40. NCBI lineage: Eukaryota > Metazoa > Chordata > Mammalia > Primates > Hominidae > Homo > Homo sapiens. The sequence goes on from NC_000004.12 coordinate 106,136,058, forward strand.
AGAAAGTGTATTTTATTAATATCTAGATTAAGTGATGGCATTGGTAATCGAGAGCTTTGCTCAATTCTTTATCTCCTTTTTTTATTCAGTTTTTCCTTTACTGTTATTTTTCCTTTTCTGTTATTTTTCCTTGGTCTATAAATACATGCAATTCCATCCATCTACAGTAAACAGAAGGTAAATTAAAACAATAAATAATAAAACTACTCTTCAAGGAGTGAATCACTCCCAAGCTACTACCTCTCTACCTCCTTCTCATCTCTATTTTCTCCTTACCATTGTCTCCTGAACTCACTGCAACTTGGTTTCTGTCATGATACAGGAGGAGTAGTTCATTTGGCCAGAAAAGAAGTGGAAAACTGGGGAACGCTTCTTTGAAAAGGTAATATTTCAGTGGAGATTGAAAGGATGAATAGGAGTTTGCCGTATAAATAACTGGGGGTTTTCAAGTATAGTATTCTGTGTGAAATTGGGAAGGTACTTCGATTCTATTTCTAAGGCACTGGTTCTACCTTTAGGAGGTATGCTGAAGAAATCCTCTCATTTAAAGTCTTTTTATTCTCCCCCTCCCCCACCAACTTAACCTGGTATGAATGATGCAGAAAGTTCAGTCAGCATCCTATTTTAATTTGAATCCTAATTTCCTGAAGCTTAGTTCACAAATAGCCAATCAAAGTTTCTCAGGTTTATAGCCCCTACTCTATAAATCACTGCCACTGGTCTCTTTCAATATACCATGAGCTCCTGTTTTCATACCTCCATTGCCCAGCAGAGAGCCTGGAACTCAGTAGCTATTCAGTAAAATTGGTTAGATTAATGAAATGATAAAGAAAGAAAGATAGATGTATGAGAGCCTGTATAGGAAAATACAGAAAGAGAAAATATACAGGAGTTAAAGGTCAAGGATGAGTGAATAATGGCTCTTAAGTTTTGAACATGGTTGATTAGAAAAAAAGATATTAACAGTGACAGATGGCAGATAAAGGGAAGATATGTTTAAATCTAGATATGTGAAACTGAGATGGTACAGTGACACTTGTCACTGTCAAAGATGTGGTTAGAGATAAAAAGTGGCATCTGGAAGAAGTCATGGTTAGAATATCATATTCTTGGAATGATCAGCATAGAAATTGCAGTTTAGGTTATGAGAAAGGATAAACAATTTAAAGAAAAAAGAAAAAAAATTGACAAATATCTCAATTTTGGCAGGCAATCTATATAATGCTGAGAAAAATCTTAAATTGTATAATATTAATAAGACTTGTAAAAACATAAATTTGAGATTTTTAGGGTAATATTAATCAATTCTCATTTTTCCAAATGTTTACAATAAACAGACTCTAATTTCATAGTGGTAGGTATTTCAAGCTCATGCAAGAGGGGGTACAGGCTTTGTAAATGGCACAGACTATCACTCTCAAAGGAATTTTAACAAGAAAAGTTACCTTCAAAAACTATCAATCTACAAATATCATTTTGATCCATATATTTAAAACAATAAATTGTTTCAGTGACATTTTCAAGTTTTCATTTCTCCCTCTTAGTTTTAAATAGGAAGAGGTTTCTATTCATAAAATTTAGAAATACAGCATCTGATGTGGAGTTTGAAATAACTATCATACTCTGAAAGCTGCATAGTATAGCTCTCACACTAGAGAGAATCTCCTCCCCTCAAACAGAAGAGAGACAACATACATGAATATGAAATATAAAGAAAAGTAGAGACAGATTTTTTTTTTCAGTGATTAGAGACTTTATGCTAAAACGTTCACAGATGTACTCTGGAAAAATTGTGTACAAGCTAAGCTTCTGTAAAGAGAGTAATTTTTTCTTTGCTATACGGTATCATTCTGGAGACATTTTATCTCTCTGGGCCTCAGTTTTCTCAAATGATGGGCAGGAGTAGACAGTATTTGTACAGTCATGTGTTGCTTAACAAAGGGAATATGTTCTAAGAAATGTGTCATTAGGCAAGTGTGTTGTGCAAACATCATAGGGTGTATTTACACAAACAAAGATGGCATATATACTTATTTCATGTATTTTTTAATATGGAAAACCAAATGTCGCAGAACCATTACTGAATATCAATTATTTCCTCTAGTTGATCTGTAATGCCAGTATCAATTGCTATATATCAGGTTTCTGTATATGCTCTATCATAATCTCATGGGACCACGGTCATGTATGTAATCCGTTGTTGACTGAAATGTTGTTATGTGCTGCATGACTGTATTTTCTATTAAGTATATAATTCTATTACCTTATTTTTTAAATTTATATTCAACTGGCAAAAGGTCCCAAAACTCTTGCTTACTTTCTGAGACAAAAGTTAAAAACCAATACATAATACTTAATGACTCCACTGGAGTTTCTATTTAAGGAGATTCAGAAGTGATTCTAATTATGAGACTCAGTTAAGTGTTGTTCATGAACATGGCATGCTTATATAATCTTAGATCAATAAGAACTTGTTTATTTGAAAAGACAAATAATTGGGAAATATTTCATACAGTTTAAGTGGAAGAGGTTACAGTAAGTGAAGAACTCTAGTGTCACTGACTTATAAGGCAAAAACAGGGTCAAAGTGGCAATGTAGGGTGGTGTTGGTGTTGGTGTTGCTTTGCTACTAGGATATACGTTTCTATTAATATCCAGAAATAATTATTTAAAATAAAACCAGAACCAGGTAAGTTTCCTACACTCAGGTGAACAATATGAAAAAGTTAATGAGAGCAGCCCTACTTAGCTGGATAACTTCTGAAGGTAGAACTTTTGATAATTTTCTTCTGAAATGTGATAGAGATGCTATTCACACAGCACCGTTATGGTCAAGTTTCAATGGCAATACTGATCTGGAGTTTCAGTGAGTAGAGTCAGCTGGTGACAAGAGGTCACAGTAATTTAGTTAGTAGAACTGATGTTTTCATCTCAAACTCTAATTTTCCAAGGTACAATCTTGAATTGGGCTGCTGACTATATTACCCTTCACTCTCACCCTTATCCTCTTCCTTGTATACTAAAGTGATTAGTGCTAGCATTTTTGCTCTGGTCCTCCTTGTCACTTGGAATATTCTCCTTGCCCCCACATCACTCTCCTCACTAGATAACCAAAGGATGTCAACTAAATGATCAAAATACTCTCTGGCCAGACACTTATTCCCTGAGGAAGAAAGTCTGGAGATCTGCCTCTCTTCATTCTCACTGCTGTGCCAAATACAAGGTAAACAAGGTCTCTAAAGTACTTGTGATATTAACTGTTATTGCCATGATTGATTTCTGGGAAATATTCAGCTAATATCATGCATCAGCCAACCATTTACATTTGAATGCAATTAAGATGTCCCAAATAAAGGAAAATTCAAAAGTTTCAGCAATAAACACAAAAGACTGTTTAACATTTTAAATGAGAAGGAAGAGTATTCAGCTGTCTCTAATCTTTAATCATTTATTTTAACACACCACAAATCATCCCAGATGATTCTTACAAGAATATAGCTACAGAAGCATCAATGTCTACAATGTGTTTAGCTGTGAATACTGCAAACTTCTTTTAAATAGGAGAAAAAATTCTGATTTTTATGAGATCAGAAAGGTTATGTACATGCCACAGCCAACCTTAAAACCAGAGATCATAGAGATGTACTTTGAGTTTGTAATAGTATGACATATATTATGGAATATGAACTCATAAATTTGAATGGTTCCTTTCTATAACATTAAATTGGTTGGTACACATTTTTTCATATTTTCTTATTGAAAATAAAAGCATCTCAGGGGTAAGCTAATTATTCATTTAAGCTCTGAATAAAGTTCTACATTCTGAAACACAAATTGGGCATGAACAAGTACAGGATTTCTACAAGAAAATATAACAAATTATTTTATGTACAAAAAGCCTGTTAAATATAATAGCAGTTATAATGAATTAAAATTATCAGCTATATAATAAGTGAATTGTAATAGATGTATATAATAGATGAATTGTAATAGATGAATTACAATAATATTTATTGTAGATATATTCAATTTTACAGTTGTTAAATTAAAAAAGGTCTTCATATCTTCCTGTTGGTTTACTTTAATATGCAATAAAAGGTAATCTAAGACAAGAAAAAGTATTTGATAAATGGAGTTATGGGCAATATTTATTGTGGTGAAGTAAATCTTTAAAATACTATAGTGTCTATAAAATGTACAGATACATTTCAACACATATATTTTATTTAAAAAAAGTTTAAGTTCTTTTGCATTTCTGGCCACATTGCCAGAGATATTTGAATGTGTTTACAGGCATTTTTCATATAAATAAAATAAAATAGCTATTCTATTGCAAAACCAGATGATAAATTTATTGGTTAAAACACATGAGGCTACTTTAATTGAAATGGTAATAATGCTACAAATAAAAAAAACTACATATAATCAAGAATTAACCAACAAATGACAAATGGGAATATAAAGCCACAAGTTGGTACTAGCCTCTCAAGAAAGAAAATTTAAGAGTACTTATTATTGTGTATCACTAGAAACAACAATCACCTTTCCAAACAATCCAGGTACAAATAATGTCTTAGTTTTAAATTTAACTGAAATTTATTATTTAACTTTGGCTGAAAAATTTTCAGTAAGGTTTCATTGTTTTTCAAGTCTAGTTAAATTTTTTTTTTTTCTAATTCCCTCTCAAATCACAGGATTGCTCATTCTATGAATTTCTGTAATATCTCCACCCAGTGGTGATCAGAGACTTTAAATATACCCTTGACTTAAACCGAAAGTTTGGTAGTTTCTGATAGGATCAAGGCCCTCCACATAAATAGAAATTAGGACAGAGCCTAGATTTAAAGCTGGCTCTAAAATCAAAATAGTCTAAAATGGCAAAGCTCAGTAATCCATAGTCATGGCTTATATTTAGTTCCTATTGAATACCAGACAGTGTGTTGATAAGATATATGATAAAACTCTCAAGAAATCAGAATGCATGATACTTTTATGACATAATAAAATTTATCTCTCAAGCAAAAAGACAGCAAAACAATAGAAACACTGCCATTTAATGTAAGTGTAAGATAAAGATGTCCACCATTACCATTGTTATTTAATATTGTTCTAGAGAAAAAGGTGAAGCAATTAAATAATAGAAAGATATAAGATGTATAAAATTGAAAAAGGTAAAATTATAATTTGTAGATGATAAATAGAAAATTTGAATCAAATGAAAAATAATTACAAATAATGAGAGAACAGTAATATGGCTGATAAAAAGTAATAATGGTAATGGTGAAAACTTGCAGAGTATTTATATATACCAGCAGTATATATAAATATTCTCCATATATTAACTCAATCCTCCCAATAATCCTCTGAAGTATATAATATTATTATCACCATTTTATGAACAAGGAAACAGGCACAGAAAAGTCAAGAGAATTGTTCAAGGTTACACAGCTGGTGTGGCAGTGCTGTGATTCAAAAGTTTAAGAGTCTATGTCCTTAATCACTATATCAAACTGTTGGTGAAATCAACAATCTTTCTATGTATCAAAAACAATCAAATAAAATGTAATGAAATAAGATATCCCAATAATAACAACAAAAGGCTAAAATATCTAGTAATAACCCTGAAAAGAATTATCTAGAAAACCTTAAAATTCCACAGAGGATCCTAAAAAGGAGGACCTTAAATGGAAAGACATACCCTGTTTTTGGAAAAAATAATCATGCCATAGGTTAATTTTCTTCATTTAGCTATAAGTTTAATTCAATCACAATACTAAAATAATTTTTCCCAAGGGATAAAGAAAAAAGAAAGCTAATTCTACAATTTATGTAGAAACACAGCACCAAACACATGGTATAATTATAATCTTAACTCTTGGTACTAGAAAAGTAATAAACTAAGAAATATCATTTTAACCGAAAAAAGGACAAAGAAATAGCAAAATACATGTGGGAATCTAGTTTATCATAAAACCATATTTAGAATCAATGGGTTATCCAAGAAAATAAAGATTATTTTTATTAACTAATTCAAATATCCATTTGATAAGTATAAAAGTTTAAAATTTGTTAATTAAGTCAAATCTGTCAGGACTATTTAGCTTCGCTTTGCTAAGTGTTCTAGTTAATTTCTGTAGGATATCTAAACAATAATCTATAATTCAGATAGATGTATTTTGGAAAAACTTCAGTTTAGCAGGGTTTTTAAGTTGCTCATTTTTGGTTTGGAGAACAAAGGATGAAACAACATTTAGCAGTAATTCTCTAACAGATGTGACAATGCTGCAGATAAAAGCTTCTTTTTCCTTTTTCATTATGTACCTTGCTTTATTAAATTCTGTGTTAGCACCTGTACAAAGCAGGTTGACAAACTGAATTTTTAGCAGTAAGTTTATATGTAATTTTTGAATCTCATATAACATGGCCTATTTATTTTGCACATTTTATAGGAAATCCTGAGAGAAGGGCTGGAATAAACAGGGCATTTACATACTAGGATTTTAAAATCAGTAGACTCACTGAATCCTTTATATAACAACTGTGTCTGTTGTTGCTAGCCTTTCCGTAGAATTGTGCCAAAATCCATTTCTCTTTAAATGCCAAGGATGTCAGAGATACATGAAATGACATCCTTGAACTTTAAGGCTGCATAAGGAAGATCTCAGTGCAAGACCCCAGATCTTCATTAGCAAGTTAGAATTACCCTATCTGTGCCCATCACTCTTCATGAAGAAAATATATTCTATAGACTTTCTGGTGGAAAAACATCACTACAGGAGCTGTCTCAAATCAATACTGAGTTAAGTCAGGCTGCAAAGAAATAAAAACTGTCACCAGCATAACCTTCCTAGCAACTGCAATGTGAATATGTTAATACTGTGTCAAGGCATAGCCCTGATGTCTGTAGGAAGCGTGCCTTTGTTTCAAATCAGTTCAGCTACTAGCTTGGGACAATCCTAAGTGAAATACTATATCCTATATCATGACAATGTTATTTTTACCAACGATAACAATAATTCATATTTATTTTCTTCTTTTGTGTTTCTCATCAAGAAATCCATCCCAACATTCTTCTACCCCAAATTTCTAAATATCTCTTTCTTTTCTTCCCCACAACCCACCAAAAAACCCCAAATCTTCCTCAATACAATATATTCTAGAAATACTCTAGTGCAACTCTTATCTGGCTCTGGGTGTTTTTCCTGCCCCTTTTTCACTTGTTGTGCTTACAGGGCACTGCTCAATTCAGAAGACACTTGTGCATACTTCAATTTCTACATTGAGAAAAGTGGCATTTACTCATTTGATGATTTAGGATGAGAAAACCCAGAGATTTCTATAACTTAGAGGAAGAAAACATTTTTACTATACGAGTACAAATTATGATTTCCCGAAGATAATGTCACAAAAAAGGAAAATAGTAAATGTCTTTAAATATAGTGGCAAATTACCATGTAAATTTTCTATTTTCTAAGCTTCAGACTGCTGCAGTGAAAAAAAATTTGATTTTTAAAATCAGAAATATTTAGGTTGGTGCAAGAGGGACTGCAGTCTTTGTCATTAAAAGTAAAGGCAGGCCGGGTGCCGTGGCTCACCCCTGTAATCCCAGCACTTTGGGAGGCCAAGGCGGGCGGACCACCTGAGGTCAGGAGTTCATGACCAGCTTGACCAACATGGTGAAAGCTCGTCTCTACTAAAAATACAAAATTAGCCGGGCATGGTGGTGCACACCTGCAATCCCAGCTATTCGGGAGGCTGAGGCAGGAGAATCGCTTGAACCCAGGAGGCAGAGGTTGCAGTGAGCCGAGACTGTGCCATTGCACTTCATCCCGGGCAACAAGAGCGAAACTCTGTCTAAAAAAAAAAAAAAAAAGTAAAGGCAAAACCCGCAATTACTCTTGCACCAACCTAACATATGAAGAATCACTGAGTAAAAGAAATGGTAACCATGCATCGCTAATTAACAGTTTCTGGACCAGGAAATAGAGACTTATCCTTAAGTTACTGTGTTACACTTACTTATTTATACTCTGCCTCTTTCCATAAAGGATTTCAGACAACTATTGACTTAGTATACCCTTCCAAACAATCTAATACATTTTTTAAAAATCCTGCCTTTACTTTCTGGTGTTTGAATTAAATTATGTCCCAAATTTGGAACTGATATACTGTGGGAAAGGAAATTGATATAAAATGATAAAAATCTTGTTAACTGTAAATTGAAGAGCTCTGTTTCGAATAAAAGTTGAGTAAGTTGAGTCTGGAAAATAAACAGCACAGTTGTAGGGGGCATGGCAGGGGCATTGCTCAACTTATTCTCCTTTGTCTGAATTGAGGATATGTTCCCAGACACCTCTCCTCATGTACCCTCAATTACCAAGGTAATTGGAAAAGATGCAGTCCATGCTACTATGAAATGGGGTCTCTGAAGACCTCTCTGTAATTGCAAAGCCCTTCACAAGCTGAAGTGTTGAAAAGTGCCTGGCACATGGTAGGTGTACAATAAATGCTGAATGAATAAAACTTAAGTCAAAATTCTTTTAAAATTATGAGAGGGACAAAAGGAAAAGTAAGTCTGTTCTTTTTAAAAAAATGATTATCTTTCTTTTGGCTTTTCCTTAATCTCAAGCAATATTTTCTCTTGCTTCTTTACATTTCTCCTCTAACTTGTTCATATTTTTTTGGGCTGGGCATGGTGGCTCACGCCTGTAATCCCAGCACTTTGGGAGACCGAGACAGGTGGATCACCTGAGGTTGGGAGTTCGAGACCAGCCTGACCATCATGGAGAAACCCCGTCTCTACTAAAAATACAAAATTAGCCAGGCATGGTGGTATACGCCCATAATCCCAGCTACTCAGGTGGCTGAGGCAGGAAAATCGCTTGAACTGGGAGGCGGAGGTTGCAGGGAGCTGAGATCGCTACTGCACTCCAGCCTGGGCAACAAGAGTGAAACTCCGTGTCAAAAAAAAAAAAAAAAAGGCCAGGTGCGGTGGCTTATGCCTGTAATCCCAGCACTTTGGGAGGCCTAGGGGGGCAGATCAGGAAATCAAGAGATTGAGACCATCCTGGCCAACATGGTGAAACCTCGTCTCTACTAAAAAGACAAAAATTAGCTGGGAGTGGTCGCGTGAGCCTGTAGTCCCAGCTACTTGTGAGGCTGAGGCAGGAGAATTGCTTGAACCCAGGAGGTGGAGGTTGCAGTGAGCCAAGATCACACCACTGCACTCCAGCCTGGTGAGACAGTGAGACTCCATCTCAGAAACAGCAACACCACAAAACAAAACAAAAAAACTTGTTCATATTTTTAAGTTTTCAGGAGAAAGAACATTTCAATTTGTGGTGCTTTCCATGGCATATAACAACTGTGTTTATACTCATGCTCACACATATTCACATATTAACACCATGTAATTACAACAAGCCTACCTTGGAGATATGGAGGGTTCAGTCCTAAACCATGACAAAAAAGTGAATATTGCAGTAAAATTAGGGACTTAATTTTTTTGATTTCCCAGTACATATAGAAGTTGTTTATACTATAATCTATTAGATGTGCGAAAACATGATCTAGAAGAAGATAATGTATGTCTTCTCTTGAGAAGTGTCTGTTCATGTCCTTTGCCCACTTTTTTAATGGGGTTGTTTTTCTCTTGTAAATTTGTTTAAGTTCCTTATAGACATGAACAGATATTTTTCAAAACAAGACACATATGTAGCCAATAAGCATATGAAGCAAATCTTAATATCACTGATCATTAGAGAAATGCAAATCAAAACCACAATGAGATACCATCTCACACCAGTCAGAATGGCGATTACTAAAAAGTCAAAAAAACAGATGCTGGCAAGGTTGTAGAGAAAAGGGAACACTTACACACTGTTTGTGGGAGTAAAAATGAGTCCAACCATTGTGGAAAGCAGTAGGGTGATTCCTCAAAGAGCTAAAAGCAGAGCTCCCATTCAACCCAGCCATCCCATTACTGAGTATATACCCAGAAGAATATAAATCGTTCTACCATAAAGACACATGCATGCAAATGTTCACTGCAGCACTGTTCATAATAGCAAAGACCTAGAATCAGCCTAAGTGCCCATCAATGACAGACTGGATAAAGAAAATGTGGTACATATACATATACATGTAATACATATACATATACATATACATGTAATACATATACATATACATGGAATACTATGCAGCCACAAAAAAGAATGAGATCATGTCTTTTATGGGAACATGGATGGAGCTGAAGGCTATTATCCTCAGCAAACTAATGCAGAAACAGAAAACCAAATACTGCATGTTCTCTTATAAGTGGGAGCTAAATGATAAGAACATATGAACACAAAGAAGGAAACAGACACTGGGGTCTACTTGAGGAGGGAGAGTGGAAAGAGAGAGAAGAACAAAAAAGGTAACTATTGGGTACTGAGCTCAATACCTGGGTGATGTAATAATATGTATAAACCCCTGTGACACGTGTTTATCTATGTAACAAATCTTCACATGTATCCCCAAACCTAAAATAATAGTTAAAAAATACTTTATTGCTAAAATATGCTAACGGTCATCTAAGCCCCCAGCAAGTCATAATCTTTTTGCTGGTGGACGGTCTTGCCTCAATGTTGAGGACTTTTAACTAATCAAAGTAATGGTTGCTGAAGGCTGAGGTGGCTGTGGCTACGGCAGCTTCTTAAAATAAGACAACAGTGAAGTTTGCTGCATCAATGGACTCTTCCTTTCACAAAAGATTTCTCTGTAGCATGCAATGCCATTTGATAGCATTTCACCCACAAAAGAACTTCTCTCCATATTCACTCCTCTCAAACCTTGCTGTTGCTTTATCAAATAAGTTTACATAATATTCTAAATGCATTGTTATCATTCCAACAATGCTCACAGCATCTGTACCAGGAGTAGATTCCATTCTAAGAAACTTTTTTTGCTCATTCTTAAGAAGCAACTCCTCATCCATTCAAGTTTTACCATGAGATTACAGCTACTCAGTCACATCTCACATTCCAGTTCTAATTCTAGTTCTCTATTTCTACCACATCTGCAATCACTACCTCAGTGAAGTCTTGAACTCCTCAAAGTTATCAATGAGGGTTGGAATCAACTTCTTACAAACACCTTTTCATATTGATATTGTGATCTCCTTCCATGAATCACAACTGTTCTGAAAGGCATCTAGAATGGTGGATCCTTTCCAGGGGATTTCAATTTACTTTGCCCAGATTGATCAGAGAAGTCACTATCTATGGCAGCTATGGCCTTACAAAATGTATTTCTTAAAAAGTAAGACTTGAAAGTTGAAATGATTGCTTCATCCATGCACTGGAGAATGGATATTATTGTTGCGGGAAGTCAGGGACCCCAAACAGAGGGACCGGCTGAAGCCATGGCAGAAGAACGTGGATTGTGAAGATTTCATGGACATTTATTAGTTCCCCAAATTAATACTTTCAAAATTTCTTATGCCTGTCTTTACTGCAATCTCTAAACATAAATTGTGAAGATTTCATGGACACTTATCACTTCCCCAATCAGTACCCTTGTGATTTCCTATGCCTGTCTTTACTTTAATCTCTTAATCCTGTCATCTCATAAGCCGAGGAGGATGTATGTCCCCTCAGGACCCTGTGATAATTGCATTAACTGCATAAATTGTAGAGCATGTGTGTTTAAACAATATGAAATCTGGGCACCTTGAAAAAAGAACAGGATAACAGCAATGTTTAGGAAACAAGAGAGATAACCTTAAACTCTGACCACCAGTGAGCCAGGCAGAACAGAGTCATATTTCTCTTCTTTCAAAAGCAAATGGGAGAAATATTGCTGAATTCTTTTTCTCAGCAAGGAACATCCCTGGGAAAGAGAACATGCGCCTGGGGGTGGGCCTCTGAACTGGCCCCCCTGGGCGTGGCCATCTTCTATGGTCGAGGCTGTAGGGGTGAAATATACCCCAGTCTCCCATAGCGCTCCCAGGCATATTAGCAAGAGGAAATTCCCACCTAATAAATTTTGGTCAGACCAGTTGCTCTCAAAACCTGTCTCCTGATAAGATGTTATCAATGACAATGGTGCCCGAAACTTCATTAGCAATTTTAATTTCACCCCAGTCCTGTGGTCCTGTGATCTCACCCTGCCTCCATTTGCCTTGTGATATTCTATTACCTTGTGGAGTACGTGATCTCTGTGACCCACACCTATTCGCACACTCCCTCCCCTTTTGAAAGTCCCTAATAAAAACTTGCTGGTTTTGCGGCTTGTGGGGCATCACGGAACCTATCGACATGTGATGTCTCCCCCGGATGCCCAGCTTTAAAATTTCTCTCTTTTGTACTCTGTCCCTTTATTTCTCAAACCAGCTGACGCTTAGGGAAAATAGAAAAGAACCTACATGACTATCAGGGCAGGTTCCCCAATATATTATGTTATCATTCATGAAGACAATATTTATTTTCCTGTACATATCCATCAGAGCTCTTGGGTGATGAGGTGCACTGTTATAATGAGCAGTAATATTTTGAAAGAAATCTTTTTCCCTGAGCAGTAGGTCTAAATAGTGAGCTTAAAATATTTAGTAAACCACACTGTAAACAGGTGTGCTGTCATCCAGACTTGGTTGTTCCATTTATAGAACACAGGCAGAGTAGATTTAGTATAATTCTTAAGAGCCCTAGGATTTTGGAATGGTCAATGAGTATTAGCTTCAACTGAAAGTCACCATCTATATCAGCCCCTAACAGGAGAGTCAGCCTATCTTTTGAAGCTTTGAAGCCTTGAAGCCAGGCATTGATCTCTTCTCTCTAGCTATGAAAGCCCTAGATGGTATCTTCTTCCAACTGAAGGCTGCTTCGTCTACATTGAAAATCTGCTGTATAGTTGCTAGATTTTGGGATTACTTCCTTCAGCTTCTCCACCAGTACTTGCTGCTTCACCCTGTACTTTTACGTTTTGAAGACAGTTCTTTTCTTAAATCTTATGAACCAACCTCTGCTAGCTTCCAACTTTTCTTCTGTACCTTCCTGATCTCTCATGGCCTTACAGAACCAAAGAGAGTTAGGGCTTTGCTCTGGATTAGGCTTTGGCTTAAGGGAATGTTGTGGCTGACTCAATCTTCTATCCAGACCACTAAAACTTTCTCCATATCAGCAGGAAGTCTGCTTTGCTTTCTTATCATCTGTTGTTCACTCGAGTAGCATTTTTAATTTCCTTTAAGAATTTTTCCTTTGCATCACAATTTGCCTAACTGGTAGAAGAAGTCTAGCTTTTGGGCTATCTTGGCTTTTGACATGCCTTCCTCACTAAGCTTAATCATTTCTAGCTTTTGATTTAAAGTAAGAGATGTGTGATTCTTCCTTTCACTTGAACACTTTGAGTCCATTATAGGGCTACTAATTGATCTAATTTCAATATCTTTGTTTCTCAAGGAATAGGGAGACACATGAAGAGGGAGAAAAATGGAGGAATGGCTGGTTGGGGGAGCAATGAGAACGCACATATTTATCACTTAAGTTTGCCATTTTAAATGGGCTCCGTTTGTGGTGCACCAAAACAAGTACAATAGCAACATCAAAGAGCACTGATCACAGATCACCGTAACAGATATAATAATAATGAAAAAGTTTGAAATATTGCAAGAATTACCAAAGTATGACACAAAGACACAAAGTGGGCACATATTGTTAGAAAAATGGCTCCATTAGACTTGCATGATACAAGGGTACTACCAACTTTTAATTTGTATAAAACAGCAATAACAGTGAAAGTGCAGTGATGAGAAGCAAAACAAACTCAAGTGTGCCTTTACTGCATATCTTCTAAGTTGAAGTAATGGGTTTACCTTTTACTGATTTCAAGAAAGAAAACATAAAGCAGGGAATGTAACTTTTTTGAGTCCTGGATAGATTTCTCACTCTAATTTATTTCCACATGAATGACTTTAGAAATTCTGTTGTTCCTGTTTAGAAACTGCTTTCACAAAATGGCGTAAGAAGAGTGGGGGAGTCAGGGAGACAGAATTAAAAGAGAGTTGCCCTTTGGCAGTAAAAATAAAAAGAGAGGCTTAGAGAGTGAGTAGGCTGAGATTGTTGAATAGTGAAAAGGGCTGTTGCTTTTGTTCATGAAGAAAAAGTTAACTTGCGGCAAAAGGTTAGAATAATAACAATAAAACAAGTAGACTAGTATAAAAATACACACAAAAGCACAAAAATAACACTATGATCACAAATATGAATGCCTTATTGAGATATTTTCCCCCATATGAATAATCATTTGTTTAGTTACAAAGATATGAGTTGTGAGAACCCTGTATGCACATGTTGTTAAGCAACACATAGGGACTTTAGTAAAAACATAAGTTACAGGAGATACCCCTCAATCACTGATTTAGTAGATATGATGTGTGCATCGAGTCCTAAAAATGCACTTTCAACAACTATTATAGAAGATTTTTGAGGACCATTTTTCAGATACATTGCTTTACAGAAAATAGAGTAAAACATTAGCTGGAATGAACTTTCTGTTAATTCACTAAAAAAATTATTCAATACCAACTATATGCTAGGGGCTAAGATAAGCACTGGGGGTACAGGGGTGAACAAGATCCAATCTCTCCCCTGTGCCTGGATGTGGAATAAATGATAAAAGAAACACAAAGATAAGTATGTAATTATAATCCATGCCATGAAGACAAAGTAGAAAGAGCTAGCATAGTTGATGAATAAGGAACTGTGACTAAATTAACTGAATGCTTTGTTGAAATGAGAGTTAACACTAGTATAACCTTTTTTGTAGTAACTACATCAAATAAATACAAATATATTGAGAACATACTATTTCTCAGAGCTTTGAATTAAGCTCTGAGGGTCCAATGATAAGAACAGTCCTTTCCTTAATGCACCCATAAGTTACCAGTGAAGAAAGAAAGGTAGGTTTTTATGTATGTATGTTTGCTTTTCAAAACTTTTATTTTTTATTTTTCATTTTTTAATTTTTGTGAGTCCATAGTACGTAAATATATTTATGCATTACATGAGATATTTTGATATAAGCATGCAATGCATAATAATAATTCCATCCAGGTTAATGGGAGTCCATCATCTCAAGCATTTATCCTTTGTGTTACAAAAAATCTAATTATACACTTCTAGTTATTTTAAAATGTACAATTACATTACTTTTGATTATAATCACCCTGTGCACCAGCAAATACTAGGTCTTATTCATTCTTTTGAACTATTTTTTTGTACCAATTAACCATTCCCAATTCTCAACACACACCCCACCCCCACTACCCTTCCCAGCCTCTGGTAACAATCCTTGTACTCTCTATATCCATGAGTTCAATTTATTTTAATTTTTATCACCCACAAATAAGTGAGAACACACAAAGTCTGTCTTTTTGTGCTTGACTTATTTTATTGAAAATAATGTCCTCCAGTTCCATCTGTGTTGTCGCAAATGACAGAATGTCATTCTTCTTTATGGTCTTTTGTGGTTGCATATAACAACCAATTCTAAACAATTTTAGAATTGTTTCTTCTATTTCTGTGAAGAATGCCATCAGCATTTTAATAGGGATTGCATTAAATCTGTAGATTGTTTTGCGTTGCATGGACATCTTAACAATATTAATTTTTTCAACCCATGAACATGGAATCTCTTTCCTTTTTTTGTATCCTCTTCAATTTCTTGTATTAATGTTTCATAGTTTTCACTGTAGAGGTCTTTCACTTCTTTGGTTAATTCCTAAGTATTTTGTTTTATTTGTAGCTATTGTAAGTGGGATTACTTTCCTGGTTTCTTCTTCAGATTGTTTGTGGTTAGCATATAAAAATGCTTCTGATTTTTATATATGTTGCTTTTTACCCTGCAACTTTGCTGAATTTATCACTTCTAATACTGTTTTTTATGGAGTCTTTAGGTTTTTCCAAATAAAAGATCATGTCATCTTCAAACAAGGATAATTTGACTTCTTTCTTTCTAATCTAGATGCCCTTTATTTTTCTCTTTGTCTAATTGCTCTGGCTAGTACTTCCAGTAGTGTGATGAATAACAGTAGTTAAAGTGGGCCATGCTTGTTACATTCTTGATCTTAGAGGAAAGGCTTTCAGTTTTTCCCCATTCAACATCATGCTCATTATGGTCCGTCATGTATGGTTTTTATTGTCCTGAGGTATGTTCCTTCTAAACCCAGTTTTGTGAGGGTTTTTTAATCATAAAAAGATGTTAAATTTTATCAAATGTGTTTCCAGTATCAATTGAAATGTTCATATGGTTTTTGTACCTTATTCTATTGATATGACATAACACATTAATTGATTTGCATATATTGAACCATCGTTACATTCCAGGGATAAATCCCACTTGGTCATGATGAATGATCTTTTCAATGTGTTGTTAAATTTGGTTTGCTAAATTTTTTTTGAGAATTTTTGCATCAACATTCATCTGTAATATTGGCCTACAGTTTTCTTTTTTTGATTTGTGTTTATCTGGTTTTGGTATCAGGGTAATACTGGCCTCATAGAATAAGTTTGGAAATCTTCCCTCCACTATTTTTCAGAATAGTCTGAATAGAATTGGTACACGTTCTCTTTAAATGTTTGATAGAATTAAGACGTGAGGCCACTGGGTCCTGTCATTTCTTTGCTGGTAGAATTTTTATTATGGCTTCACTCTCATTACTTGTTGTTGATCTATTCAGATTTTGGACTTCATCATGGTTCAATCTTGGTAGGTTGTATGTATCTAGGCATTTGTCCACCTCTTCTAGATTTTCCAATTTATTGGCATATAGTTGCTCGCAGCAGCTGCTAATCCTTTGAATTTCTGCAATAACAGTAGTAATGTCTCCTTTTAAATCTCTGTTTATTTGGATCTTCTCGTTTTTTGGTTAGTCTGGCTAAACATTTGTTAATTTTGTTTAACTTTTCAAAAAAACCAACTCTTTGTTTCATTGATCTTCTGTACTGTTTTCTTCATTTCAAATTAATTTATTTTTGCTCTTTTCCTTATTCTTTTCTTCTAGTAATTTTGGGTTTGGTTTGCTCATTTTACTAATTCTTTAAGATGCATCATTAGGTTATTTATTTGATGTTTTTCTTCTTTTTTGATGTAGGCACTTATAGCTATTAACTTCCCTCAGTACTGTTTTTGCTGTACTTCATAGGTTTTATGTTGTGTCGCCATTATAATTCATTTCCAAATAATTTTCAATTTCCTTCTTGATTTCTTCATTGACCTACTAGTCATTGAAGAGCATGCTGTTTAATTTCCATGTGTTTGCATAAATTTCTCTTGTAATTGATTTCTAGTTTTATTCCATGTGGTCAGAGAACATGCTTGATATTATTTCGATTTTCTGAATGTTTTAAGATTTGCTTTGTCTTAAACATATGGTCTATCTCTGGATAGAGAACATATGGTCTATCTCAGAATAATCCATGTGATGAGGAAATTAATATGTATTCTGTGGCTGTTGAATGAAATGTTCTGTAAATTTGGTCCATTTGGTCTATAATGCAGGTTAAGTTCAATGCTTCTTTGATGATTTTCTGTCTGGAAGATGTATCCAGTGCTGAAACAAGAGTGTTGAAGTCTCCAGGTTTTATTGTATGGGTTCCATCTCTCTCTTTAGTGCTAATAAGTTGGGTACTCCAGTACTGAATTCATATATGTTTACACTGCTTATATATCCTCTTGCTGAACTGACCCATTTACCATTATATAATGACTTTCTTCGTCTCTTCTTAGAGTTTTTTTTTTCCTTGAATTCTATTTTGTCTGATGTAAATATAGCTACTCCAGCTCTTTTTTGGTTTCCATTGGCATGCAATATCTTTTTCCATCCCCTTATTTTTAGTCAACATGTGTCTTTATAGGTGAAGTGTGTTTCTTGTAGGTAACAAACAGATCATTAGGTCTTGCTTTTTTAATCCATTCAACCATTCTATATCTTTTCATTAAGGAGTTTATTCCATTTACTTTCAGTATTATTGATAAGAACTTACCCCTGCCATTTTGTTATTTGATTTCTGGTTGTTTTGAGATATTCTCTTCCTTCTTTCCTTCCTTCCTGTCTTCCTTTTAGTGAAGGGGATTTTCTATTGTGATATGATTTAATTTCTTTTTATTTTTTATGTATCTGTGGTGTGTTTTTTGATTTGACGTTACCATGAGGCTTTCAAATAATATATTATAATCCATTATTTTAAGCTGATAATATTAACACTGTTTGCATAGAACAAATGAACAAGCAAAAAGAAAATTAAAACTCTACACTTAGTTCCCCTACTTTTTAGCTTTTTGTTTTTCCTGTTTATATCTTAAAGTACTGTCAATGTCTTGAAATGTTGTTGTAGTTATTATTTGACATGATTTGGACATGTCTCTCCACCCAAATCTCATGTCAAATTGTAATTCTCAATATTGGATGTGGGGCCTGGTGAGAGGTGATTGGATCATGGGAGTCATTTCTCATGGCTTAACACCACCGTCCTTGGTGTTGTCGTCGCAATAGTGAGTTCTTGTGTAAAGTATGTAGCATCTCCCCCCTCTCTTATTCCTGTTTCTGCCACGTAAGATGCCTGCTATCACTTTGCCTTCTGCCATGAGAAAAATTTCCTTGAGGCCTCCGCAAAGGCAGACAGGTGCTGCCTTGCTTCCTGTACAGTGGAACTGTGAGTCAATTAAATTTCTTTTCTTTATAAATTACCCAGTCTCAGGTATTTTATTACAGTTATAGCAGTTTGAGAATGGGCAAATACATTATTTGTGATTGGGTCATCATTTTGTCTTCCTAGTTAGTATAAGAGTAGTTTACACACCAGAGTCACAGTGTGATAATATTCTGTGTTTTTCTGTGTACTATTACTAGTGAGTTTTTTTTTTTAACCCTCAGATAATCTATTACTCATTAAAAGTCTTTTCTTTTTGTTTGAAGTACTGCCTTTAGCACTTGTAGGATAGGTCTGGTATTGATGAAATCCTTCACTTTTTGTTTGTCTGGGAAGTTTTATTTCTCATTCATGTTTTAATGACATTTTTGGAGGATACACTATTCTAGGGTAAAATTTTTTTTTTTTTCAGCACTTTAAATATGTCATGCCACTCTCTCATGACCTGTGAGGTTTCCACTGAAAAGTCTGCTGCCGGACATATAAGAGTTCCATTGTATGTTATTTGTTTCTTTTATCCTTTTAGGATCCTTTCTTTATCTTTGACCTTTCAGAGTTTAATTATTAAATGCCTTGAGGTAGTCTTCTTTGAATCAAATGTGCTAGATGTTCTATAATCTTCTTGTACTTGAATATTGATATCTTTCTCTACATTTGGGAAGTTCTCTGTAATAATTATCACTCATTAACATCCTTTTTATTCAAAGGGGTAATAACTTTCTATCCCTATCTGTGTTTCTCTCTCCTCTTTAAGTCCAGTAACTCTTAGATTTGACCTTTTGAAGCTATTTCCTAGACCCTATAGGTATGCTTCATTGTTTTTTATTCTTTTCTCTTTTGTCTCCTCTGACTGTGTATTTTCAAACGGCCTGTCTTCAAGCTCACTAACTCCTTCTGCTTGATACATTCTATTAGAGGACTGTGATGCATTCTTCAGTATGCCAATTGCACTTTTTCAAGTATAGAATTCCTGCTTGTTTCTCTTTAATTATTTCAATCTCTTATGAAATTTATCTGGTAGAATTCTGAATTCCTTCTCTGTGTCATCTTGAATTTCTTTGAGTTTCCTAAAACAGCTAGTTTGAATTTCGAGTCTAAAAGGTCACATATCTCCGTTTCTCCAGGATTGGTCCCTGGTGGCTTATTTAGTTCATTTAGTGAGGTCATGCTTTCCTGGATGATCTTAATGTGTGTGGATGTTCATCTGTGTCTGGACATTGAAGAGTTAGGTATTTATTGTAGTCTTCACAGTCTGGGCTAATTTGAACCTGTATTTCCTGCAAGGCTTTTCAGGTACTCAGAAGACTTGAGTGTTGTGATCTAAGCTATATCTGTATTAACGGACACCCCAAACCCAGTAACACTATTGTTCTTGCAGACTTGTAGAGGTACTGCGTTCATGGTCTTAGATAAGATCCAGAATTCTCTGCAGAGACTGTTGTTCTTTCCCCTTACTTTCTCCTAAAAAAAAATAGAGCCTCTTTCTCTCTATTCTGAGCCACCTAGAGCTTGGGGTGGTGTGACACAAGCATCTTTGTGGCCACCACCACTGGTACCACACTGAATCAGACTGAAAGCCAGCATAGCACTGGGTCTCGCCCAAGGCTTGCTGTCATAACTACTATCATGGCTACTGCCTGTGTTCACTCAAGGTCCTGGGACTGTACAATCATTAGGTGGTAAAGCCAGCCAGGGTTTTTCCTTCCCTTCAGGGCAGAAGTTCCTCCAGGCAGGTCCAGAGGTGCCATCTGCGAGCCAGGGACTTATGTCAAAAACCTTAGAAGTGTGCCTAGTGTTCTATTGTACTGTGGCTAAGCTGGCACTCAAATCATGAGACACAGTATTTCCCATTCTTCCCTCTGCTTTCCATAGGCAGAAGGGCCTCACCCTATGACCACCATCACAAACCCATGGAGAGTATTGCTAGGCTACTGCTGATGTTCTCTTAAGGCCCAGGAGCTCTTCATCGAGCTTGTGGTGAATGCTGCCTGGCCTGGGACTCACTCTTCAGTGTAGTTTCCCTTTGGCCCACGGCAGGTCCAGAAATGCTGTCCAAGAGCCAAGTCCTGGAATTGGGGGCCACAAGAGCCTGCTTGGTACTCTACTTCCCTGTGGCTGAGTTGGTACCTAAGGTGTAAGACAAAGCTCCCTTACTTTTCCCTCTAATGTTCTCAATCATAGTCTCTCCCCATAGCCATCATAGCTAGTAATGTGCTGAGTTTCACCTGAAGCCAGCAAGTCTCAGAGTGGCATACTACCTGGGTATTTCTACTGGTTATTCAGGGCCCAAGGGCACTTTATTCAGTAGTTGATGGGTCCTGCCAGGACTGAGTCCTTCCCTTCAAGGCAGCAGGTTCCCTTCTGGCCCAGGGTGTGTCTAGAAATGTCTGGGAGCTAGGTCCTGGAAAGGGGGATTCATGACTCTGACTGGTATTCTATCCTACTGTGGATGAGCTGGTTTCCAAGATGTAAGACAGAGACCTCTTTATTCTTCTCCCTCCTCTCCTTAAGTGGAAAGAAGGTGTCTTTTTTGGAGCCCCATGCTGTGCAGCCTGGGTTTGGGGTAGGGGTGGTGCAAGTACTCTCTTAGCCACTCTGGCTGTGTCTCAACAGGTTACGTGCCTCCTTAGTCCACTCACTTTAATCTAAGTTAAGCACTAGGACTCCCCAAGAGTTGCAGTCCTTGTGGCCTACACTGCCTTTGAAGTTTATTTAGAGCCCCAGAACACTTTAGCCCAGGGTGATAAGGCTTGCCAGAACTGAAGTTTGGACCACTGGGATGGGCAATTCCCCTCTGGCTAGAGTTGGTTTAAATATCTTCTCTGAGGGTGGGCATTAGCTAAGTGCAGCCTGGTTTTGCATTCTGCTGTAACAGGATATCACTGAGTTCAATGCAATGTCACAATTCCTGCTGGGGGGTGGGCAAGGGGTGGTATTGGTGATTCAAGACTGTTTCTACCCTCCTCAGTGCCTTTTTCAGTGACATGAAGTTAAAACCAGGTACTGTGAGTGCTCATCTAGTTTTTGGTTCTTATGAAGGTGCTTTGCTTGTGTAGACAGTTGTTAAATTGGTGTCTGTGCAGAAGACATGCTCGGTGAAGACTTCAATTTGGCCATCTTACTTTGCCCCCTCCCTATCATTTCATTTAAGAATCTATGATACAGTTCTTGATCTTTAGGAATTTATGTTAAAAGAGAAGATGAAGGCAGACATAGAGGCCTTAAAGCAGAAGTATGTATAGGGTATACCTAAAACTGAACGAAATCTAATTTCTGTGCTACAGCATAGAAAAATTAGAGGGAACAATACTGACAGAAAATCTTGGTAAAGTTGTCAAGGGAAATATTACATTGGGACTTTTAGACCATGTTAGAAGTTTGAATTTTATTGTCAGTATAATAATAAGAGTCTTGGTAAACATTTTGATTAAAAAAGATTATGGTAGCTGAAGTCTGAAAAATGGATTAAAGATAAATGAGAATGGATGCAGAGAGACCAGTCAGAAAATTGTACAACAGGCCGGGCGTGGTGGCTCATGCCCATAATCCCAGCACTTTGGGAGGTTGTGGATCACCTGAGGTCAGGAGTTCGAGACCAGCCTGGCCAACATGGTAAAACCCTGCTTCTACTAAAAATACAAAATTAGCCGGGTGTGGTAGCACATGCCTGTAATCATGGTGAACATGAGTAAAATATTGTCAGCAGAATTGGAGAGAAGTATACAGATTAATAAACAAAAGTTTTTGATTGACTAAATTTGGAAGGTAAGGCAGGAGTCAAAAATGAAGCTACTAACCTAAATGAAGTAGTTAAGTTCTTAGAAACACAAAGCTTACCAAGACTAAAATCAGAAAGAGTTAAAAAATCTAACTAGATCTAGTACTAGCAGGGAAATTGAATCAGTAATAAAAAATCTCCTAAGAAAGAAAAGTCCTAGATCTGATGGCTTAACTGGTGAATTCTACCAAATATCTAAAGAACACAAATCCTTCTCAAACTTTTCTAAAAAGCTGAAGAGGGTGGAATACTTCCTAACTCATTGTGTAAGCCCAGCATTACCCTGATTCCAAAGCCATACAAAGACACTGCAAAAACGGAATACTAAAGACAAATGTCCCTTAAGAATATTGAAACAACAATCTTCAACAAAATAGTAGCAAACTGAATTCAAAAGCATATTAAAATTATACAGCATGATCAATTGGGATTTATTCCTAGAATGCAAGGATGTTTCGCCACAGGAAAATCAATCCATATGATACATTACATTAACAGAATGGAGAGAAAAAAAAAAAACAACCACATGATCATCTAAATTGATACCAAAAAAAGAACAAAATCAAACTGTTTCATGATAAAAACATTTAATAACTAGGAATAGAAGGAAACTTCCTCAACACAATAAAAGTCATATATGAAAAACCCACAGAAAACATGCTCAATGGTGAAAGGCTGAGAGCTTTTCCTCTGACATAATGAATAAACAAGGATGCCTGCTTTTGGGATGTATTTTCAACATAGTACTGGAAGTCCTAGCTGGAGAAATTAGGCAAGAAAAAGAAAAGCCATCCACTGAAAAGTAAGAAGTAAATAATCTGTTTGCAGATGATGTGATCTTATATCTAAAAAATACCCTAAACATTACACAAAACACTGTTAGAACTAATAATGGAATTCAACAAAGTAGCAGGATACAGAAAAAAATAGACAAAAATCAGTTGTATTTCTATATACTAACAATGAACAATCAGAAAAGGAATTAATGAAGACAATTTGATTTACAATAGCATCAAAAGGAATAAAATACTTAGGAATTAACCAGGGAGGTGAAAGACTTGTGCAATGAAAACAACAAAAGAATGCTGAAAGAAATTTAGAAAGACATAAATAAATGAAAACACAAGCCACGTTTATGGATTGAAAGATATAATATTGTTAAGATATCAATATTACTCAAAGCCACCTACAGATTCAACACATTCTTATCAAAGTATCAATGATGTTTTTAGCAGAAATAGAAAGACCTATCCCAAAATTCATATGGAATCTCAAGAGACCTAAAATAGACAAAACAATCTTGAAAAGAAAGAACAAAGCCAGAAGACTCAGACTTCCTGATTGCAAAATTTATTTCAAAACTATTGTAATAAAACAGTATGATACTGGCATAAAGGCAGACAGACATATAGACCAACAGACTAGAGCTAGAAATAAACCCTCCTATATATGGTCAAATAAGTTCTGAGAAGGGTAGCTAAGACCATTCAGTGGGGTAAAGAACAGTCTTTTCAGCAGATGTTTCTGGAAAAACTGTATATCTCCATGCAAAAGAATGAAGCTGAACTCTCACCTAATAACATATACAAAAATTAAATCAAAATAAATCAAAGACTTAAATGTATGGCCAAAAACTTTAAGACTCTTAGAAGAAAACATAGGGCAAAAGCTTCATGATACTGGAGTTGGCACTTGATTTCTAGGAGATGACACCAAAGCCCTAGGTGACAGAGAAAAAACAGTCAAATTGAACTTTGTGAAATAAAATATTTTGTGCATCAAAAGACACTCAACAGAGTAAAATGGCAACCTACAGAATGAAATATTTGCAAATCATATATTTAATATGAGAATAATATTGAGAATATATAGAGAACTCCTAAAACTCAACAAAAAAAGAAACAACTCAAAAGACCTTGAATAGGGCATTTCTCCAGAGAAGATATACAAATGGCTAAGAAGTACATGAAAAGATGCTCACTATCACTAATCATCAGGGAAATATAAATCAAAACTACAATGAGATTCCACTGCACATTTATTATTCAAAAAAAAGAAGAAAAAAAGAAAAAAAATCAAAATAGAAAAGTGTTCGCAAGTTTGAGAAGAAACTGAAACCAACCCTTGCACACTGTTGGTAAAAATGTAAACTGATACAGCTGCTGTAGAAAACAGTATGGCAGTTCCTCAAAAAACTAAAGATAGATAACATATGATCCTGAAATTCCACTTTTGGATATATGCCAAAAGGAACTGAAACCAGAATCTTGAAGAGATATTTATACACCCATGTTCATAGCAGCATTGTTTACAATCGCTAAAATGTGGGAGTAACCCAAGTGTCTACTGATGAATGAATGGATAAACAAAATGTGGTATATATACAAAATAGGTATTATTTAGCCTTAAGAAGAAAAAAAAAATCTGACCAAAACTATATGATTCCAACTCTATGAGGTACTTAGAGTAGTCAAAATCATAGAGACAGAAGTAGAATTGTGGTTGTGGAGAGGAGGGGAGAATAAGGAATTACAATGGAATGGGTACAGAGGTGCAGTTTTACAAGATGAAAAGAGTTATGGAGATAGATGGTGGTGATGGTTGCACAACATTATGAATGTATTTAATACCACTAACTGTACACTTAAAATGGTTAAGGTGGTAAATTTTACGTTGTGTGTATTTTTATCACAATAAAAAAATTAGAAAAGATCCCTACAAATACAAATAAATGCATATATATTTAACTTAAAAGGGTTTGTACATATTCAGAAACCTATATAAACTATATTAGAGCAACCAGTATTAGAATTCACGGAGAACAAGCTAAAAACACAAAGGCTCAGGGCCTATCTTTTAAACAAGAGGGGCCTCATTTTTTCTTAGCTTTCCTGGAGAGGATAATATACATCAACATTTGCAAACCACTGTTTTATAAATGATTGTGCAGAGAGACCAAGGAGTGAGGGTCAGGGCAGAAAGAAAGAAGTAAAAGGAAATAGGAGAAAGTGTCTGACCCAGTCCAATAATTGTAATGTGTTGTAAACTAAGGAGACATTATTAGCTCAGCTATTTGCATTTGAGATATACAAATAATATTAAGTATTACTACCATGATAACATTTCTGTACCAAGGAATGGTTTGCAGCTTGTTAACCAGAATTAGGTGTGTCTGTGTGTGTGTGTGTGTGTGTGTGTGTGTATGTGTGTATGTAAGAAGACTTTCAAGACATATTGCTAAGCAAAAAAAGAGAGAAGTTTGGGCTGGAGCTAATAACCGGAAGCCATGGTAACTGTAGGATGCAAGTATGAAACATGAAACAACACAAATGCTATGATTCCATTTATTTAAAAGTTAGATTACATGTTTCCATCCCAGCCACTCCCAAATCTCATGTCCTCACATTTCAAACCACAGTTATGCCTTTTCTACAGTCTCCCAAAGCCTTATTTCAGGGTTAACTCAAAAGTCCACAGTCCAAAGTCTCATCTGAGACAAAGCAGTCTCTTCTACCTACGAGACTGTAAAATCAAAAGCAAGTTAGTTACTTCCTAGATACAATGGGGGTACAGGCAATAGAAAAATATACCCATTCCAATTGGGAGAAATTGGCCAAAACAACAGGGCTACAGGCCTCATGCAAGTCCAAAATTCAGCAGGGCAGCCAGATCTTAAAGCTCCAAAATGATCTCCCTTGACTTCATGTCACACATCCAGGTCATGCTGATGCAAGAGATGGGCACCCATGGCCTTGGGCAGCCCCGCCTCTGTGGCTTTGCAAGATATAGCCCCACTTTCCACTGCTTTCATAGGATGGTGTTGACTGTCTGCAGCTTTTCCAGATGCATAGTGCAAGCTGTTGGTGGATCTACCATTCTGGGGTCTGGAGGATGGTGGCCCTCTTCTCACTGCTCCACTAGGCAGTGCCCCAGTGGGGACTCTGTGTGGGAGTTCTGACCCAACATTTCCCTTCTGCACTGCCTTAGCAGAGGTTCTCTGTTAGGGCTCTGCCTCTCCAGCAAAATTCTGCCTGGATATCCAGGCATTTCCATACATCCTCCGAAATCTAGGTGGAGGTTCTCAAACCTCGATTTTTGACTTCTATGCACCAACAGGCCAAACACCATGTGGGAAACTGCAAGGCTTAGGGTTTACACCCTTAGAAGCAAGGGTCTGAGCTGTGCCTTGGCCTCTTTCAGCCACAGCTGAAGCTGAAGTCACTGGGACACAGGCGAACATGTTCTGACACTGCACAGAATAGCAGCAGCCTAGGAAACCATTTTTCTGTCCTAGGTCTCCAGGCCTATGATGGGAGAGGCTGCTGTGAAGGTCTCTGACATGCCCTGGAGACATTTTCCCCATTGCTTTGGTGATTAGCATTTGGCTCCTCATTACTTATGCAAATGTCTGCAGCTGGCTTGAATTTCTCCCCAGGAAATGGGTTTTTCTTTTCTTCACATTATCAGGCTGCAAATTTTCCAAACTTTTATGGTCTGCTTCCTCTTGGACACTTTGCCACTTGGAAATTTCTTCTGCCAGATACCCTAAATCATCTCTCTCAAGTTCAAAGTTCCACATATTTCCAGGGCAGGGGCAAAATGCTGCCAGTTTCTTTGCTAAAGCATAGCAAGCGTGACCTTTACTCCAGTTCCCAAAAAGTTCCTCATCTCCATCTGAGACCATCTCAGCCTGGACTTCATCATCCATATCACTATCAGCATTTTGGTCAAAGCCATTCAATAAGTCTCTAGGGAGTTCCAAATTTTCCCACATCTGCCTGTCTTCTGAGTATTCCAAGTCTCTAGGAAGCTCCAAATTTTCCCACATTTTCATGTCTTCTTCTGAGCCCTCCAAACTGTTCCAACCTCAGCCTGTTATCCAGTTCCAAAATCACTTCCACATTTTCGGTATCCTTATAGCAGCACCCAACTGTACCAGTACCTATTTAATATATTAGTTTGTTCTCATACTGCTCATAAAGACATACCCCAAACTGGGTAATTTATAAAGGAAAGAGGTTTCACAGTTCAGCAATGCTTGGCAGGCTTCAGGAAACTTACAATCATGGTAGAATGGGAAGCAAACATGTCCTTCTTTACTTGGTGGCAAGAAAGAGAATGAGAGCCAAGCAAAGGAGAAAGTCCATTAGAAAATCAACAGATCTTATGAGAACTCACTCACTATTATGAGAACAGTATAGGGGAAATTGCCCCTATTATTCAATTACTCCACCTGGTCCTGTCCTTGACACATGGGAATTACTACAATTCAAGATCAGACTTTGGGTGGGAACACAGTCAAACCATATCAATCTCTGTCTGGGAATTTGTTTGCCTTTCTTCTTCTCTACACTTGGAATATAGAAAGAAAAATTCATATTTTAATCCAGGAAATCAAGGTCTTTTGATATCCTATCCCCAAATCCAACTATCCCTTATTTTCTTATGTTGGATTATTATTATTATTTGCTTATTTTTTGGGCCAATGGTAGAATAAGATTATACATTACTATGGAAAAACAAATTTCAAAAGATATGATTTTCTATAAAATGTCTTCTACTTAACTTCTAGAGGGCTGATACATTTTACCCCTACATGTAGCTGCCAGGGTTTCTAGTCTTCATCTTTCACTAAAATTGTGCCTATCATAATAGCTCTAAAATTGCCTACAGAACATTAGATAATGGCAGAAGAATTGAACCAGTAAAAAGAACAGATGCAAAGCTAACCTTTTTGTTTTCAATGCATCTATTGCTCTAAATAATTTCAGCAGACAGTGTTTAGTTCTCCTTTAGGTTAACATTTTACCCTCAATATGTTAGCAAAAAAAAGGATACATAATTGTACTTTTCCTTATACTTACTGTAAAAAGATTTCTTCTTATTTAAGAGTAGGTATGCAGATGATTGCATGAGTATATGTTAATGTATTTTCTAGAGAAATAGAGAAAAATTAAAAAATGCTTGAAAAGCCAAGTGTACAGTAGGATATGATATATATTAATATATATGTTTCAATAAATAAGAGTGAAAAACACATTTACAGTACTGATAAAATGGCAATTTATAAGTTAACTTGTATTAAGTAAGGTTTCTGAGTCTCTTTACCTCTAAAATGGGGATCAAACATCTCAGAGATTTGTTTAGGGGGAGATAAAAATAATGTATCTGGGTACCTGAAAATCATAAAGCACTGTGGTGTTATTTTTAAACTGTTCATAATCTAAAAAGTAGTGTTGTTATTATTGAGATGAAACTTTGTAGACTGGCATTTATATTTGAATTTTGGAAACTATTTGAACCAAAAGTATAAAAATGTGCTTTAAATAAGATTTTATCTACAGTAAACTCATGTTTAATCTATACTGAAAGCATACCTTATAAACTGAAGGTAATGCAATAAATGCTATCATTTTTATGGTAATAGTATATACAAGCAGTTAGCATTATGTAAATAAAAAAATTAATTTAATAAAATCTTGGGTTAGTATATGTATTCATAATGAGGTATTCAAAGAACTTAACAATAATTATTGCTCATTTACATACTGCATGTAAGTAATACCAGTCATAAATATGTGATTAAAATTTAACAAAGAAATAGATTTTAAAAAATCAAAGATTAAGTAGAGATTTTCCCAAAATACATTCCGTTCAAAAACATTCAATCTATTAACCAAGATTACATATCTTTACTTATTATTTTCTTCAATTAATAAACTTCAGTCAGAATTCTCAAGCAGTTTTAGCTATTTAAGAGAAAACTGATGGGAAAGACTTTGGCACTAGATGAAATAATTATTTTGGCAATTCTTTAGTTTAGGGATGAAAATAGTATTAAGACTAAGAAGTAAAGGTCAAAGTGAAATTTTAAACTGAATTTACTGAGGTAAAACTGCCAGAAAGATTCCTTCTTTGAAAAGCCAGCCTCCCTAATCCTTACTCTCCACACTGTTTTTATAGTGGTTTCTAAATGTAAAGTGATAGTAATGAGCTAACATAGCTGAGGAAAAACAGAATACTAGAACATCATGTCCTTTGTACAGATTATTTAGATATAGAAGACTGTCATAAAGTTCTTGGGCAGACTGCAAAGTAAAAAAAATTAACTGTTAATTACTAAACTTGTAATAATGATTTTTTACTCTTTTGGAGTGCTTATTATGTACTAGACACTGAATTAGGAGCTTTACGTATATCATTATTAAAGTAACCCTGCCAGGGTGGTATTATTTTAAGTATGCTAATGATTACAAATAGGGAACTAGAGAGGTTATGTGAATTATTCAAGATTATATGAAGAAAAAGGAACAGGCTTGAAATTTGAAACCAAGTCCATCTAACAGCAAAGCTCATGCTTTTTCTATTATAAAACTCTGCTTCAGGGAATAAATA
This sequence comes from Homo sapiens, assembly GCF_000001405.40. Lineage (NCBI taxonomy): Eukaryota > Metazoa > Chordata > Mammalia > Primates > Hominidae > Homo > Homo sapiens. The sequence goes on from NC_000004.12 coordinate 106,165,923, forward strand.
CAATAGATGCATGCAGAAATGAAAGTAAAATTGATTTTTCTTCTAATATCCACTTTTAACCTTCCATTCTACTAGTAATAGAGTACAATTTATCTCAGTTTATAAAAGCCGCTTTTAAAATCTGTTTTTGACTCAGACATAAGAATATATAATATGAACCTGAATTCTGATTATGCTAATTTTAATAAATATTCTTTTTACAGCATGCATACATTATTTTTGTATCTGCTTTCTATTATACTAATATATTTGAACCTTCAAATAAACAATATTAAAAATGTAGACATTTCAGATAAAAAAGAACAAAAATCAAAAATATTTTATGTACAGAATTCTATAAACATAAAAAATTAAACAAAATAGGTACTTTTAGAAAAAATTTTGAGAAAATAAACATGTTAACTAAATAGAAATACTTTTCAAACAACATGAACTTACAGAAGTGGTTTTTCAGACAAGTTTCCTCAATTTATGTAAAAGAGGTAATTCCTTTTATAGAAAATGATTAAATAGCAGACAGGAGAAATAAATAAAATTTAAAAAATAATTTCAACTTTTATTTTAGATTTAGGAGTACATGTGCAGGTTTGTCACAAGGGTATATTGTATGATGCTGAGGTTTAGGGTGATTCCTGTCAGCCAGGTAGTGACCACAGTACCCAATAGGTAATATAATCTTAAGACCAAAGCCTGACAAGGACAAAAAGCAAAAGAAAATTATAGACTTATCTAATCTATAAACATAGGTGCATAAATTTTTTTAAAAACTAGCAAATCAAATATAGCCAGTATGTCTTTTTGTTAGTGACCAAGTAGACTTTATCTCAGGAATGTAATGACCATTAAATATAAGAAACTGTAATAATATAATACATTATCACAATAAAAGATGAAATAATCCCAAATTAATACAAAATAAGCATTTGATAAAATTTAACATTCATGATAAACACTCAAATACAGAAAAGATGGTACAATAATTGTCTCAATAAAGAGTATAAAAAACGTCAAACTTAAATGATGAAATTAGAAGCATTTTCATTAAACTCGGGAACAAGTAAGTCTACCTACTCTTAAACTAGAGGTTCTGTCCAAAGCAATAGACAATAAACAATTGGAAACATAATAACTTGAAAGAAAGAGATAAACTTATTCATATATATAGGGGTGTGTGTGTGTGTATTATATACACACTGTATATATATATATAGAGAGAGAGAGAGAGAACTATATATATAGAACTGTATATATAGAACTGTATATATATATATAGAACTGTATATATATATATTTATATATATATACAATTGGTTGAATTCGCTACAAGCTATTAGTCTTAGAGAATCAATACCAACATACTTAGACACGAAACAGAACACCTTTAATTAACACATAGGTCAAAATATTAACTAAATGGAAATGAAAACACAACATCAAAATTGGTGGAATGCATCAAAAACAATGCTCAGAGGAAAATGTACAGCTTTGAATGTATATATTAGAAATAAGGGAAGTTCTAAAATCAATGATCTAAGCTTCCACCTTAGAAAACTAGAAAAAGAACAGCAAATTAAGTTCAAAGTGAGTAGAAGAAAAATAAAAATCAGAGCAGAAATCAATGAAATTGAAAACAGTAAATCAAAGAGATCAATGACACCAAAAGCTGGCTCCTTGCAAAGATGAATAAAATCAATAAGCCTTTAACCAGCTAAGAAAAAAAAGATTATTCAAATTACAAATAGCAGAAATGAAAGAGATCTCAGTACAGATCCCATAGACAATAAAATGATAACAAAGGAATACTATGAACCATTCTATGCCCATAAATTTGATAGCCTGGATAAAATGGCTTGAAAGACACAATATGACAAAACTTATATGAGAAGAATTAGATAATCTGAATAGGCCTGCATCTATTAAAGAAATTCAATCAATAATTAAGAACATTTCCAAACAGAAAGTATCAGACCCAGATGAATTCACTGGTAAATTCTATTAAAGACTGAAGGAAGAAATTATGCCAACTGTCTACAATTTCTTTGAGAGGACAGAAGCAAAACGAATATGTCCTAACTCATTCTATGAGGCCAGTATTACCCTAAATACTAAAACTAGACAAAGACATTACAAGAAAACAGTATCTCTCATGAACATAGATACCAAAATCCTCAACAAAATATTATCAAAGTCAAATCCAACAATGTATAAAACAAATTATATACCATGAACAAGTAGAATTTATCCCAGGCATGCAAGGCTGTTTTAACATATGAAAATTAATTAATGTAATTCTTGCACCAACAAGCTAAAGAAGAAAATTCACATGATCATACAAATAGATACAGGAAACACATTCTACAAAATCCAACATGCATTCATGATAAAAAATCTCTCAGCAAATTGGGAATAAAAGAGACCTTACTCAACTTGTAAAAAACATCTACAAAAACCTACAGCTCACACAATACTTTCTGGTGACACCCTAGAAGCCTTCCTGCTAAGATCAGGAACAAGGTAAGGATGTCCTCTCACCATTTCTTTTTAACATTATATTAGATGTTGTATCTAATGCAATAACACAAACAAAGAAAATAAGAGGTGTACTAATTGGCAAGGAAGAAATAAAACTGTCCATTTTTCAAATAATGTGATCATATATGTAGAAAATCTGAAGGAACTGAGCAAAAAACTGGAGCTAATAAGTAACTACAGCAAGGTAGCAGGACTCGAAGTTAATATAAAAGGTCAAACGCTTTCCTGTATACCTGCAATGTACAAATGGAATTTGAAATAAAAAATAATACCACTTACATCAGCATTCCTCAAAATCAAATACTTAGATATAAGTCTAACTATATATATATAAGATCTAAATGAGAAAAACTATAAAAATCTGATGAAAGAAATCCAACAACTAGATAAATGAAAAAATATTCCATTTCCTGGATAGGAGACTCAATAAAGGTTGAATATCTCTAGTTCCAAAATCCATAATCCAAAATGTTCCAAAATCGGAAACATTCTGAGTACCAAGATGATAGTCAAAGGAAATGCTCATTGGAGCAATCTGGATTTTGTATTTTTGGATTAGGAATGCTCAATCAGTAAGTATAATGCAAATATTCCAAAATCAGAACAAATAAAATATCTGAAGCACTTTTGGTCCCAAGCATCTTTGAAAAGAGACAATCAACCTGTATTGTCAACAGTTCTTCCCAAATTGATATGTAGATTCAATGTAATCCCAATCAAAATAGCAGCAAGTTATTTTGTAGGTATCAACAAACTAATTTTAAAGTTTATTTGGAAACAAAGACTCAGAATAACCAACACAGTATTAAAAAGAACAGTTGGAGGACTGACACTTCTGAGCTTCAAGACAAATTATAAATCAAAACAGCATAGTATTGGCAAAAGAACAGACAAACATCAATGAAAAAGAATAGAGAGTTCAGAAATCAACCCACATAAATACAACCAACTAATCTGTGAAAGGAACAAAGGCAATAAAATGGAAAAGTCAGTCTTTTTAACAAATGTTTTTCTGCTATAAAGAGGATATAATTCAAAATTTGAAACAAAGAAACTATTAAATAAGTTTGTATTTAGAACTGCTGAATTTCAAAGTTTCAAGCTATCTTACAGGTCATCTAGAACAGTGTTCCTCAACTTTTTTGGCACCAAGGACTGTCTTCATGGAAGACAATTTTTCCATGGACCCAGGGTGTGGCAGATGGTTTTGGGATAATTCAAGCATATTACATTTATTGTGTACTTTATTTCTATTATTATTACATCATAATATATAATGAAATAATTACATGACTCTTCATAATGTACAATCAGTGGGAGCCCTGAGCTTGTTTTCCTGCTACTTAATGGTCCCATCTGGGGATAATGGGAGATAGTGACAGATCATCAGGCATTAGATTCTCATAAGGAATATGCAACCTAGATCCCTCACATGCGCAGTTCACAAGAGGATTTGTGCTCCTATGAGACTGTAATGCTGCTGCTAATCTGACAGGAAGCAGCGCTCAGGTGGTAATGCAAGTAAGGGAGCAGTGGCCGTAAATACAGATAAAGCTTTGCTGGTGTGCCTGCCATTCACCTCCTGCTGTATGGCCTGGTTCCTGTGACTGGTACCAGTCTGTGGCCTGGGGGTTGGGGATCCCTGATCTAGAACAACATTTACCATTTACTGACAAATTAGTTCTCTCACCAAAATTCATTACATGGAAATATCTTCAGCTGAATATTTCTAGTATTTGAGAACTTACTTTCTTCCAGGCAGGCAGAAGACAACTACTACTTTTGGAAAACTATAATGCAAATATTTATTTATAAGTGTGGGTTCTTATTCTTTTCTCTCTCAGGATATTTTAGAAATATCTTATAATCTTTCATATATATATTCATTTAGCTGTTTCCCTCTCTATCATCTGTATATCTAGAGGCAGAGATTGTAATTATTGAAATTGCTCTGTATTCAATCATAAGCAGGGTCATGTTTATAAGTGACCTTAATATAATTTGATTGTGATGGAAATATATGAACAAATGAATGTACCCATATATTTGGGGACATAAATAAAATCATAGAAAGTGCCATATCTGAAAAGCAATACATACATATTAACAGAAATTCAATTTCGTGGAAATAATTATGATACTATGATAATATTAGAATATTCGAAATGTATGAATTATTATAACTGAAAGCTTTGTTGACCATATTTATAAACTGTGTTTAGTAAGAATGATAATGTTGAAACACCTACATGGCATAGTTTTACAAATGCTGTTTCTTCTGTCAACCAACAATAAGTTCCTGCTCTATTAACAACTCTTTTTCTATTTTTTTAATTCTTTCTTTGCTTCTGTAATCTCTCACTATATAACCAATTGATATATAAACAGATACTACAAATGCATACAAAAAAAGCAAAACTTGCTACCTGGAGGAGTACGTCAAAATAATCTTCCTAACTCTATAACCAAATAGATATAATGGTTTTCTGGAATATTTCTATGAATCAAATCATGTGTTAGAAAATATCTACATTAAAAGGACATAAATGACACCATTAAGAACAATAAAGATACTAGGGTATATTAATTTTAACATCCATCTCCTTTTAGAGTTTGTAAACTAAATCCGCAAATACATACCAGATCTGTCTTTGGAGGATCTGGACACTCAGCAGAGAAATAAGGTGCCGAACTTCTGCCTCCACTGCTGTCAGAAGATGGCTTTGGAGGTTGAGCATGCTGTCTGTAAGTAGCACTTTTAGGAGTCCAACAAAACAGGTTGATAGATTCTCTCACACAGCGTTCAATGTCAATTTCTAGATAGAAATGTTTTAAAAAAGCAAATGTATAGAATTTAGATTGCTCTTTTAATGTAATAAACACCATCTCTCCTAAGTGAATATATCTAAATATGGCTAAGATGATAAGTTATTAGAAAAAATGTCAGTAAAAAAAACAATGTATATATTAATCAGCATATTTATGACTGGATTGATGGAAATATTTGGTATAATTTGCTTATATATATTTGTAAATGTATCTACTTATGTTTTCATGTGTGTCTTTTACTTGGAATTATCTACATATACATATGTATATATTTCAGAGTATCATTATTTAAATGCCACAGAATAGAACACATCTCCTTATTTAAAAATCTGCCAAATTTATGCTGATGTTTCCACTTTTCCAATGTGAAACAAAAGTTATAGGGGGAGAATACAATTTGGGAATAGGTAGACAAAAGATTTAGAAGATGTTGATTGCTGATTCAGAATGAATTCTAGTAAAGTGAACTGACAGTTTTACTGCCATTAAATAAGATATAAAATTATCAGAAAAAATTTTTCAGAATCTCAATTCAGCATTTCTCAATTTTTTTTTTCCTGTTTTTGAGATAGAGTCTTGTTCTGTCTCCTAGGCTGGAGTGCAGTGGTGCAATCACGGCTCACTGCAACCTTGGCCTCCCAGGTTCAAGCAATTCTCGTGCCTCAGCCTTCCTAGAAGCTGGGATTACAGGCCTATGCCACAACACCCGGCTAATTTTTTGTATTTTTAGTAGACATGGGGTTTCGCCATGTTGCCCAGGCTGTTCTTGAATTCCTGACCTCAGGCAATCCACCTGCCTCGGCCTCCCAAAATTCTAGGGTTACAGGGATCATCCACCATGCCCAACTAGCATTTCTCCATTCTTTAATAATCTCTTGAGTTAAATGAAGAAAGGTTTTAAAGTTTAATCAAGTAAGGTTTAAATGCACTTGACTAAAAGATAAAATAGAAACACTTTCATATTAGATTTCCTTTTGTTTCTCATGTTTGAAATGTAAGCATCTTTAATGCAGAGGTAATATACATAGAAAGGTTACTACAACTCTATATTGTTTGTGTTTTGGATGAGACTGTATCTCTTTAGGAGGCCAACAGTCCTGATGAGAAGTTAGCCAGTCCTCTATGGCGAAAGTAGAAAGATCACAGAAAGGCGGAGAAATTCAAGAAGTTGACTGTGATGGAGTTTAGCACTGACTAGTTTTTATCTTTCCATATTTCTAAAAGTACAAATGGCATATATTCTCATTTCCTCTGTAAAAGTCCAAGTGTCGGGCTCAGGCAGGCAATGGAGAAAAATATATTACATGTCAGAAAGTGGTAAGTTCTTTTTTTCTCCCCCTCTTTTTGAAATGAAGGGCTTGTAAGGGGAAAAGGAAATAGGCATTAAGTAAATTCTGTGGATAGTGCATGAGTAATCATTTAGAGTTATCTGCTGTGGTAAGGTGAAGAAATCTGGAAGAGGGAAAAAGAAGGTAACACTGACCATCTATTATGTGACAGGTATTGTATACTTTCACTTAATCCATTTAATTCTTACAATGATTTTATTAAAGACAGGTATCGTAATTCTTCTTCCCACCTTCTATTTCTGCTAAAGACAAAGAAACTAAGACACAAGGAAGTTAAGTGATTTGTTAAGTATGTTACTATGAGTAGAAGTCTGAAGTTACTATAAGGTTATAAGGCATCTTTTGTTACTTCCTAACTTAGATTTGGAATATGAAAAGATAGTCTGATAAGACCAGTTACTCAATTAGGCATTCCTTAGTGATGTTTACCAACTTCACAGCTCATTACTTCCATGGCTACAAAAAGAGGTCAGATTTCATCACCTCATATGCTATTCCTAATATAAAAACTATAAAACAGAGTGAAACAAGCTTTGAGGCATGGGCCTATTTATTTGGGCAATGGATAATATAGTGAAGCTCTCTAACAATATCAACTTGTTATTTCACAAAGAAAATACAAACACAAACTAGAAGAAAAATCAAGGTTTAAGACAGGTTTCTCTAGCCTGTTTAAGAAAAAAGAGATAGCACAATTCATTTTAGAAAACTTTCAATTCAAATAGTTAAGATAAAAATTTGGCAGCTAATGAGAGAAAATACTCAACCATCTAAAGTCTGTCTACTTAACACAGTTTAGTTTCCAAAGGAAAGGGTTTCAGTCCATAGATTTTGTATTTGCAGGGCTCAAATCAATTTGACACATCTGTCACCAGCAAAGTTTGAAGGTGAGTCAGTGATCTAGAGTAAAGGTTGTAGTGCAGTCCTTCAATCACTGGCATTGGAAAAGTTATTTTTATCTGCTTCCAAGACATCCCATCAACACCATAAAAGGTTTACAGTGAATCTTGATGATGTACTGGCATCCATCCCGATTCTACCCTGATGGTTAGTTCTAACAGATATCTCATTTTCCATTTCACTTGACTCATGTCACCTCTCATCTCAAAACCCTTCCAAAGCACATTATCATAATCAAAATATAATGCAAAAGTACTTTGTGAAGTGTACATTAAAATGCACAATTACTCCTACAAAGTAATCTCTCATTACATGGCACTACTGTTTTTTAACCTTGCATTATAATTATTGAGACAATGCATTGTGAATAAAACATGGATTATGGTTTCCCAGGTTTGAATTAAAGCTCCATGAGGTATTTTGCAACTCTGGGTAAAATAACTTCTCTAAATCTATTAATTTCTTCATTGGCACCCATTAGTATTAGATCTTTCAGAAATACTGAACTATTTTCAATATGATAAACACAACCATTTGGGCAAGGATAGATGGAAAAGACAGCTTTCCTGAGCCTGCTCTTCTCTCACTTTAATGGCTATAAATTCCTTCTGAAATTTATTGCATAGCTATTGTCCTGGAACTTCTCTTTACCATTATCCAATTCTCTTAGGCTATCCCCTATATTTGATTCCTAACTTTTTGGGTAAGACATTATTTACCACTCTTTCATATTTACTTCTCATTTTGATGAAACACATTATCCAGCAGCTACAAAGAAAGAGTACACAGGAGGTAAACTATTCAAAAACCTTCAATGAATATCATTAATCTGCCCTTGACTGATAGTTTGACCAGATACAGCATTCTAGGGTTGAATTTTTTTCTTCTGAGTTATTAAAGGTAGAGCTCCAATGTCTGCTGCTGAGAAGTCTGATAAAATTCTGATTTAGGATTATTTGTACATGATTTTCTGTTTCTCTGTTAAGTTTTAGGATCCCTGTATTATGAAATTTCATGGTGATATACTTACGCATATACTTCATTGTGCTGGGCATTTGGTGGATCCCTGAGTAGTCCTTCAGTTACACAAAAAGTATGTTTTTGATGTTTGTGATAATTTGTTTCTTTTTAAATCTTCTATTCTATAAGAATCTTGAACTTCCTGAATTTAATTTCTAATAATTTTGTCATTTTGTTCTTACTTTCCACGTGTATTTTTGTTTCATACTCTGTGAGATTTCCTAAATTTTATCATCTTACATTTTCATCACAAACATCATTGCATTTCTATATCAATTTCAATTTCCAGGCCAGGCACGGTGGCTCATGCCTATAATCCTAGCACTTTGGGAGGCCAAGGTAGGAGGATCACTTGAGGCCAGGAGTTTGAGACCAGCCTGGCCAACATGGTGAAACCCTGTCTCTACTAAACAAAAATACAAAAATTAGCCAAATGTGGTGGAGTGCACCTGTAACCCCAGCTACTTAGGAGGCTGAGACACGAGAATTGCTTGAACCTGGGAGGTGAAGGCTGCAGTGAGCAGTGATCACGCCTGTATCACGCTTGTACTCCAGCCTGGCTACAGAGCAAGACTCTCTCAAAAAAAAAAAAAAGAAAAAAAAATCAATTTCCAGATTTTCAACAATTTTCATTGTTATGTTTAAAAGTTCTGTTTTTTCATAGTTAATTTTCTCATAGTTATCTTTCTGAATAAATTATTTTTTCAGTTTATACTATTCTGTATCTTAATTGGAAGCTTTCCTCAGAGATTTTGTGATCTTTGATTCTACATATTTACAAGAACAGCACCAAAAATCAGATTGAATTTTTTTTTTTTTTTTTTTATGTGGGCTGGGGTTAGTGACTGGTGGATTAACTATAAGGTAATTTGGGGACATGGTTATTTTGTTAGAAGACTCCTAAGTAAGATATTTCTCCTTCTGGGAACATTGAGTTTTTCCAGATAATTCTCTGATCTTCTAAGCTCATCCTTGCCAGCCTTCCCAGATATGACCATAGGAGGGGCCTGTATAACTATATACATTCACTCACTCCTGCTCTCTGCTATGCCTATTGGCTCTGAGTCTCAAGACTCAGTGACTCTACTACTCCAGAGAATGCCTCTCCATATTTACCATTAAAATGGTCACTTTTGTAAAATTTGACAAAGTAAAAATATTTCAACCACAACAATGAAGAATGCTGCCTCTTTCTACACCAAATTCTCTCCATTATACTTCCTTGATATTGGGCAACATTACAATGGCTGTGCATGCTCTACATATAACTAAGAGTAAGCTGAACATATTTACTTTGGTTTAATAGGTCATATTTTTGTTATCTGAAGTAACTTCTGGGTATTGACAAAGATGCTCTCCTTAACCAAAGTCTAGCCAGGCTCCTTAGAGCCCTTTTTTGACTAGGGTCCAAACTTTGCCTATAAAGACTTGAACAAAACATGAAGATGGCTTGGTTTTTCTACTTTACTGTTATTTTTAAATTAATACATAAAATTGTACATAGTTTATGTATTAATTAAATATGGAATACATGTGATATTTTGCTATATGCATACAATGTGTAATGATCAAAACAGGGTAATCAGAACATCTACCAATTCGAATATTTATTTTCTTATGTTGGGAACATTTTAAATCTAGCTATTTTGAAATATATAACAAATTATTGTTAACTATAGTCATCCTACTGTGCTGTCTATTGAACAACAGAGCTTATTCCTTCGGTCTAACTGTATTTTGTATCCATTAACCAACCTCTCTCTTCATCCCCATCCCCCAGCCCATTCTTCTTAGCCTCTAGCAACTATCAATCTACTCTCAACCTCAACTTATTTAGTTTCCCAAGTATGAGTTAGAATATGTGATACTGTGAATATGACATAGTCTTTCTGTGCCTGGCTTATTTCACTTAATGTGATGACCTCCAATTACATCCATGTTGTTGCAAATGACAGGATTTCATTGCCTTTTATCGCTGAATGGTAATTCATTGTGTTTTTATGTACGTTTTCTTTATTCATTCATTCATTGATAGACACTTAAGTTGATTCTGTATGTTGGCTATTGTGAATAGTGCTGCAATAAACATGAGAGTGCAGACATCTCTGCGATATCCTGATTTCCTTTCTTTTGGACATATATCCAGCAGTGGGAATGCTGGATCTTATGGTGCTTCTATTTCTACTTTTTTGAGGAACCTCCATACTGTTTTTCATAGTAGCTATACTAATTTACATTCCCACTAACAGTGTACTAACATCCCACTTTCTGCACCATCTATTATTTTTCTCTTCTTCGTAATAGCCTTTTAAACTTGGATAAAATTTCATTGGGGTTTTGATTTGCATTTCTCTGATAATTAGTGATATTGAGTACTTTTTCATATACTTGTTGGCCATTTTTAAGTGTTTTTTTTTTTTTTAAATACAGGGTCTCACTAAGTTACCCAGGTTAGAGTGTAATGACTACAGACATGATCATAGACTATGACCTACGACAAGCCTGAAACTTCTGGGCTCAAGTGATCTTATATCACAGCATCCTGAATACTTGGGACTACAAGTATACACCATCACATCTGTCTCTATGTCTCCTTTTCAGAAATGTCTATTCAGATCATCTACCCGTTTTTTAAATAGGATTGTTTTTTGGCTATTCATTTGAGTTCTTTATGTACTCTGGCTACTAATCCTTTGTTGGTTGAAGAGTTTGCACATTTCCTCCCATTCTGTAGGTTGTTTCTTCACTCTGTTGATTGTTTCCTTTGCTGTGAAGAATTTTAGCTTGATGTAATTCTATTTGTCTACTTTGGCTTTGGTTGCCTGTGTTTTTGTGGTCTGACCTCAAAAATCCTTGCCTAGTAGATCAATGTTGTGAGACATTTCCACAACGTGGTCTAGTAGTTTCATGTCTTACATTTAAGTCTTTAATAAAGTTTGATTTAATTTTTGCATATGGTGAGAGACAGGGGTCTAGTTTCATTAGTCTGCATATGGAGATACAGTTTTCCCAGCACCATTTATTAAAAAAAACCTGTCTTTTCCCCAATGTATATTGTTGGCACCTGTGTCAAAAGTAAGTTGGCTGTAAATGTGTGAATTTATTTCTGAGTTATCTATTCCATTTCATTGGTCTATGTGCAGGTTTTTATGTCAGTACAATGCTGTTTTGGTTACTACAGCTCTGTAGTATATTTGGGAATTAGTGTGAGGCCTCTAGTTTTCTTCCCTTTACTCAAGATTGCTTTTGCTACTTGGGGTCTTCTGTGGTTCCATAAAAATTTTAGGATTATTTTTTCGAATTCTGTTAAGAGTGTCATTGGTATTTTGATAGAAATTACATTGAACCTGTAGATCACTTTGGGTAGCATGAACATGTTAACATTATTAATTCTTCTAATCTATAAGCACATGATATCTTTTCATTTTTTATTGCCCTCTATAATTTATTTCATTAGTGTTTGTTCTCATTGTGGAGATCTCTCACTTCTTTTGTTAAATTTGTTCCTACATATTTTATTTTATTTGTAGCTATTTCAAGCAGAACTGCTTCCTTGATTTCTTTTTCAGATTGTTCACTGTTGGTTTAAAGAAATGCTACTGATTTTTATATGTTGATTTTGTATCCCAATTTACTGAATTCGCAAATCTGTTCTAACAGTTTTTTGGTGAAGTCTTGAGGGTTTTCCAAATATAAGGTCATGTCATCTGTGAAAAAGAATAATTTGAGTTCTTTCTTTCCAATTGAATGTGTTAATTTTTTTTTCTGTTGCCTAATTGCTCTGTCTAGAATTTCCAGTACTCTGTTGAATAAAAGTAGTGAAAGGAGGCATCTTTTTCTTCTAGATTTTACAAAAAAGCCTGTTGGTTTTTCCCTATTCAGTGTAGTAGCTGTGGGGTTGTCACATATGGCCTTTATTGTTCTGAGGTGTGGTCCTCTTATACCCAGTTCTTTGAGAATTTTTATCATGAAGGAATGTTGAATTTTATCAAATACTTTTCTAGTATCTATTGAAAGAATCATATGGGTTTTGTTCTTGATCCTGTTAAGTGATGTAGCATGTTTATTGATTTGCATATGTTGAATCATCACTGAATTCCTGGGATGAATCCCCCTTGACCATGGTGAATGATTTTTTTAACGTGTTGTTGAATTCAGTTGCTTGTATTTTTGTTGAGAATTTTTCATCTATGTCCATCAGGGATATTGGTATTTAGAATGAGTTTGAAAGTATCCTCTCCTCTTCATTTTTTTTTTAAGAATTTGAGAGAATTTGCATTAGTTCTTTCAGCAACATAGGCATCCACTGCTGGACTTTTCTTTGATGGGAGACTTTTTTATTACAGCTGCTTATCTTGTTATTAATTGTTGATCTGTTCAGGTTTTCTATTTCTTCATGGTTCAATCCTGCTAAGCTGTATGTGTCCAGAAATTTATTCATCTCTTCATGGTTTTCCAACTTGTTAGTGTATAGTTGTTCATAATAGTCTCTAATGATCCTTTGTAATTCTGTAGTATAATTTGTCTGCATTCTGTAGTAAAATGTCTCAGTTTACATAAGATTTTATTTATTTGGGCCTAGTCCCTTTTTTGCTAGTCTAGCTAAAGGATTATTGATTTTGCTAATCTTTTCAAAAACCAACTTTTCCTTTTGTTGATCTTTTGTATTGTTTTCTTAGCCTGAATTTCATTCGTTTTTATTCTGCTCTTTATTATTTTTCCTTCTACCAATGTTTTGTTTGTTCCTGCTTTTCTACTTCCTTGAGGTGCATTGTTAAGTTCTTTATTTGAATTATTTCTACTTTTCTGATGCAGGTGTTTACTGCAATAAACTACCCTCTTAGAACTGTTTTTGCTGTATCCCATATATTTTGGTATATTTCCATTTTCATTTGCACATTTTCTGTTAAATACAGGAATACTATAATTTCCTTTATAATTTCTTCATTGACCCATTTGCTATTCAGAAGCACATCATTTGATTTCCATAAATCTGTAGTTTCTAATGTTCCTTTTCTTAATGATTTCTAATTTTATTCCATTGTGATCTAAAAATAAATTTGATATAATTTTGATTTTTGAAAATTTAAGACTTGTTTCGTGAACACAGGGTCCATCTTGGAGAATGTTCCATGTGCTTTTGAGAAAAATGTGTATTCTGCAGCTGTTGGATGGAACGTTCTGTAAATGTCTGTTAGGTCCATTTGGTCTACAGTACAGTTTAACTCCAGTGTTTCTGTGTTGACTTTCTGTCTGGATGACCTGTGTATTGCTAGAAGTGGGGTGCTGAGTCCCCTTCTATTATAACACTGCACTCAATCTCTCTCTTTAGGTTAATTAATATTTGTTTTATATTCTGATGCTCCAGAGTTGGTTGGGTGTATATATAATTGTTATATCCTCTTGCTATATTGACTTTTATCATCATATAATGGACTTCTTTTGTCTTTTTTAAAACTATTATTGAATTAAAATCTATTTTATCTGATATATGTACAGTTGCTTCAGCTCTCTCTATAGTTTCTGAATCTTCTCTCATCCCTTCACTTTTAGTCTCTGCATGTCTTCAAAGGTAGAGTTTCTTGTAGACAGCATATAGTTGTGTCTTTTTTTTTAAATCAATTCAGCCATTCTAGCTCTTTTTATTGGATAATTAATTTAATTGGATAAATTAAACCTATTTATATTCAAGATTATTAATAATAGGTAAGAATTTGCTACTGTTATTTTATTACTTGCTATTTGCTTGTTTTGTAGACACTTTCTTCCTTTTATCCTCTCTTAAAGTCTTCCTTTGTGGTTAGGTGATTTTCTCTAGTAGTATGTTTTTTTTCCTCCTTCTTTTTATTATACTTTAAGTTCTGGGTTACATGTGCAGAATGTGCAGTTTTGTTACACAGGTATACATGTGCCATGGTGGTCTGCAGCACCCATCAACCCGTCACCTACATTAGGTATTTCTCCTAATGTTATCCTTCCCCTAGCCCCCACCCCGCACAGGCCCCAATGTGTGATGTTCCCCTCTCTGTGTCCATGTGTCCTCATTGTTCAACTCCCACTTACGAGGGGGAACATGCAGTATTTGGTTTTCTATCTTGTGATAATTCGCTGAGAATGATGGTTTCCAGCTTCATCCATGTCCCTGCAAAGGACATGAACTCATCTTTTTTATGGCTGCATAGTATTCCATGGTATATATGTGCCACAATTTCTTAATCCAGTCTATCATTGATGGACATTTGGGTTGGTTCCAAGTCTTTGCTATTGTGAATAGTGCCACAATAAACGTATGTGTGCATGTCTCTTTTTTGTAGAATGATTTATAATTCTTTGGGTATATACCCAGTAATGGGATTACTGGGTCAAATGGTATTTCTAGTTCTAGATCCTTGAGGAATCGCCACAATGGCTGAACTAATTTACACTCCCACCAACAGTGTAAAAGCATTCCTATTTTTCCACAACCTCTCCAGCATCTGTTGTTTCTTGACTTTTTAATGATCACCATTCTAACTGGTGTGAGATGGTCTCATTGTGGTTTTGATTTGCATTTCTCTAATGACCAGTGATGATGAGCATTTTTTCATATGTCTGTTGGCTGCATAAATGTCTTCTTTTGAGAAGTGTCTGTTCATATCCTTTGCCCATTTTTTGATGGGGTTCTTGGCTTTTTTCTTGTAAATTTGTTTAAGTTCTTTATAGATGCTGGATATTAGCCCTTTGTCAGATGGATAGATTGCAAAAATTTTCTCCCATTCTGTAGGTTGCCTGTTCACTCTGATGATAGATTCTTTTGCTGTGCAGAAGCTCTTTAGTTTAATTAGATCCCATTTGTCAATTTTGGCTTTTGTTGCCATTGCTTTTGGTGTTTTAGACATGAAGTCTTTGCCCATGCCTATGTCCTGAATGGTATTGCCCAGGTTTTCTTGTAGGATTTTTATGGTTCTAGGTCTTACGTTTAAGTCTTTGATCCATCTTGAGTTGATTTTTGTATAAGGTGTAAGGACGGGGTCCAGTTTCAGTTTTCTGCATATGGCTAGCCAGTTATCCCAACACCATTTATTAAATAGGGAATCTTTTCCCCATTGCTTGTGTGTGTCAGGTTTGTTAAAGATCAGATGATTGTAGATGTGTGGTGTTATTTCTGAGGCCTCTGTTCTGTTCTATTGGTCTATATATCTGTTTTTGTACAGTACCATGCTGTTTTGGTTACTATAGCCTTGTAGCAGAGTTTGAAGTCAGGAAGCATGATGCCTCCAGCTTTGTTCTTCTTGCCAAGGATTGTGTTGGCTATGTGGGCTCTTTTTTGGTTCCATATGAAGTTTAAAGTAGTTTTTTCCAATTCTGAAAAGAAAGTCATTGGTAGCTTGATGGGGATAGCATTGAATCTATAAATTACTTTGGGCAGTAAGGCTATTTTCACAATATTGATTCTTCCTATCCATGAGCATGGAATGTTTTTCCATTGGTTTGTGTCCTTTCTTATTTCCTTGAGCAGTGGTTTGTAGTTCTCTTTGAAGAGGTCCTTCACATCCCTTGTAAGTTGGATTCCTAGGTATTTTATTCTCTTAGTAGCAATTGTGAATGGGAGTTCACTCATGATTTGGCTCTCTGTTTATGTGTTATTAGTGCACAGAAATACTTGTGATTTTTGCACATTGATTTTGTATCCTGAGACTTTGCTGCAGTTGCTTATCAGCTTAAGGAGATTCGGGGCTGAGATGATGGGGTTTTCTAAATATACAATCATGTCATCTGCAAACAGAGACAATTTGACTTCCTCTCTTCCTATATGAATACCCTTTATTTCTTTCTCTTGCCTGACTGCCCTGGCCAGAAAGTCCAAAACTATGTTGAATAGGAGTGGTGAGAGAGGGCATCCTTGTCCTGTGCCAGTTTTCAAAGGGAATCCTTCCAGTTTTTGCCCGTTCAGTATGATATTGGCTGTGGGTCCGTCACAAATAGCTCTTATTATGTTGAGATACATTCCATCAGTACCTAGTTTATTGAGAGTTTTTAGCATGAAAGGCTGTTGAATTTTGTTGAAGGCCTTTTCTGCATCTATTGAGATAATCATGTGGTTTTTGTCATTGGTTCTGTCTTATAATGTCTTATGACATCGAACTATCCCAACAATAACACAATGAAATTATCACTGTAGAAGAAGACTGAAAATTATAAAGTTCCTTATCTTATTAGTGGAGAAGAAAGTAGAGGGAATAAAATATGCATATTATGAAGCACTCTCTGTAAGGTAAGGTCTAAGGACAATACTCTGACACCTTCAAGTTGACAGCACATCTATCACTACTTAATGTACTGACATAAAATAAAATTATAGTGGATAGAAATGGCATAGAATTAGTCTTCCAACAAAGAATTAATAACCTTGAGTAACTCACTGATCCACGTTTAAGGACTGTTAGTAGTAAGTATCAACTACACTTCAAGGAATACAGCATAGAATGTTATTACTTAAGAGAGAATTCTAAAATATTAGAAATCTCTCAGGACTTTGTCATATAATTTATTTTGGTAAAGAGCTAAATTCAATAATACTCTTTTACCACATTCTTGAAGTTATCCCTGGACAGCTGCTCTCTTTCTACTGCTTAGAATCATAGCATTTCAGGTGGCCAATCCATCTTCCATACTACAGCCAGAATCATTTTTCTAAAATATAGATAGGATCATGTCATTTCTGTGCTTAAAACTTTCCAATTGCATATAAAATAATATCCAATTTCCTCAGCATATCATGCAAGGCCCCCATAACCATTCCTCTACCTATTTTACCAACTTTTATCACTACCACCAGTACCACCACCCCAGCCCATCCACTTCAGGTTTCTCTCTCTCAACCTATCCTCTACTAACATCCTATTTACAATAAGACAGCCATGAGCCTCACATATCTGTGTTATCCTTATACTATTTTCTAAGCTGCCAATGCTTTCTCTCCATCCTACTACAGAGCTACACTATGTCTTATTTATTTTTATGGCCCCAGTGCATAATACTGTGCCTGTCATATAGTATTTATTAAACATGTAATCAGTGAGTAAACTTACATAGGTCTCATAGAAAGTGGACACAATTTCCTGACCAGCAGTTCACACAATTTGTATGCTTCACATCTCAAAAACACTAAAGAAAGTTGGTGAGTTTTCTTATTGCTAAACATTATTGGATGTTTTCCAAAAGTAATTACAATCTTGCTTTGCTTTTTTGTTCCAAACATAGTATTTTTCACAAGTCCCACTTACTGCAGTTTAGTCTCACTGACACCATTAGTAATCTATACAACATTTTTGCATTATTTGTCCTTGTTATGATCCTTCTCATGTATTTAGCTGATTCATGCTTCAAACATCATCAAGATCACAAAAAATCCCTTTATGCTCCTAGCAGGTATTGAGGAAAAAAAGAGCCATTCTAAATATGCCAAGAGCATTATAATTCTCCCTAATAAGTGAAATATTTTTATGACAGCCTAACTTACTAGGGCTTCACCAAAGCCTAACTGACTACAGGAAACTTTAGACTCTGACAAGTAAGATCTTGAAATTATACTTGTCATTTTGTCACTAAAAATCTCTAACAGTGCCTCAGCTTCTAAATCTAGCTGCCCCGTAATATCTTAAGCATGTATCTAAAACTTAACTCACTATCTTTGTCAGTACCATGCTCACTCATTTCCTAATATGTTCCCATTACCCACCTTGATTAAAATATAAGGAATACTTCCATACACTAAACATTCCACTGGAGATTCTATAGAGAAATTCTAAAAGGGAAGTTGAATTATCTAACTGAAAATATTAGAGAACTAATACACAAGGCAGTCAAGTGACTTACCAGGACAAGGGAGTAATACCCTATGTATTAATAATTAAGATAACCCAAGTTAGAAGTATCAGTCACACTTACAGATTACCACTGGATCATCTTTAAATAATTATGCATGAATATTCTGTTCTGGTACAAAGAAATAATAAACCACCAATAAGACTAGTCGTATACATATATAGAGATACATGTGTTTTATATATATAGATACACCCACTCCTAGAAGTCAACAGATATTTAAATAAATGAATATAATTTTAAAACACAATCTTCTTAGTTAATGTCTAAGGAGAAAAGGATGGTACAATATGTTACCGGGCTCCAGATATAATTCACCCAGCCTTTCAACTCTGGTATATGTGCATGCAATTACTGGCACATTTTCCTAAGCATCTATCATTTCTGTTGTTTAATACCTACAATGAAATGAGAAATAAATAGGAAATGCAATACATTACTGATATATGGGTAAACTGTTTTCTATTCTTAACATAGTTGTCTTAATGAGTTAACAGTTGAGTAGGTAGATACTTTGATGCAAAGTATCTGTATCTACTCTACCTATAGAGCAGGTATTTGCAGCAGCTTGGAAAATTTAGCACTAGGTCAGTTGCAGCCATCGTTTTCTCTCTTTCTTTTACACTTCACGGTGAATCAGAACAAAACAGGAGTCTTTGATTTTTGTGGCAAGTAGAACCTTGTTCCAAGTTCAATAAGCAGTTTTCGTATGATTGATAATTTGCACAGAAGGATTAAAATGGCTTGAAATTTTAAGTAATTAAATGTGCTTTCTTGTAATAAAAATATTCTAGTCATTCCCTCTATGCTATAAACACTCTGGTATATTATTTCTATAAATACTCTGGTATATTATTTCTCTTTTCTCCTATCTAGTCTATGTGTATGTGTCCATATGTCTAGTGTATGTGTGTGGTAAGAACACAACATGAGATTCACCCTCTTACCACGAAATTTTAAGTGCACACCATATCATTAACTGTATATTAATTGTTGTACAGCAGATCCCTAGAAATTATATCTTGTATAACTTTATACTCACTGAACAACAACTTCCCATTTCCCACTACCCATGTTTAATCATTCTATTTCTGCTTCTATAATTCTGCTTTAGATGGCTCATATAAGTGGAATCATGCTGTATTTGTTCCTGTGACAAGAACTTACATTTTTTAAAAGATTCCATGATGATTCTAGAACAACACCCTCACATGTTAATGGGAAGACTGAGACCTAGAGAAAGGAAAAGGATCACAACATTGTGAGCAGCAGCCTGGGTTCAGGAAGCACCCTTTCTTTCATTCTTGTTTTTCCAACTTTAATTTTAGGTTCAAGGAGTACATGTATGGGTGTGTTATATGGGTAGGTTGCGTGCTGCAGAGGTTTGGTGTATAGATTATTTCATTACCCAGGTAATTAGCATAGAACCCAATAGGTATTTTTTCGATCTTCTTCCTCCTCCCATCTTTCATCCTCAAGTAGGCCCTGGTGTCTATTGTTCTCTTCGTTGTGTCCATGTGCACTCAATGTTTAGTTTCTACTTATAAGTGAGAACATGTGGTATTTGATTTTCTGTTCCTGCATAAGTATGTTAAAGATAATGGCTTCCAGCTCCATCCATATTGCTGCAAAGGGCATGATCTCATTCATTTTATGACTGTGTAGTATTCCATGGTGTATATGTATCACAATTTTCTTTATGCAGTCCACCATTGATGGGCATTTAGGTTGATTTTATGTTTTTGCTATTTTTGAATAGTGTTGTGATGAACATACACATGCATGTGTCTTTATGGCAGAATGATTTATAATCCTTTGGGTATATGCCTAGTAATGGGATTGTTGGGTTGAATGGAAGCTCTGTTTTAAGTTCTTTCAGAAATCTCCAGAGTGCTTTTGACAGTGGCTGAACTAGTTTACATTCCCGCAGGCAGTGTATAAGGGTTCCCTTTTCCTTGCAACATCACCAGCATCTGTTATTTGTTGGCTTTTTAATCATAGCCATTCTGACTGGTATTAGATAGTATCTCATTGTGGTTTTGATTTGCATTTCTCTAATGATTAGTGATGTTGAACATTTTTTCATATGCTTGTTGGCCATACAGATGTCTTCTTTTGAGAAGTGTCTGTTCATGTACTTTTTACATTTTTAAAGGGGTCATTTGTGTTTTCCTTGTTGGTTTAAGTTGTTTTTAAGACTCTGGATAGTAGACCTTTGTCAAATAAATAGTCTGCAAATATTTTCTCCCATTTTGTAGGTTGTCTGTTTACTCTGTTGATAGTTTCTTTTGCTGTGCAGAAGCTTAAAGAGCTTAATTAGGTCCCACTTGTCAATTTTTGTTTCTGTTGCAATTGCAATTGCTCTTGAGGACTTAGTCATAAATACTTTCCCAAGGCCCAGGTCCAGATTGGTGTTTCCTAAGTTTTCTTCTAGGATTCTTATTGTTTGTGGTCTTATATTTAAACCTTTATTCCCTCTCGAGTTAATCTTCATATATGATGAAAGGAAGCGCTCCAGTTTCAATCTTCTGCATACAGCTAGCTAGCTATCCCAGCACCATTTACTGAATAGGGAATCCTTTCCTCACTGCTTATTTTTGTCAACTTTGTTGAAGATTAGATGGCTGTAGGTGTGTGGCTTTAATTCTGCGTTCTCTAACCCATTCCATTGATCTATGTGTATGTTTTTGTACCAGTACCGTGCTGTTTTGTTTACTGTATCCTTGTAGTAGAGTTTGAAATTGGGTAGTGTGATGTCTCCAGCTTTGTTCTTTTTGCTTAGGATTGCTTTGGTGATTCGGGCTCTTTTTTGGTTCCATATAAATTTTAGAATATTTTTTTCTAATTCTGTGATAAATGTTGTTGGTAGTTTGATAGGAATAGCACTGAATCTATAAATTCCTTTGGGCAATATGGCCATTTTAACAACATTGATTCTTCTGATCCATGAGCATGGAATGTTTTTCCATTTGTTTGTGTCATCTATGATTTTTTTTTTTCCTTTTTTTCTTTTTTGAGATGGAGTCTTGCTCTGTTGCCCAGGCTGGAGTGCAGTGGCACTATCTTGGCTCACTGAAACCTCTGCTTCCCAGGTTCAAGCTATTCTCTTGCCTCAGCCTCCTGAGTAGCCAGAATTACAGGCGCATGCCACCACGCCCAACTAATTTTGTATTTTTAGTAGAGATGGGGTTTCAACATATTGATCAGGCTGGTCTCGAACTCCTGACCTTGTGATCTGCCCACTTCAGCCTCCCAAAGTGCTGGGATTACAGGCATGAGCCACTGTGCTCAGCCATCTATGATTTCTTTAAGCAGTGTTTTGTAGTTATCGTTGTAGAGATCTTTCACCTCCTTTGGGTAGATGTACTCTTAAGTAATGTATTTTTTTATTGGCTATTGTAAGTGAGATTGTGTTCTTGATTGGGCTCTCAGCTTGGACACAGTGTACAGAAGTGCTACTGATTTATATATATTGATTTTTTATCCTAAAACTTGGCTAAAGTTTTCATCAAATCTAGGAGCTCTTGAGCAGAGGCTATGGGGATTTCTAGGCATAAAATCATACCACTTGTGAAAAGAGACAGTTTGATTTCTTTTCTTCCTATTCGGATGCCTTTAATTTCTTTATCTTGCCTGACTGTTGTAACTAGGACTTCCAGTACTATGTGGAATAGGAGTGGTGAGAGTGGGCATACTTGTCTTGTTTAAATTCTCAAGGGGAATATGCATCCAGTTTTTGCCCATTCAGCCTCATGCTGGCTGTTGGTTTCTCACAGATGGCTCTTATTATTTCAAGGTATATTCTTTTGATGCCTTAAATCTCTCTCTTAAATTTAATACATTTTGGTCCTTACATTCTTATTGCAATATCTATCAGCAGTATATGTAGGGATATTTTAAACAGTTTCTGACTTTTAAAGGTTTTTGAGGTTAATTACTTTTAATCTACTTCAAAAGTGAAAAATGCTCTATATATTTTGTTTTGCAAATCTAAGGCACATATAAACATTCAATAGTAAAGCAAATATAAACCTAATGCCATCATTGGTATCTTGAAACAAAATATGCTTAATAACACTGATCTAAACTATAAGATAATTTTTGGACTGCTCAAAAAATTCAGAAAGCAGGAATCCTTTCACAAACCAGAAACCCTTATCAACCATAAAACAAGCAGCTCTGCTATAGAGAAAGGCCTTCCTATCAGATTCTTGACAATTTGGGACCAGGTTTAAGATGTATAAGAACTCAGATCTACTCTAAATTTTCAAGATAAGTAAAAATTCTGATCACCTCTAACATTATTTTTCATTACAGTTCCCAATACGTACGAAATATTTCTTTTAAACTTTATAAAGTATTTACATGTTGCAAAATTAGTTGTATGCTTCAAGAGCAACAATTAGGTTAGTGTTATGTGAATTCTTTCAGCTTCCTAGAATCACGTTACAATTTCAGAGTCTTCATCAGTCATGCTCCTGGCTGCTATTTTCATGACCATTTATTAGCTTGGAGGTGATGTATTGTAATATCTGTTTTTAAATTTTCCCCTTTTCCATAAAATAATGCAGTATTTCCACCACAAACAAGACTGACATAACCTGAGGTTTTAAAAGTAATTTTTCATAAAGTTTTATTTCAGTGACTATACACCATGCCAATATAAACAAATTAACTACTTTCTCACTTATCCTTAACTAATTTTAAACTCACAAGACTTTAATATGCCATCCAGATTTTAATGTTTATATGTAATTTTTACAGATGGGTGGGGGAGAGAAGGACCACTGCTAAAACCTCCAAATTTAATTTCCATTTTGATTGTCCTTTTGCAATTCCAAGGTGTACTTAGAAACAGACATGCAGTGAGCCAAAATTGTGCCACTGCACTTCAGCCTGGGTGACAGAGTGAGACTCCATCTCAAAAAAAAAAAAAAAAAGAAAAATAGACATGCATGACATGCATGAATATCATGTAGCTACAAGCAGAAAATGGGAATAATTAATTCTCAGCTTCAGGTAAAGTGGCATCAATCTTACAGGCTTGACAATACAAAACTTTCACTGAACAACTGTGTACTACAGTTGCTCTACTCTTTCACAAATCATTTCTCCATCCCATATCTGGCTATAAGCCAGGGAGAAAAAATGATGGATAACTATTGGGAGCACTTATGTTAAGAATCCTTTGCTTCACTCATGATAGATCACCTTGAAAAAAATGTAGAGAGATCAGAAAGCTCTACAAATATTAATATCAATTATAGCATTCGTATTTTGGTACCTGATGTTATTTTAAATACTTATTTCATTACTTCAAAAATACTGAAAAAATATCTCAACAAATATATTTTTAAAAATCTTTAATGTGGCCTACAAGATGCTGCATGATCCTTCTTTGTCTACCTCTCCATTCACTTTTCTAGCCACTCCTCTCCACTTTCCCATTTGCTCCAACTTCCTTCAGCTGTTTCAGGCCTTTGAGCATTTTATTCCCTCTGTCTACAAGATTTTCCTCTCTTTCCACTCCCCACTCCCCAATATCACTTAAATAATTTCAAATATTATCTTAGGTATCATTTACTTAAGAAAAACTGCCTAACTCCCTGTTTTAAACTCCTATTGTTTTCTGCAGTATTCATCACCATGATAACTATTTAACAAAGAGGTCACAAATTAGTAGCCTACTGGCTATAATAAGCTATTTGATTAAGTCTTATAGTTTCAAAAATCTAAGCCACTGTTTATAATGGAAAGATTACACATAAATCTTACAGTAACCCTATTTAATTTATATTTATCCCTAGATTACAATAAAAAACTATTGACTGAAAACCCAAATTGTTTCCCATTTATATACTTAAACATCTCTAAAATACTTTAAAAACTTTGGATATAAATGTAGTATAACTAAATTTACTTGGCAGCACTTTTGCTTTATTAAGATAAGTACTGAATAATGGAAAAGTTATAGTAGTCAACTGTCCACTCATCTGATGGTGATATTGAACCACAACATTGATACCTGCTTTCTTTGCTTTGGTTAAGCATTTCATGAAAATATAACTGCTGCTTAGATGAATATGAACATTTGTTTTAGCTAAAACTTCACAATTACACTATATCTCTGACTAAAATAAGTTTTACTTCAAGTAAACTCAAAGCCTTATTGTTTTAAGAGACCAAATAAATTCTCTCAAATTCTATGCTACATAAAATATAAGTGTGAAAATAAAATCAGAGGTCACCAGATTCTTGTCCTACTTATCCAAATACACGCAGAACACATTCAATCTAAACATATGAAGAAGAAGAACTTTTTTTTTTTTCTTTTTTATGGAGACAGAGTCTCACTCTGTTGCCCAGGCTGGAGTGCAGAGGCGCCATGTCGGCTCACTGCAAGCTCCGCCTCCTGGGTTCATGCCATTCTCCTGCCTCAGCCTCCCAACTAGCTGAGACTACAGGCGCCTGCCACCACGCCCGTCTAATTTGTTGTATTTTTAGTAGAGATAGAGTTTCACCATGTTAGCCAGGTTGGTAAGAAGAACTTTTAAGTACATACAAAATTTTCTTAAATAGTCAGCTCTCTATATCTATGGGTTCTGCATCCATGGATTTAACCAATTGCTCAGTGAACATATTTGGGGAATAAAAATGAATGTCTGTGTCTGTACTGAGCATGACGTTTTTTCTTGTCATTATTCCCTAAACAATACAGTATAACAACTATTTACATAGCATTTCCATTGTATTAGGCATTAGAAGTTATCGCGAGATGATCTGAAGTATAAAGGTGGATGTGCATAGGTTACATGCAAAGGGACTTGAGCATTTGTGGATTACAGAATCTGGGGGAGTCCTGAAACCAATCCCCCATCGATACCGGGGGATGACTGAACTTGTATTTCACTGAATATCTTGCTATAAAATGAAAATAGTATTATTCATACATACTTTTAACAGATAGAATGCTCATCAGTTAAAAATATCAAATTTGTGCCTACTGTGAACATTTGAACTTATTTATTTGAAGTTTATACTATTACTAATAAATAATATTTTGTTCAGGAATGAGGTGGTAATGTAAATGGAAAGGAAGAAGACATAGATAAGCTAGGCAGCTTTGAAAATATGTGGAAAATGTCATTCCTGTTCATCCAGTTAAGTGCTTTAATAGGACCTATCATCAATGCATTGAGATGTTAGGAGCAGGGATGCTGGGACTGAATTTAAGAGTTATTAATATAAGATGAAATATCTTGGGTCTTTGCATGTAGGATAACCTATTTATAAGCAAAACAGATTAATTATTTCATGGAAAGATGAATTTGCAGTAAGAGCAATTAAGCAAAGAAACCCAATTGTACCAGCTGACACTACATCAACTAAATAGATTTCATTCCTATTTGAATAGCATGCTCTGAACAACATGAGTGTTTAATAAGGTTTGACAGATGTTATGATATAGTGACTAGAAAGGATAAAATTACCAGAATTTCATTTTTAAGGCCTAAAACAAGCAAGATAACATCTCTTGAATGATCATTAGTAAGAATACTGTACAATTCCTTTCAGTTTTGAATTAATCGAGAAACTTTATTCTAATCTTATACCATCTGTAAAGTAAACCCAAAGCAGGCAATTTTAAAGACATAGAATAATTTTTCCTATGGAATTAAGACAGAAATATGTCAGTCGACCATAAAATACACAGTTGCATGAATTTTTTAACAGACAAGCAGAGTTGCCACTAATCTCCCTATAAAGTATAAAAACAGATGCTTCACCAGTGTTTAACAGGAGCATTTATGTATTGAATTGGAAAGGCAATACATTTGCTTGATTTGAAAATGTACAATCAGCATTCCTAATATATATATTTTTAGAACTGGCCAGAAAATGTATTTTAATCCTAATCAATCATCTTATGTTTACTTTGGCAAGCTGGAAATGACAAGAAATCATCTGCATAATATAAACAGTATTCCCAGTTTGCGAAACTAGCTTATTTATTACTGTTCAAAACAAAAAAATAGATAACTTGATTTTCATAATCTCCCAGAAAAAAATATGACCTAAACTATTCATTCATAGTAAGAAATAACTCACTTTAATTAAAATTTGATAAGTCAGAAAGCTGATGATAATAGTTTCAATTTTGAGGGAAGGGGGAATAAAAAGTTTTAAATAAATCCAAGGTATTTTTCTTATTATTTTCCCACAAATGATAAAAAATTTCAACAGAGAGGCGGTAAAGTACCAAGTACAGATCATCCATTAAACATAAAAATGAGGGCTGGCAGTAGGTTTCTTATTTTTCTTGAGAGTAATTAATAAAGACATAATCTTAAGGGACCTTCCTTTTGTTTTTTATTTGGTTTTCAGGCAAATTTGATTCTGGGATAATTTTAAGTGTGTTTATTATCAGCAGTAACTTGGGCCTGCCTGAAAATATGGAGAACAGCACAAGGGATGCTGTCAATAAAGTACTGTGAAGTTTTTTCACCTAAAAAAACTGAAGTTTCTGCAAAAATATAGATTTAGTTACATCCTAGGTAACGACATTAATTTCATCTTTTTACCCATAGCTTCAAAGCTCAGACTATAGTTATCCATATTTCTACATTTAAGCATTCAACTCCTAGGTTTACAAACTCCTTACTTGTGAATACTCTATATAGCTTAACATATTCTCCTGCATTGCATGACATAGATGATTTGTCCTCCCAAGAGGGCAGTATTTCCTTTTGTCAAATCGTAAAATTGTTAGCAAGCAGCTTTGGCTGGGAGGCAACAAAGTTTTGTGAATTGTATCTTTTTATAAACACAGATTCTTAAACACCTTCCCAAGTGGCCTTTCTATACTTTCCATCACTGAAGAGAAACAGCCCCTGTCCTAAGCAAAAGAGCAAATATGATATTGCCCCCAACTTCCTGGCATTTTACCCATTTAGTAGCATTACCAAGATGGAAGTAAATCACAGTGAGCGGGTATGACCCAGATTTGTATTTACAATGCTGGGTCAGCAGAAGAAGCAGTATATGAGAGAAAGAATCCAGAGAGGATGATGAGGCCCAAACAGAAGAGATGCTGAAGGCCTGGATGGTTATTTTTGCCAATGGCTTAAGAATGTGTCATTATTTCATAGTCAAATTTCATTTAATGGCTCCATTTATTTAGATCTATACCTGGTAAATCGGAGAAGAGAAGAATACACTCATTAAAGCCATTAGCCAAAAGCCGGTCCCGCAGCTGCTGAAGAATTGCTACTCCAATACAGAATGGGAAAGAGGAATTCCCAAGTAGTAAGGTATCCCAGAGGTGGAAAATTTTGTGTAGTGGAAATACATCTGTAAAACGATAAAAATACAAATAAATTAAAAAACCAAAATAACAATTAAAACAATAACAACTTACTTTACTAGTTCTATAATTATTACCTTATGGTCAAAACTATTACTTCAGAGCTAATACTACCAAACTCTTTTTATGAAATGTTTATTTGGCTTTGAAAATTTATAGCTTCCTAAGGCATCTTAAAAAATTGATAATCAAACAGATAATATTTTTAACCCTATTAACCATTCATAATATTTCTTCCCAGAACTTTCCAGTTATATTATTCTCACAGATTTATCTAGATGAACTTTAGTGTTGTTTTAGGTACAGTAAAATAACGTATCTATTATATTCTCTAAACAACTGTTTTAATAAATTCCCACCAAAAATCCTATGAGCAACTTCCTATTTTTTGTAACTTCCTTTTTCTTATTAACAATACTATGTATATCTTCCAGGCCACTGCATAAATATCTACTTCAAATATTATTACAGTTACCATGTAAACCATATTTTATTAGTAAGGATGTCCACTTTATTAATATTTGTAGCAAATTAAAGTATTACGCATTCACATAATCTGCTTAATTTCTAGAGGAATCCTAGTTTAAAAAATAAAAGTTACTGAAGAATCTCTGAAAATTAAGCCTGATTTGATTGTAATAGTTGCCCTTATAAGCTTTATGTAAATATTATAGTTAATTTTTTTTCAAAGGGGGGCAGAGTTTGTACAAATATCATGAAATGTCCAATAGGTTTTTATTTTATAGAATTCTCACTTTGATATTCAGGGATCAGAACAACTGAAATTCTTTTCTACCTAACTCTATTATGTTAGAAACACATAAAAATACTTACTAAATCTGCTCAATGTTATTGTAAATATAAAATATGGGGAGGCATCGGGCTGTCCTTTTGCTAATACAATATCAAAAAAACCGGGGGAAGTCATACTTACGAGTAAACATGGTAAGAAACCAAGGGATGGCATAGAGCTATGAGTGGAAAAAGGGGTACAGGGAATGGATAAAAAGGAAATAAAAAAGATAATTAGAATGATTACCAATAAACTAAATGGTAAATGTAAGTTCTATGTTTTGGTCTACTTTATTGGTTAAAATAAAAGAGAATGTAGTGTTAAGTTTAGCCTAAAGCTGCCTCCTTAAATGTTTTAAGTTCGGCCTAAAGATTTCTCCATACATAGTGAATCATATCTAACTGGATGTGTAAACAGACTGTAGCAAATGCTGAGCTGTAACCAATCTAGCTGTTTCTGTACCTCACTTTTGTTTTCTGTATGTCACTTTTCTTTTTCTGTCCATAAATCTTCCACCATGTGGCTATGCTGGAGTGTCTGAACCTCTTCTGGCTTGGGGGCTGCCAATTTATGAATTGGTCTTTCCTCAATTAAACTCTGTTAAATTTAATTTGTCAAAGGTTTTTCTTTTAACATAGGTAATTACAGTTATTACAAATACTCTTATATAATGATACTATCCACATTACAAATGTAGATGACTCTTTTGGCAAAGATTATTCACAGAATGTCTTTATTTCACCAAAGGATAGACTCAAGACCATGGCTAATCCAAATGCAATGCTGGTATACTAATTTCAAGGGTATATTTTACTTTACAGGTTTGTACAGAATATTTCTGAGATTTTAAAGATCCTTGTGTTAGTTAATTGACTGCATCAGGTGATACCTAGGTATCTGGTTAAATGTGTGTGTTTGTGTGTGTGTGTGTGTTTGTGTGTGATGGTGTTTCCAGATAAGATCAGCATTTGAATCAGTGGACTCAGTAAACTGTCCTCTCCAGTGTGGGTAGGTATCATGTAATCAACTGAGAGCCTGAACAAAACAAAGGTAGAGGAAGGAGGAATGTGCCTCTTCTTTTCTACCTCACTGCTTGAGCCGGAACATTTCATCTAATCTTCCCCTGCCTTTAGACTGGGATTTGTATCACCAGCTTCCTGGTTCTCAGACCTTTGGAATCAGAATTACAAACACCTCTAGACTCTCAATTATACCACTGGCTTTCCTGGGTATCCAGCTTTCAAACAGCATATTGTGGGATATCTCAGCCTCCATAAATGTGTGAGCCAATTACTCATAATAAATCTCCTCTATCTATGTTTATATATCTCCTATTGGTTCTGTTTCTCTAGAGAACCCTAATACAGTCCTCATAAGTTTTGAGGTACTCTTAATTGTATTTTTAAGAATTAATTAGATACTTTTTAAATGTTCAAAATGTCTCAATAAAAGGTATTATGAAGCATGTGCTTTTTGTTACCACTTAATTAACAGGATGCTTCATAACAGACTAAAAGTAATAAGATCTAATATTACCATTATTAATAATTTGACAAATTTATTCTCCTAAGTTTACTACCTAGAAATATATACATACACACATATATAGCTATATATATAGTATATATCGTTCTATATACACACATATAGACATATACATTTTCAAATTTTAGAAGGTTTTAGAAGTGACAAATCATCCTTAATTTATAAAAGTAGAGTAAAAATCTCCTTTGTCAATAGCAAGTATCAAAAATCAACAATAATTTACTGAAAAAGCACTAATTTTATTTCACTTTATGAGTTAATACAGGCTGCTATTAAAGACTTCTTTACTACCTACAGGGTTAGTTTAAATAAATATTATTTCAGCACCTAGCAATTATGAATTTATGAGTAAAAGGTGCATATTGTCTTTGCATTTCACTCAATTGAGTATTTATACTATCAAGATGACAGTCAAGAACTTTATAAGTATATTAAAATCTAAGTACTACATGTGAAATAAAACCCACTCATCTCCACCATATCATCATTTTTTATAGGCTGACATTTAGATACATTTTTCTAGGGACAATATAAATGGAAAAAGGAAAAAGTACAAAGGTATATGACTTCACTGTAATGAGTAAGGGTTGTAGAAAACAATAAAACATAAATTGTTCATTTAAATTTAAATTAAAAAATAAAGTCAGCAAAATTAGTTTCATTGCTATTATTCAACATCTCTTTTAAAGACACGACATCAATATTACCTTCTCCCTTTTTGATGAAAGCTAACTGTCATTAAGAATCTTCTTCAAATTATTTCAGCAACTAGCTAACAGTGCCTTTCTCCTATACTAGTCTTTGTAATTAGCTTCATCAAGATCTATGGAAGAATTCTGCTTCTGACCAAGGTGGCATAACAGGAACCAGATTTACCTCCTGAACTGAAACACCTAAAAATCAGACCAAATATATAAAACAACAATTTGTACATCTTAGAGAGTGGTACCTGAGAGAGGAGAAACAAATGAAATGAACCCTAAAATTGCCCAATTTACTGCATGCAAAGAAGTTCCAGGCCACTGACAGGGAGGAAGAACCCAGAAAGAGCTTGGTGGTTGTCCTAAGCTGAATATGCAGAGTAGGAAATCTGGGGAGATCAAGGTGGCTATACTCTTCAGGAGAGTGTCCTGGAAGATTCTGCCAGAGAGAGAGATGCATAGAGAAAGCTCCAGAAGTCTGCTGAAGATTCCCCTCAAATCTTTGCTAATTACTGAAGAGTGTGTGTGTGTGTGTGTGTGTGTGTACACAGAAAACATATCTGAGTGTGTGTGTGTGTGTGTGTGTGTGTATATATATATATATATATATAATACAAAGTAGGGCAGAAACCACTTCAAATGATCAGAGTGAAAAAATGCCAAGATCATAAAATGCCAAGAAGAGTTCATTTTTTCACTAACCAGAATGAAAACAACAAAACAAAACAAAACAAAACAAAAAAACACCCACAACTGTTATAAACAAGGCATTAGGGAGAGTAGTCAGAAGAGCATTGCTTTAGTAATGGAGGAAAATTATGCTCCAAAACCAAGCTGCTCTGGCCCCATTAAATAAACCTTAAAAGCAAGCCTTGAAAGGATCAAATTGTTTCAGTGTAACTTAACTGCACCCAATCACACTCATGGTCACCCCCAAACTGCCTCTTTTTTCTACCAACACCATTATTATAGTCACTTAGGTAGAAAAATCTTAGGTATAAAAGTAAGTCTGATAGATATTATTTTTACAAGGTCTCTTCAGTCTTCTGTTTCTATCCATTCATACTGAACTAATCTTGTTTTGGTTCTCATTCTTCTTTCATGGACTACTGCAAATGTTTCATAGTTGTTCAGGTTCTACCTGGTCCAATATTTCCTTTAGCCAAATTGATTTTTCTAAATATGCAACTGTGA
Source organism: Homo sapiens (assembly GCF_000001405.40). Taxonomy (NCBI): domain Eukaryota; kingdom Metazoa; phylum Chordata; class Mammalia; order Primates; family Hominidae; genus Homo; species Homo sapiens. Next base: position 106,198,017 of record NC_000004.12, read on the forward strand.
TGACATCATTCCTCTGTTCCACCACATCAATATGTTCCCACTGCATACCAAATTAAGTACAATTTTGTACTCATGCATTTAAGGCCACTGTGAATTAGTGAAAAAGCCAAGGACTTGGAGTCAGAAAACATACAACTGAGTTTTGACTCTGATGATTACTGGATAGCGTGCCTTGGTCAAGTTAGTTAACCTCTGTGAATCCCAGATCTTCGTTTTTGAAATAGGAAAACTAATGTCTGTCTTAACTATGTCATAGAGATGGTGTGATGTGGAAATAATATATGTGAAAATGCTTTGTAAACAGTAACAACCTGCAAATTTAAAGTAGTATTATTATTAATATCAGTATAAGAAACTCTAAATTTCTTTGCACCTTACTACTTCCCTACACATGTTCTACTTCCTGAGAAGGCAGATTTACTATGATCTGAACACACTACTTTCCTAACGATGCACTTTGCATTTTCTTCTTTGAATGCTCCTTCCTGATCATTTCCATCAATCCAAAGCTCTACAAGATTTTTCCAAGCCTGCCTCAAATGCCACTTGTTCTGTGAAAACTTTTTGTATATTTTTTATGATACCTATCCCACTATGCTTTGTATCATATATAATATAGTTGTATTATATATAATCATGGTAATCATTTTTATATTATAATTACCTATCACAACATACTTGTACTATACTTAATTCTGGGTATATTCATTCACTCTTTCATTCATTCATGCTTGCTTTTGTTCATTTATTCAATATGAAATGCTTTGTGCTAAATGCCACGTGTCCCACTCTAGCAGAAGAGTCAGACATACGAACAGATACCTAAAATGCTTTACTATTAAGTACGACAATACAAGTTCTGGTATAAGGTAATGGCAGCAAAGTTACAGGAGCTTATGGCCTTTCCTATCATATTCTCTGCAGGAGAATGATAGGATTCTTGTGAATAAATGTTATTTTACTCATTTATTCATTAATTCAATATTTACTAAGTGCCTAATACATGCCAGATCTGTGTTAGGTGATAGGCTATAGCAGTGAACAAAGCATAGTTCCAGGCTACAGGGAACTTACAATAAGAGCAGTAGATATTCATTAAATAGTCTCTCAACCCACTCTAATCAAGTTCTTGCCTCCACCTCACCACTGAAACTGTTCTTACCTTGGTCATCAATAATTTCTATGTCATTAAATCTAATGGCCAATTCTCAATTGCAATCTTTCTTTACCAATCAGCAGGATTTGACAAAGTTGACTATTCCCACTTCTTCAGAACATTTTTTTCCCTCCACTTGGCTTCCAAAACACCATACTCACCTAGTTTTGTTCTTATCTTTCTGATTGCTCCTTATCCATCTCCTTTGTTGGTTCCTCTTCCTCTCTCTCACTCTCAACCTGGAGTGTCCCAGGTTCAGTTCTTAGATACCTTTTCTTTTCTTTTCTATTTTTCTCCAAATAACTGTGTAGTTTGAGGACCCTATTTCAGCTCCATCCCTAAACCTCTCCTACAAATTCTGAAACTGTATATCCAAATGCCTGTTTTCTCCACTTGCATGTCTAACAGATACACATATCCTAAAACGAGCTTCTGAGACTTCCTTCAAAATCTATACCTCCAAGTAGTTTCCAAATCTCAGTTAGAAGCAACTCTATCCCCTTTCAATTGCTCAGGTACTTGACTCCTCTCTTCCTCACACACTGTATATTTGTCACCAGTAGTCCTGCTGGCTCTACCTTCAAAAGATATGCAGCATATAAAAACTTCCCACTACTTCCACTGCTAATATCTTGATTCGAGCCAACATTATCTCTTGCCTAGACTATTGCAATAGTCCATGACTAGTTTCCTAGATTCCATTCTTGCCCATCCTTCGATTTTTCTCAGCATAGCAGCCAGAATGACCTTGTTAAAATCTTTACATGAGACATCACTCCTCTGCTCAAAAGCATCAGTGGCTTTCCACCTCTAACAATAAAAGCCAAAGTCCTAATGATGATCAACAAAACTATGTAATATGGCCCTCTATTACCTATTTGACCTTATCTTCTTGTTCACTGTGCTCTAGTTACAATGGTCTACTGGCTGCTCCTCCACATCTCTGATATGCTTCCACATCAGGGCTGTAGCAACTGCTGCTGCTTTCGCTTGGTTTGCTCTTTCCTTTGCTTTCTTAAAGCATTTATTCATAAGTCAACTTTTCTGTGAGGTTTTCTTGGTTACCTTACTTATTTCAAAATTCATGGCCAGGTGCAGTGGCTCATTCCCACAATCTCAGCACTTTGGGAGGCCAAAGCGGGAGGACTGCTTGAGCCAAGAATCCAAGACCAGCCTGGGTAACATAGGGAGACCTCATGTCTACAAAAAATTTAAAAAGTAGATGGGTCTGGTGGCGCATGCCTGTGGTCCCAGCTACTTGGGAGGCTGAGGAGGGAGGATTACTTGAGCCCAAGAGGTTGAGACTGCAATGAGCCATAATCACACCACTGCACTCCAGCCTAGGTGACAGAGCAAGACCCTGTCTCAGAAATAAATAATGAAAATTCAATCTCTTCTTTACCTGAGCACATAACATCCATACCTCTGCTTTAGCTTTTTTTTTTAAATTAGAACTTACCACTACCTACCATATAATATATTTATCTTCATTATTGTCTATTTACTCTAGAATATGAGGTCAGATATTTTTGTCTATCTCTTATTTTATTGCTGATATATTATCCATGGCATAGAAAAATGTCTGGCACATAATAGGCACACAAATATTTGTTGAAAGGATCAATCAAATATTTGTTGAAAGAATGAATGAAAAACACAATGAAAATCAATGAAAGTGATAAATTAAAAGATCCAAATAGTCATGAGATTATATATTTTCTTAAGAAGTTTTCAACAAATATGAAATAATGAGAAAATGAGTTAGTCCTTCCTTGCTTAATATTGGGGAAAAATCCTTCATATTAAATAATGGCATGTATTTAAAAAAATTAAACTTGAGATTTTGTTATATACCTATACTTTGATAATAATTATAAAAAATTATTTAAAATAAGCAAAACAAAGCTTATTCTAATGATATTTGAAAAGTAATAATTAGTTCAAGTTGAATAAATATCTTTAATATAACATATAACAGCTCCTAGGTGCTTACCAGAACCAGTTATCTCTTACCAATTAAGGATAATTAAGATTAATAAATAAGTAATGTACTCTGTGAGATAGTAATGTCTATTATTTTTTCTTTCTATATTTCTCCCGTTTAAAATATTGATATTTTCATCTTAAATAATTACTCAGGATATTGGCACAGCTTCATAATATAGCCTGATATAAAAAAGACATCAAGATACAATAATTTTGAATACCAGGTGGGTTTTGATTAAAAAGAAAAGCAATTTAATATTAGAGATATTATTAGCTATTTCCTGATTTAATAGAAAATGAAATCCAATGAAAAGAAATCATACATACTCTAAGTATTTTCTCCAGATCATGAAATTATGTACAATTGATTTGGTGTAGTGCTATTCTACACAGTCAGCTAAGTAAATACTGCCCCCTAGCAATATCAAGCAAGAGTAGTGATATTTAGCATTTCATGAGATCCTTCCATGTGGTCTGGTAATGTCAAATTTAGAACCATCAATAGGAAAAACAAAGGAAGGGAGAACCATCAATAGGAAAAACAAAGGAAGGGGGATAATTTTCTTGATTTTGAAAAGCAGAAAATTATGTTTTACTACTACAAAGAGGAGTCCCTTTCTATTGATTTTCTTAATCCACATCCTTTATAAGCATACTATATTGTCTATCTTAAGTCAGAAGTATTTTCATATTTAAATTATTATATGCCTTCTCTGTAATACATATTGACCATTAGTTTAATGCTTTTGCAATGATTCTTTATATGTACATTAGGAAACATATATACAGACATTCCAGAAAAGAATGTGTAAAAATCTGCACTTTGCGACCTGATAAAGTTATCTCCTTGAACCTTTAGGATTATTGTGAAGATTAGTTAATGGATCTAGAACATCTGGCATTTAGTAAACTTAAATATAGGAGTTACAATGATCACCCAGAATCTTCAGTAATGGAAAAGTATTTTAACAAGCCAAAGTTCTGAGGTAACCTCATTAAGTCATATAACAAAAGATACACACTTTTTTTTTTTTAAATTAGGAGAGGCATGAGCAGAAAATAAAAAGAATAGACTCCTAGGCACTGTATAAAATATTTTATTTATCAGTAACAATTATTTCATCAATACCAATTAATTATTCTCAACTATGCTTAAAAATACTAATAAGAAAACAGAAGAATGATGGAATCATCTACAAGGATAGCACAGTACTAAAATAAATCATCACTATTATGCCATCCTTCATTTTTCTTTTTGTGCTAGCCATAGTATTGCACCATCTTTCAAGAAGATATGAAAGATGTACAGAGACACCATCATTATAGATTTTTTGTTGTTTTTTTACGTTTTCATTGAACACAGCTAAAGATTGAGAATTTTCCATTTTCCACCTTTATTATTAAAAAGAAAAGAGAAAACTGTTTCATAACAGGGGAAAATGTTTTACAATTACTGGACTAATCAGAAGATGAATGCAAAAAGATAGCAACAGTTTAACTCAAGTCAAATGGTAAAATTAGTCACACAAGTGATATTGCAAATTGTGAGTGCTCAGATGACAGTCTCTTAGGTGAATTTCCTCAAACACAGCTATCAGAGTAAACAATAAATAAGTCTGGAATTCTCATTCAGTCAGTCATTCAATGTGAAGGGCCTCACCACACAATATTTTGCAATAAGAAACCTGGACCATTTTACTTTGCTAAAAGGATATATGAGAGTAATATTTGATTTTTTATGATATTTGTGCACCAAAATTTTTGATACAGTTTAAGCAAATAAATGCTATAAGTGTATGTGTTTGCAATGTAATTATAAATAGATGATATAGAAATAAAAATTAAATTTATTCTAATTTGTGTTCATAAATCTAAAAATGAAAATGTTTTCAAATTATGGAATAAAAGACAGCTGTTCTTCAACCAAGTTATGAGCTCTGTCAGTGTTTCATTTTGATGACTGTGTTATAACCATGCAAGTGCAAGAAGAACCAGAAATCAGCTAGAACCTATGAGAGACATATTTGAAATACGGAATCAGTATTTATATGATGGATATCCTTCAGGCTCATGTATGACAGCTGAGCAGTAAGTTCAAAGGACATATACACATATATATTTTCACATATATATATATATATATATACTTTCAAAATAAGGAATATATGACATAAAATTTTGGGTTTGTTGTGTTTAAATTCTTAATATTTTAATACAGTTTTTTACTATGCTTTATTCTACTTCTGCAAATTATTCACAAAATGACTTAAACATATAAAAATAATGTAAAAGATCCCTTGGACCCAAAAAGTAAATGGTTAATTTTTTTCCTCTATATACCAAAGATTATATTAGTTATATCTTTTACAGGTCATGATTTCTCTAAATAAAAAAAGAAACAAATAAAAAATAACTAACTGTATAAACATACCTTTTATTATTTATTCTCAGTTGGCTTACAATATTGAACAAAAGAACTATACACTGAAAACTTACAAGAAAATCACTCAGATAATTTAATGGTTCTGAGATCTACATTATCATTTTTGGGAAAGATGAGCTATTATTCCAGAATATATTTCAATTATTTCATTGATTACTACAAAAAACTTTTCAAAATTTTCAAACATAATTCATTCTAATTTACTTTAAGTAAAAGAAAGACTATAAAACATGTTATGTAGCACTTTGTTGAGATAGAGAAGTACCTTAAAATCAAGCAATTAAAAAGATTAAAATTCAAAGTGGCAGAAAATCTCATCAATTCAGACAACCTTGAAAGTCTTTATTGTTATTAGTACCATACCTCCTCTGACAGAGTATTCATTAACTGATGTAGCAAAATAATATATCCATTATAGCTTGTAATATAATGTTCTTCTAAATATGAATCATGCTAATAAAAGAAATAATGCAACATGATCAAACTCTAGTAATATTAAATAAAGAACAATACCCCTTAACAATTATAGTGTGCCTGGAGCTGTGTTGAACAGTTTATATGCATTCTCTAAACTTCATTATGAGGTAGAATTTATTATAATCTACATCAATGGTAAGAGGGTTGCAGGGAAAAAACTAAAACTAAAGCTAAAAATAGATTATGTAATTAGTATATGGAATAGCCAGAATTTAGAACCCTGGACCATTTGGCACAAGTGTCTGAGTACTTAACCTCTACACCAGCTTTCTTAAATCTTGGTCACAGGCCCTGGCGGTCCTTAAGTCCCTTCGGGGTCCACCAATTCAAAGCTATTTTTGTAATAATACTAAGATGATTTGCTCTTTTTACTGGATTGATATTTATGCTAATGGTGCAAAGCCACTGGTGGATAAAACTGCTGGCATGTTAGCACAATTTAAGGCACAGGCACCGAAGTATAATAATGGTCATGTGAAGGAGTAAAAATTATTAAATTTATTAAATATCTCTTTTAAAATTTGTGAAATAAAATGGAAGTAAGTGTAAAGCACTTGTGCTATCTACTGAAGTACAAAGAGGTAAAGCACTTGGGTAATCATCTGTGAGCTAATATTGATGGTTTCTGCAAGAAATACTATGTTTATTTGAAAGAATGACAGACAAACAATGATTTTTTTTTTTTTTTTTTTTTTTTTGAGACGGAGTCTCGCTCTGTCGCCCAGGCCGGACTGCGGACTGCAGTGGCGCAATCTCGGCTCACTGCAAGCTCCGCTTCCCGGGTTCACGCCATTCTCCTGCCTCAGCCTCCCGAGTAGCTGGGACTACAGGCGCCCGCCACCGCGCCCGGCTAATTTTTTGTATTTTTAGTAGAGACGGGGTTTCACCTTGTTAGCCAGGATGGTCTCGATCTCCTGACCTCATGATCCACCCGCCTCGGCCTCCCAAAGTGCTGGGATTACACGCGTGAGCCACCGCGCCCGGCCCAAACAATGATTTTTTTAAATGTACAAAGTGAAACAGTTACTTTAAGAAAAAATGAGAGCTTTTAGGCGAAGATTAAAATTTTGGAAAGCTAATATCTGCCACTGTGAAATTGGTCGGTTCCCAATACTTAATCACTTTTTGGAGAAGACCTGTTGTGATATTAATAAATGTGATTTTAAAAATATTCTATAATGAAATGCTTCATAGTTGGAAGATCTGTGTAACTCAGCAACCAATATTTTTCAATGACAAATTCATGACACTACAAAATTATGTATGAGTAAAAGAGCCATCTAAATTGCAAGATAGAGTGATGGATTTTAGTATAACAGAGTATGAGAAGTTCACTGACATGGTTTTAGACTGTACATAGCAACTAGCTTTAAGAAACAATGAGGCCAGGCACAGTGGATCACGCTTGTAATCCCAGCACTTTGGGAGGCCAAGGCAGGTGGATCACTTGAAGTCAGGAGTTCAAGACCAGCCTGGCCAACATGGTGAAGCCCTCTCCACTAAAAATACAAAAAAAAAAAAAAAAAAAAAAAAAAAAATTAGCCAGGCATGGTGGCAAACACCTGTAATCCCAGTTACTTGGGAGGCTGAGGCAGGAGAATCGCTTGAACCCGGGAGGCAGAGGTTGCAGTGAGCCGAGATCACTGCACTTCCAGCCTGAGTGATGGAGTGAGACTCTGTCTCAAAAAAAAAACAACAAAAAAAACAAAAAAAACCACTGCTCTGAGAAGTTTAAGAAACTACCGCTATCTGAGAAACTATTAACGTGTCTGTGTGAGGTCACATTTTCTTCATATAGTTAAACAAGTAAAAAGATTATAAAAATGTAAAAGATTATAAAAAGGTAAAACAATACCACTATTGCATTTTTGGGGAAAAATGTAACTATTTCTCAGAAAAATATGTTACTTTGGTTAACATGCAATGGTTTTGTTATTGTTATTTTTAAATGAATTATAAATACATAAATATATTTTAAATCTCTATAAATATCGATAGCTATAACTCATGTAAACAAAAACTCTTTGAGGTCCTCAATAATTTTTCAGAATATAAAGGGGTTCTGAGAGCAAAATGTTTTAGAACTGCTCCATTATGCCATACTTCCTTTCACCTGTTTCTGGACAGCATAAGGAATCATTAGATTAGAAACAGATGTGGGGGTAATGCAAATGAGGATTTACTGAATTGGAAAACTTGCTAGATATTTAACTTGTGTGTATAGTTTTTTGGCTAGAAAGTACCAAAAATGTCATTTTATCATCCCTGATACTATTAATAGCCACTTTGATTTCTAAAATCTGGGCACTTTCTGAAAGGTAATCAAGCTTCACTACGAGAGAGAGACTTTAATAAGCCATTTGTATTCAAAGGCCTTAATGGATCCAATGCCAGTAGAATGGGGTTTGTACTAATGTTGGGGACATAGCAGCTACCAGACAAGAGGACACATCACAGGACTCTTCAGAGAGACTATAACAGGCTAGTAGGACTCTTATTATGAGATATTCTAAATAAGGTGGATATTCCTAGTTTTTCCTGTAATTACATCTTGATAAAATCTGAAAAGCTCATTGTCAGTATTCTCTTTAGACTAAAATCTAAAATTTATTTACGTAACAACATAATGAAGATAAAGAACAAATGAAGGAACAAATACATAAATATTTCTGAGCAGTTTAAACTCGGCTGAATATACATTTTGAAAATGATTGTGATAAGCTTTTAAGTAGTATAAGCATCCTTTCAGATTGTAGTTAAATGTCAATGGCTTTACCAGCATATCATGGAATTTGTTAGCTTTATCTTTAGCTGTGACAGTAGGTTGAAAAGGCACATATAGTACTGATACACTCCTTATCATTTCTCTTAATGGTTACCTGACAACTCTTCATAATTTGCAAGCTGAATACTATTCACAGAATTTCAGGAAAACAGTTCCCTTAAGAATGAATCATACTTTCCTGATCTCATTTTAAATGAGGCCTACTATATTTTTAAAAGCAGAAACACATATCAAGACAAAAATGATAAATATCACCCTGTCTCCAATTTTATCAAATACACATTATTCACCCTATTTATATGTAAATCACATAACTACCATGAAATGTATAATCTAGGCATCACATCAGTGTACAATATTTCTAACTATTCAAGCTTTAGCAGTGCTCAGTATTCAGAGTTCCGTGACCCAGAGCAAAAGGAAAAAAGCCAGAAATCACAATCTCTACTGCAATGGAAGCCTGAATTTCAATGATGAAAGATTAATGAGGGCTTACTTTGATAGGTTTAGTTCTTGAGTAGGAAACTCGGTTTGGTAAATCATTATCAAAGTACCCACTCTTTTACTTGATGAATCTAGCTTGTATTGTTGTTAGAGGCATAGAAAGTTACCTCAATAATTAAAGGTAGAACATTAAAGACAACCATTCAGAATTTTTAAAAAATGCTATATACACAAACTAATAAAATACAACTAAAATATGTTATTAATAGAGTTAAAAAATGTTTTTAAAAGTCCTCCATTTCATCATGCCCCTCCCATAAGTACTCACTGTCAATAATGTCTACATTGAAACATTAAATCTGTTCACAAAATTGAATTTAAAAAAGGCCTCATCATTTTTATATTATCCACAGGCTTGAAAAACAGCTGAATTAAAAAACAAACACAAAGAAAAAGATTTCAAAAAACAGTCTTCCTATTAACATTTTAGCTTTCTTTGTTGAATAACTTTGCCCACTCTCTGTGACAAGAAAACAGTTGTAGATGGGACTCTTCTTCAGGTTAAGATATATTATTTCCCCTCATTTCTTTCTGTTTACTCTAAAATTCTTAACAAGTGACAGAACCGTTTGCTAGAGGACATTCAGAAATACATGTGAATTAATTACTCAGAAATGAGTGTAGAGGCATTTTTTTGTAATGATGATTAGAGGATTGCTAGTGGCAATGAGTGGTTGGGGGTCAGGGATGCTCAGCATTTGCCATGTGCTGGATATTCCTATCCCACAAAGAATTACTTCCCATCCCATATGACTTAAAACTGTCTCTGAAGACTAATCACACTACCATTGATAGCAGCAGGAGGCAGAAAAATCCCTAGGCAGATGGGGCAAGTCCCCAGTGTAATCCAATCTTAAACCAAAGACAGTTTAAGGTCTGAAAACCAAGATACAGGTCTCATACATATCTACAGAATGTATTGAGAACCTCTCCCGTATGGCACACTTTCCTCTGATTGATCCCTACCATTCACCTATTTTACATATACCTACCCTTCCCTAATTAGTTTTTTACACTGTTGTGGCCATCTTTGAGTGGTGCCTTTTTTTTTTTTTTTTAGCTTTTTTTGCATACTCACAAACCAATTAGCACATACACTCCCATTCTGAGCATATAAAAGCCCCAGGCTCAGCCACACTTTGGGCTACCCACTTTTAGGTGGTGGGAAGACTACCCAACTTCAGGTAAGGGTGCTGTCCAACTCAGGCTTCCTTCTCTGCTGAGAGCTGTTTTGTTACTGAGTAAAACTCTTTGCCTCACTCAACCGCTAGCTGTCAGCACAACCTTATTCTTGGACATGGGAAAAGAACTCAGGACCCACCAAACGGCAAGTGCAAACAAAGCTGTAACCCTGTAGCACACCCCTCCTGCTTGCCAAACAATGGGAGAAGGGACCTCTGGGCACCACACACCTCCATTTGTTGGGCTGTGGATGTGAGACTGAAAGAACTGTTAGCATGCTGTAACACCCCCTTTGGGGCTTTGGGGTCACATGCCCACCTCTGTTCAAGTGTCACAGCATTCCCCTCATCCAGACGCCGGCTCCCAAGGTGGAAGTAGGTCATGGCATGCCTGGCTCAGCCGCAGAGCAAGTGCAGGATCTGGGCCAGAGCTCAAGCCAAGCACAGCCTGCCTGGCCAGGTGGGCAGGGTACCTAGTGGGGCAAGCCCAGGGCCAAGTGAGACATGGGCAGGGGCAATGCCCACCATGAAGATCTCTGCTGGCAAAGTGACACTGAAAAAATCCTCTGTCACTATACAAATCAATATTACTTTCTTAATAACACTACAATTGCAGAACTTTTTTACAAGAAGTTAAGCAATAATGCTCCAGTAATTTTATGTGTAGATCATAACAGGGAAGCATAAATAAATATATTATGTCACAATTATTTAGTTATTGAGTAATTCACTCACCCTGCATAGCAGCACACTTAACACCAATGTACTCTCCACTCAGATTTAACAAGCATTAACATTTTGCCACATTTACTCTAAAATTTTTTAAACCAAAATAAAATATGACCAATACAATAGAAGCCCCTTTTGTACTACTCCTGAATTTCAATCCTCTCTTTTTAAATTTATGTTTTATACTTTCTGTAACCTTAATAAGAATTATTTCTTAGATAAAAAAATACAAATATAATATTCCATATTTAAGTCTTCTAATGGATCTAGAATTTATTTTTATGTGTGGTATGAAGTTAGGCTTTCATTTACACTGCCCTCCACATCCACATAGTTACTCAATCAGGACCATCAACAATGCTTTCTTTTCTAATTGATTGTATGGTCATCTCTGTCATATATCACCAAATTCTATACAGGGATGGGTCTGTTTTGTGTTCTCTCTTGTATTTTACTAGCTTCTATTAATATCACTAATGTTGTTCTGGTTAATTGCCTGACTTTTTTTTAATCTCCTTTGGCCAATATCTTTAAGTTTTTATATTTATCTCTTATAAGTACTATCAAGATAGATTTTCAAAAATATCTGAAAATCTCCTTTAATAAGCCATTTAATTAGCTTACATTCTTTCTATGTTCTTTCTGCTTTTATAAGATTAAATGTCTTTTCTTTGTTCTATCCTGCACCCCTCCATTGGTTTAGAAGTTACATATTCTCTCTTTATTCTTTTCAGGATTACCATTAAATTAAAATTTTAATGTGCATTATTGAACTTCTGAATTTCTTGTGAGGAGAGACATTTACTGTCCTTTGTTCTAGACTATCTTTTCAAATATGTTTGTATAAAAAACAGCCTTGGAAAGCAGAAATGGAATCTCCTTCTAGACAAAAGACAGATTTACTAATAGCCTTAGAAGAAAAAGACAGGCTCTCTCTCTTGAACAAAGGGAAGGCAAAAAAAAAATCCAATTCCTTAAGCTCATGGTTTCTCTCTTGTAATGTAATCCACTACATATGCAGGTATCATCTGGGTCCTTGATGTTGTTTCCATAGGATTTGAGAGCAAGAGAAACCAACACAAATATGCTAATGTTCATGCTGCTTGCTGTACTGTTAGTGATAATGTCCTTGGTCTCTGGCCCAGGAATCTTGCATTTTCTGCCTGTATCCAGAAAACAGTAATAGGCTAACTTATAAGCTTTCAAGGAGGGTACAATCAAATCTCAGATCTGAAAGGTTCCCTGACTTAATGTCTAAATAAAATGAGCATTCCCTCTAAATAATGCTAAAACATTAGAACACATTTTAACTGATTCCCACCTACTTTTACCTTTCACGTTATTATTTAGAATTTTATTTTCACCTTATTATTAGCCCTTCCCAAAGTGGATTTATATATATTTAAGTAACTTTTTACACAGATTTATAAACTTGTAGTATTTGATGAGTGATAATATTTAAAGAGGGTGGAAAAGTGCTTGGTACACAGTAAACATTTAATATGTATTCACATTAATTATGTTTTAACAATATTTTTAACTCAACATTGTTTCTTACATCATACTCATTCAGAATTCAATTTTCTGATTAACTAAAGTTATTTGTCCTTGTGTGTTTCCTTTCTTAATATTATCTCTGTTCATGAATATGTCTAAGGATTTTTATTGGATTATCTTTATAATTCTACACATTATTTTTTAAAGAGATGAAGTGTTGCTATGTTGTTTTGGTCTCAAACTCCTAGCCTCAAGTGATCCTCCTGCCTCAGCCTTTCAAGCATAAGCCACCGCACCTGGTTTCCAAACATACTTGTCTACATAAATGTTTTCTGTTTCTGTTCAGTGCTGAGCACAATTTAATTAGGTGCCTTTACAAAAATTTTTTGAAAATAATTATCTTTTTTAGTCTAAATTTTAAATACTTAATATTCTTTTTTACTCAAAAATCTAACACCATTACCAACTTGGCAGTCAGCTCCTTGACAGCTTCTTCAACTCTAGCCATAAGATTGGATCTATATTGTATTATACCTCACATTTATAATGATATTATACTCCAACAGCCTTTTATTTTTATTCTTTAATTTTAAAAATCAGTTTTTATTGATTTTTTAAATTCCTTATATAAGTATTTTTCAAATTTAGGTTTATAAAATCATCTTATTAAATGTAGACTTTTCAAAAATAACACAATGCATCACATGTAGGAGGCAGAAAACATTGTTTTGTAAAACTTATTTTAGTTGTATACACACATACACAACACCACTCGAATTCTGTGTGCCCCAGGTCTCAATATAAAATGTATTTCTTCCCATGCATTGTGAGAATAAACAGTTTTTAAGAAACTGCTTTATAGTATTCTATTAAACATGATCACATAATATAGTTTTAGGAAGTTTTTAACATTACAAAAAAAACACCTTAAATGAAAACAATTAAAAATTGCACTTAAGCCCCCTCGGTACCCATAACTCCTGTAACCCTACATAATCATAATTAATATTCTAGAGTATAGCCTTTCAACTTTTCCTATGTATATACACATATACACTAAATTCTATTTTATGAAAATGAGATAATACCATAATATTATTTTATAAATTACATTTCCTACTTTAATGATATGTAATGTGAACATTTTGGTTTTTTATCAATAATTTTTAATAAAGTATCTTCCTAAAAAATTATAATTGCTTGAGGTCAGGTGCCTTCAGCTTAACTTTTGAATGAATAATACATTCACAGTGTTAAAAAAAATTTTTTAATGTCAAATGTAACAAGAAAACAATTTCCTTTGCACCCACGCTACCACTTGCATCCCCATCACCAAGCAGCTAACTTTTGTTATTAATTTATTTTCCTCTCCACTTTCATTTGTTATTTTTAATTGATAAGTAATAATTGTATACATTTATTGGATACAATGTGATGTTTTGATATATGTTTATTCAACAGCCTTTAAAAAGGGCTTGATTCTATGTGACAAACAACAAATAAAAAACAGGCTAAGTCACGCTACAGCTAACGTTTGATTTTCAACTCTGACTTTTAGCTTGATGTGGACTACAGAGAAAAGAAAACCCAAAATCTATCTAAGCTCCCAAAGTAGTATCAAGTAAAACACAGAAGTTACTTTCACTTAAGTATAGACTTCCTATATCTTCAAAATCAGGCCTGAATATCATAAAATCCAAGTGAAAAGCCTACACAGCACAGTTTAATACAACACTATCACTAATGATTTTCTCAAAACTATCAACTATGCTAAGAAAAATGACTTATTTTCATTACTTAAGGTGGAAATATGGAAAGTAGCCACAAACTTACTAATACAAGGCTACAATTAGTAGCAGTAACTTGTTCAGATATGCACTATGACAACAAAAATTAAGAAAATACACTCTTCTGTGCTAATAATTTCTGCTTTTTTTTTTTAACCACATGTTCTATTAATGCACCAAGTACTTACATCTGGAATGAAACCAATCTCATTGAGATGATTACTCAGCTCTGGATCATGAAATGCAATCATCTGAGAGAAGACAGTCAGATACTCTGAAATTACAAAGTTTGAGACAATCATCATTTTTACACAGTACTCCAAGAACATTATATTCAAATATAGTTTTATTTATACATTGAATGAGATTTAATTTCTCCATGAGAATACTTTACGTGATAATTTTGTTTTGTTACTATTTTAATTACTTACTGCTAATTATTAAACAAGCACACCAACAAACTGTCATAACCTATTTTCTGCCTTCAGAGTTATCAGTTCATTTCTTGAGTCACAAATTGTACACATGATAAATAATGTTTTCCTGTTAAACTCTACAAGCACATTTTCTCTGGTAATATTAAATCTGCTTTGTATTTCTTGAATGTTCAGAAAGTGTAGCAGATCCTTAAATGAAGGAGAACATTTATAAGCAGTCACAAATGGAATAATAATGTCTCAAATTTGTTTATATATACAGATAAAACATATGCCTCTATATAGGCATCTGTTCCAGTTCTAATTTATTTCCATCTAAGACTTAGCAATTTGGCATATTTAGAAATAAGAATACCGGGGGAGGAACCAAGATGGCCGAATAGGAACAGCTCAGGTCTACAGCTCCCAGCCTGAGCGACGCAGAAGACAGGTGATTTCTGCATTTCCATTTGAGGTACCGGGTTCATCTCACTAGGGAGTGACAGACAGTGGGCGCAGGCAAGTGGGTGCGCGCACCGTGCGCGAGCCAAAGCAGGGCGAGGCATTGCCTCACTCGGGAAGCGCAAGGGGTCAGGGAGTTCCCTTTCCTAATCAAAGAAAGGGGTGACGGACGGCACCTGGACAATCGGGTCACTCCCACCCGAATACTGCGCTTTTCCGACGGGCTTAAAAAACGGCACACCACGAGATTATATCCTGCACCTGGCTCAGAGGGTCCTACCCCACGGAGTCTCCCTGATTGCTAGCACAGCAGTCTGAGATCAAACTGCAAGGCGGCAGCGAGGCTGGGGGAGGGGCGCCCACCATTGCCCAGGCTTGCTTAGGTAAACAAAGCAGCCCGGAAGCTCGAACTGGGTGGAGCCTACCACAGCTCAAGGAGGCCTGCGTGCCTCTGTAGGCTCCACCTCTGGGGGCAGGGCACAGACAAACAAAAAGACAGCAGTAACCTCTGCAGACTTAAATGTCTCTGTCTGACAGCTTTGAAGAGAGCAGTGGTTCTCCCAGCATGCAGCTGGAGGTCTGAGAACCAGCAGACTGCCCCCTCAAGTGGGTCCCTGACCCCTGACCCCCGAGCAGCCTAACTGGGAGGCACCCTCCAGCAGGGGCACACTGACACCTCACACGGCAGGGTACTCCAACAGACCTGCAGCTGAGGGTCCTGTCTGTTAGAAGGAAAACTAACAAACAGAAAGGACATCCACACCAAAAACCCATCTGTACATCACAATCATCAAAGACCAAAAGTAGATAAAACCACAAAGATGGGGAAAAAACAGAACAGAAAAACTGGAAACTCTAAAAATCAGAGCGCCTCTCCTCCTCCAAAGGAACGCGGCTCCTCACCAGCAACGGAACACAGCTGGACGGAGAATGACTTTGACGAGCTGAGAGAAGGCTTCAGACGATCAAATTACTCTGAGCTACGGGAGGACATTCAAACCAAAGGCAAAGAAGTTGAAAACTTTGAAAAAAATTTAGAAGAATGTATAACTAGAATAACCAATACAGAGAAGTGCTTAAAGGAGCTGATGGAGCTGAAAACCAAGGCTCGAGAACTATGTGAAGAATGCAGAAGCGTCAGGAGCCGATGCGATCAACTGGAAGAAAGGGTATCAGCAATGGAAGATGAAATGAATGAAATGAAGTGAGAAGGAAAGTTTAGAGAAAAAAGAATAAAAAGAAACGAGCAAAGCCTCCAAGCAATATGGGACTATGTGAAAAGACCAAATCTACGTCTGATTGGTGTACCTGAAAGTGATGGGGAGAATGGAACCAAGTTGGAAAACACTCTGCAGGATATTATCCAGGAGAATTTCCCCAATCTAGCAAGGCAGGCCAACGTTCAGATTCAGGAAATACAGAGAATGCCACAAAGATACTCCTTGAGAAGAGCAACTCCAAGACACATAATAGTCAGATTCACCAAAGTTGAAATGAAGGAAAAAATGTTAAGGGCAGCCAGAGAGAAAGGTCGGGTTACCCTCAAAGGGAAGCCCATCAGACTAACAGCGGATCTCTCGGCAGAAACCCTACAAGCCAGAAGAGAGTGGGGGCCAATATTCAACATTCTTAAAGAAAAGAATTTTCAACCTAGAATTTCATATCCAGCCAAACTAAGCTTCATAAGTGAAGGAGAAATAAAATACTTTACAGACAAGCAAATGCTGAGAGATTTTGTCACCACCAGGCCTGCCCTAAAAGAGCTCCTGAAGGAAGCAGTAAACATGGAAAGGAACAACCGGTACCAGCCGCTGCAAAATCATGCCAAAATGTAATGACCATCGAGACTACGAAGAAACTGCATCAACTAAGGAGCAAAATAACCAGCTAACATCATAATGACAGGATCAAATTCACACATAACACGATTAACTTTAAATGTAAATGGACTAAAGGCTCCAGTTAAAAGACACAGACTGGCAAATTGGATAAAGAGTCAAGACCCATCAGTGTGCTGTATTCAGGATACCAATCTCACGTGCAGAGACACACATAGGCTAAAAATAAAAGGATGGAGGAAGATCTACCAAGCAAAGGGAAAACAAAAAAAGGCAGGGGTTGCGATCCTAGTCTCTGATAAAACAGACTTTAAACCAGCAAAGATCAAAAGAGACAAAGAAGGCCATAACATAATGGTAAAGGGATCAATTCAACAAGAAGAGCTAACTATCCTAAATATATATGCACTCAATACAGGAGCACCCAGATTCATAAAGCAAGTCCTGAGTGACCTACAAAGAGACTTAGACTCCCACACATTAATAATGGGAGACTTTAACACCCCACTGTCAACATTAGACAGATCAACGAGACAGAAAGTCAACAAGGATACCCAGGAATTGAACTCAGCTCTGCACCAAGCGGACCCAATAGACATCTACAGAACTCTCCACCCCAAATCAACAGAATATACATTTTTTTCAGCACCACACCACACCTATTCCAAAATTGACCACATACTTGGAAGTAAAGCTCTCCTCAGCAAATGTAAAAGAACAGAAATTATAACAAACTATCTCTCAGACCACAGTGCAATCAAACTAGAACTCAGGATTAAGAATCTCACTCAAAACCACTCAACTACATGGAAACTGAACAACCTCCTCCTGAATGACTACTGGGTACGTAACGAAATGAAGGCAGAAATAAAGATGTTCTTTGAAACCAACGAGAACAAAGACACAACATACCAGAATCTCTGGGACACATTCAAAGCAGTGTGTAGAGGGAAATTTATAGCACTAAATGCCCACAAGAGAAAGCAGGAAAGATCCAAAATTGACACCCTAACATCACAATTAAAAGAACAAGAAAAGCAAGAGCAAACACATTCAAAAGCTAGCAGAAGGCAAGAAATAACTAAAATCAGAGCAGAACTGAAGGAAATAGAGACACAAAAAACCCTTCAAAAAATTACTGAATCCAGGAGCTGGTTTTCTGAAAGGATCAACAAAATTGATAGACCGCTAGCAAGAATAATAAAGAAAAAAAGAGAGAAGAATCAAATAGACGCAATAAAAAATGATAAAGGGGATATCACCACCGATCCCACAGAAATACAAACTACCATCAGAGAATACTACAAACACCTCTATGCAAATAAACTAGAAAACCTAGAAGAAATGGGTAAATTCCTTGACACATACACTCTCCCAAGACTAAACCAGGAAGAAGTTCAATCTCTGAATAGACCAATAACAGGATCTGAGATTGTGGCAATAATCAATAGCTTACCAACCAAAAAGAGTCCAGGACCAGATGGATTCACAGCCGAATTCTACCAGAGGTACAAGGAGGAACTGGTACCATTCCTTCTGAAACTATTCCAATCAATAGAAAAAGAGGGAATCCTCCCTAACTCATTTTATGAGGCCAGCATCATTCTGATACCAAAGCCAGGCAGAGACACAACCAAAAAAGAGAATTTTAGACCAATATCCTTGATGAACATTGATGCAAAAATCCTCAATAAAATACTGCCAAACCAAATCCAGCAGCACATCAAAATGCTTATCCACCATGATCAAGTGGGCTTCATCCCTGGGATGCAAGGCTGGTTCAATATACACAAATCAATAAATGTAATCCAGCATATAAACAGAGCCAAAGACAAAAACCACATGATTATCTCAATAGATGCAGAAAAGGCCTTTGACAAAATTCAACAACCCTTCATGCTAAAAACTCTCAATAAATTAGGTATTGATGGGACATACTTCAAAATAATAAGAGCTATCTATGAGAAACCCACAGCCAATATCATACTGAATGGGCAAAAACTGGAAGCATTCCCTTTGAAAACTGGCACAAGACAGGGATGACCTCTCTCACCACTCCTATTCAACATAGTGTTGGAAGTTCTGGCCAGGGCAATTAGGCAGGAGAAGGAAATAAAGGGCATTCAGTTAGGAAAAGAGGAAGTCAAATTGTCCCTGTTTGCAGATGACATGATTGTATATCTAGAAAACCCCATTGTCTCAGCCCCAAATCTCCTTTAGCTGATAAGCAACTTCAGCAAAGTCTCAGGATACAAAATCAATGTGCAAAAATCACAAGCATTCCTATACACCAACAACAGACAAACAGAGAGCCAAATCATGAGTGAACTCCCATTCACAATTGCTTCAAAGAGAATAAAATACCTAGGAATCCAACTTACAAGGGATGTGAAGGACCTCTTCAAGGAGAACTACAAACCACTGCTCAAGGAAATCAAAGAGGATACAAACAAATGGAAGAGCATTCCATGCTCATGGGTAGGAAGAATCAATATTGTGAAAATGGCCATACTGCCCAAGGTAATTTATAGATTCAATGCTATCCCCATAAAGCTACCAATGACTTTCTTCACAGAATTGGAAAAAACTACTTTAAAGTTCATATGGAACCAAAAAAGAGCCCGCATCGCCAAGTCAATCCTAAGCCAAAAGAACAAAGCTGGAGGCATCACGCTACCTGACTTCAAACTATACTACAAGGCTACAGTAACCAAAACAGCATGGTACTGGTACCAAAACAGAGATATAGATCAATGGAACAGAATAGAGCCCTCAGAAATAACGCCGCATATCTACAACTATCTGATCTTTCACAAACCTGAGAAAAACAAGCAATGGGGAAAGGATTCCCTATTTAATAAATGGTGCTGGGAAAACTGGCTAGCCATATGTAGAAAGCTGAAACTGGATCCCTTCCTTACACCTTATACAAAAATCAATTCAAGATGGATTAAAGACTTAAACGTTAGACCTAAAACCATAAAAACCCTAGAAGAAAACCTAGGCAATACCATTCAGGACATACGCATGGGCAAGGACTTCATGTCTAAAACACCAAAAGCAATGGCAACAAAAGACAAAATTGACAAATGGGATCTAATTAAACTAAAGAGCTTCTGCACAGCAAAAGAAACTACCATCAGAGTGAACAGGCAACCTACAACATGGGAGAAAATATTCGCAACCTACTCATCTGACAAAGGGCTAATATCCAGAATCTACAATGAACTCAAACAAATTTACAAGAAAAAAACAAACAACCCCATCAAAAAGTGGGCAAAGGACATGAACAGACACCTCTCAAAAGAAGACATTTATGCAGCCAAAAAACACATGAAAAAATGCTCACCATCACTGGCCATCAGAGAAATGCAAATCAAAACCACAATGAGATACCATCTCACACCAGTTAGAATGGCGATCATTAAAAAGTCAGGAAACAACAGGTGCTGGAGAGGATGTGGAGAAATAGGAACACTTTTACACTGTTGGTGGGACTGTAAACTAGTTCAACCATTGTGGAAGTCAGTGTGGCGATTCCTCAGGGATCTAGAACTAGAAATACCATTTGACCCAGCCATCCCATTACTGGGTATATACCCAAAGGACTATAAATCATGCTGCTATAAAGACACATGCACACATATGTTTATTGTGGCATTATTCACGATAGCAAAGACTTGGAACCAACCCAAATGTCTAACAATGATAGACTGGATTAAGAAAATGTGGCACATATACACCATGGAATACTATGCAGCCATAAATAATGATGAGTTCATGTCCTTTGTAGGGACATGGATGAAATTGGAAATCATCATTCTCAGTAAACTATCACAAGAACAAAAAACCAAACACCGCATATTCTCACTCATAGGTGGGAATTGAACAATGAGATCACATGGACACAGGAAGGGGAACATCACACTCTGGGGCCTGTTGTGGGGTGGGGGGAGGGGGGAGGGATAGCACTGGGAGATATACCTAATGCTAGATGACGAGTTAGTGGGTGCAGCACACCAGCATGGCACATGTATACGTATGTAACTAACCCGCACAATGTGCACATGTACCCTAAAACTTAAAGTATAATAATAAAAAAATAAAAAAATAAAAAATAAATAAAAATAAAAATTAAAAGTATAAAAAAAGACATAAGAATACCATGTTTAATCAGAAAGTAGAGATACGGTAGGCAATTAAAAATATATTTTGTTGATTCTAATTCTATTAGAATTCATAGAGTTCAGTTGAAATATGAGGAATATGTTCATTTTTTTCATTCTTCCAAAGTTACTATTCTTGCCAGTTTACTCACTATGCACTAATCTAAACAAGATAGTGCTAACAATCTACTCAAGGGCAAGTAACTATTATATTTTTACTAATTAAAAAACCAAGATTAATACATATTTCAATGAGCTCAACTTTTTTTTTTTTAAATATAGACTGGGTTTTGCTATGTTGTCTAGGCTGGTCTCAAACTCCTGGGCTCAAGCAATCCTCCTGTATTGGCCACCCAAAGTGCTGAGATTACAGGTGACAACCTCATTTTTTTGAAATTGAAATGACAATAACATCATAAAACTTTTCCCTTCATAATCACAACTTTCTCCTACAGTAAAGTAACATCTATTTTTAAAACCGATTATTTGGTGAAAATAATCTTCAAAAAATAATGTCTGCCTTGTTATTTGTTAAATTTTTAAAGTTTTTAGCTTTTAATATTTGAACAAATAGTACTAAATTATTGACAGTCCATCAGTACAAGTAGTCTTCCCTTACTTTTCTCAAATAATCCTTTGCTTCCAATGATCACATGAATTTTATAGATAACATGGTTTGGCTGTGTCCCCACCCAAATCTCAACTTGAATTGTATCTTCCAGAATTCCCACATGTTGTGGGAGGGACCGGGGTGTGGTAATTGAATCATGGGAGCTGCTCTTGCCCGTGCTATTCTCATAATAGTGAATAAGTCTCACGAGATCTGACGGGTTCTTCAGGGGTTTCTGCTTTTGCTTCTTCCTCATCTTCTCCTGCCGCTGCCATGTAAGAAGTGCCTTTTGCCTCCTGCCATCATTCTGGGGCTTCCCCAGCCATGTGGAAATGTAAGTCCAATTAAACCTCTCTTTTTTTTTCCAGTATCGGGCATGTCTTTATCAGCAGCATGAAAATGGATAAATACAATAGATATTTCCCTATAAGCAAACATCTTACATGTCACATATCCTACACAGAAGAGCTTCAGGGCAAAAAGAAAAAAAGATGAGGTGCTGTATTCCATGACAAGCTGAATTCCTCATTTAATGTGAACTTTTACCCATGCTGGATTTAAAAAAAAAAAGATACTCAAGTAATACTTTTTCTTGACTTGATGTTAATTCTACTGCCACAAAATGCATTCTATCCGTCCATTGTCTCACCTTTTCCTCTCTGCACAAAAAAGGTACAATTTACATCAGTTTCAAGAGTTATAGATCAAAGTGAAGACCCAAAATATATCTGAAGGGCCCAGGGAACTTCTGGGTTTAACTTTTCTTTAACTTTTTAATTTCTCCTTCCAATTAGTGGTGGTGTGTTTGTAATTCCAATTTACTCAGAAGCCAGAGATATGTGACATCAACAATTACAAGCATTCAACTATATATCAATGAAAGCATACAGTTATTAACTTCTAAAAAGCATGCTTCATTTTAAAACAGAAATTCACACCTCAGGCAATTTTCCACAGCTATGCTCCAGTTTATTAAATATCATTCTTATTTGAGTCTGATAAAAATAATTACTATGTAAAATTACATGGCTAATTAAGGATCTGCTGAAGAAATCTAATCCATCATGAAAACACTGTCCTGCCACCACACCCAGCTAATTTTTGTATTTTTAGTAGAGACGGGGTTTCACCCTGTTTGCCAGGCTGGTCTCGAACTCCTGACCTCAGGTGATCTGCCCGGCTTGGCCTCCCAAAGTGCTGGGATTGCAGGCATGAGCCACTGTGCCTGGCCAACACTGATGATTGGATTTATATGTTATAACTGCATATACATATATATACACACACACACAGACATAAAATATATAAATTTATTTTATGTATTATTAAAAGTTATATGTTATATATCACTTCATATATGCAAATATAATTTGTAAAACTAGCATAAGTTTTGGTTGCTCAGGACAGGCTTTCAAATGAGATAACAATATGGCCTGTTATATTTACAAAGTTCTGTCTCTAAAGGGAGCACATGTGACAGCTGATGAAATCTGCACTATGTAATATTCTCAGTTATTTCAAAAAAGCTTTTAAAAGCCCCTTGGTGTAAATTTTTAAAATATCAAAATAAATATATGCCTTTTGATTTGCAAATCAAAGAATTCAAGAGTAGTTACAAAAAAAAAAGAAAAACAGAATAAAACAAAGGATTCAATGGAATCATAGAATCTTGACTCTTTTTAAGGAGACATTAAAATATTGTTAAAGCTCTGTAATTGACATGGACACAAAGAAGGGAATAACAGACTCCAGGACCGCTTGAGGGAGGAAGGTGAGAGGAGAGAGATGATTGAAAACCTACCTGTCTGGTACTATGCTTATTACCTGGGTGATGAAATAATCTGTACACCAAATCCCCATGACATGCAATTTACATATATAACAAATCTGTACATGTACCCTGAATCTAAAAGTTAAAAAAAATCTGTAATTGTGATTTATACTATATAATAAGGATATGAATCTAGAGTCTTAACTTCAAAAATAGTGTTTTCTAACCTACACATGACCTATATAGAGGTAAATGGTATTATTTAAACAAATAAATTAAGGTTCTTATTAAATTTCCCATTTAAGCTTCAAGTGAAGTTTATTATATTACAGTATAAAATCTATCTAATATAAATTTTCTTCATTTTATATTTGTAAAACCTTATAACTTTTAATTTTTCCAATGAAATATAAAATGAAAATAAATTGTCATCTTCCCTTCTAATTGCTCTGTATTAAAAATTTTTGTTTCTCTCCTTTAAAATGGCTTGTTATATATATTAACATGACAATCCCCAATAAATTTATTGTAAGAATTTTATATGACACTATCATATTTTTGTGCAACTGTTTATAAATAAGCCATCTGTTTTCCAAAAAATATATGCAGAGACAAAATTTCAGAAAGCCCTACATATAGGTATCCTTATTTTTCCCTTCCGAAAAGTTTTTCAGCTTTGACTCTTTTAGCTAGGATAAGAAGATGAAAGATGATGGGTGGGATTTAAAACAAATGTTTTCCTCAGCTCACACATCAGAAATGGTATTCTCAATTCCATAACTATTTGTTGTTTTCCATCAGACTACTAGTCTATCATGAAGATGATAAATATAGATAGGTTGGGAGTTATGTATCTGTTGTCAACTAAGAATGTGCCCAAACCAAACCATTTGGTGATAATGTTGACTCACTGCACTCAAAAGCAGGGTTATTTTAATGCAAATGAACCTGAATTACTTCCCATTACAAAGTTTTCTGCTGTAAAATTTGGCCTATCTAGTAAAGGCACAAAAAACAAGCACCAACTTTTATAACTAAGTGGAAAGAAGGGGTTCAAAAGAAGAGAAAGGAAAGAGAAAAGTAATCTTTAGAGCTACATTTGTGAACCACTTTCTTTCCTTCTCACATATCTTGCTCTAGCTAAAAAAAGAATCTACAGATGAGCCCACTTAATAGTTATCATAATAATATTTCTAGTAAAGGTAGGTAGGACATTTACTGTTTCAGGAAAAATCTCCTCAGTCACATGATACAAGATATTCTTAAAAATCCCAAGACTGTATATACTACAATCTCCAAATATCATTAAAGTCATTAAGCAAAGATGTGCACTAAGCTGCACATATATTAAAAGTAATGGAAAAAAACACAACTGCTTTTGCACCAACCTAATACAATGCACTACCTTTCTAAATACATAACTTTTGGAGTGAAATTGCATATTCTCTCGCTCTCATTGTTACAGTTTGGTGGGAAAGAAGAGTTTTATACCCCACCTTTGACAACTGGACTTTAGACTTTGTATGTCTGTCTTCCTCTTTCTCCTTCCAAGAGTTACTGAATATATATGTGTAGTATGAACTTATCTCCTAGTTTGCCTGAGAGAGTCCCAGTTGGCATCTGTAGACCCAGCATCTGGTACAGTGCCCCTTTAAACTCTCAGAAACATCCCAATTTAGTTGTACAGTCAATCTAGCTATATGTGGTACTATATTAAATGTTGGGGACATCACAGTGAAGAACATACGATTCTTTCCCTCAAAAGATTTAGAAAGATATACAGGTAAACAGAAAATTGGGGAAACTTTCTCCTAATTTCCCAGATTTATATGATATCTCCTCTTATCTTTACCTTTCCGACTTGTAGCAACCACATCTTCCAAAACACTACAAGAGTATGTTTAATGTGCCAAAGTTTCATTGGCCAAATATAGTCTACCTGGTTCCTCACTGGCCTGAAGCTGCCTTTCTCCTCAATAGCCTAAGATATACCTGTCCTGCAAGTTATAAACTTGTTTTCCAATATGGCTGAAATGCTAATCAACAGATTTCTTTCTAATTCCTCCATCTTTTTCCATACAATTAATACTCTAAGATTCTGAACCTTAGAATAATTTTAATAATCTTAGATAATCTCAACAGCCAATCCTGAGTTGCATAATCAGTATGTTATTTTTAAATGTTCCCATGTATTGATAGTTTGTCAACTCAATAACAATGTTTCTGGTGATAATTTGATAGTACAAACGATAATAAGAAATATTCATTTAAGTCAGAAAGTAATTAAATTTATTATATCTTAAATATATCTGCAGGTAACAAGTCAATAGAACTAAGTTTAAAAAAACAGGGTATCTTGATTAAATTGAGCATTCTTTTACTGATCTATAAGAGGTAAAGCATTTTAGAGTCTCATGAGTGTATATATATTTTAGAAAAAACTTTAAAATACAAAATATTTTAAGTTCTATTAGCGTATAGTAATAATAACTTTTTTTTTTCAAAGAACAATTCAAGTTGCTATTGAACATAGAAACTTTTAACTTCCGGAAAGGCAATTCAAAGATTCAGTAAATATGCATTTCTACAATTGGCTTTTAAATGGATTAGTTTCTTACGACTTAGGATTTTTCCCAAAATTTGTGGAGAAGAAAGTGTACATGTGATATTTATGCCAACCAAAAATCAATTACTACTTTGAAGTGTAAAGCTTAAAACTCTACAAAATAAAGAGAAACACAGTAACAAAGAAGTAAACTAATAAGAGCTATTTCTAATTCTAAGCCTAAAATAAACACTTTGAAGAAAAATAAACCACTGTTCTATCAAACTTTAGTAACCAATATACAGTGTACTGTTTCAGCTCCTTCTTTAGCTTTCCATCTCTCTTTCCTACCCGACAGATCAGATTTGATTAGTGGATATTTTATCATCCCATTTTACACTCTTTTACTTCAGTCCTCTTCTTTGTTCCCTGTCCTAAGAATGTCTTTACCTATTCTCACCAATGAAATTCCTACTCAAACTTCAAATTCATCAAGTATCTTCCTTTTATGAAACCTTTCCAGAATGCTATCTCTTCTTTTTGCTACCACACACAAGAAAATTGAAACCCCCTAAACTTCTTGCTCTGTGCTAACATAATAGTATGTATACTTGTCTCCTAGACTTATAAGTAGTCATTTTCACATTTATTTACCGTATCATAGTATGAAGTCCTTTGGGAAAGGAATAAATGTTATTTATTGAAAGAATCTCAATTCTGTAAGCAGCACTTGGCATGGCACAGTGTCAGCACAGTTATATACTGAAAGACTAAATTAATTGAAACTGTTTTTTTTCTTATGTAACATATGGTCAATATAAAATTTGGACAAATGATTTAAAACACCTTGTCTATTGATTTTTTTTTAGCATAATATTAAAGAACATTTATGGTGGCTTTAAAGAAGTTCAAAATTAAATACCAATTCAAGATTTCAAATGCAATTTTATAGAAATCATAACTGAGGAAATTATTAATACTTAGAGAAACAAGCAATCAATAATTGTTGAGAGGTCTTTTAATTATAATATTGGATGTTAAAATGTATTACTGATAAAATTGATCAAACTAAAGAACAGTCTTTTTGGTCTTTTTTTTGTTTGTTTTTGAGACGGAGTCTCGCTCTGTCACCCAGGCTGGAGTGCAGTGGCGCAATCTCGGTTCACTGCAAGCTCTACCTCCCAGGTTCAAGTGATTCTCCTGCCTCAGCCTCCCAAGTAGCTGGGATTACAGGCGCCTGCCACCATGCCCAGCTATTTTTGTATTTTTAGTAGAGACAGGGTTTCACCGTGTTGGCCAGGCTGGTCTCGAACTCCTGACGTCGTGATCTGCCCTCCTCGGCCTCCCAAAGTGCTGGGATTACAGGCGTGAGCCACTGCGCCCAGCTTTTTTGGCCTTTCTGACAAGTCTCTCCAAATTCATGTTGTGTACACTACAGTCTCTAATTTAATAAATTAAACAAGACATTGTCTTGCATATCTGTATAGTATGCCTTTTAAAAGTGTGTTAAGGCTGGCCGCAGTGGCTCAAGCCTGTAATTCCAGCACTTTGGGAGGGAGAGGTGAGCGAATGGCTTGAGCTCCTGAGTTTGAGATCAGCCTGGGGAACATGGCCAAACTCTTATCTCTACAAAAAAATACAAAAATTAGCCAGATGTGGTGATGCATGCCTGTAGTCTCAGCTACTCAGGAGGCTGAGGTGGAAGGGTGGCTTGAGCACAGGAGGTGGAGGTTGCAGTGAGCTGAGATTGTGCCATGGCACTCTAACCTGGGTGAAAGAGCCAGACCTTGTATCAAAAAAGTGTGTTAAAAAAGCCTGCAATTAGAAAGTGTGGAAATTTGTCTTTTTCATATTGGAAATTCATTATTAATATACAATGTATGTATCTGAGATATGAAACAGTAGAAAAATAAAATTTTGGGAGGAAGATAATTTCTATGTTTTGTAACAGGCATCTAGAAATAGAAATAGAAATCAATGTAACAGAAGATGTCTCATATGGTCTTTTAAGAGGTGGCCATCTAGCCAGGTATCATCCAGCCATCTAAGAAACAGTCTAATCAGCTCATGTTATAAGTCCTGTTTTTATTGCTTATTTGAGGATTCCCCAATATTTTCATCTTTCTAAAGTATAGAAATTTAGCCCAACACTGTATATTAATTGGGCTTTTATATTTGGAAAGTTCAGTAAACACTACAATTTCATGTTAGCTTTGAAACTAACAGCATTATATTGCTGACATATTTAGCTGATGATTATTAAATTTCTTTTTATACGGCACAAATACTAACCTGCTTATTTTTTACTTTTAATCTTCTCAGTGTCTTTGGTCACCATTTGACAGATTATTTAAATTGCATAGTTTCTGAAATCTTGTGATATTACCCAAGGTTTTATTAAATCCACTCATTTTTCTATTAACTGAAATCTGAAAGAGTACACTATCAATTCTATAATAAACATCACTGATAAGGGTAAGAAGGAAGCTATTAGTAAGAATGGGGCACATCCCTCTTAATAAGGTACAGGACACAACCTTATGGAACATTACTTCATAAATTTTGAAGAAGGTATAACATGGTCCTTGAAGTCAATGACCTTATTAAGGTAATCTATAAGCAAAAAACAACTTCCACTACAAAATGCACTCCTCCTTAATTAGAAAAAGTCAAAGCAAAAAGCTGTACCTTCTAAAAATCTTTCTTGAATTAATCTCAACTTTATACAAGTCCACACTGTAGAAAATGTGCAAAGAATTGGACACATCTATGTCAAACCAAACCATTTCAAAATACAAAAGCCAATGGATTTTGCGTTTCAAAATTAACATAGAGATAATGGATCATTATTTCCATTTCTAACTCCTATCTACACTGTAGACACAGATATATAGGAATGAACACATGATTCAATTTGCTTGTAAACACAAAATTTTTAAAAAGTTTTAATTATTTTTCTCTATACCTCAAGGTACATGATGCTGAAAAAACAAATGTTTTTATGTGCTAAGCTATTTATCCATATTCTGTTCCTCCTACTTTTAGCTTTACTTTTTTGAGTTTACATTTTCCTTTCTGCTTCCTTTCTAATTATTTTCCCATTATATCAACCTCTGATACTCTAATTTTATATTCATTTCTAACCAAGTAAAATTATTACTAATTGAGATCCCACTTACTCAGAATTTTTGATGAATCAGATACAACATCTAGTATTCCTACTTCACTTATGAAAACTGGAGAATTACATAAAACCATAATGATATATATAATACAGAATCAGGTTCAAGTTGTTTAAAATAACGTAGGAAGAATTATATATAGTTAAAAACAAGATCAAAAGGATATCTGATAAGCATCACAAAAACAGTAAATGGGAGAGTGAGCAGCTTTGTAGTCTGCTCTAAAAGAACAGAAAAACTATAAGAAAATTCCCTGGCCTTAAAATACACAGAATCTTGTTGAAAGGATATAAAACAGTATAAAATGTCACAATAATAACACTAGCAAAAACTAGTACTTACAGTAACAGTAACATTAAGAAATAAATAATAGCACTTATTGAATATTTCTATGTACCAGAAATTTACATATTATGTTTAACCTCTACAATATTTTTATTGTAGATATGAGAAAAATGTTACCTACACAACTTAAATAATAAGTAGTGAAACTTAAATTTTAAACACTTTTCTGTTTTAAAAGTGTGGGTTTTCTTGTTTTGTTTTCAATTTCTGTGGGTACATAGAACATGCATATATTTATGGGGTAAATGAGATACATTGATATAGACATGCAATGCATAATCTCATTCAGGGAAAATGAGGTATCCATCACCTCAAGTATTTTTCTTTTGTGTTAAAAACAATCCAATTATATACTTACTTATTTTAAAATGTACAATTAAATTATTATTAACTGTAGTCACCCTGTTGTGCTAGCAAATACAAGGTCTTATTTATTCTTTCGGTTATTTTTTTTTTTTTACCCATTCACAATGTGTATCCTCCAACTCCTACCCTCCACTACCCTTCCCAGCCTGTGGTAACCATCATTCTACTCTCTATCTCCATGAGTTCAAATGTTTTGATTTTCAGATCCCACCAATAAGTGAGAACATGTGAAGCCTGTCTTTTTGTGCCTGGCTTATTTCATTTAACATAATAACCTCCAGTTCCAACCATGTTGTTGAAAATGACGGGATCCCATTTTTTCTTATGGCTGAATAGTACTCCATTGTGTATTAAGTGCCACATTTTCTTTACCCACTTGTCTGTTGATGGACACTTAGGTTGCTTCCAAATCTTGGCTATCATGAATGGTGCTGCAATAAACATGGGAGTGCAGATATCTCTCTGACACTCATTTCCTTTCTTTTGGGTATATACCTAGCAGTAGGATTGCTGGATCATATGGTAGGTTTACTTTCAGTTTATTGAAGAACCTCTAAACTGTTCTCCATAGTGGTTATACTAACTTACATTACCACCAACAGTGCATGAGGGTTCCTTTTTCTCTACATCCTCACCAGCATTTGTTATTGCCTATCTTTTGGGTAAAAGCCATTTTAAGCAGAGTGACACGATATCTCATTGTAGTTTTGACTTGAATTTCTCTGATCATCAATGATGTTGAGCACCTTTTCAGAAGCCTGTTTGCCATGTGTATGTCTTCTTTTGAGAAATGTGTAATCAAATCTTTTGCCCTTTTTAAAATCAGATTATTAGATTTTTTTTCTATAGAGTTATCTGAGCTTCCTATATATTCTGGCTGTTAATCTCTTATCAGGTGGGTAGTTTTCAAACATTTTCTCCCATTCTGTGAGTTGTCTCCTAACTTTGTTGATTGTCTCCTTTGCTGTTCAGAAGGTTTTTAACTTGATGTGATCTCATTTGTCCATTTTTGCTTTGTTTGCCTCTGCTTATGGGGTATTACTCGACATCTTTGCCTGGACCAACGTCCTGGAGAGCTTCCCCAGTGTTTTCTTATAGTAGTTTCATAATTTGAGGTCTTAGATTTAAGACTTTAAACCATTTTGATTTGATTTTTGTGTATGTTGACAGATAGAGGTCTAGTTTCATTCTTCTGCATATGAAGATCTAATTTCCTCAGAACTATTTGTTGAAGAGACTTTAAGAACAGTGAATGTTCTTGACACCTTTGTTGAAAATGTGTTCATTGTAAGTGTATAGATTTGCTTCTGGGTTCTCTATTCTGTTCTATTGGTCTATGTGTCTGTTTTTATGCCAGTACCATTTTGTTTCAGTTACTATAGCTCTGTAGTATAATTTGAAGTCAGATAATGTGATTCCTCCAGTTTTGTTCTTTTTGCTCAGGACAGCTTTGGCTATTCTGGGTCTTTTGTGGGTCCATATAAATTTTAGGATTTTTTTTTCTATCTAAATCTGCGTATTTTTAACTTCTATTCTATTACTTCCAAAAAAGAGTTCAGGAAATTATAGTACAAGTTTGAATGTGGCTAAAGTTGTCCTGAATGAATTCACAAACAGGTTACGCTATGACATGAACTCTTAAGGAGGAGGTATATTTTAGGGAAGTTGAAGAAAGAGGGAGTATATTTTGGGTATGCATGCATGGGAAATGAGATAAATGTAAAGTATTTTTAATACTCTGCTTACACAATTAAACATTTAAACTTTTTACTAATTTACAATGGACTTGCCCATGGTGAAGCTTTTTGTGAGCAATTTTGATTGTGAAAAACACAAACGGCAGTCTCTTATTTTCTCAAACTCGCATGCCTGCAATTGAACTGAAATGAGATCAGATATCAAATATCCATTAGAAAAATACCATAATTCTTTGTGGATTTGGAGGAAAGACTGAACTTTCTAATTTCTCTTTATGGATTTTATTGGATGGACCATCATCGTATTTTTGGGGTCAAAATCTTAAATTTAATCAAATATTACATCAGCACACCAGTACATCAGTAGTTTCTCTGTAGAAAGACATGGAAGACATTTGCTTACCTTGTATTACATGTGAGTTGTCTTTTAAGAAGAAGTTATACAGGTATTTGGGAATAAAAGCAGACATACATGCATAAGCCAAGGCTAAAAGAGAATAAGGCAAAGGCATGTAAAAAATTAGTTAACAGGGTAGATGACCATCAGTAATGCATTCACTTAGCACATATTCCTTGAAACTACTATTAAATAACAGTTATGATAGCCAAGTGCTAGAAAAACAAAATTAAGAGATAAAAGCCTCTATGCTTTAAAATAGAAAATATTTTTATTTTAGACAACAAAAAATAATAATTCTATAACTTCAATTTCAAACTAGCATGGCAATCATTATCACACAATAATCACAACTTTTATTACCTAAACGTTGTTTCTTAAAATTTCTAAGCATGATCATTATTAGTAAGTTATACGGACCTCACGATCCTTAACTGCTGCTGATGCAAACAAGAGTCTACGAACTATGGATTTAGGAATAGTGTTATAATTCACATTTTCAAACACAGACCCCTGACTATGTTTGGGTCAGTATGAGTGATCATTGGCTATGCCTAACTAAACATAGTAAAAAACTCTAGTCTAGATTAATGAGTGAGAATATCACAGAACAGAGTATTTTAAAAACAATTCAAAGAGTAAAATTTCATTTCTCTGGGATTATGCTATTTTTACTTAATTCCAGAAACCGATGCAAATTCGGTCATGAAATAGAATCTGAAAATAGGGAGATCTTCAGATAAGGCATCTAGACATTCAAGCTATATACAGTAACACACTCTATATGTGATTTCAGGGATTGGAGTTAATCGAATTTAGTATTTATTGAAAAGCCTACAATAATAAAGTTATTGCAGAAGGGCAGGAAAAAAAAAACCTGCCATTGAAAAAGGGCTGTCAAAAAATATTACAACATTAGTATATAAGTATTAGAATACAAGATAGACACAAGATAAATTTTTATAAATACAAAGTGCTTTATGGGCTGAAGAAGGAGAATGAGAAAAGTCTTCATTAAGGAAGAGGTATCCAAAATGATAGGCTTTGGAGATGCAAGGTTATGGAAAAGTGCCACCATAATTGATTTCTTTACAAATTCTTTAGAAAGTATACTTAGACAAAAATTAATCTCTAAAGAATTTAGAATAATCAAATTCCACTAAATTTCTAGTAATAGCTTTAGCATAACTGAAACTCTCCAGTAATAAATTAATCCTTCACATCTCTAAAATGAGTCTATAATAGATTATTTCACAGAAATCTACCAGGGAGAGAATAAGAGCCTTAAAACAAAAACAAAAACCTTTCATGTGTGAATCAAATATTTTAGAATATTATGCGCAATGATTATTTAAATGTTAAAGAGGCTTACCTTCATTATTGAAGTTTAGATATAGGAATGGAGCACAAAGTGAGTCAAGACCTAACACAGAGGGGTTGGGAGAAAGAAGTCAAATAAATATAATCTAGTAGAATTGAAGATATATACCTTATTCAATTCTTTGCATTACCTCCAAGTAGATTAAACATTAGAAGTATTATCCATCCAGAAATATGTTACTTCATGAGTTACTGTGGGGAGTGAGTGATAGTGTAGCACACAGTATGTGTCCAATATGAATCAGTTATTATTATCTATATTATTATGAGTTGAAAAGAGAAATACAATAATAGAAAAATGTAAGAATGTTACAATGCTTTGGATATTGTCCCATCTCTGACTCTAAATGTACAATCTTGGCAATTACTTAACATCTTCTGGCATACTTTCTCATCTAGGACATGGAGTTTTGCCTATGTTGTTTTTCTTTGGGATTATGAAAAAAAATTCTTTAAAAATTGTGAAGTGGATTCCAAATATATGACATTTCTTTTATTGATAATAATGATATGCATGTATTGTCATGTTGAAAGAATGTACATAAATCTACCTACAACTGTTAGGAGGATATAGAATAGCTCTGAAATACACAGAGCTAAGAAAAATAACAGCTTTATTTAAACTATGGTAAGAAATAGAGAACTGAAATATAAAAGTAGCCACTTATAACAACACATTCAAAAATAGGGTTGGAATGGGTTTCTCATTCTTTATCAAACACAAAAAATAATAATGGCAAAGCTAAAAATAAAAGATATGAACCATTAAAGATACAAGAAAAAAAAGACAATAAATAAAATGAGGACTTTAGGATGATAGACTATTTTTAAGTGCTAATAGCCATGGTAAGTATAAATTAGAAATCATTAACTATAAGAATCTCAACTAGCCCCAATTGATTTAACAATTTGCATAGGCGTTTAAAAAATGTATCCACAAAGATCACAACAGCTCCAAATATTCTTTCTGCTTTGCTAATCAACTTGTATATTAAATATTATGTTTTTTAATGATATCTACTAGGATTTAGACAAAGATTTTTAAAAATGTTTGGATGTAAACCTCTCAAAAAATGAATCAGAGCGTCAATATTGACTTTCCCCAAAGACAAGGATGTTTAGATATTTTAATTTTTTTAAATGTCAGTTATGCAACAATTTTCTAATACTCCAGAGGAGTTTTAATGACTACAAAAGTTACCTTGCCAATACACAAGATCAGGATGAGACACTACCCAGGCTTTTAATACACGCCTAAATTTTGCATGACCTTCTGGTGATGATAACAGTTCATCGTACTGATGACAGCGAGGAATATCCACTTCAATCTGTTAAAATAGCAAAATAATAAGGTGAAACAGTAATTGTGTAATCAGCAATAAACCCTTAATCCTTGTTCATTAAATAAGGAAAAGGAGAAGCTATAATATGAATTTCAAAACAGACCAACTTCTTAAGTGCCTAATTTTTTGAATTTTTTAATTGATCTTATGGAAAGACTAAAGAAGTTGTATGTATACCTAAACAGGAGAATTAGACCATTTCTTTTGAAAGGTATGTATGTGTTAATATACTTTTCAAAAATATTTTCCTTTATAATCTGGTCCAAATGAAGGGCAAATTTTTCAGATGAAGAACTACAGTATTTTTAAAAAGGTAACTTGACCTAAAGTCCTTTAAGGTATTGTTCTTACTAATTTATAAGCATAAGAGTTATGGTTTCTCTAACAATATATGTATGCAGCAGTGTCTCTGTATTCATGAGAGAAAGAGGCTTTCTTCATGCTCCTTCCTAAAATTTAAATATTTGGCAGAATTATCTTAGGTTGCTTAAGAAAACCTAAATCATACTTGTCTATCTGTAGGAATTGGAGTGTCTTTATCAATTGCATCGTACTTGGCATGAATAGCTCCCTGCAAAAAATAAAAGAAGATATATTAATTTATCATATCCTTAATACAAATAGTAATATAGAGAAATCTATTTTTTACAAATATCTATCTTTGGAAACCTACCCAACTACAGATAAGCACATTCAAACTCAGGGTAGAACTCATCTTAAGAGAAATTCTCTGTGTCTTTGACAATCTGTGATGAAGGTCTCTGATAAGTGACAATTTGCCATTTTGCTGAGGCAAACTCTTGAATTATACATACCAGAACATAAATGTCATGGATTAATTACTTAGCTAGTAAGTATGTTTGGCCAACCTCCCAGACCCTACAACATAACACAACCTTGTTATGTTATATCTATAATTACATGATAGAATCATTAGGGCCTAAAGAGGTCATTTACGCTTTTCAGTTAGACTGTTAAAATTTAGAAATAACTGAATGAACGACTACAAATTTTGGTCGTGTTCTATAGGACCAAGCATGAAAAAAATATTATTATTCTGGCTTATTATCATGGTAGAGAAAGAGCCAGGAAGTAGGGTTCAAACTCCAATATCGGCTATTATCAACTTCTTTGAGACATTAATTTAATGAGAGTTGGACAACCTGATACCTGAAGTCCTCTTGAACTTTAGCATTATATTGTTCTACAAGTCTAATGATTAATGTATGATATTGAACAATTGGCATTCTTGTAAAGTAACCAACTAAACTCAAAGGTATTTGTAGACTCTTATCAAGGGAATCAGGAATGAAGAAAGGAAATTCTTCAAACAGAGGATTGAAAAGGATTAAAAATAGTTGAGGATTTCTAAAAATTTTTTAGAGTCAGGGTCTAGTTCTATCACCCAGGCTAGAGTGCAGTGGCACAACCAAGGTTCACTGCAGCCTCGAACTCCTGGGCTCAAGTAATCCTTCTGCCTCAGCTTTCCAAGAAGCTGGGACCACAGGCATGTGCCACCATTCCAGACTGGAATTCTTTAAAAAGGAAGGATAATTATCTATAAGAGAATATAAGAAGACAAGATGACAAAGAAATTGACAAGAAATGAAAAAAATCTGGCAAGAATTTGGCCCATTATTATGATTGATGTCATCGGAGTTCTCTGTTAGTATTGCAGGCCACCATAATTTGTGACACATCTTTCCTCACAACCACAGAGAAAGTGCTATTTCTCTTGGTAGCATAGTCCAGGTGGAATAGGTGTGCCAAAAGTCACTAAATTATGTTAGTGATTTTGACAAGTCAGATTAGATGGAAAGATTTCTCCAAATTTAGACAGAACCATTTATAAACAATCATATTCTATAACAAGCATACTTTATAAGCAGGACTACCCATTTATAACTGATATATATTCTTAAAATATTCTATGGTAATAATCAAAACATTTTCTGTGACCACTATTAAATGAAACATTAAATAGCATAATCTAATAAACCCTCCATTATATTTTTCTATTCTATTGTTTTCCTATATTCTTTCCACTTAAAATTGCCAAATATTCTAATGCTTATATTTTACTATATAATTTTCTAATAACTAGAAAAATATATATTTGGAAAGCACTCTCCTTCTCCATCCTTTCTTTGCATAATTAATCAGCTTCTAACCTTTTCTTTTTTCCTTACCTCAACTCCCAGAAGAGCAGCCCAGGTTAAACCTCTCATAAGAGGAGGAATGTCAACTCTTGCTTCTTTCCAGATTTGGTTTTTTTTATATGGATAAGCCTATGATATCAAAAAAGAAATGAAAACGTCTCAAATTACCTAGTGCCATCTTTTAGTCTAGACAGTTCTGAATATACCCATGATAAAACTTAAGTGACTTGCAATAAATTTCAAAGTATGTGCAATTATTGTGTCTGGTGTTATTAATACACATAAATAAGCAGTAGAATGAATGAATCCCTAACACCTTGAAAAACTCGTATTATATAATTAAGAAGAGCAGCTGATTCTACCTGATTTTTAATCCTTCCTCTCTATTTGATGCTCTGGGGGGATTTTAAATGAGTCAGATGGAGGATAATAGTACCAGTCTCATACGGGTTAAATAAGATAATGCAGGTAAAGCACTCTGTTAAAAACGTGGTGATAGAGAAGTGATCAATAACTATAAGCTACTATTATGAGTACTTCCGCATTTTGCATATAAATTTATACTTTTATAAATTTGTGTCTTAGGAGAAATTTCTAGAAGAGTATTAATAGGACAAAGGCAACAGATGTTGTTAAGGTTCTTGATATATGCATTCAAATTGTTTTACAAAATGTTTCAGTACATTCACATTTATTCCAACAGAATGAGAGTTCCAATATCATTGCATCTGTGCTCACTTTGCTAATGCAGTATGGAAAATCACTCCTATTTTAATTTGTATTTTTTTCATTCCCAGTGAAGATGAACAATTTGCATAGATTTACTAGCTGTATTTATATTATGTACTCTATCCATTTCTCTGTTTCAATATTGATGTTTTTCCTGTTGACTTTTAAGTCTTCTTTTAAAAAATAAAGACATTATTCCTTTTTTAACATGATTTTGCATATGTTACCACACCTTGTTTTTACTTTTTAATTTTACTTACTAAGAACATGTATCATTTTTAAAATGAAAGAAAGCTAACTGAACAAGATAGGTCATAAAAATTAATCTTCTTATTACTCAAGATTCCCTAAGAATTATTGAAAAAATTAAAAAAAAATTCCATATGGGCTATTGTTAACACTTTATACTTTAGAATCCATACCTTTAGCAGCCTGTCGAAGAGAATAATTCTATTTAGTTGGTACTCTGTATCCTTCTCTCTGATGATTAAAGGGAGCGTGGCAGCTGCAGACAACTCATTATTGCTGTTTGAATGAGGTAAATTAGACTGGCTGTAAAAGAGAACAAAAGCAATAAAAAAAAAAAATGGACAAAAGGTACAAAATTTTCTTTTTTTTTCCTAACTCTACCAACAGTGATTTCAGAAAAAGCACAAAATTTTAATAAACCAAAACCTCAGGTTATTATTTTCTATTTAGGAAACATTTTTCAAAGAAAATGTATAAAATTCTTATAAATCTAATATAAATAGAAAGAAAAATAAATCTAAAATGAGACTACATATACTCACTCATCTTCAAGTAATGGGTAAAATGCTTCTCCACCAACATCTTTCAATCTCTGTGTATTTAAAGACAAAATATTTATGTATAAACATATTGGGCAGAAACCCTGATCTGTGTTTAAAAAGACAAGTAATATAACAACTATAAATTTATAAAGGGACCTAGAAAAGTATAAAATAGAGTCTAAAAATCAGTTCTTACCATAAACATGCAAGCATACAATGCCTCTACTGATTACGGTTTGGCTGTGAAAAACAACTATTTTTTTCTTATCTATAGGTATCACTCATAAATGTTAGACACTTATCATGATATATTTTCCAAACAGAACTCAGAATTACTAGCACTAGTATAAAACTTAATGAATGGGAAAAAAATTTTAAGTTATATGAAGAAAGATGATTAAAAAGAGGTACTATATAGCCATGTATATACTAAAAGAACAACTTAGATTTATTTTTGCTTTGGCATAATACAAGCTAAGTCAAAAAGAAAGGTGCTAGAAAAAGGATTCCAAAATATTTCTCACATCATACTTTGAACATGTATGATTCAAATAGCTAATAAATCAATGGAGAGAGTTCACTTAATGACAAAATCATTTTAATAAATGTTGTTCCAAATAACAACCCTGACAGGATTACAGGTATTCTTCAAAATCATAAGCAGGAAGGCAGTAGTAAAGTAAAATGTTAACCACATCCTAAGCAAGGTGATTAAAGTTAATGCCATCTTGCCTGCTGCTCTGCTGTTCAACTTCCAACTTGAAGGCAGAATGTCTGCTCCTATGGGGATTGACATAGAAATTCAAGCTGTGTGTGCAGCAAGCACTGATCTTCTGCTGATTAGAGTCTTTGTGCACCCATGTGAGTTATTCCCAGAATTTTTAAAGCTTAAGAAAAATCTTTTACTCAAACTAAGAATTCAGCAAACACTGAATTTATGCCTGGTTCTACTCTAAAAATCAATGTGCTATGTACTTATCCTATTTTAAAAAACCTTTAGGTATATCTTTCATATATTAAAATTTTAAGTTAGGAAATAAAATTTTCCCAAGTTTTACTGCATTATTAATACACATAAATCTTTTTAAAGATTAGTTTTCAGTATACTGTATGTCATAGATTTTATCTAATTAAGTATCTTGTCTGTCTTTTCTAAATAAAAACTTAGCACATTAGGATTTTTAAAAGGTGAATGAAAACACTAAAGATAAAAATTATTATATGGTTTCCATATCATTTTAAGATTCAGCAAATTAATATTTCTTAATAACTACAGAAGAAGAGTATTTTAAATTTCACAAGTAGAACTGTAAAGGAATTGAGACATTTAGATTTGAAGCCTACATTCATTTAACTTGGATTATATTTAAATTGAAGAAACAAATTAAGAGCAAAACAAAATCAGCTGAAATCATATATTTTGGATGTAATTTATTGTTCGCTGCAGGGTATTATTACTTATTTTGTTACTTTCCACATCCTTTCTTTCAAAGAGATTATAAATTCAGAGTACTGAGTAGGAATAGTTATATATTTTAATTTTCTGTTGCTGGCATTATGGCAGACAAGAGATTCTAATACTCTCCTACTATATAACATGTAAAATATTAAATGGTTAGATAAGCTTTAAAAC
The DNA here is from genome assembly GCF_000001405.40 of Homo sapiens. NCBI lineage: Eukaryota > Metazoa > Chordata > Mammalia > Primates > Hominidae > Homo > Homo sapiens. Next base: position 106,238,392 of record NC_000004.12, read on the forward strand.
ATAAGGAAAATGCAGTGATAACAGATATAAAACCAGGCCTAGAGAGAAAGTAGTTAATAACTGTGGTCTAGAGATTTAGACCATAATGGGATAAGGGTTTGGGAACCTACATAACAGACCTTCAGAATGGAGAAGACCCTTCTAAAGCCACGTAAAGAAAAAACTAGGGGAATTGCTGGCTTAGACAGAAAACAAGGATAGGTACCTATTTCAGCTTTGGCTATGAATGGTTAAAAATAAAAAGGCTAGGACTTCCACTTTCTTATACAAAATATAAACAGCTTAGAAGGCATCATTCTTCCTCTAACAAGAAAAATGCTGAACAAACTGAAAATCAAGAACTCGTCTCACATCTGTCAGAATCAGAGCATTGTGATGTCCTCAAAGCTGGAGGGACCCTCGAATACAGGGAATCACAGCTCAACAGGAACAGAGCCACTGCTGGAGTCTGTTAAGATCAATTAAAAGGTAATTATCTAATACTTGCAGGCTGAGCACAGACTAATACGAGAGAGAAAAACTTCTGGAGGCCCTGCCTTAGGGAGGCCTTCCTTGCTTCCATGAGATTAACCTCTGCAGGTCCCACCAGGTTCTCAGGGTGAAGATCTGAGAAAAATACCCTTGACTTCCTGCAGGGGGAGGTGGAAAGTAACCAATCTGAAATACAGCCAGAGTACTCTGTTTTCCTTGAGAGGCCTGTCTTAAAGGGAAACTCTTCGGTCAGGTCTTAACTAACTTGGGTTTTACAGAAATCTAACCAACTTGGGAAGGAAATATTCAACTCCAGTCCACTCTAGTCTTTGATGTAGGGGAACAGAAATACCCAACTCCAGCCCCTCTAGCTTTCCTGTCTCATGTTGGGGAGGAGGAGTGGGAGAAGCTGAGAAGCCTTGTGAAGGTCACAGCCCAGGAACACAGGCTCACTAAAAAACTGGGACTTAATGATAAGATTATAAAATACTTCTCCCCTATACTTTACTATGATATTAATAGGGCTTCTACATAATAACAGGATTCATTCCTTCATTTAGTTATTATATAGGAAGAAAACATATAACACATCAAATGAAGAGAAGTACAATGGAGGAAAAAAACAAAACAGGATAAAGAATACAAGGGATAGGTGTGGCGTTGCTATTTTATAAAGGATGGCCAACAAAAGCCCACCAATAGGTGACATTTTAGCAGAGAATGTAAAGAAAAGAAATGGAAGCACCGGAAGAGTGTTACAGGCAGTGGGAAGAGCAAGTTTAAAGGCCTTAAAACATATAACTTTAGAAAATGATTTAAAAACAAAATAAACAACCTGAGTAAACTTATAACCATTAAGCAGACTGAAGTAATGATTACACCCAAATAGGGATAAGGAGCCCTTACAATATGGTTTTAAAGCTAACTCCCATGAAACATTCAAGAAATAGATACATGTAATCATATAAAGTCTTTCAGAAAATAGAAAAAAAAAGGCAACACTCTCCTATTTATTTTATGAGACTAGTATACCCCTGATACCAAACTAGCATCGTGCAGTAAAAGAAAAGAAACTCACAGGCCTATCTCAAATAGAAACAGAAATGCAAAAATTCTAAACAAAATATTAGAAAATCAAAACACAAATGTATAAAAAAGGAAAAATGAAATCATGATCTGTTTGGGTTTATCCCAGAAATACAAACATGGCTCAACATTGAAAAACCCCATCAACATAATTAAATCCATTAACATAATACATAAAAAAGCATATGACCATCCCAATAGATACAGTAAAAACACTCAGTGAAATTCAACACCCATTCATAACAAAACTTATAACTAAGAATAGAAGACCTCTATAACTCAATGCAACAAATATCATACTTAATTATGAAATATAAAAAGCAAACTTTTAAAACCAGAAATTAGACAGGAGTGCCCACTATTTGTTTCTATTCAATAGCGTTATAGACGCTCAGCAAAAATAATGAGAAAAGATGAAGTGAGTAGATAAGAATTTGGAAATGAAGGAAAAAACCCTACCTTAATTCACAAAGAAAACCACAGGGAATCTATAGACATATTATTTAAAAAAGAATAGGTTCAGCAATGTTGCCTGACACAAAATCCACATAAAAAAATCAATTGTGTTACTAATCATGCACAAAACAGTAGTTGAAATAGTATTTTAAAAAATATTATTGATTTATTTTTTAAAATCCTCTACTGGTATACTTAAGATTTGGTACATTTTACTACATGAAAAAATATTATTGATGTATATTTTAAACTCATCTACTGGTATACTTAAGATCTATACATTTTACTATATGAAAATTTTGCCTAGAAAAGAACTATAAACAAATCTTAAACTCTAATGTGTAAGCTGAATTGTAGTAATGTCTTCATTTTACTTTGAAATGCAAGAACAAAAAATATGATGGATTGATGAATAGCTAGAAAGATAGACATGTGATAAAGCATGTAAAATGTTAATTATAGAATCTAGGTCAGGGATTAGCAAACTGTTTCTATGCAGGGCCATATGACAAATATTTTTAGCTTTGTGGGCCATGCAGTCTCTATCGCAACTACTCAATTCTGCCAATGCAGAACAAAACAGCTATACATAATAGGTCAATGAATAGGTGTGACTTGATTTTGCTAATAGATCATATCAATGCTTGATGTAGGTGGTAAGTTGTTCACTGTAAATGCTTTTCAACTTTTCTGTTTAAAAATTTTTATAATAAAATGTTGGAAAAAATCATACTCATACTTACATATATATATATATTCTATATACAAGAGCAATAATAAATTACCTTAGAAATAAATCTGATAACTGATATACAGACATTAAAAATAAAATTGTTATATAAAATAAGACAAATAAATGACATATTTATTTAAGCATGTTCAAGAAATAAAACCCTACATTTTAAATACATCAATTCTCTACAAATTAACTTATCAATTCAATGCAATGTCAATCAAAACCCTATAATTTTTTATGAAGTTCTTTATGATGATTATAAAAATCAGCTAGTAGAGGAAGATGTTAAAGAGTTCCTACTCCATTTTGAGGACAAAAAAACTGAAGGTCTTCCCTTGCTAGATATCAACAGTTCACATAAAACTACAGATTAAGGCAATGTGGTATTTGCTAAAATTAGAAAAACAGGCCAACAAATCAGAATATCAAGGCCCAGAAACATATCCATATACATAGAAAAAGTTGGTATTATAGATCAAAAAAGTGAAGAGAAAACTATTCAATATATGGTACTGAGACAAGGGGTATTTTTTTAATCAATGAAATATGATATTGGATACCTTCCTTACAACTTAATCTAAAATAAATTCTAGGTGGATTAAAGAACTAAATGTGAAACAATTATTTAAATCTTTTATAAGGAAATATATAAAAACATTATAAAACATACTTATAACCTTGCTATTACTTTAAATAAGTTACAAGAAAAAATATATCAAAATATATTTGACTATAAAAGAAAATACTGATAAAAATTTAGAATTCTATTCAATAAAAGAATCAAAAAGTTGAAGGAAAAGCCACAGATTAGAATATATTTCCATGACATACAGCTCACAAAGATACGATATCAGGGACATAGTTTCAAAAGTCCTCAAATCAATAAGAAATCACTCAACAGAAAAACTGACAAGAGATATGAACTAGTAATACATAGAAGAGGTAGGTGAACTGCTAGAATATGTGAAAAGACTTACAACTGCACTATAATCAGGAAATTAAAAATTAGTATTACAGCAAAATACCTTTCCATACCATTAGATTAACAATTTTTTAAAATGTGATAAAAGAAAGTGTTACCAGGTAAATAAAGAAATGAGAACAGTTACCCAATGATGGCGAAAAGATAAACTGATAAAATCATTTTTGTGAACAATCAGGTAATAAAGCTGAAGTTGTACAGATGCAATTCTACTCTGGGGCACATATTTTACAGAAGCTCTCCCATATTTTGTGAAATCAAAGAGGCATACAAGATTTCTTGTGTATCTGTAAGGTTTTAATTAAAGAAAAAAACCTAAAGCAGAACTGTCAAAATATCTTTCTTACATTTCTTAGCTGGCATAACGACAATGTCACAGTGGTATCATCTAAAAGCGAGCTTCTATCTCGACCTTGTCCAAAGCTTTCACCATCCTCAAAGAGAAAACTGAAAAGAAATTTTTAAAAATAATATGTACACAAAATCCAGTTTATTGTTTCTTCTAGAAAGTAAAGTTTATTCTAAGTCATCAATCCCTTCATCAAAAAAGAATTAAACTTTAGACTGGATGTTTAATAAAACAATGTTTTTTTAATTATTATTATTATACTTTAAGTTTTAGGGTACATGTGCACAATGTGCAGGTTAGTTACATATGTATACATGTGCCGTGCTGGTGTGCTGCACCCATTAACTCGTCATTTAGCATTAGGTATATCTCCTAAAGCTATCCCTCCCCCTCCCCCCACCCCACAACAGTCCCCAGAGTGTGATGTTACCCTTCCTGTGTCCATGTGTTCTCACTGTTCAATTCTCACCTATGAGTGAGAATATGCGGTGTTTGGTTTTTTGTTCTTGCGATAGTTTACTGAGAATGATGATTTCCAATTTCATCCATGTCCCTACAAAGGACATGAACTCATCATTTTTTATGGCTGCATAGTATTCCATGGTATATATGTGCCACATATACATAAACATATACATATGTGCCACATATACATTGCATATAAAACAATGTATTGAGATTTCTTCAAACAAGTCTCATTTTCAAATATCTCTTGAGTTGGTATGAATGTAAGTATAGAGAATTTCAGAAAAACAAAAGTGTCATTTACAACCCTTTGTTCATGCAGTTTCAATGCTAACAGTACTCTCCTGACATTAACTCAATGTGTTCCCAAGAAACTTTATACGTGTAGAAAAAGATAAAGGGAAGATGAAAGAAAAAGCATATTGGATAGTAACCTCATAGAAGAAAGGATATTAAATAATAAATGAATAAAATTTGTTTACAATTTCAATAAATTACTTTTAAGAATCTACATATCCTTTAAACCATTTCTTCTTGGAATTTCCGTAATCTTACCTCTAACTTTCTACTTAATTCAATGTATGAATGGTATAATCAAAGTTAACATTTAAAAATCAGATTAAGAGAGAAAAAAATAGAAACTAGTCAATCCAAACAATACAAAAGTTTAAAAAGTAAAGAAAAAAATGATGAGCAGATGACTTCTACAGTTGCCTACAATAATCAAAACTAAGTCTAGAAATCTAAAAATTAAAATTTTATTTTATTTTGAGACAGGGTCTCTCATTCACTCAGGCTGAAGTGCAGTAGCATGATCTTGGCTCACTGCAGCCTCAACTTCCCTGGGCTCAGGTGATTCTCCCACCTGCAGCTGCCTGAGTAGCTAGGACTACAGGCACACAACACCACGCCCAGCTAATTTTTTTTCTTTGTAGAGACAGGGTTTTGCCATGTTGCCCAGGCTGATCTCAAACTCCTAGGTTCAAGCAATCCACCTGCCTTGCCTCCCAAAGTGCTGGGATCACAGGCATGATCCACCATGCCCAGCCTAAAATTAAAAATTTAAAGTATTAGTAGAAGCTCAAGAAATTTAGGTTCATATTTTTATGAATAAACATGAATAGCAATGTTAATAACAATCTTAGCCCCAAGGCTGTAGAGGTATTTAACTTCCAGTCTAATTTCTAGCATGATATCTTCTTATACAGTTAGGCAGATTTTTTTGCAACACACTAGCACAGTAATGATCTCTAGGACACACAGTGAGACCACAGAGTTCATTTACATTTACAAGTATATTTGGAAAAAGAACATAGTTCTTCATAGTAGGAACATTAAGCTAGTTTTTAGTTAACTGTCTTAAATATTCTATTGTGACTTGTGTATTTTTCATTAACATCAATTATTGCAAGATATTCCATAATATTAACTTCACTTCAAGTAGGTCACAAAGCAAATTACTGATCAAAGACAACTGATGGGAACTCTGCAATTAGAAACTTTGGCCAATCAAACAAGGTGTTGATTCCAATTGCTTCCAATAATCACTTAGCTGGGATGCCTACCAAAAAAATTTTAAAAACAACCAATTTAAAAAAAAAAAACACCGATTTTCTTTTTTATTATTACCATAGAATTATTACCATGTATTTATTTATTTAAATTCCCAAGAGAAGTTTCTTTCCTTACTTGGGGAGTGTGCAGATAGGTGGTTTGGATCGAATGATTTCCTTGTTGACAAGCTCTTTCTCCAAGTCACCTCCAGCCAAACACCAAAGGTAATACACTTCTTCAATAGATCTTTCTGCCAGGTAATCATTATTTATATCTATTAAAAGCAAATTTAAGGAATCATTGTATTATATTTTCTACTTTTATTAAACGTCAACAGGCAGTAATAGCTGCCATTCTAAAAAAAATAAACTCTGAAGAACAGACTTCCAGTTCCTAGTTCTGATTGTAGGGAGCCTGAAATTTGCTACTCCATCCTAACAACAAATAAAAAGTTGAACAGACTGAAAAATCAACAATTCTTGGATCTGTAAGAGAGGTGAGGACATAGGACAAACTTCTGTCCCCAGGACTGGAGACAGAGAGGAGAATAAAGGGAGCTATGGCATTCTGGAACAGACATTCATGAGCAGTGCCTCAGGAACCAGTGCCAAGTTTGGAAAACCTAAACTGTAATTGATAAATTACTGGAGGCTCAGTGTGGACAAGTCTGAGAGTTAAAAACTCCAGAGGGAACCAGTCAAAAGGGATAGCCCCACACTTTTGTGAGTCTGGAGACTGACAAGGTTCTCACAGTAAATATTGGAGGAAAATGCCCTTATGTTTCCAGCAGTGGCAGAGGAAATGTAACCATTCTGAAATACAATGAGCACTGTTCTTAACAAGGTCTGTCTTCAGGATAAACCGGTTAGTCAGAGGCTAACTCACTTAGATAATATCAGAGCCTAACTGACCTGGAGAGGGGAAATACCAAAATGCAGCCAGCTCTAGCCTTCTATGTGGTGGTTAAGGTATGGGGAACAGAAGCATTCTGTAGTCAGTCCTACAATTTAGGTCTCAATCTTTAAGTGAGCCAGTCACTCTAGACAAAGTGTTTCCTTGCCCTTAAGGGGTGGCTAGAACGAGTTGGAGCTTGATATTTCCCCTCTCCTACTGGAGGTATGCCATGACTGGCAGATTCTGATTCAATTTTTGTAATAATTTGAATGCTCCCGACTGAAAATAATATACTACTAAAAGTGGCTTATATAATAAAGACATTTATTCATCTCTGTTAATAAAATCATAGGTACAGGAGGGGCCTATGCTTATCAAAATTCTAGACCATTTTCTGCATTCAGAAGAGAAGAAAGTGGTGAACCTATGCTGCAGTACCTTTCTTGACAAGAAAATTTGTTTTTTCCCTATAAGTAGCCCTTATGTCCAGCACTTTCATTTAGATCCCATTAGCCAACTCTAGTTCACAAGCTTACTGCCCATAGCAAGGGAAACTAGAAAAAAACATCTGGAATTTTCACCCTTTATAATGAATACATAGTATTGGAAATTTTACACTCTATATTGGAAAAGGAATAAGGGGAGAAAATAGCACATGGGGAGGCAACCAACACAAATTGTTCCTTCCCTCATATCTCAAGGCAACGGCTGGCTGCCTTTTCTGAAGTCTTCCTTGATGTCCCAGACAGAAATACAGAATTAGGTGCTCCTGCTATGCTGCCATTGTGCTATATTCATATTGACCTTCATTTATAACAGTGATTGTATAATTAAATGTCTGTCTGCCTTCCCATTTGGCATGAATGTTACTTAAAGATACAGTATGTGACACATACCAGGAACTCAATAAATGTTTAATTGAATGAATGTTTAGTAACCATTTTCTGCTATGACTTAAGTCATAACAACTTTTCAGAATAAAGGTAACTGGTGTCACTAAACCTTACATTCCAAGAGTCGTAATCTTCACACAAGAATTAAAAGTCTAAAAGCTGATATTCTCTTCAATATGCAGAATATAATGATATATAATTCTTATCAATAATATTATTTTTAGAGATCATTTATAAATAAATTATATAGAATATCAGTAACTTAAATAGAAAGGATAAACTGTTAGCTCAAATGTGTGTGTTTATGTGTATTCTAGCCACTCCTTAAGGGCAAGAAAGCACTTGTTTAAAGGCTAGAGGCACAGGCTCACTTAAAGATTCAGAACTAATCACAGGATTGACTACAGAATGCTTCTGTTAACTTTAACCACCACACAGAAGGCTAGAGCTGGCTGCAATTTGCTATTTCCCCTCACCAGTTCAGTTAGGCTCTGATATTATCCAAGGAAGTTAGGCTCTGACTAACTATATATATATATTTGTGCGTGTGTGCATGTACTTTGTTTTTTGTTGTTGTTGTTGTTTTTTGTAGAGACAGGATATCTCTACGTTGACCAGGCTGGTCTCAAATGGCTGGCCTCAAGTGATCCTCCCTCTTTGACCTCCCAAAGTGCTGGGATTACAGGCATGAGCCACTGCACCCAGCCAGTCAGTTATATTTTAATCACTTCCAGAATTGTCTCTTAATTCCCATGATCCCACCAATATATATTGTTGATAAGTTCAAAACTGAAAGTAGGACAAGGAAACTTCTTTAAAAACAAGGCTCATATTATTCTCTATGCTTTAATTTATCATTACCTTTACACAACTGACTGATATCCTCAGGCAGAGTTAAATCAGCACATCTCAGAGAAGATGAAAACAGACTGGCAGGTTTGGTAAAGGGGGTATATAAAGGTGATACCTCACTGAATACTTTGTCCTTCATTAATTGATCTGGGGTTGGCCTTGAGAACATTTAAAATACAGAGCATGAATGAAAGTCATAAAAAATTTCCTAGAATAATGGCATACATTCAAGAGAATGGATAAAAGTCTTAAATACCTCATTAGCACAGAAAATAATACAGCTCTCTTTTGCAGAGTCTAGATGCATACTTTTATATTATAATCAAATAACTGTGAGTAAATACTGAATTTTTTTTACTTATGTTGTACTTTACCTCATGATGTATCAAAAATATCATTCCATAAAAGCTTCTGCATTGTTTACTTTTACCCTGACTAGCATTCACCTGCTTTACTGAATATCTTAAATAATTAAATAATATTTATGCAAACTATTATAATAATACCATTTGGCTTTTCTTCCTGTCCTTTAATGTGGTACATTGACACAAAACTATTTCTCTCTAACATGTCTTGATAAAGTTGTTTTTCTAAAGGCAAATTTGTATACATTATTTTCAAACATTACATAGTAAAGGAATTTAGGGATAGCTGTATGACTAGTAGTGACATCATCAAGTCAAAGTCAATTAATGAAACTTCTAAGAAATCCTTTTTTATTGTCAACAATTGTTAGTTTATCACACCACTGATCCAAGTTCATTGCTATAATACATATTGACAACAAACTTTTATTCTCATTTCACTGATGTTATTATTGGGTCTAGGAATACCTACATTCCATAGTTTAGTTAATATTCTATTTAAAAGCTTGAAAATGAACTAGTAACTTCTTTAGTGTATGTCAGTTTTCTGACCGTAGTTTAACTTTAATTACTTTTTCATTAATTCACAAAAAATGAAAGCTTACATCATTCACAGTTATGATACTGATGTCAATTATATACTACTCCATATGTACATTATCTTTAATCCATTATATTAAAACAAGAAAAAAACCAATTGCTTATGCGTAAAGGATCTCAATGTAATCCCAATCTCTAAATAATATCAACCTCTTAGAAGGATGGAAGGTAAGGCACTTATTCAAAAGATCTATCACAGTTTCAGGAAGCTCCTGGTAAATAAAGAGAGAAAATAATTAATTAAAATGATCAATTTTAGAAATATACTTTATTCAAATGTTTGCTAATCTAGAAGTTTTTGATGTTTTTAAAGTTTTTATTTGTACTTTATACAAATTTAGTCACTGTGAAAAAGCAAATACTTAAAGAGAAATAAGCATTGCTTTAAAATAGCTTCCAACTGGATCCCAAGTGTGTAAAATAAATTTTCATTCACAGATTGCTATGGTTTGAATGTGTTCCCTCCAAAGTTTAGGCTTCATGAACTTTGAAACTTAATGGCCAATGTGATGGTATTAAGAGGTGAGGCCTTTAAGAAGTAATTAGGTCATAAGGGCTCTTCCCCTGGTGAATGGCATTAAGAGGCTTATAAAGGTGAGACCTCACATAGCAATTGCCTAGCTTGCCCTTCTGCCTTGTAAGGACAGTGTTTCTCTCTCAGAAGACTGCAGCCCTCACCAGACGACCAAACGTACTGGTGCCTTTAACTTGGACTTCCTAGTTTCAATAACTGTGGAAAAATAAATTTTTGTCTTTATAAGTTACCCAATATCAGGTATTTTGTTATAGCAGCACAAATGGACTAAGACCCAGATTAATGACAAACCTTTATAATGTCCAAACAACCATGCTCTTCAGCCAGAACTATTAAAGTGTCATCTACACAATCTATAAAACAGAAAAACTATATGAATAAATGCTATTTTTCTAATCTGTCCAACAAACCAGAAAATAAACTGATCAAAAATGTTTTAATGGAGTAATGCAATTTTGAAACTTAAAATACTGAAAACTTTATCATTTTGTTAAATTTCTTTACATGTTTTGATAAAAATGAAAAGCTTCAGATAAATACTAATTGAATAACTGACACTGAAAGATACCAGCTTAAATAGTTTGATAAAGGAGCAATTCCTTTACAAGGAAGGTAAAGATACTCTAGCTCTCTCTGTCTCTCTCTAAATATACACATGCAGACACACATAGCTGACCCTTGAACAACATGGGTTTAAACTACACAGGTCCACTTATATGTGGATTGTTTCCAACCAAACATGGGTTGAAAATACAGTATTTGTGGATGCGAAATCTGCATGTATGTAGGACCGACTTTTCATACACATGGGTTCTGTGGGGCTGACTGTGGAACTTGAGTACACATGGATTTTGGTACATGTGAGGGTGCTAGAACCAATCCTCTTCAAGAACTGACTGTATGTAAACAGCGCTTTTTAAGAAGGCTTTGTAGTTTTGTTTTGTTTTTTCATGATTACAAGACTAACTTATTTTTATTGTACATAATTTGGAAAATGTACTTACATTTATTTGGGAATTTAAAGTAAAAAGTTTAGGTTACAGACCACATTTAAGAATCTCCAAGGCTTCTTAATAGCTGTAGTATCAATCTTTGTAATTAAATGTGGTAAATCTGGTAAAACTTTTGCAAATTTATTTATAATTCATTATTATTTAATGTTTACTAATACTTTCCTGTACATATTCTTATTTGTAAATGTTTTTAACTTGGATACTAATCTGTCACTCTTTTGCATAAAGTGTTCTATCACTGTTTTTCTCTCCTTAATTACCAAACATGCTTAATTAATTCCACTCCAAAGTAGATTACATAAATTTTTATTAATTTGAATTATACATGTTTGGATCCACATACATGAAAATTCATATGAGCCTTTTATAAGGAAAAATCAATATTCTTCTTGAGTTGTTATTTGTACATGATTCATCAAATAGAAAGATAGCCCAAAAGTTAAGATACATTGTCTGAAGGTAAACTGCTACAGAAATACAATTTTATATTCTCATTTTGATTTCACAAGTTAATTTACTTGGCTAGATAATAAAGCTGAGATTATTTCCATCTAGGTTAAAATTCCTCAGAGAATAAAGAAATTTCTGCTGTAATATTTTAGAAGGGACCTCATATGCTGTTCTGCTGATCATTACCACTGATCATTAGCAACTTGAGTAAAGGGAGGATATTTCAGTGTACTCACTATTTCAAAAGAACACATCCTCAATGTGCATGATTACTAATAGTAAGTTATATTTATATTTGAAAGATAAGCAATTGTACGACACTTACCCAAAGTAAGCAAAAATTTTAGTCTTTCAGAAATATCCAAGCTCTGAAATAATTTTCTTCCCTAAATAAAATGAGAAAAGAAATTTCTATTAATATTTACATGTTTTTTCTAGGAAGGCATTTTTCTCCCCTTATAGCTGAAACTGATTTTATCAGGCATCTTTATTTATCTCCAAAAGTTTTAATGGATTTTTAAAGTCAGCTCCACTAAAGAAAAATTACTGGTGAAATAACATTTTAGAAAGTGTTGCATAATAGTTATCATTTAAACATTTTATACATCTAAGGGTCATTACATTCTAGTTTGATGTAAGCATTGTTCACTTTTGAGATCCACACATACCTGGATATCTAGATGTATTCCAGGCCATATGGAGTCTTACTTTATTGAGACCAAGATGCCTCCTGGGTAAGACTGATTATACTCTTTCGCCTACCGAGCTAATTCTTACTTAAATATCATGATTCGGTTAGTCTGTTTCTCCATTAAAAAAACTTCATAACACTCCTTCCTCTTACCACAATAACTTCAGACAGCCATCCTTCATGCTCCTACAGCACCTGGTATATTTTAAGATGCACACATTATATTTTAATTATTTCCTTACTAGTCTGCCTCAGGAGGCTCCTTAGTATAAGGTCTGGAGTCAAACACTTATACCTTCAGCATTTATGAGTTGAGCAATGATTGTGTGCCAAATTGGACTCTTCCACCATCAAATAGTTATATAAATTTGGCAAACTACTTAATACCACCTGAAGTTTCACTTTTCTCATCTGTAAAATTAAAATATTAACTGTACATATACCACAGGTTATGGTGAGGGTTATGTAATGCAGAATATGCTTCATTAATGTTGGCTATCATTATATTTCTCTTATCATAAACAAATTAAGCTTATATGATCATTTAAATAAACTTAGAAGGAAAAGGCTTAAGATTACCTGGTGTTTATAGAAAAAAGAGATGCTTTGATTTTTTTTTAATAGAGAAGAAAAAATGTTCTTAAACACTTACCAAATCAGAACTACAGGTAGAGTTCATTGAAAAAAAGCTGCTATTCTTCTCAATCTTACATTACTGTCATATCAATCTTCTAAAAACGTAGTTTTCATTTCAATATCTTGTTAAACTTTTAATGGTACTCCATATATCTTATATAACTTAATATAAACATCTTAACTTTGTAAAAATATACACATTATAGAGATATCAAAATAATATATATCTGGTAACATTTACATTCACACTTAGTAAAAGTATGTTTCCAGAGATGCCAAAAAATATGTGAAATTATCAAACATGATTAAGTCAAATTAAGCCTTTTCTCCTCATATGTAATTAATTTGTACAGCAAAAACATACTATTATTAACTTTCCTCTCCAAAAGATTATTCCAATAAATGCACAATTTCCTTTTATTATATTAATATTTCTTTATACATACCACACAAAGCTCAAATAAAATGATTCCAAGAGACCATACATCTGATTTGGGGCCAGAAGGCAATGGTTTTTTACTTGGCATGTGATCAGTGGTTTTGAAAATTCCCTGTGCAATTACCTCAGGGGCCAAGTACGAGGGATACCTGTAATGATACATTAAAATAATGAAAAATTACAACAGGGAAAGAAGCGATAGTACATTTTTACAATCAATGTGGTAAGATCTATGTAAAAGTCTCATGCAATTAAATTAACAACTGTTGCTAGAAAGCATTCTAAACTAACCATCATAATACAGAACTTTAATGTCAAGGAATCAAGAGAAAATATACACAAGTCTGAAATAGTTTTAAAACCTTCATGTCTCCCTCCAGCATTAGCTCCTTTATTTGCTTCTCTCTGTGTTTTTAACACAGTCCTCTAGGCTTCCAAGTGTTTTTCCTTCCTTCTTATTGCCTATCTTCCCTTAACGCTGAATTAATATTTAAAGTGCATTTTATCTTTTAAAAAAGTATTTATTTTTAGTAGTAAGAATGTTAATGCTATAAAAAAGATACAAATTGAAAAGTAAAACTCCTATCTCTACACCCCTGTCATCCATACATATTTATGTATATATAACTTTGTCCACCCATCACCTCTGCCCCACATGGTGGAATACTATACATATTGCTATATACCTTTTTTCCACTTAAAGTGTATTTTAGAGATTGTTCTTTAAAAACACAAGTATAGAGTTTCCTCATTCTTTTTGAAAACTCCCAATAATTTCATTGATGTACTTAATTTGATGAAACAAAAACATTTTGGAACTTCCATTCTTTTGCTATTACCAATAATGAGATGAATATATTATGACTATTACATATCCCACAAGTATATGCATATAAATGACAGATATATTCTTAGAAGTGGCATTCCAAGATCGTAAGGTATGTGCATTTTAAATTTTGATTTACCACACCAAGTTGCCCTTTGGGGAGGTTGTATCAATTTATATTGTCATAAGTAATACATGAGGGTGCCTATTTCCTCACAACTTCACTGACATAAAACGTTTTTTGAAAACCGGTTTAGCAAATATTGAATAAATGCAAAACACTGCCTATTAAATATGAATAAGGCATAAAGAAGAAAGCTTCAATGAACACCCATGTACCAAGAAGCAGTTTAAGTGAAGAACATAAAATTATCACCAAAAGTCCCTTTGTGCTTCTCCCTGATTGTATCTCCACCCCTGTTCCTCCAGAGAAGACACCTGGAATTTTTGTGTTTGTCATTCTCTTCCATTTCCTGATGGTTTTACCATGTTTGTATCCCTAAAAAATGTACTGTTTAGTCAAGCATATTTCTGAACTTTATAACACTGGAATTAGGATGACTGTATTCTTTTGCTCTTTCAATCAAGATTATCTATATTGTTGGATGAAGCTATATCCATTAAATTCTTATTTCTATTATATGAACATAACATTATTTATACATTCAAATGGCAATGGCATTTAGGCTGTTTCCTGCTTTTTATTATTAACATTATGAACAACGTTGCACAGAATGCCATGTATGGTATACATCTGCAAAAGGTTCCCAAGGTTAACAACCTAGACCCAAATTTCTAAGCCATAGGATATGTGCACTTTCTACTTCATTACACAATGCCAAATGTTTTTCAAAACGAGTTATACCAATCTATACACTTGCCAGCAGTGAATGACTGTTCCTATTGTTTTACTTCTTCACCAACACTTGATATTTGACAGACTTTTTAATGTTTAACAATCTGGTATATAAAATCTATTGTGGTTTTACTTTGCATTTCCTTGAAAATTAATGACATTGAGGCATATGTTCATATGTTTATTAGTCATTTGGGTTTATTATTGTGTGATATGCCCATTCAAGACTTTCGCTTATTTCTCTAGTTGTTTTGGGGTCCCCAAGACCACTCTCATGTTTAGAAATTCACTAGAAGGACTTACAAGACTTAGCAAATAAGTGTACTCACAGCTAAGATTTATTACAGTGACATAGTAAGGGCATAGCTGGATCACAAGGGACAAAGATAGAGAGGGAGTCTCCAGGAACCTATATACAGGCTTCCTTATGCTCTCTCCCTCCTATCAGGGATCACACAGAATACATTCTTCTTCCAGCAACAAAAATATAGCACCACGTATGTGATGTATCTTTCATTTTCTTTTCTTTCTTTTTTTTTTAACTTCTTTCCAATCTTGAAGAACAAATGTTATGTGATGTTTCTGGCCAGAGAAGCTCATTGAAAATCCAAGGATTTTATTTGGGACTTGTCACACAGGCACTCTCTGCCTGGCATGTACAAAAATTCAAGAACTCAAGAAGGAAAGCAAGTGTTCAGCATAAACCACTTTGGTTGTTTACAAGCACAGTAAACTAGCCTCAGCAGTTAGGCATCCATGGGGACATTTCTGCAACCCAAGTTTCAAGGCAACAGCCAAGGGCAAACATTGCTAGCAGGACTTAGTTTCTAAGGATAGCAGTCTTAGGCTTCCTATGATAATCTTTTACTGCACAGTTGTTCTTTAACTCCAGATACTAATGTCTTCTTCAGTAATTATGACTTGAAATATTTTCTACCACTCTGTGGTTTTGTCTTTTCTTTCTCTTTACGGTATCTGTTTATGAATGAGAAGTTCTTATCTTTCAGTTGAATTAAACTTTTTTCCTTATACTTAATGATTTTGTCAAAATAATCTGTTAATTTTCTCAAAATTTCAGTTTAGCCTTTTATATTTAAGTTTCTTGATTCATCTAGAATTCATTTTTCATATGATGTCAGACAAGGTACAACTTATTTTCCTACATAAATAAGCAATTGAGCCCTGTTCCCTTTATTGAAACCTCTTTCTCCCCAAGTAGTGCCAGCCGTATACTAAATCAAATCTCCACACATACATAGGTTTGTTTCTTGGCTCCCTCAACTGTTCATTTGGTCAATTTGCCTAAGAGTATACTATTACACTATTTTAAATAAAATATTTTTATATAAAATATATTTTATTAAATAATTACTGAAAATTGTTAAGAGCTCTCAAAACATACATACCTTTTAGTTTCTCTTTGGGAAAATGCAGGCTCTTTGTAGGTGTTTGTTCTTCTCTACATACATTTTAAAACTATCTTGCCAAGTATCTTCTCTTTCACATACTGAATTTTTATTGAAAATAGATAAGATATAAAGACAGGTTGTAGAGAACTAACATCTTTACAATACTAACCCTAACAATCTATAAACATGATATCTCCATATTTATTTAGGTCTTCTATAATGTCTCTCAAAAAGATTTATATTTTTTCCATAAAGGAACATATCACGGGATTTTGTGGTGTCACTTTGTCAGGTGGAAACCTCTGTGGCCAGTGGTGCCTTTGCCTGAGTTTTGCTGGGACCCACTGGGCCCGTTCCATCCACTTGGACTGGCAGGCTGTGCTCAGCTCGTGCTACTGGCCTGGATGCCACGCGGCCAAGGGAGAGCCAGGCATGGCGTGGCAAGGGGTGTATGAGTGAGTGTGGGGTCTGGCCACTGTGCACAGCCAGGCACACTGGCTGTGGCATGGCAAGCAGGTCCAGGTGCTGGCATAGGCACTGGCTTCCTGCAAGGCTGTGGTTGGACCAGGTGCGTTGCAAGCAGCTTCCATGGCTGGCACCAGGGAACATGGTTGTGCCCGGAAACTTGGAGATGCCAGGAACTGCAGAGCCCCAAAGAGAGTGTCACAGCCCTGGCTCAGAAAGTTCCTAGGTCTGGGCTCCCCAAAGGGCTGCAGCTCCTCTCTCCTTCTGTCTTCTTTCCTTGCCACCCGCAATGTGGCAAGCAAGGGGTTGTTTCAGCCCTGTTTGTTATAGCTGTTTTAGCTCTGACATTTGGCAGGTCCCAAATTCTTGTCCTGCATCCAAGAAGAATAAGGTACATGGACAAGTGAAGGGTGAGCAAGGTGAAGAGATTTATTGAGCTATAGAACACCTAAAGAGACCCACAGTGGGTAGTTCCTCTCCACTGGCAGGGTGTCCCAAGGAGTGTCCAACACTCAGCTGAGAGGAGACCCTAGGGTGGATAGCTTTTCCCCTCAGGTGGGGTGTCCCTATGAGCATTCAGCCCTCAGCAGAGAGAAGACCCTGGGGTGGGTAGCTCCTCTCTACAGCTGGCCATCCATCATCTGCTCAAGTCTGGCTGAGTCCAGGGTTTTTATGGTCCTCAGAGGGAAGAAGTGCACGTCCATTGGTCCATGGGCGGCCATGGGTGGGCCCAGAAAAAGCACCACAAGTTCCCACTCAGGTCCACGGGACCTGCAGCCCATCTCCCATGCTTCAGGCCCTCCTGGGCTTGAAGGCAGGGCTTCACCAGGGACCTGCCCCCTTCTACCCAGGAACCTGTCTGACTCCTGTCACTCTTCATGGTGCCCAGGCTATTCGTGCCACGGAGCGCCTGCCCGCCAGCACTGAGCTGCCCTCAGCCCCCCTTCAGACTCCCTCCCTTGCTTGTTGGTGTCCGAAGTCCACAGGGAGTCAAGGCAGCAGGGGGCTGGAGTGTCAGTGCTGCCTCGAGTGTGCACACACCCAGCCGGGGTCCAACAGCACCTGGGCTTGACCCCAACATCGCTCCAAGATCAGAGTGTGTACAGGGAGCCGGGAGAGGCCAGGCAGTGGGAGTAGACATTTCCGAGCCTACAGCTGCACCTGGGAGAGCAGGGCTCCTGCCTGCTTCCGGCCCCCAAGAGCACAGGGAGGCCTGGGTCTGCAGCACCAACTTAGGCAGCTGCAACTGTGCCCGGGAACGTGGGGCTCCTGCCTGCTCCTGGCCCCCATAGGCTCCGTGAAGTGACAGCCCCAGCAGCACCTCCTCCACACTGCAGCCGGCATCATGGTAGTGGCCATCCCAGACAGGCCGCCACTGCCATCAATACCTGATTTGATTCTATAAAGTACCTATTTTGCCTGTTCTATATCTTATAAAAGCTATACATGGTATGATGCTATACATGTTTGTTTTATATACTATATATTTCACATACAAAAATTTAACCTCCCATCTCAATTAGAAAAAAAAGAACTACATACCTGAGGGCACTTGCGTATCTTTTTATAAACCCTCTACAACTACCAATGAGACTTAAATAGAGGATATACTCAGTATAGTTTTGCTTTAAAAAAAAAATTCCTATAAAAAATACCCATTAGGATGGCCTTACAAACAACAATTTAAGAAGCAGGTAGTAAATAAGAATTAGACATAGGAGCAATTGCTAAATTTGAATCCCAGTGCCTAGAAATAAAAGGAATAAGAACCGTTTTAGAAGAGACATGGAGTGAAATTTTGCCATACTTATTACATATGTGCATGCCCTTTCGTCATTTATTGTCAGATTTAGTCATGAGCACCACAATCTAGATTTTAAAACCAGTTAGATTAAATTATGTCCTCTTACAATGATAAGTATAATCAAAATGTATTTAAATATATGTATCATCTATGTAATATATATTAAGTAGGCATTCAAATATTATTTCTATTTTTCTTCCTACCTTTTCTACAGCTACCTCCTCACACTATCATTGCTAGTACTTCTTATTTACATTCAAAATACAAGTCAATTAAGTCAGGGAATGTGACTTAAATTCAAATGGGTAAATTTGTTTTTTAACTCCTTTTTCATTTTAATAGAATGATGATGGTGATACCAGTATCTTCTTATGATTTGCTCATGTATTTCTCTCATATACAAATTCGTATTGTGTTATTTTACCCTAAGATGATACTGCTCTTCCAAATGAATGTGTGATATCTCTAGAAACAGCTGAAGTCTAGTGGAAGCAGCACTAGACTAGATGTTATAATACCTGTGTTCTAATTTCAGTTCTACCACATATTCTATATGTGATTTGGGTTTCTTCATCTGTAAAACTGGAATATTACTGCCTACGTCACAAAGCTGTTATAAATATTAGTGAATATATAGACATTAAATAAAAATAAAAAATTTAATACAAATGCAATGGTATACTTTTATCATCACCACAATACATCCAGAAGTCAGTTTTCATCTTTTTTCCTGATTTCCAGCACATCTAACCCAAAAATAATAATAATGAAAAATCAAGCAAAACTACAGGTAAATTGTTATATCAAAAACTTCTGACAGGACAGAGATAAACTTTGTTTCAAATATTTTAGTTTCCCTTTTAATCACAGGAAAATTATTAAAAAATAATAAGCTCTAGAATTGTTATTTAATGTAGTTCATCTTTTTTCAACAACTTTCTCTTCTGTAGCATAGCATTTTAACACTCAAAGACAATTACCAGAACTTTGCTGTGAGTATGACTGATGAGGTAAATAAAGTGGCTTTCATCATCTGTTTGATGTTTTAATAAGGTATTAAGCTACTGGCCAACTGAAATGAATGCCCAATTTCCAACTCTTTACAGTATTTTGAAACAGATGGTAACATTTTACTTTGTTGTTCCTTAATATTTGTCTTTTGAATCAACTGCAAGCTTCTTCTGGTGTAAATATTTTCTTTCATGCCTTAGCTGTTTGATCACTTTATTTTTCCTGGCTAATGTTTCACATTTTGCTCTTTGATATTTTCTGGTAAGACCCTTTGGGTCTAAGACTTCAAAGCAAGCCAGACCAAAGGGTAACACAAGACCAATTCTATCCAAGCATTTTAAATTCAAGTGTAGCTCTTACTTGATATGCTTTAAGAAAAATCACCTCCTTTCTTCGATTCATCACTGAAACCTAAAGTACCTTTAAATAAAAATCAAAAACTTAAAGTAATTTTTAGGTTTTTGGATTTCTTTCTTACACAAATTGATTTAGACAAAAGAAGCAGCAGCAATCACTTGTACTACAGCTACTTAAAAGTCACCTCGAAAGGCATTTATCATACATGACAAAGGAGCTAGAGCCTCACTAAAAACTTATATTCAACTATAAGTTGAATAAAAAACCCCTTTCATATTCGAAAGGGCTTTTTTGAACAAATAAGAAATTGTAGACTGTCTTTGCAAAATACCATTTTCATGCTTATGAAACAAGAATTGGTTTTTGCCTGTAAGTTTTCAATACACAAAACTGTAAGACTACGAATTTATGTACCTTAATAAGCAGTCCATCAAAACAGAAAATTCTCCCACTAAACAATGAGCTTCTTGAGGACAGAAAGCTATCTTATTTATTTTTGTAAAACCAACAGGCATAAGAGAAATTGCTCAATAAATGTTTCCTCACTGAATAAAGTTTAAGATTATTATCTATGTCTTAATAATAAGACACAGTCATAAACTTAAAAAATTTAGTTAAGAAACCTGTAATTTGAGTTATAAAGAAAAAAGGGCAAGTTATATATGAGGCTGGCTTTAAAAAAAAAATCAAATTAAGTTTTTGAGTAACATTCTGTTTGAAAAACACACTCCATGACTCCATATCACAATTCTCAGTAACGGTGTGATAGAACTGATTTTAGGAAGCCCAAAGAGGAAAACACAAATGGATACTATCAAAAACAGTCACATTACAATTGAAAAAATATGATTAATGTCTCTAGGTTAGATAATAATACTGCATCAAGTTTAGTTTCCTTGTTTTGACAACTGTTCTGAGGTCATGTAAAAAAACAAAGTCCTTCTTTTAGAAAATACAAACTGAAGTACTTACAGGTTAAAGTGCTATTATGTAATTAATTACTCTTAAGTGATTATAAAAAACAATCATTATACACATACACACATATATGCTCGGAGAAAAAACAGAGAAAAAGCAAATGTAGTGAAATGTTAACATTTGGAGAAACTGATGAAGGGTAGAGAGGAATTCTTTATACTATTTTTGTAACTATTTTATCTAAAACAATCTCAACTTAATCTTCAGAAAAGAAAATAATAATGAAAATGTCTAAAAGCAACCACACAAATATAACACAGAAATCCGTATCAAAAACATCTACTTGAATATGCATGAAACAACCTTCCATTTCTTTTGTGGAGGGCAACATACATCTGCAATTCCATAACAGAAGTGATTAAATAAACCTTTCTGAACTTAAACATAGACTTTCAGGTATGGAATTTATCTCTATCTCTAATATCCACAATGACTCAACTTGAATCTTAATATATATCTTAGAGAAAAGGGAATTAAACATAAAACATTAAATTGAAAATAATGTGAGAGTGATGTTTTTCAGTCTCTTGATGCACACACATTATCATTAGTTGAGAATCTAGTCATCCTTCTTGCCTTAAGTTGATTTGATTCTGAATGAAATACAGATAATTAGGAAATATTATAATGTAAAGAATGTCAATACTGTTAGCTTCTCTGCCAATTCAATGAATGATGAACATCAACGAGGATGCTGGGAAAAACTCATTGTCTACTCATTTTAAAAGTATATGGAAAATTGAGATGCATTAATTTTAAAAAAGCTGTTTGCATATCAAAAAGGAATATCAAATATAATTAACAAAATATACATGTTATCAAAGATTACAAAGTTAAAAAGAAACTCAAAATAGAGGAAAACATATCCTTACCCTATTGGGAAATCAACATCATCACCATGAGCTGTCATGTGATAAAGTCCAAATTTAGCCAATTTAATATGTCCCTATGATAATAAAGAAAAAAAACACTATCAAATAATTTATTATAATTGGCAACATATAATTTATATTATAAAATTATCATTATACATTTTATAACTAAAGAAACCATTATATAACAATATTTTATCAAAATGCCACTGTAGATTTTAAAAAATCATAATTTTATAAAAAACTATCTGCCAATAGTCTGCTTTATACTCATTAAATATGTATATATGCATATGTACACATATATATCTCAAAATGACAAATGACATTTTTCTTTAATATTTTTGCTGTTACATTGTCTAGTTATTTCACAAAACAAAAAGGCAAAAACATTCTCATCTGTCTTGAAACCTTGGTTAGAATGTTTTGTGGTAATTTTCACAGAGCAAATTTTTTTCCATGGAGTTGAAAGTCCATTTATAGTTATAATTTAACTGTGAAATAGGAAAACTTAACTTGAAAAGATCAGTTCAAAAATCATCAAGATTTTGGTGAATCTGCTAGATTTTCAATAACTTTTTATATTGTTTGAGAACAAAAATAACTATCATAAGTATAAGGCTCTTAATAAATGATAAATATAATTTTACATATTTTAAGTTTTTCCCTTTTAATCTATAAGGCTTTAAAATATTAAGTTGATCTTAAAATTGGTTTGTCTTCTCAAGAACATTATTTCCAAGCATTATAAAATATTTATATTTAAAAACAGCTTAAATTGATAAGGTAATGATTCTTTACTGCCATAAATCTGAAACTAATGAGTACAATTTTCTATTTTTGTGTTTGTGTGTTTGTTTTTTAGAGACAGGGTCTCACACTGTCATCCAGGCTGGAGTGCATTGGTGTGATTATAGCTCACTGCAGCCTCAAACTCCTGGGCTCAAGCAATGTTCTCATCTCAGCCTCCCAAGTATTGATTTGGGAAAAGAACCAGAGAACAAGGATAATCCTAACACAGCAAATAATGCCCATGAAAAAATTTCCTCCAAGTTGTTTTTATGTATTTTATGAAAAGGAATCAAATTACAATTATTCCTGAAAATATATAACCTTACTATCCATAATTCTCTTTGAAGGGTTTACAAGCTTCTTCTTAATGCCCCATAAGATTTCCAGTAGAGAAACAGCACTTCAATAGTAAAAGGAGGTAGGCATGAACAGTTGGTAAATAAGGAGATAAATAGAAGAGGAAAGAAGGCAGAAGAAAAATAGAGAAAACACAATGCAGTTGGTTTATATGAATAACATTCTAGCAAAAAGAGCCATTTTCTTAAAAATGAAAATAAATTAAGAGGAGGAGTATACTGGGACGCCACAAGGCTTTAGAAATAAGAGTAAAATAAAAAAACCATAAAGTTAGAAAATGGGTCTTGTGGGAAAAATAATCCATGTGAAAGATATACAGATTAAATAATTTAAGGATTATTTAATCCTTAAATTCAAAAACCACAGTTACATCACTTTCATATAGACTTTTCATTATGAATATTCTTAAAACATATTCTGATTCTATTGTTCCTCTGACTGAGTAGCCCTGATCCCAGTTGCTTCCAATTTCAAATGATATATAAATATTTATTACATGATTTAACAATTACCTTTCGGTCCAACAGGATATTATGAGGAGACAATGCCCTGTGTACTATACCATGTTTGTTCATATACTGCAAGCCCTGAAGAACCTCAAATGCTATACACAAAACCGTTGAACAGCTACAAAGAAAACAAAAAGTCAAAGATCAATTACAAAGCAAATAAATAACTTGTTTTAACAAGTGAAATGTGACCTAGTGAAAATATTCAAAAAGTTATATTTTTATTGCTCCTCTTTTATTCTGAGAAAATAGAATCTATATATTTTCTAAAATATCTACCTCTACATATTTTAGGTTTTCTGATTATAACAGAATTAATCTGACAAAGATCCTACAGTTTCCTAAAGGCTACTGTAATAGCAGTATTTGGTTCTTCCACGAAAGGGCTTTAATTTTGGTGGTGAGTGCAACTAACCTATAGCAGGTTTGGCTTCGCCAAATTATCAGGTTAAGTTTCAAGTATATGGCAGAACTAAGTCACTAAAAACTATTTTGCTCAATACAAAATACCTAAGCCCCCGAAAAAAGTAGTAACAATATATTTTATGGTATACAAACACTAGCTTATTTTCCATATTCAACCTATAAAGCAATCTCTGGTCATTTATGATTTAGCAAACTTTTCTCTTTAATTCTTATCCTATCCTCTACAAGCCATCCTTCACACAGATATCCTCCAGTTTCCTTCTCCTTTTCCCTCCTTGTCTCTCTCACCAACCATCTCCCTAATTTTTTTTCCAATTTGCAAGTCTACTCATGCAAATTATCAGGAAACAGGTACTGTATTTGGGTAAATACTGCTACTTAGCAGTAGTAAGTAGGATTTGGAACATGTTTTAATTTTTATTATTACACTTTATAAAGTATGGATTGTTCATTTGCAGACATTGGTGCCTGCATTAAAATATTTTCTTGTCAACATTCCTTTTCTTTTTGAAAAGT
Source organism: Homo sapiens (assembly GCF_000001405.40). Taxonomy (NCBI): domain Eukaryota; kingdom Metazoa; phylum Chordata; class Mammalia; order Primates; family Hominidae; genus Homo; species Homo sapiens. The sequence continues at coordinate 106,263,037 of NC_000004.12, forward strand.
TCAAATCTCAGAGCATAAGACAAATGTAATACTCACATACAATTAACCTAGCTTTATTAATTATCCTCTAATGTTTTAATCAAAAATTGTTCACATAGGAAATTTCCCCATACCTACAATATTAACATTTTCCTTTCTATCCATTTTTTTTAAATTTTTCTAAAATTAAATTAGTGTTTGCAGATAGCCACTAAACATAATTTTTAAAACCAATAGTAGAGATAATATGGAATAATAAAAAATATTCAATCCACAAACAGGCAGAATAAAAGGAAAAAAGAACAGAACAAATAGAAAATGACTAATAGATTAAGTACAAATGGTCTCAATTCACCAATTAAAACATAAGGATTGTCAGATTTGATAAGAATTTAAACTCAGCTATACTCAGTCTATGAGAAACGCACTAAATAAAAGACATAGGTTAAAAGTTAAAAAATGGACTAACAGATTGCCATGGGCTTGGGTGGGGGGTAGGTGGACTACAAAAGAGTATGAGAAAGTTTTGTGGCATGAGGGAACTGTTCTATCCTTGATTTTGATGATGGTTACATAATTTTGTTTATCAAACTCATTAAACTTTACATAAAACAGGGTAAATGTTAAGGTATGTAAATTATACCTTAATAATCCTGACTTTAAAAAATACTAGATTGAATAAAATTTTTACAAAAATAATTGTTGCAACCTGATTCTCTCTCCGAAATTAAAACCAAAAGAAATAACCAGAGATAAAAGCTAAAATTTGCCTCTATGATCCTAGTTTGACTTTCCAGAGGGAATCAGCAGGTTTTGTTTTCAATTCTTCTGGTGGTTAGATTTTTACTTACTTACTAACTCTTCACTATGCAAGAGGATATAATTGACGTATTTTCACAACTTTCCTATTTTTCTTCCTCAAGTCCTTTTTATTACATTGTTTTACATTAACAAATTTTATTTTACATTATCAAATAATCATCAGCAGGTAGTTTTCAATTCTGGTGGTAGACTTTTACTTAATATAACTAACTCTTCATTCTGCAAGAGGATACAGTTGTCATATTTTCACAACTTCCCCAATTTTCTTCCCAAACTTCTTATCTGTATTCATTATATTGTTTTTACATTATCAAACAGTAAGTGGGATAAAGGAAACCTACACTCCTTTCTGGAAGGTGAAACAAATAAGTAAATAGATAATGTGACATGTAGTGATTAAATGAAGAAAAAAAAATGAAGTAGGGAAGACAGATAATGTGGTCAGGGAAGTCCTCACTGAGGTGACACTTATGTAGAAATCTAAAAGAAGTAAAAAAGACAGGTAGGTCTCTGGAAAATGTATGATTCGGGCAGAGGCCACAGCAAGCAAGTCCTGAACTGGTATAAAGTCAGCAGCTCACAAAAGTGTATTCAGTGCGTGCAGTAGAATGAGCAAAGATTAAAGTGACAGGAGATAAGCTCAGAGAGATAGCTATGAGTCAGAAGACGTAAGGCCCTTTAGGCCACTTTAAGACCTTTGGGCTTTTACTCTGAGAAAGATGGGAAGTGATTGGCACATTGCCATATGATAATAATGATTAACACATATTTACTGTAGAACTAAGCACAGAAAGAAATAGAAACCTAGGCCACTTAAACCCTAGCTGTCAAGAGAAAATGTCTCAGTCATCAAGATTTAACGGATACCATAATTTTATAACTCTATTTATGAAGATTATCATCAGCTACTATAATTTTTATATCTCATACTATTTTTAAATTTCTTTTTTGTTTAGCTATAAGACATCTTGAGAAATTGTTTCATACAGAGAGCATGAGTAGAATATTTTCATGCACGGCGCATCTGAAAATATCTTATTCTTGCCTTTAAACTTGGAAAGAATTACTCCATTGTCTTATAGCATTCTTTATTAATGGCGAGAAGGCTAGTATCAGTCTGTTTCCAACTTTGTTGCAGACATCCTGTCACTCTTCCCTGGGAAGTTTTGAGGATTATTTTTACTTTATCCCTAGAGTTATAATATTTCAGCCCAATATGTCTAATGTGGGCATATTTGTGCCAGTCATCATTAAGCATGTACTTTCAATCTGAAGACTCACATGTTCCATTAACACAGAAATATTCACAAGGAAAATTTGATTTGCTACATCTTTCACTGTTTTCTCTCTCTTTTTCTCTAAGTTGGAACTCTTAGTAGACAGATGATAACTGGAACTATTTTTTTAATTTAATTTTTTTGAGGATATAGCAGGTATATATATCTATGAGGTACATGAGTTTTGATACAGGCACAAAATGAGTAATAATCACACCATGTAAAATGGGGTGTCCCCCCGAAGTATTTATCCTTTGTGTTATAAAGAATTCAATTGTACTTTCAGTTATTTTAAGATGTACAATTATTATTGACTACAGTCATCCCGTTGTATTAACTTTCTGTTTTAAGAGCATAATCTTTAGTCCTATCTATTATATAACTTAATTCCAGGAGAGAGAGAGATCCAGAGATCCAAAGAGAGAGAGAGAGAGCAAGAGGGAAAGAGACAGAGAGAGAGTGAGAGAAATCCAAACCATTAATTTCCAGCATTTCTATTATGTCCTCTAGTTGTTCCTTGTCGATAGATACTGTTCTTTGGTTATGGATACATCATTCCTTTGAGTATCTCTGAGAATAGTTAGAAGTCTTTTAATTCTGGGAAAAGAGTATTATCTTCATTTCCTCTATGGTGAGTACTCCCTCTCCACCCCATCTCCAGGCTCTGTTTTTCTCGAACTATTTTTTTACCTCAAATATTACCTCTGGTAATCCGATCCCTGGTTGTCATATTTTGAAGTAAAGGAATAAGCTGATATTCCCCATAATGTGTGTAAAAAAGAAGCAATGAGGGTTACTATTTATAAAGAATGCTATTTAAATTGACTGTAAAATATTCCTTTTTATCAAATAATTTCTCCCATATTAAAGTGCCATATCACTGAGTCTTAAACAAATAGGGAATGTGTGAAACAAGCATAATTTGGGATAAACAGAGTTTTCATAAACATCTTCAAAAAATAAACTAACTGTATAAATGGCAATATTCCAAACTTAAAAAAAATTATTTGTAACTTATCAATAGTTATAGAGGCAAAGATTTTATGTAAAAGCACAATTACATTGATAAATATGTGCACATGAAAGAAAACAAAGTCTTCCCCTTAAAAAAAAAGAGAAACATTCCCTGAGATTAGCAAAATGTAAACCTAGTTTTATGAACTCATTTGGCTCTACAAGTCAATTTTAGAGTAGCTTCTCTTGTTCTTGTCTGTTTCTCACACAACTCACAAAAAACTGATGCCATATTCAGCTATGACACTAGAGGACCTCAGCTGCATACTACTTCAATATAGATGTCTTTCTCATGAAATTAAAGCCAAACCTTTAAAGTGATTTTCCCATTGAACAAGTTCTGAAACTACTGAACACATAGACTGCATTTTCTACTCTCTATACTGTGCTTTTGCTAATTGTGAGCTATTAGACATTAGACTTGCATGTCAAAAAGCACATTCATGTTAAAAATGAGCTGATGAACATGCATACCAAAATAATTTTTAAAAATTCAAACATAAATGACATACCGTTTCTTAGCTATTACTTGAGAGTACATGTCAATTACAATCTGATTTGCTTTTCTGTCCTTTCATATTCTCAGAATTTGATTTTTTAATTTGTTTTAAAATGTAAGGTATAAAGAGGAACAAAAAATGCTATTTTATACCATGAGAAGAACAAATCAGTATTTGCAGAATTTTATGTACTTACTAGCTTTTTAAGTTATATTCTTTAATACTACCAATAACTTGGGTCATGAAATTTTTTAAGTAGCTAATGCAACAGCAAAGTAAAACTATCATATGTCTAGTAGTAGTTAACATGTTACAGTTTAATTGAACATGGACACTAAAAGAAGATTTAGGATTAAGAGAATTAGATTCACACAGTTATATAAAAAAGATACTGACAGGGGACAATGGGACTTTATCCTACACAATTCCCAAGTGAGAATCTTGTTAAATAGACAAACCCGTCAGTAACCAAGAAAATGTAAAATTATACTTTAAATCAAAAAATATTCTACTCCTTTTGACATTTTTCAGTAATTATTGTTACTTCAGGGCCTGGGTGGCTAGCGTTTACTTTGTCATCATTGTCCTGAACAACTGAACATAAGAATCCCTAGTGATTATAAATACAGATAAGACCAAAAGGTAGCTTTCAAAATAATATAATTGATAACTCCCAATAAAGCAAGATTACATTTGAGGACATTTTTACTTATATTAAAACATATCAATTGAGTGGCTATTTGTTTGTTACTGAATTTTTGGGCCCACAATTACCAAGAAGAAGAATTGATCTGCACTACAAACAAGCCTATAGTATACTTAGAAGGACAGATTTACAAACTGATAATTATAATATAAGCAATTAACTAAGCAGATAAGAATTATTCATCATTTTCCTTTGTCTTCAAAGAAAAATAAAACATAAAAATTTACTTATAACATTGGTGAGACCAAAAGAGACCTACAAAAGTCATAAATCTTGGGAAAGTAAGCTTAAAATCTAAAAGAGAAAAACACTATCACCACCACCACCATCACCAAAAAAGATGTTGATAGTTTCTAGGTATGAGTCAACTTGGTTGTATTTGGATTTTCAACATGGCTCAATAAATTTTCAAATCTATTAGGTTGGTATAATCCCAAGTATATTTTTTTATCCCTTTCCAGATATATTTCAAAGGCAATTTACTGTCTTCATGATTAAATCGTCCATAAATCATCTCTAGTTGTTGGTTAAAACATACTGAGGCCAAGATCATGGATTTAATTCTTAAGCAGAATGGAAGACTTCGTATGTTCACAGCCACAGGTTTTCATCTAACCCCAGCCAATACTCCCAAATACAGATAGTCTGTCACAATGAGACACTGCACAACCTATATTTACTTAAAACATCCAAATTTTTAACTACTACCTCCTATACTTCTCTGTTCCTCATTCCTGAGGACCCACTCTTTAAGCTCATCAAGACCTTGGGGTCCCTGTTCTCTAAGCCTCCTCTGTTACCCCAGCCAAGTGGCCCCTTTTTGACATCATTCTTTATTCTGACAGATATGGTTTGCCATTTCAATAATTTTTTGCAAAGATCCTTAATGGGTTCTCATTCAATGGCTCTCCCTTGTGGTAGAATTGAACTCCCTTTCTTGATTTCCGACAGTACACAGTTGAGGGTTTCTAGATTTTATGGTAATTATTTCTATATAAGCTTGTCTTTCCCACTGTATCTTGAGTATGGACTAGCTTATTCAACTATGACTCCGTATATCTATCAGTGTCTGTAATGTGCATGTTCAATAAGCATGTATTAAAAATAGGTGTTAAAATACATATATAAAATAATATCACACAATGGTACAAGGGGGAAAGATAATTAAATTCTCTACCACTAATAGAATAACACCTCAAGATAGAATGTATAATCTTTTAGTTAGTCAAGAAAACACAAGATGCTCAAGTTCACCCAATGGCTATCCACAAAAAAAATTCATTTGCTGAAAATACAACTCTTCTAGTCTTTTATTTACTGAAAGAAACAGGAATAAATCAGGATATACTGGGTAACAGGATAATCTTGTTAATATCTGTCTAAAACTGTAAATTAGACTAAATTGTTGAGAGAGATTACTACTGGCCTCAAACCATCAGCTCTTTTAGGTATCTGCAACATTTCCAAGAAGAGATGTTACTCAAATTGCAAGAAATAGGGGCCAGGAAAGAGAATGAGAGGTCAAGGTTGCTGAGATAGATTTGGAAATCATTCATGTATAAGTGATAACTAAAACCACACATGCTATTTCCTCAGATCCATGATCCATGATATTTCTAAGGGCCACTCCACAAGCCAAAACACCCATAGTGTCAGCTAACCAAGGGAGGAAACACATTTCTGCATTCTATGAGTTCAAGATGTTCTTTCACCTTATAAAACCTGATCACTCCCACAGAAATTTTCCTTTTGGTCTAAAACATTCCTTACTTGGTATCAGCCTGAATTAAAATGTTAAGAGAGAGGAAATACAGATGAAATATATTAATGGTTAGCTACTGTGTAATTTAAGAAATGGAGAGGAAAAATAAAATGCTTACTAATGATTAATGTTCAGATAATATTACAAGTGAATAATTCTGTGCTATCTTCAAAGAAACTTTCCTTTATAACTTGAACACAAAAGAGCTCAGCTAGTATATAACTTTTAAAGACTCATTAGTTTATAATTCCAGAATTTGGGGAGGGTGTTTCCAATGATGAGCTAGTGTCTTTGAGGCTTTTAATTTGACACTTATCACTTACTAAATTTTGATGTTTTGTAAAAAAATACCACAATATTTAACAGAGCAAAAAGGATGAAAAATACAACAGTTTCTGGAATTGAAAAAGGAAATAACACATTTCAGTACTGGGCACACATGTTTTAGCCTGAAAGGACACAACTATCCATGCTAAATTTAAGAATGTATTTGCCTCAGATTCAGATGTTTTGAAATGGAAATTGCATTGATAAACTGCTACCTAAAGATTGTTTTATAGTAAGTCTAAAAAAAGTAATCAGTCCATCTGACTTTCAGTTGTGAGACTAGGCATATTTTACAATTTAGCTTTAACTCCAAAATAATCAAAATAGAACCCTGTAAGTCTGGAATGTGTCTAATTCTCAACAGGAGACAATAAATTGGGAAATTAACTTTCCAACTTGAATACTAGATAACTTTTCTTCTCAGCAGAAAATTAACTTGGTAAAATCAAATACATATGGAAAACATAGTCTAGCGGTTTGAGGTTCAGACATAAAGCCAGGAGGCTCTGTCACTGATTTGTTATGCTTAGACAGTGTTCCAACTTCACCCTGCCTCCATTTGCAAATTTATAAAGTAAAAAATGTAACACCAAACAGAAGCTAAATGGAGATCAATGAGCTATCGGCCCTGCACAGAATCTTAATCATCTTAAAAGCAAAACAAAATAAACAAAAAGTCCAAGTCTCCCTCAAAAATCCCAGGGTTTTTCTGAAACTATACAATATATTTTGTTATATCATATGTATATATCCTATAAATTAACAAAAATTGCAAGTTGAGTTCTCCAACTATTCTCCTGACATAACTGAATCAGAAGAACCGTTTTCTAACTTCTCTGTGAGAATAAAATCACCATTTGATACACAGGTCTGGAGGATCTCAAGATTGGCTGCATATTTCTGCCCCATCAATGTTTTCTTCTCCTAAGCATTTTTTCCTATCCTTGCACAGAAACTTCAAAACCTCTTTTGTCATCATAGTCACTAATTCTGGCTGTGCAAACACACTAGGTAATAAGTCCAACTCCCCATACCCTGGCAGCATTTGGGATGTTGGAAGACTGCAACTTTTCTCTAAGACAGAACTTATCATGGCATATAGTGGGTTAAATCTGTACCCTGCATCATTCCAAAGTTGTTTTTTAAATTAAAATTAATGTATATATTGCCATGTGAAAAAAAGAGAAACAAATTTCTATTACTGTTCAGAATTTTGATTTGAGACCAATTCACATTTTTAAGTGGACTAATATTTTAGATGACTAATTTATCACCCTACCCATCTCAAATAATGAATGGGAGAGGGCCTGAATAATATGGATTGCTTATTACAGCATCTGCAAGACAGCATATTGTAAACAAAAGTTTGTCAAACTGAAATGTTCAGTTAAATAAGTATTGGTCTGTCTTAAGTAACTTATGACCAGTATGATTGCTGAAAAAACCCTATTTACCACGTCCCTTGTATTTGTCAGCAGTTGGGGTGATACAGTGATTATATTTAGATCAGAAAATCCAAAAATAGCCAAATTTTATTCTTAACTACTTCTACTAGACTCCATAAGCTTCCTATGATTCATAAATAGGAAGGCAGACAAAGCAAAATAATACTTTAATAGCCAAAGCTTTGTCTCCAAATTTTAATGTAGAACTCTGAGTTCTGCTTACCTATATAAATAAATACTTTTCCCTAAACCAGATCACCTTGAATTAGTTAGTTCTGTCTATTTCACCTAACCTTGAACTAGACTTTCAGTTCTCAATACTATGATATAAGGAAGATCATACCAATTACAGCAAGCTTCACAAAAAAGAGTAAGAAAAAGCTCTTATCCATATAATCCCATAATGACCCAGGAATACTGTGTAAAAATTGGAGAATAGTTATCTTTTACCAATTCACAAAAAATATAATATTAATAAATATGGATTCTTAATTTTAGGTTCTCCTGTGTGTGTTGTTTTCTTGTGCAATATCTGCAATCACTTATTTCAACCAGAATCTATAAGATGGTAGCTAATTTAGCTCAAATACTTTAAAACTGTTCTTAACAGTGGTGGCTCACACCTGTAATCCCAGCACTTTGGGAGGCCAAGGCAGGAGGATCACCTGAGGTCAGGAGTTCCAGACCAGACTAACCAACATGGCAAAACCCCATCTCTACTAAAAATACAAAAATTAGCCATGTGTGGTGGTGGGAGCCTGTAATCCCAGCTACTTGGGAGGCTGAGGCAGGAGAATTGCTTGAACCCAGGAGGCAGAGGTTGCAGTGAGCTGAGATCGCGCCACTGCACTCCAATCTGGGCGATAGAGCAAGACTTTGTCCCAAAAAAAAAAAAAAACAAAACAAAAAAACAACTGTTCTTAAGTTGTATAAGTCAGTATCTCATATTGTTCTACAAAGAGCACATTGATTTCTAGGTTTCCCACCAATGGAAGAATTTTAAGAACCTTTCATCAAAAGCAATGGTACAGAATCACCTTAAGGGCTCATTAATATAGATACTGCTGGGTTCTACTCCCTGCAATTCTGATATAGTATCTAAGATGAGTCCCAAGAATTTATATTTCTAATAAGTTCCCAGGTGATAATGATGATGAACCACACTTTGAGAACCGCTGTCGTAGAAGGCGAATATAAATGAACCTGTTTCACTTTCAGGTATACAGGAAGGTATAGTATAGAACAAAGATAATAGGTTTTAGATTTAAACAGAACAAAGTTTAAACCCCTGGGCTATCTTTTTCTAATTGTCATCTAACCTCTAAGTATCTTTCTTAATCTTTAAAATGAAGTAATAATAACCGCCAGTACAGCTATGTGGTAAAGTTTAAATATAACATGCTTATAGAGCCTGGTATAAAGTAGGTACTCAAATATTGGTTTCTTTCCGTGCTACATACGTTTCTTAATGTGTGTATAGCCCCCATCATCCTTTCTCTTCCAAGAATAAGTTCATAGAAAGAACTCATCAACTTAATTTCTTTTGACGCTGATGACAATTTTTTTTTCAACTAAGAAAATATCTAGGCTTACTCAGCTCCAAAGTCATTGTTTATTTAATTTTTTTTTTTTTTTTTTTTTGAGACAGAGTCTTGCTCTGTCGCCCAGGCTGGAGTGCAGAGGTGCGATCTTGGCTCACTGCAAGCTCCGTCTCCCAGGTTCATGCCATTCTCCTGCCTCAGCCTCTCGAGTGGCTGGGACTACAGGCGCATGCCACCACACCCAGCTAATTTTTTTTTTGTATTTTTAGTAGAGATGGGGTTTCACCGTGTTAGCCAGGATGGTCTCAATCTCCTGACCTCGTGATCTGCCCACGTCGGCCTCCCACAGTGCTGGGATTACAAGCAAGAGTCACCTCGCCTGGCCTCTTTAACTTTTAACTACAGTTAAGGGTATTTTGCATATAGCAAAGATGTAATAGAATATAAGCAAAGCAAACCAATCGCGTGGGTAAGTACAGGGTAAAAGTTTAAAATTTAAATCCCAATTATGGGTTCACTTAACTGAATAGTCTAGTAGGTCCCATTGAATAACCTGGTATTTCTACCTACCTACAGTAACAGTTAAAATAATAGCAATGATAAAGATAACCATACCACAACCACTACTATAAGTATAGCCCTTTAATAGGTCTATCCACCTTTTGTAATATACAGATTTTTAAGTCACAAACTTTGTGACTAAATTAAAGACTGGGTCTGGATAAATGGATGAAAATTCAACCCTTGGCTTTACAATTGTAACTATAACAACAAAATGTAAAAGGAATACAACTTAAGATGAAGTTCCTCTTGAAAAGATCTGATATTAACTGGGATATCTAAATCTTAGACATAATAAATTTTTATACAAATCATATGAGATATATGCCTCACAGCAATGACTTTGAAACAACAAAATAAAACTTTTTTTCCTGACCTCTTTTCTAAAGAAAATGAACTTTGTTTATAGGGGCAGCAAGTAGAATTGAAATCTAACAGAAAATCTTTTCTGCATTTGAAATAATATTTTTAGAGTATGTATCTTTTGTTTATTTGCTGGTTAGCTTGTCTGAAAGGAGGCCCCCAAAAAGATTTGTGCACATCCTCACCCCTGGCACCTCTGAATGTTACCTTATTTGGAAAAAGGGTGTTTTCATTTGAGAAAATCATCCTGGATTATCCAGGTAGGCTCAAAATTCAATGTCGAGCGTTCTTATAAAAGGGAGACACATAGACGAGAAGACACACAAAGAAGGTGATGTGAAGACAGGGGCAAAGATTGAAGTGATGTGGCCACAAGCCAAAGAAGCCAAGGAATGCCAACAGGCACCAGAAACTGGAAAAGGAACAGAAGGATTTTTATTGAAAGCCTCCAAAGGGGGTGTGACCCTGCCAACACAGTAAGTTTTCTGAATTCTGGCCTCCAGAGCTGAGAGAGAATAAACGTCTGTTATTTTAAGCTACCTAATTTGTTGCAGTAGCCATAGAAAACTAATAAAATGTTCCAACTTTCCATCACATGTTTGGTCTTTCGAAATAGCCCCCATCCTGAAGCTAGAGGCTTTCAAGTGTCACCTCATCAGAATACTCAGCTATGGCTTAAAGAAGCCATCATGAATAACAAGTCAATCCTATTACTCAGGAAATTCCAAGGGTTTTTGAAGCTCTGGGCCAGGAACTTGGGACAAAGAACAATACATTATTGTTTATATTAGGGAAATGCAAATGAAAACTACAGTGAGATACTACTTCATACCCACTAGGATGTCTACAATCAAAAGATGAAAAATAACAAATGTTGGTAAGGATGTGAGGTAAATGGAACCTTTGTGCATTGCTAGTGGGATAGTAAGTGGTAGGGCTATCTTTGGAAATGGCTTGTCAAAGAGGTAAACATAGAATTACCATTTGACCTAAAATTTCCATTCCAATATGAACTAAAAGCAGGTATTCAATCAAATACATATGAATGTTCATGGCAAAATTAGTCATAACAGCCAAAAGGTAGAAACAATCCAAATGTCCATCAACCCATAAATGAATAAACAAACTATGGTAAAGACATACAGTAGAAAATTAGCAATACAAATAAATGAAGTACTAATACATGCTATAACATGGACGAACCTTAAAAACATTATGCTAAGTGAAAGAAGCTAAGCACAAAAAGTCATATACTGTATAATTCCATTTATATGAAAAGGTCAGGGTAGGTAAATTCATACAGGAAGTAAGTGGATTAGTGGTTTCCAGGGGTGGGGAGAGAGAAGGCGAGGGACTGCTCATTCTTTTTTGGAGTGATGAAAATGTTCTAGAATTAGACAATGGTGATGGCTGTACAATCTTGTGAAGTGGCTCTTTAAGAGCCACTGAATTTTCCCTTTCATAACCATGAATTTTTAACAGGTGAATTACATCTCAATTTTAAGAATTCAAAATCAGCTGAGCATGGTAGCACAGGCCTGTAATCTCAGTGCTGTGGGAGGCCAAGGTGAGAGGATCACTTGAGCCCAGGAATTCAAGACAAGCCTGGGCAACACAGCAAGAGCCCATCTATACCAAAAAGCTTTAAAGTATGTAGGTGTGGTGGTGTGTGCCTGTAGTCCCAGCTACTTGGGAGGGTGAGGCAGGATTGCTTGAGCCCAGGAGTTAGAGGTTGCAGTGAGCTATGATCATACCTGGATGACAGAGCAGGATCCTGTCACACATACACACAAAAAAAGAATTCAAAATCAAAGCAATTTACATATTCATTAAAGAAGAAAAATCATATCATAGTCTCAATAGAGATTCAAAAACACATTTAACAACATTAAATACTTCTGATTTTAAAAACCCTTAGCCAATTAGAAATATAAGAGTACCTAACTCAATCTGATAAAAGGCATATATAAAAACCTTACAGCTAAGACCGTATATAATGGTGAAATACTTAACATTTTTCCCTGAGATAAAAAACTAGGAAATATTGACCATTCAATATTTGTATTCAGCATTGTAGTGGAGGTCCTATCTAGTGAAATAGGTCAAGAACAAGAAATATAAGCCATAAAGGTTAAAAAAGAAGTTGTAAACATTTCTATTCAACAATGATATGGTTGTTTATGTAGAAAATCCTAAGGAATCCACCAAAAAACTATTTCAACTAATAAGTAAATATAATGTAGCAAAGTTACAGAGAAAGTGTCAATATAAAAAATTCACATATTTCTATATATTAGCAGCAAACAATTGGAAAATAAAACTAAATTTTACCTACAATCATATCAAAAACATAAGCTACTTAGGAAAAAATTTTTAAAAAGTAAAGCAAGAACTCTACATCATAAACTATAAAACACTGTTGAGAGATACTAAGGAAGACTTAAAAATTTGGAGAGAAATAACATGTTAATCTAGTGGAAGACTCAATATTTTTAAGATATCAGTTCTTTCCAAATTGATCCATACATGCAACGCAACCTCAATCAAGATGCCAACAGAAATTTTAGAAATTGAGAAACTTACTATAAAATTTATATAAAAATACAAAGAACCAAAAATAGCTAAAGCAATCTTGAAACAGAAGAACAAAATTGGAAAATCTATATTTACTGACTTGAAGATTTACTATAAAGCTATAATCATCAAGATGTTATGATGCTGGCATAGGAACAGAAAAATAGAGCAATGAAATAATACAAAAAGCTCAGACACAGATCTATACTTATATGGCCTTTTAATTTTCAATAATGGCACCAAAGGAATGCAATCAAAAATGAAAATTCTTTTAAACGATCAGAGGTAAGGCAACTGGATATCAGTATGGGAAAAAGTAACCTCAACACTATATACAAATATTAAATTGAGATGAATCATAGAGCCAACATAAAATCGAAAACTATAATGATTCTAGAATAAAATATGGGAATATCTTCATGACTTCGGAGTAGGCAAAGGTTTCTCAAACAGGATATAAAAAGCAGTAACCACAGAAGAAAAATTTGACACATTAGACTTGATCACAAACTGTAACTTTTAAGCTGGGTGCAGTAGCACACACTTGTAGTCCCAGCTATTTGGGAGGCTGAGGCAGGAGGACTGCCTGAACCCAGAAGTTCGAGACCAGCCTGGGTAACACAGTGAGAGCCTATCTCTAAATACAATAATAATAATAACTTCTGCTCATCAAAATATATCTTTAAAAAATAGGCAAGCCTGGCCAGGCGCAGTGTGGCTCACGCCTATAATCCCAGCACTCTGGGAGGCTGAGGTGGGTTGATCACCTGAGGTCAAGAGTTCGAGACCAACCTGGCCAACCAACATGATGAAACCACATATCTACTAAAAACAAAAATTGGCCGGCCGTGGTGGAGGGCCCCTGTAATCCCAGCTACTCAGGAGGCTGAGGTAGAAGAAACACTTGAACCCAGGAGGCGGTGCAGTTCCAGGCACACTCCAGCCTGGGCAAGAGTGAGACTCCATTATAAAATAAATAAAATAAAATAAATAAATAAAATAAAATGGCAAGCCAAAGAGGCAGAAAATATTTGCAAAAAAATCTAACAATATGTATGTAGAATATAGAGAATACACAAAGAATGCCTACAAATCAATAATGAGAAACAATCCACTTAAAATGACAAAAAATTGAACAAATACATATGTGATGATATGAATACCTAATAAGCACATGAAAAATACTCAATATCCTTTGAATATCATGGGAATGCAAAGTAAATCTATAACGAAATACTACTTTATACCTTGTACAAATGGCTAAAAGTAAAAGACTAAAAGCATCAACTCCTGGAAAGGATGTGGAGAAATTATATATTGTTGGTGAAAATATGTAAAAGGTATAACATTTTGGAAAAAGGTCTAATGGTGTTTCTATAAAATATTAGTCATACACATGATTAATATCCTATAACACAACAATTCTGCTCAAAGTATTTCCTCATGAAAAATGAAAACAGAAGGCCACAAAAAAAAGACTTAACAGGGCATTTATATCAGCTTTAGTCATAATAGCCAAAACCCTGAAAATAGCCAAGAAGTTCAACAAGAGAAAATTGAAAAACAAATATATTTATAAAACACAATACAACTCAGCAACAAAAACAAATGAACTATGATACATGAAACCACATGGATGACCCTCAGAAATTATGCTGAATGAAGGAAGAAGTCTTACACAAAACAGTATATACTGAATGACTCCAATAATATAAAGTGCTAGAATAAACAAAACTAACCCACGATTAAAAAATCAGAAAAGTAGTTGCTTGGAAACTGCAGGAGGGGAGGTGCAGAGATTTACTGGGAAGGGACATGAGGAAAATTTCTCAGATAATGGTGGTAATCTAGTCTTAATGCATTTAGTTTATAAAAGTGTATACATTTGTAAAAACACATCAAATGTAAACTTAAAAAGTTTGTGTACTTCACCAAATGTAAATTTAACCTAAAACTAAAACATAAACACATATTGAAATGTAGTTAGTTGTATACATGCTAAACTATTTAGGAATGAAGTGTCCTCATATCAGCAATTACTTTGAAATACATCAAAATAATAAAGATGGGTTAAATTTAGCTACAATTAAATGTTAAAATAGTTAAAGTTAGTTTTAATTAAAATGTTAATTAGAAAATCTAGGTATATTGCATAATTATTTCAATTTTACTATTTGCATTTTTTCATAAAATAATAGCCAAGAAAAAGTAAATAAGGTAATATGAAGGCATTTTCAGATGACCAAAATCTGTGAGAATTTGTAAGTATCTGACTTGATCTAAAAAAGTACAAAACTAAATGAAGTTTTTCAGGCAGAAAGGACAGGATATCAAACTTGAATCAAAACAAAGAAATAAAGAGTTCATGGGCTGGGCGCGGCACCTCATGCCTGTAATCCTAGCATTTCGGGAGGCCGAGGCAGGTGGATTGCCTGAACTCAGGAGTTAGAGACCAGTCCAAGCAACATGGCGAAACCCCATCTCTACTAAAAATACAAAAAATTAGCCAGGCCTGGTGGTGCGTGCCTGTAATCCCAGCTATTCGGGAGGCTGAGGCACAAGAATTGCTTGAACCCAGGAGGCAGAGGTTGCAGTGAGCCCAGATCGTGCCACTGCACTCCATCCTGGGCAACAGAGTGAAACTCTGTCTCAAAAAAAAAAAAAAAAAAAAAAAAAAGAGTTCATGAAATGGCAAATACATAATTAAATGGAAAAGAATTTTTTCTTCATTTCTCAAAGTCTTTAAAGAAACTTTAATGCCAAAAATAGTACAGATACATGGTGAAATGTATAATATATGTAAAAGTAAATATAAAATGTATAACAAAACTACCCAAAAGATGAGAGGAGTAAATAGAAGTATGTCATTATAAGATTCCTATCTTATATGTGAATGGGTATAATCAACTCATAAAACACTATAAATTTTAAGGATGCATAATGTAAACTCTATTGCAATAACCCAAAAAATAAAATATAGCTAAGAAGAAAAGATAAAAGACAAAATAAAATGAAACAACAAAAAAAACCTCTGAGTCTCTTGTAGCCTAATTCCAAGTGCTTATTTAGTTGTAATCCTTCTACCCTCACACTTTATTATTTATTAACTCAGTAGTTTCTGCTCTTCAGATAATTCCCAACAGGAAATTAGACTAGTTAATTTAATGGATATAGACCTTTTCTATACCTTTTATGGATATAGACAATACCACAAAATAAAATTCAAAATGTTCCTTTGAAGTCAGGGCAACTCCTAATTACTAATCTCCTACCTGAGTCAATTTACTGAAGTTTCCTCGCTAACTGAAGGAACTGATTGAATACAGAAAATATAGTCAGTAAATGAACCTTGTAAAAATTCATCACTGAGGTTACACACAGATGATTTTTTAAAATTTTTTTAATTTTAATTTTTGTGCATATACAATAGATACAAATATTTATGTGGTACATGATATATTCTGATAAAGGCATACAATGTGTAATAATCATATCAGGATAAATGGGTTATCCATTACCTCAAGCATTTATCCTTTATTGGTATTAGAAACAATCCAATTATACTATTTCAGTAATTTTAAGATGTACAATAAATTATTGTTGACTATAGTCACAATGTTGTGCTATTAAATACCAGATCTTATTCATTCTAATTATGTTTTTGTACTGATTGACTACCCCTATTTCATCCCCACAGCCCCACTACCCTTTCCAGCCTCTGGTAACCATCCTCTCTATCTCCATGAGTTCCAATAAACAGGTGAGAACATGTAAAGTTTGTCTTTCTGTCCCTGGCTTATATCATTTAACAAAATGACCTTCAGTTTATTCTATGTGGTTGCAAATGACAGGCTCTAATTCTTTCTTATGGCTGAATAGTACTCCATTGTGTATATGTACCATATTTTCTTTACCCATTCATCTGTTAATGGACAGTTAGGTTGCTTCCAAATCTTGGCTATTGTGAACAGTGCTGCAACAAATATGGGAGTGAAGATACCTTTTTGATATACTGATTTCCTTTCTTTTGGGTATATACCTAGCAGTGGGACTGCTGGATCATATGATAGCCTTATTTTTAGTTTTGTTGAGGAACCTCCAAACTGTTCTCCATAGCAGTTATACGAATTTACATTCCACCAATAGCGTAAAAGGGTTTCCTTTTCTCCACACCCTTGCCAACATTTATTCTTGTCTGTCTTTTGGATTAAAGCCATTTTAACTGGAGTGAGATGATATCTTAGTGTAGTTTTGATTTGCATTTCTCTGATGATAAATGATGTTCAGCCCCTTTTCATAAGCCTGTGTGCCATGTGTATGTCTTCTTGTGAGAAGTGTCTACTCAAATCTTTTGCCCATTTTTATTGGAATATTAGATTTTTTCCTATAAAGTTATTTGAGCTCCTTATATAATCTAGTTATTAGCCCCTTGTCAGACAGTTTACAAATATTTATTCCCAATCTGTGAGTGTCTCTTCACTTTTTAAATTGTTTCCTTTGCTGTGCAGAAGCTTTTTAACTTGATGTGATGCCATTTGTCCAGTTCTGTTTTGGTTGCCTATGCTTGTGGGGTATTACACAGGAAATCTTTGCCCAGACTGATGTCCTAGTAGAGAGTTTTCATCAATGTCTCCTTGTAGTAGTTTCATAGCTTGAGGTCAGATTTAAGTCTTTAATCCATTTTGATTTGAATTTTTGTTTATGTTGAGAGACAGAGGTCTAGTTTCATTCTTCTGCATACAGAAATCCAGTTTCACAGCACCATTTACTGAAAAGACTTTCCTGTCCTCAATTTATGCTCTTGACGCCTTTGGTAAAAATGAATTCATTGTAAATGTAAGGATTTGTTTCTGGTTTCTATATTGTGTTCCATCAGCATATGTGTCTATTTTTATGCAAATACCAAGCTGTTTTCGTTGCTCTGTAGTATAATTTGAAGTCAGTAAATTTGAATCCTCCAGTTTCATTCTTTTTGCTCATGACAGCTGTTGCTATTCTGGATCTTTTGTGGTTCCATATAAGTTTTAGGATTGTTTTTTCTATTTCTGTAAAGAATGTCATTGGTATTTTGATAGAGAATGCATTGAATCTGTAGATTGCTTTGGGTAGTATGAACATTTTAACAATATTGATTAGTCCCATCCATAAACATGAAATATATTTCCATTTTTGTATCCTCTTTATTTCATCAGTGTTTTATAGTTTTCATTGTAGAGATCTTTCACTTCATGATTAATTCCTAGGTATTTTATTTTATTTGTAGCTATTATAAATGGAATTATTTTCTTGATTTCTTTTTCAGCTTGTTTGCTGTTGGCATATAGAAATGTTACTGATTTTTATCTTTTGATTTTGTATCATGCAACTTTACTGAATTCATTTATCACTTCTAATCATTTTTTTTTTTGGTGTAGTCTTTAGTTTTCTCCAAATATAAGATCATATTATCTGTTAACAAGGATAATTCAACTTTTTCCTTTCCAATTTGCATGCCCTTGATTTCTTTCTCTTATCTAATTGTTCTAGCTAGGACTTCTGGTACTATGTTGAATAACAGTAGTGAAAGTGGGTATCCTTGCCATGTTCCAGATCTTAGTAAAAAGGCTTTCAGTTTTTCCCCCTTCAGTATAATGCTATTAATAGCTGTGGGCCTGTCATACATGGCTTTTATTATGTTGCTTATATCCCTAGTTTGTTAAGGGTTTTTCACCATGAAGGGTTGTGGAATTTTATCAAAGGCTTTTTCAGCATGAATTGAAAGGATCATATGGTTTTTGTCCTTCATTCTGTTGATATTATGCATCATGTTAATTGATTTGCGTATGTTGAACCATCCTTGCATCCCTGGGATAAAGCTCACTTGATCATGACGAATGATCTTTCTAATGTATTGTTTGCTAGTATTCTGTGGGGGAGTTTTGCATCAATGATTTTCAGGGATATTGGCCTGTAGTTTTCTTTCTTTGATGTGTCTTTTTCTGGTTTGGGTATCAGGGTAATATTGGCCTCGTAGAATGAGCTTAGAAGAATTCCTTCCTCCTTTATTTTTCAGAACAGTTTGAGTACAATTGGCACTAACTTTTCTGGAAAAGTTTGGCGGAATTCAGCTATAAAGTCCTCTAGCCCAGGGCATTTCTTTGCTGGGAGACTTTTTATTACAGCTTCCATCTCATTACTGGTTATAGGTCTGTTCAGGTTTTGGATTTTTTTCATGGTTCAATCTTGGTAGGTTGCATGTGTCTAGCAATTTATCCATTTCTTCTAGATTTTCCAATTTATTGGCATAGAGTTGTTCATAGAAGTCTCTAATGATCCTTTGAGTTTCTATGGTTTCAGTTGTGATGTCTCCTTTCTCATCTCTGATTTTATTAGTTGAGTCTTCTCTTTTTTTTCTTAGTCTATCTAAAGGTTTGTAAAT
The DNA here is from genome assembly GCF_000001405.40 of Homo sapiens. Taxonomy (NCBI): domain Eukaryota; kingdom Metazoa; phylum Chordata; class Mammalia; order Primates; family Hominidae; genus Homo; species Homo sapiens. The sequence continues at coordinate 106,282,326 of NC_000004.12, forward strand.
CTTCTTTATCTTTTTTAACAAAACAAACTTTTCATTTCACTAATATTTTCTATTATTTCATTTGTTTCAATTTCATTTATTTCTGCTGTGATCTTTATTATTTTTTTTCTTCTACTAATTTTGGGATTGGTTTGCTCTTGCTTTTCTAGTTTTTGAATAAGCATCATTATATTCTTTGATTTTTTTTAACTTTATTGATGTAGATGATTATAGCTGTTAACTTCCCTTTTAATACTGCTTTGGCTGTATTCCACAGGTTTTGGTATATTGTGTTTTCATTATCCATTCCATTATTGTTTCAAGAAATTTTTCAATTTCCTTCTTCATTTCTTTATTGACCCCCTTTATTAGTCTGTTCTCACATTGCTACAAATACCAAGACTGGGTAATTTATAAAGAAAATAAGTTAGATTGATTCACAATTCTGCATGGCTGGAAAGGCCTCAGGAAACATACAATCTTGGCAGAGGGAATCTCTTCACAGGGCAGCAGGAGACAGAAACACATGACAAGAAATGTAGATGGCCTCTAGGAGCTGACAGCAGCACTCAGTCACAGTAATCAAGAAAACAGATACCTCAGTCCTAAAATTAATTGCGAGGAACTAAATTCTGCCAACAACCTTTATCAGCTTAGAGAAGAATTCTTCCCCAGAGCCACAAGAAAAGAAATTGAGAGTTCATTTCCTCTAACCATATCATTTTATTTTTAAAAAACATTTCTAGGAATATCATAAAGAAATTCATATTTGCATCATACTTTCACCAAAATTCATTTGTTTGAGAAATAAAATTGTAGCACATGATTAAAAAAAAAGATAATAGGGAAATATTCAAACTCCATGACTAACCTAAAAGTATAATTCATTCATTCAATAGTCCATTTGCCACATATTTACTAAATGGAAACTTTTATACTTACAACTTTAGGAGACAATAAATAAATTACAGTATGTATGTCAAAAACGTTAACTAGAGAAGATAAACAATTCCTTCCTTAATTCTATAACTGTAGACTAACAATTATAAGCCTGAAGGGGGAAAGATATCTTACTACTAGAGGGTTACAGTATAATATAGGCATTTGGAGGAGGAAAATATAATTTTTGCTTTGGTTGAGAAGAAGAGTACGAAGGGAAACAGTAAGATGTATTACTTGAAGAAGTGCTGTACATTGCACTAAAGATTGGAGATAACAGGGTTGAGCAAAAAGACATTTCAGTTTTTATGGTAAATTTCAAAATTTTGGCATTCACTCTCCTCAATGTGTATTAGGAATAATTAAAACTAATTGTACAATTTAGGCACATTGGAAATAATAAGAGAGTTAGAGAGTAATATTTAGAGAAGCAGTAGTAGTAATTGGAGTTATTTAATGAGAGAATTAGATTGAAGTCAGATCCTATGCTAATAAGATGCCTTTTCCTCTGGGGGAAAAAAAAAAAGAAATGGAGAACCTCCAAGTGTTTCTGAACAGAGAATGGACTGATCTTCAAAAATATTAACATAGCAGAAAAAGTGGGAGGACTGAAGTATGGCTGAAGCCAGGAAGACCAGTTAGAACGTTACAATGCAATAGCCAAGCTGTTTGTTAGTGAAGATTTAAACTAAAGAATGTATAAGACAGAGATATGTGAGAACTATTGCCAAGTTTGTATTAACAACACTTGGCAATTAGTAAGATATAAGGTACAAGAGAGGCAGAAAGCAAAAGTTTGTTGCAAGATAACAAGTCTAAATGTAGAGCATCTTTCGGTATTATTTTCCTTCTTTAAACAAAACATGTAAAACAGGAAGAGAATTATAGATCAGTTATATAAATCTCTAATTCACATGACTTCACTACCATAATTTCAAATGCATTTTGAAACTACGGTCCTCAAAAGTAAAAAAGATATGAAAGCCTCAAGATCCATTATCAGTTTATATTATAAAATAAGAATATCTAACATCTATTTCTGATTACTACAACCTGTAGCTCATTATTCAACTCTGGACCACATTCCAGAATGTGTCCAAATTCTTTCGAGTATCTCATTCAGTGAGTAGGCAATGTTTTAACAGGGGAAAATAAAACTCACTAATTTGAGTAAGTCAGATCATGTTTTCCATCAGGCTAGTAAACAGCTGCAGACATAGTCTGCTTCCCATCAAAGTCTTCACGTATAACTTCTGCAATACTAATGGTATTCTGGTAAATTTTCAAAACCATAACCCTAAAAACGTGACAAACTACATTTTGTTAAAGGAATATGGCTCTACTGCCCACCCTGCATTCACCTGCAAACTTAACACAATGTAGAAACTCTATTACAAGTGCCAAAACTCTGCTGAATATCTGTCCATGAGCTACATTTGCTGATACTTTCATAGGTTAAGCAAAAGTACATGCTCTGAATAATTCTAACACAAAAGGGAAATACTTCCCATACAGCACCTAGACTTAAAAGAAAAACAATTTCCTCATGCCTGCTTTGATAGCAGTGATAAAGGTATATCTGTTTTTTAAATATTCTCTGGAAAGCATTTCAAAGAGGAGTTGAGATCTAAATTTCTCCACTTCTCAGTCTCTTGAATCTTGCTTTAGGGTAGCATTAGGTAGATTAATAGGCACTAAATGTGAGATGACTTCAAACAAATCTAAATGCTGTACTTTTTTCTTGAAACCTAATCACTATAGGAATTTAATTTGACAATTTTATATTTTCAAAAAATAATTTTGATCATTTAACTTAAACTGAAGAGAAATGCTGGCAAGATTGAACTATGGCACAGATAACATAAAAGCCACTGGAAAGACAGCAGCTGTCTCAAAATTAATTCCTTATATTAAAGCCTGAATGGACTGTAAAGAAAATGTTGAATATTTTTTTTCCTTTAAACCAGGTTAGCCAACTATCCACACAAATAACATTAGTCTATAAAATACTAACTTGATAACACCTCATAAAACAAACTTATGTTCTCCTTTTATAATATAAATTCTCAAAAGGGTTTTACGGCCGTTAATACTAAGAGAGAACGTTTGATTTTCTAGTGAGATCTGGAGCTTCACGATAGGCTTAAATTGTAATTATTCCCATAGTAGTAGCAAATTACTACTATGACATTTCAGTACAATATTGTTTCATTCAATATTAAATCGGTCATGAAAAAAAGTCAGCAAATTGACACAGACTCTTCTCTAAATTCCTAGTTTTCATTCCCCTGATCCCTGTCCCACCAAAGATTTAAAATTTAAAATTTAAATTTAAATTTCTTACCAAATATTTAAAATTTTCTTCAAAATATATATCAAGTAAGATATATGCTTTGAATGATGCTTATGTTTAGAAAATCAACTGCAAATTACGACCAGACAACTGGCAGCTTATGGTTTTGCAACAGTTATAGACAAAGGAACAAGTAAAAATCACAAATGTCAAGTTGCAACCCCATCTAAATAGGTTTCCTGTTTACATCAGCCCTTCTTGCAGGTGCAGGTGCTTACTTTTGGTAGTAAAGGAAAGAACTAATTTATAAACCTTAAGAACATCTTCTCACTTTCTATAAACAGGTTATAAAATTGATTAAAATTGCAGTACATCAACTCTACACATATACCTGCTCTGTTACTGGAGACTAATGTAATCCAAATATGTGGAAAAGTCAAATAGTTCTCAGCAAAATTAATTTAGATGGATGGATCAGATAACAACTTGGAACTGAACCTAAAAGGATCATTCCTACTAAAAGGCAGTAAGTACTGAATGTTATATTCCAAAATGTACAAAGAAAACACTGACTTTTAGTCTATTATCAGAATAATTTAAAAATAGTACTTTATTTACACAAATGCTTAAATACATCTCAATGGAAAAAATGGAAAGACCTGTTAAGGCTACTATATGTTCTATTTAAAAGAAAAAAGAAAATGTAACTGGCATAAAAGATCATGTAAATTTTGCATTTAATCCTACTCATGTTAATATACATCCTCAAAGAATGTGCTTCCATCTACACTATTTTATCCTCATGAAGACAAAAGCAAAATCATTGAAGAAACCACTGATGTTCATTGCCACAAGATTTGTCGTCTTTCAAACAAAGATAAAAAATGGTAAGCACAGAAATGCAAAACTTTTCATGAGCTAATGATTTAATCATACTGGCAAAGCAATATTGATTGTATCCTTATATAATACAATTCAAAGTTCAAAAACATTTTTAAAAAAGGTTGGGGGATGGTGGCTCATGCCTGTGCCTGTAATCCCAACACCTGGGAGGCTAAGGCAAGAAGATCACTCGGGCCTAGGAGTTCAACACCAGCCTAGGCAACATAATGAGACCCCTGTATATACAAAAAATAAAAAAATAGCCATGTATGGTGATGCACACCTGTGGTCCCAGGTACTAGGGTGGTTGAGGTGGAAGGATCGCTTGAGCCCAGGAGGTCAAGGCTACAGTAAGCAGCGATCACAGTAAGCGAGGTCAAGGCTACAGTAAGCAGCGATCACAGTAAGCAGTGATCGCACTACTGCACTCCAGCAGCCTGGGTGACAAAGCGAGAACCTGTCTCAAAAAAACAAAAAGGCAGGAGGGGTGGGGGTGGAATAGAGTTGAGGTAAAACAATGAAAACGGAAATTTATCTTTTGAATCACCAACTTCTTTCGCCTCAGTTCCTTTACCAAGTAAAAGAAGGACCATATACAGGCAGAGGGGGAAATGTGGAGATAAGAGACTACCATACTGATGACCAGAGGACTGCTCTCTTTGTGGCTTATGGGGTCCTCTGGAACTTCGGGGTGTTCTGGAACTTTTGGGAGCACAAGACCATGGATAACATCAATTTTCAGGATGTATAGCAATTCTGATCATAGCTATGTCCATAAAGACCCTATTTCACCTGTGGGACTTCTGGATATTCCCTTAATACTCTACCCCCTATTCTTAGTGTATAATCCTTTCTTTTTTCTACCCCAAATACTTTAAACAAATATGAATAATTTTAAGAATTCCAGATATTTTTCAGTTAGCATTAATATTGATTTAGCATGTCACTCCTGTTTTGTAGGAGTGTTTTTTCAAAAGTATTTGTATGGTCTCTAAGACATTTGTGGTAGTCAGCCTCCAGGATGGCCCCCAATGAGCCATGACTCATGAAATTCACATGTGCATTCTTGAGCAATCCTCTCCAACACAGAATACAGTTAATGGCTGACCTGTGTAAACTAACAGGATATTGCATTGCAGGAATAACAGTGTGTGTTTGTTGACACTAGGTTACCAAAGCCACTGTAGCTTCCACCTTGTTTTCTTTCCTTAGATTGTTCACTCTGAGAGAAGCCAACCACCATGCTTTGAGCATGTCAAGAGGCCTGTGGAAAGGCCCTCAATGTAGAAAAGAATTAAGCCTCTTGTCAACAACTAGCACCTTCTTTATAAGTAAACCATCTTAGAAACAGATCACCCAACTCCAGAAAAGCTTTTATAACAGATGACTGGAGGTCCAGCTGTTATCTTGACTGAAATCTTGTGAGACCTTGAGCTAGAACCATCTAGTTATGCTATTCCTATGTTCTGATCCAAAGGAATTATATGAGTTAATAAATTTTTATTGTTGTTTTAAGCCACAAAGTGTTGAGGTAACTTGTTAAGCAATAACTAATTCATACTCTTTCTTCTAAAAACCAAAAAATTAAAAAAGTCAGTGGCTCAAACATCTTCATTAACAACACAATACTGTTTCTCTATGAGGGATTGAGAACTCAAGCCAAGTGAATAACTCAACAACCCTTTCTTAAAAAAAAAAAAAAAAAAAATTAAGGTATGCAATCCCAGAACTCTGGGAGGCCGAGGCAGGCAGACTGCCTGAGCTCAGGAGTTCGCGACCAGCCTGGGCAACACGGTGCAACCCTGTCTGTACTAAAATACAAAAAATTAGCCAGGCATGGCGGTGTATGCCTGTAGTCCCAGCTACTCAGGAGGCTGAGACAGGAGAATCACTTGAACCTGGGAGGTGAAGCTTGCAGTGAGCTGAGATCGTACCACCGCACTCCAGCCGGGGCGACAAAGCGAGACTCCGTCTCAAAAAAAAAAATTAAATTAAGGTATAATTTACATAGGTAAAATGCATATATTATACATTTTCAGTGCATATTTCATTTAGTTATGACACACATACACCATATAGGTAATATCTGATCAAGATACAAAAATGTTCATCCCCTTAAAAAGTTCCCTCAAGGCCATTTTGAATCAGTTCTTGAATTACCCCTTACTCTCTAACAGAATAAAGCACTGTTTTTCTATCACCGAAGATAAATACCGATAATCTTCTATGTCTGGCTTCTTTTGCTCAGCGTAATATTTATAAGGTTAATCCACATGTTGTGGGTACCAGTAGCTCTTTCTTTTTCATTGTTGATTAACAGGTTGAGCATCCCTAATCTGAAAATCTGCAATCCAAAATGTTCCAAAATCCAAAATTTTTTGGGCAACAATATGATACCACAAGTAGAAAATTCCACACATAAGTATTTAGTGTAAACTTTGCTTCATGCACAAAATTATTTAAAGTATTACATAAAATTACACCCAGGCTATGTGTATAAGCTATCATTCAAACATAAATGAAGTTCGTGTTTACACTTAAGTCCCATCTACAACATAGCTCACTATGTAAATGCAAATACTCCAAAATCTGGGAAAAACAAATCCCAAATCCGAAACACTTCTGGTCCCAAACATTATGGATAAAGAATTATCAATCTGTACCATGTTTATGCATTCTCCTGTCCATGGACATTTGAGTTCTACCCAGTTTAGAGCTATAATGAAGAATGTTTCTGGGAATATTCTAGTGCAAATCTTTTTGCATAGGTGGACATGTATTTTTCTGTTCTCTTGGATAAATACCTAGACAGAGCTGGGACTAGAGTGAGGCAAATGAAGTACTACAGTACAAAATTTAAGGAGGCCTTATAACTAGGACTGGAATTGCTGGATCATAAAATAGATGTTTCTATTAATAATTTAGCCTTTTTTATAGCATTGAAATTTTAAATGTAGACTTGCCATAGGTTCTTCTGTCAAGAAATCTACCATTTAAACAAAGAGCAATAGTAGGTTAACATATTAGTCTATAAAAATATAACAAATTATATTTATGAAGACAATTGATCAGCCAGGCGCGGTGGCTCATGCCTGTAATCCCAGCACTTTGAGAGGCTGAGGCGGGCAGATCATGAGGTCAGGAGTTCGAGACCAGCCTGGCCAATATGGTGAAACCCCATCTCTACTAAAAATACAAAAATTACCCAGGCATGGTGGGCATGCCTGTAGTCCCAGCTGCTCAGGAGGCTGAGACAGAAGAATCACTTGAACCCGGGAGGCAGAGGTTGCAGTGAGCCGAGATCATGCCACTGCACTCCAGCCTGGGTGACAGAGCGAGACTCTGTCTCAAAAAAAAAAAAGAAAAAAAAAAAGACGATTGATGTATTATCAGATATGATGCATATTAAATAAAACATTAAGTTAAGAATAACTTGTGCTACAATGATCTCTCAATCAGTAAAACTCCTTGTTTTACAGATAAGGAAAATGATTAAGAGACTTGTCCAAGGATGCCTAACTAGTTAGGGCATATTGCATCACACATATTGCATTGTAAATGCATATTTTCATCATACATATTGCATTGTAAATCTTTACACAAATTTAACCCAGGCTCAACTAAAATATTTTTTCTTACCTAAAGTTGTGGGCATAATTGGTTTTCAATTTTAATGTCAACTAGCTTTTAAAGAAAATTGCTTTTTAGCAGCAGGAGACTGTAAATTTGAACTAGTGAGCAAGGAATAATATATTATTTTATTTATTTATTTATTTAGAGATGGAGTTTCACTCTGTTGCCCAGGCTGGAGTGCAGTGGCGTGATCTCGGCTCACTGCAATCTCCGCCTCCCGGGTTCACGCCATTCTCCTGCCTCAGCCTCCTGGGTAGCTGGGACTACAGGCGCCTGCCACCACGCCTGGTTAATTTTTTGTATTTTTAGTAGAGACAGGGTTTCACCATGTTAGCCAGATGGTCTCGATCTCCTGACCTCGTGATCCGCCCACCTTGGCCTCCCAAAGTGCTGGGATTACAGGCATGAGCCACCACACCCGGCCGGAATAATATATTCTTTTAAATAAAAATCAAAGATTAGTGACATTACAAAAATTATAACTATAAAAACACATTTACTAAATAAGGTTAAACTATTTCTAAATACATATAAAAGTTATTTTTCTTACCTATAGTCAGATTAGACTTTTCTAAGGAAGGATGTAAGGCTATAGTGTACAACAGGGGTTCCCAACCCCCCCACCATGGACTAGTCCTGGACCCTGTACCTAGGACTGCGCAGCAAGAGGTGTGCAGCAGGCAAGCCAGCAAAGCTCCATCTGTATTTACAGTTGCTCCCCATCGCTACATTACCACCTGAGCTCTCTGCCTCCTGTCAGATCAGCAGCAGCACTGATTCTCATAGGAGCACGAACCCTACTGTGAACCATGCATGCGAGTGATCAGGGTTGCGGGCTCCTTATAAGAATCTAACGCCTGATCATCTGAGGTGGAGCTGAGGCAGTGATGCTAGCGCTGGGGAGTGGCTGCATATACAGATTAACATTAATAGAGAGGTTTGACTGCACAGAGACCATAATAAATCAATTACTTGCAGACTCATCAAAACCCTATCAGTGAGAGGCAAGTGACAATTAAGCTGTATCTGGTGGTAGGCTTTTGAGTGGCAAGTGAGTTGATGTACTTCAAGTGTACAGCTGCATCTGGTGGCAGGCTTTAAGTCAAAATGCAACATTTATTTTAGTCTGCACGTGGCCTGCCTATTATTTTATTTACCTCTTCCATCTGCACCTCCTTCCCACACTGCACACTTGTCTTGGTCACAGTTTTGATAAGCCTACAAGCTAACCCCTAGTCACAATGAGTAAAAACCAAACATCACTGGAGACCTTCTTTAAAAAGGGGGAAAGACCCCATGATGAGACAGCAGAAGACTCTAAGACTGCCAACAAAAAGAAAGCTTCATTTAAAAGAAAATACCAACAGTCCTACTTAAATTATAGGTTCATTGTAACAGATGATTCACATTCTCCAAGTATGCTTTGTATGCTATGTGGCGACCAGCTATCCAATGAAGCCATAAAACCTTCAAAACTGCTTTGTCACATGGAGACCAAGCAGACTGATTAAAAGACAAGTCTTCGCAGTTTTTCAAAAGAAAAAAACATGAACACGAAGAACTGAAGTAATTACTGAAAGCCACCACTTCATCAAACGTGTTGACACTAAGAGCATCATTCTTAGCGACTAACTACATAGCTAAAGCTAAGAAGCCCTTTACTATCGGTGAAGATTTGATCCTGCCTGCTGCTAAAGACATCTGTCATGAAATTTTAGGAGAGGATGCCGATCAAAAGGTAGCACGTGTTCCTCTTTCGACTAGCACCATAACTAGACAAACTGATGAAATAACAGAGGATATTGAGGCACAATTGCTAGAATCAATGAGTCACCATGGTACACAATTCAGACTGATGAGTTGACCGATGTTGACAACAATGCAACAATGCTTGCTTTTGTGCAATATATTTTTCAGGAGGATATGCATGAGGATATTTATGTGCACTTTTGTTGCTAATAAACACCAAAGCTGCAGAACTATTCAAGTCTTTGAATGATTAAATATCAGAGAAACTGAATTGGTCACTTTACATCGGTATATGCAGACACAGCGGCCACCATGACTGGACGGCTTTCTGGTTTCACTTCTCAGGTCAAAAAGGTTGCTTCTAAATGTGAGTCTATGCACTGTGCCATCCATACAGAAATGCCGGCTACCTGAAAAATGTCACCTGAACTTAACAACGTTTTGCAGGATATGATTAAAATTATCAACCTCATTAAAGTATATGCCCTTGGCTGGGCGCGGTGGCTGACACTTGTAATCCCAGCACTTTGGGAGGCTGAGGTGCGTGGATCATGAGGTCAGGAGATCGAGATCATCCTGGCTAACACGGTGAAACCCTGTCTCTATTAAAAATAAAAAAATTAGCAAGGCATGGTGGTGGGCGCCTGTAGTCCCAGCTACTCAAAAGGCTGAGGCAGGAGAATGGCATGAACCCGGGAGGAGGAGCTTGCAGTGAGCCAAGATCACGCCACTGCACTCCAGCCTGGGCGACAGAGCAAGACTCCATCTCAAAAAAAAAAAAAAAAGTACATGCCCTTAACTCATATCTGTTCATGCAGCTCTGTGAGGAGATGGACACAGAGCATACACGTCTTCTCTTAAACACAGAAGTAGGTGGCTTTCTAAAGGTGGATCACTGGCCAGAGTTTTGAGTTATGAGAGCTGTTCCAGAGATTTCTTTTAGAAAAATAGTCACCACTGGCAGCACATTTCAGTGACACAGAATAGGTCACAAAGCTTGCTTCCTTATGTGACATATTCAACCTGCTCAACAAACTCAATCTGTCACTTCAGGAGAGAACAACTCTGTTCAAGTTCGCAGATAAAGTGGCTGCATTCAAAGCCAAACTGGAATTATGGGGGTGGCAAGTGAACACTGGGATTTCTGACATGTTTCAAACATTAGCAGAGATTTTGAAAGAGGCTGAGCCAGGGCCTTCTTTCTCCCAACTGGTGCAGATCACCTATCTCAGCTTTCAAAAGAGTTTAAGCATTACTTCCCAACCACAAAGGACCCCTGAATGGGAAGGAATAGATCCGCAACCCATTTGTGAATAAACCAGGTGAATTGACTTCATCTGTGCTAGAAGAGGATCAACTAGACAATATCAAATCTCCATACATTCTAGATTAAAGTCAAGACAGAATATCCCAAGATTGGCACAAAATCACTCCTTTTCAGCCTGCTTCCATTTCCAACATCCTATCTTTGTGAAGCAGGGTTTTCTGCAGTGACAGCAACCAAAACGAGATTACAGAGCAGAATGAACATAAGCAACAGACTTTGGGTGTCACTGTCTCCCATCATCCCCACATAGAACCTTCTAGTTGCAGGAAAGCAAGCTCAGGGATCCCACTGACTCTACATTATGGTGAGTTATATAATTACTTCATTATATATTACAATATAATAAAAATAGAAATAAAGTACACAGTAAATGTAATGCGCTTGTATCATCCCAAAATCATCCCTCCACCCTCCATCCATGGAAAACCTGTCTTCCACAAAACTAGTCCCTGGTGCCAAAAAGTTTGGGGACTGCTGGTATATACATGATATCTGCATTTTTCATTCTAGAGGCTACCCAAAACCAAATCATTTAAAGGAGCAATAATAGCACTTTTATTCAATTTATTTGTTTTGCTTCTATCAAATTACTACCATTTATTAAGATAAATGCTTTTCTTCCCTTGAAAAAGATTTTTCATCTAGAATATTGTGGTAATGGAAAATTATTAACCAGTCAGAGTAACAATATTTTTCAAAACTAGGATGGATAATTATAAATCTATAAACACTCGTGGCAAGATGTTTTATTGGTTTAATACAACTTGATTTATACATTAAGAAAGATTTTTGATAATTTTAAGGTCACTTCGGGAAATCTGTGAAGAAGTTCATTTAATAGTATATTTCTAATAAAAGTTTAGACCACATACTTTCCTTGCCAAGAGAGTAAATTTATTGAGTCTTTGAAATAATTGCATTTAAACTGTATCATTAAATTCTATCCAAGCTATGATTAATATTTCTCCCTACTCTTTAATGTGACCTTTATTTAACACAGTTCACTGTGTCCCTAGGAATACAAGTATCCTATTTGAAGTTACAATGTGATCCTTTCAGGAAAATAATCTTTTTTTTTTTTGAGATGGAGTCGCGCTCTTTTGCCCAGGCTGGAGTGCAGTGGCGCATCGCGGCTCACCACAACCTCCGCCCCGCGGGTTCAAGCAATTCTCCTGCCTCAGCATCCTGGGTAGCTGGGATTACAGGCACGCACCACCATGCCCACTGTGGTGGCTCAAGCCTGTAATCCCACCACTTTGGGAGGGTGAGGCGGGTGGATCACAAGGCCAGGAGTTTGAGACCAGCCTGGCCAACATAGTGAAGCCCCACTCTTATACTAAAAATACAGGAAAATAATCTTTTTTTTTTTTTTGACATGGAGTCTCGCTCTGTCACCCAGGCAGGAGTGCGGTGGTGCAATCTCGGCTCACCGTAAGCTCCGCCTCCTGGGTTCACGCCATTCTCCTTTCTCAGCCTCCTGAGTAGCTGGGACTACAGGTGCCCACCACCACGTCCAGCTAATTTTTTGTATTTTTAGTAGAGACAGGGTTTCACCGTGTTAGCCAGGATGGTCTCGATCTCCTGACCTTGTGATCCGCCCGCCTCGGCCTCCCAAAGTGCTGGCATTACAGGCGTGAGCCACCACGCCTGGCCAGGAAAATAATCTTAATCTCAGCTAGTGAAATGCTTAGTACTAAGAAGGTTTCAAATTTTCATATATCCCCTTTTGAAGAATTTTTTGTGAAATATTTCAGAGAATGCCTACCTCACAAAAGATGAACACTGGACTATGTTAATGTTGAATTCATATGTAATCTGTAAATTAAATTTTCTCAAGTGAAAATTTGCACCTACCTTTATCATTAAACAAGTAACAAAAGAAACCAAACCCCTGCAGTTTAAACAAAATGCCTTTTTGTTTGCCAAGTTCTGCTTTTCATTTAATTGTTCTGATACTATACAGTACCTCACAGGTTTCCTTTCTCGAAGCAAGTCTTCCAGACTACGTTCACAATGTTCAGCCACGACCACTAGTCGTTCTGAGAAAAACAAAGCAAACCCATGTTATATTTTATCAATACAACATGTTAAAAACAAAATAATACTCTCCACTGATGATATTAATATATAACACCCATAACAATATTTTAAAAGAGCCTTTCAAACTCTATATTAACTACATTATTACCAAGTATATAGGATAATAAACATCTAATAAAACAATAACTATTTTTTTCTCTTGTATTTTTCTTCCTCTAGAGTTTTTCTTACATACGTCAGGAAAAATAGGTGGAAAGACTGTCCTTGGGGAAAAAAATAACTCACCCTTCTTCTGACACACATTGAAAGAAAGAAGTAAAAGATTAGATGAATATATAAAGAATTTTGAAAGAAGGGAAAAGGAGCTAGGTACAGATTGCTTGACACTCTGGTTTTAAACACAGACCTTTGAAATTGCATTCAGAAACTTGAAAAAAAGTAGAAATGATCTGAATCATAACTATAGAGAAAGAAATTCAACCTAGAATTATTGTTAACCCTTGAACAACGCAGGGGGTTCTTAAAGGTGCCAACCCCCTAAATGGTCAAAAATCACCTATAACTTTTGACTGTCCCAAAACTTAACTACTAATTTGCCTACTCTTGACTTGAAGCCTTATTGACAACACATAAACAGAACAGTATCTACATTTATTTTATGGATTCATGACATACCTTTTTTTCTTATTTTTTCCTATATTTCTAGGCTACATGGTTCATCTATGAGTTTTTTCAAATTGTCAAAAATCTCCAAAGAATTTTCCAATATAAATTCATTGGGAAAAAAATGCATATTTAAGTGGATGTGTGCAGTCCAAACCCATGTTGTTCAAGGGTCAACTGAACAACAGTTGAGATTAAATATTATAAAACAGTGGTAGACATGATCAACATTAATGATGTCATTTTTATTTTCCAACAGATCAACTGATCAAGATGGCACAGTTCTAAGGGCCAGCCTATACTTTTTTTTGCCTCATCCATTATTCCAAGTCACTAACATGATGCTTGATAATGAATCTAAGAGGAATAAAAGAAAAGTACAACTGGCTTTACAAGCTTTTGGGGATTTGACAAGGTTATTTGAGGAGTTTGGTTCAAAAGAAGTTGGAGTGTTGTCAGTATCTATGCAAAACAGATTCTAAGTAAAATAAAGAATAAGTTTAACACAAAACACAAAGACTGAGACTAGATAAGGTAAAGGTGCAAAGAAACTGCGAATAATGATAACTGTAAAATGAAGGTTTGGTGAAAATGAAAAAGTAGCCAAGGTAGAAAAAAGAGACAGAAGAAGATAGGAAAGAGGAAGTTCAGAGTAAGAAATCTAGTATATAAAATAGTTCAGTAATGATTGGATTAAGGCATGGTCTTGAATGGGGAAGTAGAGATGGACAATTGTGTTCAGGCAGACATGTCAAGTGCAGGAGCAAAGTATTATCTTGGATCTTATCTAAGTTTACTCTGTCTAGTGAAATGGGATTATACAGAATGATCTGAAACACAAAAATTAAAAATGCTATAAGTGAATATTATCATTTTCAGATAAAAGATTCCAATTGTAGAGGAAAAGGAATAAAATGAAATAGCAAATGATGAAGCTAGAGAGAGAGGTGAGCAGGAATATTTAACAGGAATTTAAAGAAAATTAACTTTAAAAGAACACTTAATGAGAAAAAAAGAAAAAGAAAAGGAAACCATGCAATAAAAGGTCAAGTTACTTACTTAACAAAGAAAAGCGTATGCAAAGGTAAGCTCCAAGCAATTTAGTACAACAGTGAAATTCCAGAAGAAAAAAGCAGGCAACATTATCAGAAAACCAAAAGAAGAAGCTGCATTCCTTTGCTTTTCATCTTACCACGTTTTGTCCATTTTCCTTACATTTATCTGGCTCCCTCCCCTCAGTATCCTCTGTAAATCTTTACCTCTTCTACCCAAATTGAAATGCTACCAGTTCCTCCACCTTTGATTCTGGGTCTTTTTTACTGTTTTCTCATCTATTCCCAAGGCTGAAAAACTCTGAGATTTTATTGCAAGCCCAAAACTCTCTTCTGAACTGCAGGCTTCTATAGCCTATATTATAGGCTTTAATATAAAAGTCACCTGAAACTCAACCAAACTTCAACTTATAATTTACTGTTAAAGTCTGTCCCCTTTAATACTGTTTCAGTAAATGATATCACTATCCAGTCAACTGCTCTAGCTAGCAACTAAACAGTAATCTCCCCTTCTCAAATCCAAATAAACAGAGTCCTGTTATTTTTACTTCTCAAACATTTCTAGAATCTATATAGTTTGCTCCATCTGCCACAATCTGGGCCCAGCCAGCATCATCTCATTAGATAACTACAACAATCTTTTAACTGATCTTCTCACATTAATTCCTATTTCTTTCCAACATATTTTCACACTAAAGCCCAACTGATAAAATCATAAGAAGTCTGAATATGAAACTCCCTCTCTAGCTTCATCTATATTATTTTATCTTAGTTTACCAACTTCCATCACACTGATCTTCCTTCTGGCCTCCTGCCTTAGGACACTTACACATGGGTTCTTATTGCCTGAAATGATCTTTCCCACATAGTGGTTAAGAGTATAGACTATTTTGTCTGGGATCCAAATCCCAGTTTTGCTACTAATTAACTATGTGACCTCAGGGAAATTTTCTAACCTCTCTATGCCAGATTTTTTCTGTAAGATGAAGAGAAGAATAGCCACCTGCCTCACAGGGTTGTTGTGAGGTTGAAATGAGTTAATATATAATAAAGGCCTAGAATAGTGTGTGGCACATAACAAGCAATAGCTGATTGTTAGCTTTTATTATTACTCATTATTCAGGGCTCAGTTAAATGTGACTTCCTCAAGGGACACTTCTCTCATCCCCCCAACATCGATTTGCTGTCCTACAACATACTCTATTCTACATTTTAATTTTGTTTTGTAGCACTTGTTTCAACTCTAATAATTTGTATGCATTCTTATTTTGGTCCAGCCAGCATCATCAGTAACTCCACCTTATCCATGGTTTTACTTTCTGCAGTTTCCAAACATTTTAAATGGAATATTCTAGAAATAAAAAATTCCTAAGTTTTAAATTGCATGCCATTCTGAGTAGCACAGTGAAATCTCTCACCAGCAATTAATATATGCCAAAAAGAAGACGTGGCCGGGCACGGTAGCTCACGCCTGTAATCCCAGCACTTTGGGAGGCAGGCGGATCACGAGGTCAGGAGACCACCCTGGCTAACACAGTGAAACCTTGTCTCTACTAAAAATATGAAAAAAAAAAAAAAATTAGCCAGGCGTGGTGGCAGGTGCCTGTAGTCCCAGCTACTCGATGGCTGAGGCAGGAGAATGGCATGAACCCGGGAGGCAGAGCTTGTAGTGAGCCGAGATCCTGCCACTGCACTCCAGCCTGGGCAACAGAGCAAGACTGTCTCAAAAACAACAACAAAAAAAAGAAGACGAAAAGTGCTTCCTTCAAGTGAAAAGGTGAAAGTTCTCGACTTGATAAGGAAAGAAAAAAAACCAGTTGTTAAGATACATGGTAAGAAATTTTCTATTCGTGAAATTGTGAAGAAAAAAGAAAATCATACCAGTTTTGCTCTCACGCCTCAAACTACAAAATTATGACCACATTGCAAGAGAAGTGTCTAGTTAAGATGGAAAAGGCATTAAATTTGTGAGTAGAAGACATAAACAGAAGAAACACGTTCTGACTGATAAGAATCAGATTCGGTACAATCCTCAGTTTTAGACATCCACTGGGGGTGCTGGGGGCCTTCTTGGAACATATCCCCTGAGGAAAAGGGGGGCCTACTGTGATATCTTTTTTCCTATCAGATAATATATTTTATGATGGCAGGAATGAGGTGGGTCTCATCACAGGTGCCTAGCAGTGCATCAGTAGTTGCACACAGGTGCATCACAGTAGTACATCACAGGAGCCTAGTGCACACAGGTGTACTGCATCACAGGTGTCTAGAATGTCACCTACAACATATAGGCATGTAATATAAAGATAACTGTTAGATGAATTAACTTTAGCAAAGGCATGATGTGGCCATTAGAAATGAAGAATCTCATATGACCACAGTCACTGAACAGAGCCCTGTCCTGTGTAGAAAATTACATGCCCACGTTATAAACTCAGTATAACTCAGTAGCACTGACTTTCATGTAAAACAAAAACAAAATAATTTATTAAAATGTGCATATTCCATTAATTAACCATTTTAAATTGGATATTCATAATTCTTCATATCTATAAGAGATTTCCAAAGTATCTGGCACAACTAAAATTTTTCAGGTTTCTGGAAACCCCTTCAAAACATCATAAACAAGTGTTTGCCAAAGCTTCAAGATTCTATGGAACTATTAAGCATAGTTTTAATACTGCTGAGCCATAATCCTCAGCAGAACATCAAAGTTTCTCCCAGAGATAATGGAGTGTATACCAAAACAATATTTCCAATATGAACCATTTTTTTAAAGAAATCTTTAGAGAGTCTTCATTCTGAAATCTCTGGACCACTGTTTAAAAATAACATGTTATAAAAACAATATAGTTTCACAGAATAAAGCATTTAGGAATCATAATGTGCCAAATATAAATCATCAATGTAGTAGCATTATTTATAAAAAATAATGTGATGCTAAGATGAACTTTAAAGAGTAGAATATACAATAATTGTGAAATAGTCTTACTTCTAACAAAGATTTGAGGAAGCAAAAGTATGATGTAGCGTCTCTAGCCTGAACTGTGTGTTTTAGGTTTGACAGGGCTTGGCTGTGTTCCCACCCAAATCTCATCTTGAATTCTCACGTGTTGTGGGAGGGACCCAGTGGGAGGTAATTGAATCACAGGGGAGGTCTTTCCCATGCTGTTCTTGTGATAATTAATAAGTCTCATGAGATCTGATGGTTCTATAAGGGGGAGTTTCCTTGCACAAGTTCTCTTTTTTTGGCCTGCTGCTATCCATGTAAGACGTGACTTGCTCCTCCTTGCCTTCCACCATGAATGTGAGGCCCCACCAGCCACGTGGAACTGTAAGTCCATTAAACGTTTTTCCTGTACAAATTACCTAGTTTTGGGTATGTCTTTATCAGCAGTGTGAAAACAGGCTAATACAAAGTTAACACTAAGAAACTGAAGAGAACACACATTTAAGCAAGAATAAAGGAGTTGAATAAGGAGTAGGGGGAAGTAAAATAAAGTTTTTTAAAGTAGTGGTTTTTTTGTTTAAATTTAGAGAAAGAGGTGAATCATGAATGTCTTAAAATAATATAAAGGGTTATTACAATATATTTACTGCATCACTTTTGTTATTAACAGTAAAAATCGAGACTAGCTCATCACCTTTAAAATATGATATTTCAATAAGTGTTTATACAGTTCAAAACCAACAAAGAAAAACATTATGCTTAAAGAATAGTATTGGTACCAGAACACTGTGATGGTCAGTTTTATGAGTCAGCTTAGCTAGAATATAGAATCCAGTCATTCAATCAAATACTAATCTAGATGTTGCTGTGAAATTATTTTGTAAATGAGTAAAGTCTATAATCAGTTTACTTTAAGGGAAATTATCCTAGATAATCAGGGTAATCCTGATTCAATCAGTTTAATAGCCTTTAAGAGCAGAATTGAAAGCCAAGTACACTGGCTCACACCTATAATCCCAGCTACATGAGAGGCTGAGACGGGAGGATCACTTTAAGCCAGGAGTTCAAGACCAGCTTGGGCAATATAGTGAGACTCCTGTCTCTGAAAAATAAATAAATAAATAATAAATAAATATGAGCAGAATTGAAGCTTCCATGAAGAACAATAAATTCCAACTGTGGATGACAGCTTGAGCTTCTGCCCAAGAGTTCAGCTTGTCCTTCTTGAAGACCTGCCTCATGGATTTCAAACTTGCCTAGCAGCACCCCACAATCATGCAAACCAATTCCCAGCAATTCTTTTTTATATATTCATATAACTTACATAAATAACTTATATAATTATATATATAATTTGTTCTGTTTCTCTTATGAAACTAATACAGATTAAAATTTATATGCTAGAGATACAGAATAAATTATCTTGTAGTTCCATATAATTCTATTATTCTCTACTTTAATTTCAAATAAAATAATTTTTATTCTTGATTTCACCAGCAATCATTGAAAGATTTCTGGATAATCAATACCAAATAAAAAAGGATGCACTACCATTTACCATCTTCACTCTGCTTCTAAACACAGCTGAGATTTCAAGCTCACAAGAAAAGATAAAATTTGTTAACATAGTATTTTCAGGCTTTACTGGCTTTTTTTCTCCTAAAGATATTTTTCTCCTATTAGAAAAAAAATTCTGAAACTCTAATAAAATGTTTGCCATTCCTGAGATTAAAAACTTCATCCTGCTGAGTTAGCAAGAAAATATTATCATCTTTGATTAGTTTCGAATGATCTATAGAAAACAGTGAAAGCTAGACTTCTGAGCTAACATAACATGTGAAAACATAATGTTACTAAAACAGACCACATGTAACAAGAGTATGTGACTCCAAGTAAGAAGTCAATTGTTACTGACTTAACAATAACATGCAGGGTGGGAGGGGGCATGACTAACAATAGCAAGATATCTGCATAGCAAGAACAGAATAAAAGAGGAAAAGTAGAATCAAAATCAAAATTCTTTGAGGAGACACAAATCAAAGTCATGTGGTATTACACCATTGAAAAATATGTGTTCATATTGAGAAATACTTTCACTAAGGAGACTGTTCATCAGAAACTTCAAATTTTTCAAAGTAGATGCAACTGAAATGACTAGAATGTTTTGGAACAAACAGACTTTTACATAAGCAATTACTCTAACGGTAAATTATTCCTTATACACACAACTTTTCAGAATGCTAAACATTGCCAATAAAAACAAGATAATCAAATTCCCTAGCCTAATGACAATCCATATTTTCATTTCAGACAACTAGACTTAGAATATATAAACTTTACACATATTCATGACCTATGTTACCCTAGCAGAGAGGGCTGCTGAAATACAGGAGTAGCAGGGCAGGTCAGGGAAGCAGAGTAAACAGCAATATAGTGGACAGGGCTAACGGGACTAACCATGCTGTTGAACTGGCCTCAGAGAACAACAATCAGTAGAACGATTACAGTTTCTAAGCGGATCAGTTCCCACCCGACTTTGATAATCAAAAAGAAGGTTCACAGGGAAAATAAGGAAGAATACTCCCCAAAGAGAATCATGCTATAACGCAGTTCCTAATTCGGTGTTTATAGAGGCCCGTTTAGGTAGAGGAAGGAAAAGAAGGAGCTTTAGAACTATTTTGTCAATTGAGAAAAGGAGGCCTAGGAACAGAGGAAAAAACCCCAAATACATAAAGTGAAGCTCCAAAGAGGCTTCCAGATACAGTGGGAATAAACAAAGGGCTCTTGGTGGAAAGAGTGTGGAAAGACAGGCCTCTGCCAAATTTACAGATGTTCACCACCCATGGTTAATACTCAGCATCTACTGTACTGTCAACCAAAGAATGGTTTTGGAAATAGGATAAACTTACAACTGGAAATTCTTTAGAATCTGTAGCTGGATTAAGGGTAAGGGCTGTTGAAGTATACAGGGATTGAAAATATCTATTAATTGCTTGGTGATGTAAAAAGCTCCAAATGATCCCCGTAATTTTTCAACATCTAATTAATGTCACTAAAGCCAGGTAACAAATAAAAATCTTTGGCAAAAAATTATTTTTTGAACAAAAATTAACTCACTGAAAGTTATTTTCTGGGCTTTCAGCAAATGGCTGGAGCTATCTATAGTCTACTATTAGATATAGTTACCACTAGTCTTCACAGTTCTCTTTAAGCAAATTAGAAAAAGCACCCCTCCCCCTAGAATAAATTAGAGAATCAGATTTCAGCTCCCACTTACTCCATTATCCAGAAGCTTTTATGCAGTGAGGCAAAACCCTACACAGTGGCCCTGACTGTGGGTCTCCTAATTGGTAAATATATGACATGGTGCAACACTAGGTACAGGTCAAATCAATTTTGAAAAGTCTAGTACCTGACATTAGAACTTCTCAAGTTAGCCTTTAAGTAAAGAAGATAATCTCTCCATACCCCTTGATACTCTACACCAGTGCTTTTAAGCCCTTTTTTCTTTTTTTTCCATTAGGAATCCTTTTTGAAAATCTGCGAAAAACTATGCATTTTCATTATTCAGCAAACACATGTGTACATATGTATATACACATACACAATTTTATATGTAATTTGAAGGGGTTCACAGACCTCCCAAAGCCTACTGAAGCTGCAATTTTAAACTTAAAATTTCATTTCCTTAGATGTTTACTATAGACTAAAAATAATCTTCAAAGCCCTTCAACTGACTGAAGAGACCATCTCTTGGCCAAGGGGACCCCAGAGTAACCTTGAAAACTGAGTTCTCAGCCATGATAGGACTTAGGGTCAGACAACCTCATTATACCCCACCCCCTTAACCATGATTAGGCTTTCTTCCCTAGGGACTTAACAAAAACCAGCCCTTTCAAAAGATTCCACAACTGATATCAACCAACTACCTGACACTACCCCTTCTTTTTTGCCTGATAAGAGACCATTTGCCTGATAACCAACCATGAAGTGGTTCTGGCCAGTCTACCAAGAATAAGCAGTAAGGGTTTTCGTGTCCTCTGCTCCACCTTTGACATCAGAGGGCCAAAAACTCCACCCTCGGATCATGACCCTCAGATGATGCTAGCATTGCCATTTTTTATATGTGGGACCCATGAAGGGGCTTGAAGGGGAATGAAGTTTAATGCACATACACACGGTTCTCCTTTCATAAATATTCATAACTCCTCCCACAGCTTACTGAATATGTATATTTGGCCACTCTGCTCAGTATAAATTTCTGTTCCCTTTGCCCCTCCCTCAAAGTATCTGTTTCAAGCTTCTCACAAAAGGCTATGCTTCCCAGCCTGTCACAGTGGTCACCCTGCAGGCTATAACCCTTATGATAAATAAAGCTCTCCTTTCTAAGTTTATGAACCTCTTCATTCTTCAGTGTACCTCCCTCACACAAAAAAAGGTGGGGGACAAAAAGCTACAGAGACTTCCCAGTTCAGAGATTAACACCAAAAAGAACAATAAAGCAAACCCATAACAACAGACATAAGATCAGATCAGAGATCTCAGATCCTCATACCAAATAAATTTCTATACCATAGTCTCCATAGTTCATCTAGACAACAGATTGTACAAACATTATAAAGCTTTAAATTGATATTTTTTCCACGTTTAAGTATCTAGAAATTAATTTCTTAATAAGCTGCCTCATTATAAAAATAATTTGAAGCAGTTAGATTTACTTCTTTGCCCTGGCCTATAAGAAGTATACAACCAAATTTATAGTCCAACTAAAAAAATATTAATATTACTAACCTCAAATCTTATTCTGTTTCCTTTCTCCCTGAAGAAAATCAGAATATGCCATCTCAAAATATCCCACTTTGACATAAGGATTTTGAGTGAAGGCAATTAGCTCTCTTCTCTCTCCATTTCTGTCTAAGCAGAACATAAATCTCCCTCTGTAAAGATGAAAGGAATTTCCATTTGATAAATTCCATTTGGAAATTATCCTCTCCTACACTAGGAAGAGGAAAATGACTCTTATCTACATAACAAACTTACTAAGTAATTCTTATTTACCATGCATTTCTGAGTCACTTTCTCAAATCCCAAACCCCTCTTCCTTTGTCTACCCTCTTCTCTATACTTTATTTCCCTTTGTGAAGATGGTATATAAGCCTCAATTCTAACTACCTCCATGAGTTGCATTTCTTTGTGAAATCTGTGCCTATAGATTAAATCTGGGTTTGTTTGTTTTTTTCTCCTGTTAACCAGCCTTTTATCAGTTTGATTCCTGGGACCTACCATTAAGCATCAGAGAGTAGAGAAAGTTTTTTTTCCTTTTTTACATCTTCACCTTGATTATTTTTCTTTCATGTACTATATATAAAATACTGTATGAATGTCTGCATCTTGTCTCAAATTATTTTTGAAAAAAGTAAGCTTGTAATTAATCAAGAGACATAAATGTCTTTTTAAATTAAGAATAATTAATAATGATATTAAGACTTTGTTTCCTAGAAATATGTCAACAATAAAAGGCCAACATCTTTTGAAAATCCATTAATTTTTGAGACTACCAGCATCATCAAAATGAATGAATGTAAGCAAATAAAACATAACAGACAGAAGAGCCATTGCTCTGTGGTCTAAAGTCCTTTATCCCACCAAAACCTTTTATATATGAGTTTGATTAATATATATATATTTTTTATTATTTCTTATCTTTAGAGACAGGGTCTAGCTCTGTCACCCAGGCTGGAGTGCAGTGGCATGACTGTCAGAGGCGTGTGAACCAGAGCAACTCCATCTTGAATAGGGGCTGGGTAAAGTGAGGCTGAGACCTACTGGGCTGCATTCCTAAGAGGTTAAGGCATTCTTAGTCACAGGATGAGATAGGAGGTCAGCACAAGATACAGGTCATAAAGACCTTGCTGATAAAACAGGATGCAGTGAAGAAGCTAGCTAAAACCCATCAAAACCAAAATGGCCACTAGAATGACCTCTGGTTGTCCTCACTGCTACACTCCTACCAGTTTACAAATTCCAAGGCAACGTCAGGAAGTGACCTTATACGGTCTGAAAAGGGGACGCATGAATAATCCACTCATTGTTTAGCATATAATCAAAAAATAACCATAAAAATGGACAACCAGCAGCCCTTGGGGCTACTCTGGCTATGGAGTAGCCTTTCTTTTATTCCTTCACTTTCCTAACAAACTTGTTTTCACTTTACTCTATGGACTTGCCCTGAATTCCTTGCCGCACAAGATCCAAGAACCTTCTCTTGGGGGTCTGGATTGGGACCCTTTCCTGTAACATGATCATAACTCACTGCAGCCCCAAACTCCTTGTCACAAATGATCCTCCTGCCTCAGCCTCCTGAATAGCTAGGACTACAGGAACAAGACACCATGCCTGGCTAATTTTTTTTTTTTTTTTTTTTTTTTTTTTGGTAGAGACAGAATCTTATTACATTGCCCAAGCTGGTCTCAAACTCCTGGCCTCAAGCAATCTTCCTGCCTCAGCATGCCAAAGTGCTAGGATTATAGGCATGGGCCACCATGCTTGGCCTTGATATTCTTCAACGCAAAATTAACATTCTCTTCTTTGTACTTCCATAGCATAGCATAGCACATTGTACATCACCTATTATAACAACTATTACTGTATTATTTAATATTATCATGGTTGTATTTTTCTCTACTGTTTCTGAAGCTGACTTGGGACCTGGGGTAATGAGTTACTCATTTTTGTATATTTGGCATCTAGCAGAAGGAGGGCCATAGTATCAGTCAAGGGTTACCAAGGTATTATAACCCCAGTGTACATGTTTGTCAAAGCAGTGGACAAGAAAGACAGGTTCCTAAATAAATCTTCAACTCATCAGCACCTTTATTACTTTTGCTTCAAAGCTAGGTTTCTATCAGCTCTGACTTCCCAATTTGTTCCCTACAGAGAGAGACCCTTAAGGCCTCAACATGGCACCACCCATGCTCTTGCTTGAGGGATTAAGCCAAACATGACAGGCATTTACTAATATTTGCAGAATCAATCAATCAAAGTCAACCTTGAACAGTAAAAGAAGTCTCAATAAAATAATGTATACTTTAACATGTCTGTGTGTATATACCTATATGTCAATATGAAAAAACAAATTTTTTTTTATCATCTGCTAGACAATTAACTTTTTTTACCACTCTCTTTCCCAAATCTCTCACGAAGCCTCCTGACAACATCTAACTATTTACAGCACTAGGTATGTGGTAGAGCTCAACAGTATTTATGGTACGGAATAGCTCTGATTAGAATTCTGTCAATATTTGCATTATTATACACTTACAGCAACATGTACAATCTTTCAAAAAATAATAAAATGTATTAGCAGTCCATTTTTCCTTAATTTCCTTCGTGTGCCCTTGGATGAATTAATTGTGAACCTTGACTTAATTGCTCTGTGGTTTAATTTTCTTATCTGTAAAATGACAGGACTAGTTCCTTTCACACAGTAATGTTACAAGGATTAAGTTAATTAAAATATGTAATTAAAATATGTAAAACACTAAGAATATTGCCTTATATAAACGCTCAATAAATTTTAACGATTAATAATTATCATTACAAAAAAAATTTCTACTCAGTCTATAAAACACAAATATTCTCAGAGTAAATATTTTAAGAGAAATAAACCAGGGAACTTGAAAGTACAGTTTAGTCTATTTTCAGCAAAACAGTAAAGAAAACATTGTTTGCATTTATCAGGGTTTTTAATATTAGGTTGAAACACATAAAATTGCCACTTTTATAGGGAAAAAGTTGAATATCACCAACTACATAGGGTTTACTTTCAGATTTTTTTACGTCTACAAATTATTTTATGTTAGAAAAATTAAATACATTTCACTGAAATGCATTTAAAATATTTTTAAGAAATGCAACCTTACCCTGCAATTAAGCTTCCAAAAATAATTCTGAAATAATTAAAAATATTGCCACCATAAGAATCTTTAAGTGGAGAATGAAAGAACCTGATTACACTACTAAAAACGCAGTAAACATCTTCCTCAAACACTGACTTTTTAACCAATAGGGTTCAACTTTTCTAATTCAGTTCTCTAAATGGGCTGCTATATAAAAAGACTAATGGAGTTTAAAAAAAAAAATCTACTGACTCCCTTTTCATTTGAAGACAGTTGCCAAAATCATTACTTTCAATCATAAAATATATTGTTAGATAATTCTTCTAAAGTTCCTAACATTAGAACTTCATTTCCTTCATATAGATAAAGAAATATGTTTAAGAATAGACGGTTTCCCTGAAAAAGAAAATTAAAAATCCTGATTCTCAGATCTGAGAAACATTAATCATTCAAATATAGTTGTTAATTCATTCATTCAGCTAACAAACACTTATTGAGTGCTCTGAGGTCACAAGTAAAGGTCCTTATCCTCAAGAACTAAGAATCCTCAGAGGAGAAAAATTAAATAGAAAATAATAAAATGTGATAAAAGCTATAAAAGAACTTAGGAAAAAGACTTAGCTCAGATTGCAGGGAATGGAGCATAGCATAATCCATGAGAGAAAATTGCAAAGTACAAAATCAAGGATATGTGAATCAAAAAACCTCAAAGCAACTCAGCTTGGCTGGCATGAAGGGTTAAATTAGTGGAAACAACAAGCAATACATCGAAAGAGGACAGCACAGACTAGATCAAGGACTAGATGAAGGATTTTGTATGCAATAGCCTAGTAAAGAGTTTGAATTTTACCTGGTAGATTTGCAAGTAAATGGGGAAGTGTACGAGAGAGAGGCAGGGTGGGGGAAAAGGATGAGAGAAAGAAGGACATGTGTGCACTGGTACTGATGATAGCTTTATATATTTAGTGGATATAGTATTTATAACTTAGGGTAACAAAGTAGAGAACATAAATAGGAAAAAAAAGAAAATAACTTACCATGCTTTCCCCTAGAAATATCCACATACTGGCAGAGTCTGGGATGGGTGATGGTTTTAAGGATTTGAAAGCGCCCTAAAATTTTGATGGAATTTGGTGTGAGAGGAAGTCCATTGCTTCCACAAACATCATGTGGCAGAGCCGAGGCAAAGAAGGTAAAGGCTCCCATTTCAGCGTCCTTCAGGGGAAACATTTTTGGAGTCCTAGGTCTTCTAAGATAATCTGGAAAAGGAGAGAATTTTAGGACAGACCAAACATTAAGCCAGACAGACCAAATCTTAAGCATGATTAACATACAACTTGGAGGAAAATGCCAACCTGAACACTTCACAGTAAAAATATCAAAGTATAAGAAAATTCTAAAATATCAGAGGACAAAACAACTCAGCATAAATTTATATTGCAGCTCTAAATCAAACTCTAAGATTTTCAATGGCATAAAAAAGAAAAGATTATTCCATTCTCAATGACATTTGACAGTTTAAAGAGTAGAGGAAGTTTGTTACTGCATCTTCATATTATTAATAAGGCTCTTCTCTTTTTTTTTTTTTTTTTTTTTTTTTTTGAGACAGTCTCGCACTGTCACCCAGGCTGGAGTGCAGTGGTGTGATCTCCGCGCACTGCAACCTCTGCCTCCCGGGTTCAAGCAATTCTCCTTCCTCAGCCTCCCGAGTAGAGGCACCCACGACCACACCCAGTTAACTTTTTGTATTTTTAGTAGAGATGGGGTTTCACTATGTTGGCCAGGCTGGTCTTGAACTCCTGACCTCGTGATCCACCCGCCTCGGCCTCTCAAAGTGCTGGGATTACAGGCGTGAGCCACCACACCCAGCCAATAAGGCTCCTCTCTTTACCTAAAGATTGAATAACCCACACACCACTGACAACCTTCCTTCTCATACAGTGAGGTAGGTCAGGAAAGAGGAAATATAGGTACCAACTAGTAACGAATAGGGGACCTTATTAATAGTAGTAAAGCTTAAACTAGATTAAAAGAAGGCTCTATAATATTAAATAACCAATTTTCATTTTTATGCTAGATATTTTACATAATGTATGATCTGCTTTAATCCTTTTAATAATCCTGACAGAGCTATTGGCTCCAGTTTAGAGATAGTTGTTCCATGTGTATAGCATGAGGCGTCCTATTTGCACTTACTCCAAAATAAATGGTGCCCCAAAGTTGCGTAAAGTAGTAGCCTGGAGAGTAGGAAACTTGCTCCATATCAATCTGAATCACATTAAGGCAACCATAACAACAAAAAAAAGGGTCTTCTGACACAAAAATCTTTTACCCATGGACCTCACTAAGAAGACATTCTACTGGTAAAGCCCTGCATTTTTCCCTTCTCAGCTTAATGATAAATATGCTGGAATTCCAATTCAATAAATCCACTTTGACAAGAAACCTTACTGAAATCATTAAAAATAAAATATTATAAAACGTATAAACCCTTAACAAGGAAGAAAAGAGAAACAGGCCATGAGGTGATGAAAGATTTCTAGAAACTTGTACAAAACAAAATATATAAGGAAGAGTGAAGCAGAAAGAAATAAGCTACAACCTGTAATAGTCAAGAGGTTTGTTTGGTCCCTTCAGATTCAGAGGCTTCAGACTCAGAGAAGGCGGGAACAATGTTAAACAGCAGTCAGAGGGTTTGAAATCAGAAGGGTGAAGTGTTGAATAATTAGAAGCGTCAATTCTGCCACCAGCCCCACAACATTGGCAGTTATTTACACTCCATGAAAAAAAGAAAAAGATAAGGTTCTTCCCTAAAGAAGCTGAACAAACTGAGAACTACACTAGTTGCTATGGACACTGGTGAGAAGAGCAAACTCCTCACAATTCCGGAATTTGTAGGACCCCAGCTAAGATTTGGCTGTTCACCCAGCCATCCTAAAACAAAATATATCCGTCAATAAGCCTGTCCATATATGCAAAGCTCCCAGGAAGCCTTAGCTCTTAAATAATGAGTTGTCTGAGAATCATCAGATAGTTGAGGAAAGACTACAGTATCAAGGGCAAACAATGAAATAAACCTCCAAAAATCTGGCTTTGGAAGCAACTGAAATAATTTATGAAAAAATAACACAAAAACCAACTCTAACAAACATAGAGAGATTTGAGGAGATATTGCATCCATTACATAAAACAAGTTATAGAAAAACACATTATACAAAAGAATAAAGAGAAATGGCCAATAGATACATGAGAAGATAAACAACCTCATGAATAATCAAGGAATTGCACATTAAAACCACAAAAAATTTTTATCTACTGGACAGTCAAAAATTAAGAAATCTGATAACACATAATGTTAGAAGGATGTGGAAAAATAGGATCTCTAATTTGCTGTAAGTGGGAGTGTAAATTAGTAAAATCACTAGATATGTTTTACACTATCTTGCTATTATATTCCTACAGAAACTCCTACACACACACACACACACACACACACACACACACACACACACACACAGAGTGGACCTGTGCAAGAAAGATCAAGGCAGTATTATTGCTCCTAATATCCCCAAGCTGGAGACAATTTAAATGTCCAATGGTAGGTAAATGGTTAAATAAATTGTGCTTTATTCACCTGTATACATAATGAAAAATAAGCAAACTATAGCCATATTTAATAGCATAGATGAATCTTAGAAATATAATATTGAGTGAAAAAAGTAACATAAAATATTCCAGTTTTCATAAAACTCAAAAACAAAAAATAAAACAAATAATTCTGGAATACTTATATCTATTGTAAGAATATATTCAATAAGTAAGGGAATTTAAAAAAAATACTCAGAATATGGGTTACTACCAAATTAAAGTGGGGTAAGGTTAGGGAAAAATTCATAAAAAGCTTCAAAAATCTTGAGTAATAGCCTAGTTTTTAGCTGGTGAATTAATGGGTGTTCATGTTATCATTATGCTTGGTAATTTCCATGCTCTGTATCTATATTTATCTACATATGTGTGTGTTAATACCACATATTTCATAATTAAAAGAATTTAAATAAAATAAATTGATTCTCAACAAAAGCAAAAGAGTTCAACAGGAAAAGGAAAGTCCTTTTTACAAATGGTGCTGGAAAAAGATATTCATATAAAAAAATAATAACCTCAACTTCTACTGATACATCCACAAAAATCTAAGATGGAACATAGGCTTAAGCGTAAAAGGTAAAACTGTTAGTCTTCTAATTGAAAACATAAGCGAATATCTTTACAACCTTAGGCTAGGCAAAGATTTCTTAGACACAATAGAACAAAGCACTAGCCACAAAAGACAATTTTGACAAAGTAGACTTCATCAAAATTAAAAACATCTGCATATCCAAAGGCACCCCTGAGAAAATAAAAATTCGAGTTAAAGGGAAATATTATTTACATCTGTCTGTATATACATATGACATTATGTATATATATGACCTTTTAAAATCAAACATATGTGTGTCTGTATATAATTGACCTGTATTCGGAGTCTATAAAGAAATACCACAATTCAATAATAAAACAAGCCAATACATAAATAGGTAAAAGTCACAAACATATTTTCACACAAGGCATGAAAATAATAAGCACATGAAAAAGTTCTTAATATCATTAATTGGGGGAAATGCAAATGAAAATCACAATGACAAACCTTTAACTTCTACAATGGCTAAAATTTAAATGACTGGCAGTAACAAGTGTTGAGAATGTGGAAGTGGAGCTTTGCTATATTGCTAGTGGGAGCGTAAAATGGCAAAAGAATTTTGGAAAATATTTGGAAAACTTTTCTAAAGTTAAAAATATCCCTAACTTATGACTCAGAAATTCCACTCTTTAACCAAGAAAAATGAAAACATTTGTCCATAAAAAAAAACACTGTATGAGTATGTTCATAGGAACTGTACTCTTAATAGCTAAAAACCAGAAGCAATGCAAATGTCCCATAAGTGAATCAATTAACATATTTGTACCATGAAATTCTATTTAACAAAAATGGAACAAACATGTCAAAACATGGATATACTCAAAAACATAAAGTTTATGAAAGAAGCAGACACAAAAGAGTTCATACTGTATGACTCCATTTAAATGTAATTCCAGAACTATAGTTCTAAACTATAGTATTAATAAAAAAATCAGAAGATAGTACTGTAGATGGGGGAGAGGGGTTGAATAAGCAGAGAAACAGAGGAACTTTCTGTAGTGGTAGAAATATTCTCTATCTCGATTGTGGTGGTAGTGGTTTTATGGATGAGTACATGCATCAAAACTCATTAAATTGGCCACTTAAAATCAATGTGTTTTAATATGTATCAAATTTTATCTCACACAAAATAAAACAGCTTATGAGAAGATAAACACTGCTATACATTTTCAAAGCATCAAACGTAACTAGAAAATTGTAAACATTTCAGACAGAAAAAACTGATTCTGCTATCAACAAGTTAAAGTGAGACTGGCATTCTCATCAGCAATAATGAAAGTCAGAAGAGAGCCTGGTGCAGTGGCTTGTGCCTGTGATCCCAGATACTTGAGAGGCTGAGGTGGGAGGATCACGTGAGGTCAGGAGTTTCAGACCAGACTGAGCAACACAGTGAGACTCCAGCTCAAAAAAAAGGAAAAAAAAAAAGTTAGAAGACATGGAAGGATTGAGAGTTGAAGGAAAATACTTTTGATTCTATATACAGCCAAATTATCAGTCATAAGAGCAAATTATAATTTACAGCTATACGAACATTAAAAAATAAAATTACCTTTCACTTGCCTTTTGTGAGCAAGTTTCCTTAGGATATATTCCAGGGAAATAGGGGGAAGCCCAATAACAGAAGATGAGGGGCTAAGAAACAATGTTATTTACCCAAGAATGAATATAAGCCCAGGATAGGAGCAATACAAAAGGACTAGAATGCAATCTGTTCAAATTAAACAGAAAGCCATTGGGCTTTAAGGGGAAAATCTTCAAACAGAGGAATGGAAGCTTGCTTCTATGTGCATCATACAAAGAATGAGAAGATTCAGTGAAGAAAGCACATCCACCTACCTATTCCCCAGGAGAAAGCAGAAAGGCAATTAAGAAAGTGGGGACGGTTAAAAACTATGTATTACATACTCCAAAATATAAAGCATGCTCAACTACAGCATATTTTGCCCTTGGCAGGAAAGAAATAAAAACCCATTTGACCTTGATATCATAAATAATCTCCTTAGTATGGCACAGGGATCATGAAGTTAAAACTCTGGGGAAAAAAACATATCAGAGCATACAGCTTGGACTTGCTCTAAGTAACAACTATAAAGCCATAATACTGTAAACATTTTATTTTTTTTATTGGTTTTTGGCACGTGAATAAAGCGCAAATGTTATAGTTAAGAAATATATTACTAACTTTGACAATGTACAAGTAAATGTCCAGCTAAGAGAAAGTGGGCATAAATGTAGTTTCTGAAGTGATAAAGAAAAAGGTAGAATCACTACTTTTCTCGTTTTACCAAACAAGGAGTCAAATATATTTTCAAAAGTTGATGTGAAAAAAGTAGTTTACGTATATTATTTTGAATTATAAAGTAACCAATACAAAAACTAAAAATTATGATTATGACTCTTCCAAAATTCAGAGGAGATTGTGAATGGTGTGGGCTATTTCTAGAAGTCAACGGAAAAAGAATTAGCAGTTCAACTTAGGGCTATCTCAAGAAGTCAACAAAAAGAATTAACAGTTTAACTTATTATTTAACCTACAGACCTAAAATTAGAAAAGGTTAAAAGTGGTTATCTTTGAAGAACAGTACTGAGAGTAGGACAGGTGAGACAGTTGCACTTTATTATTCAATCCTACTACGCTATACTACTTGATTTTTTTTTTTTTTTTTTTTTTTTTTGAGACAGAGTCTCACTCTGTCATCAAGGCTGGAGTGCAGTGGCATGATCTCGGCTCACTGCATCCTTCCACCTCCCGGGTTCAAGCGATTCTGTGCCTCAGCCTCCAGAGTGGCTGGGATTACAGGCGCCCGCCACCACGCCCGGCTAATTTTTGTATTTTTAGTAGAGACGGGGTTTCACCATCCTGGCCAGGCTGGTCTTGAACTCCTGACCTCAGGTGATCCACCCGCCTCGACCTCCCAAAGTGCTAGGACTACAGGCGTGAGCCACCGCGCCCGACCATTTTATTTTCAATCAGATGTCTTTATCATCACATAGCTGAAAATAAAATAACCAAATAAAACACAATGATCGAAAAAGATAAAACACTAATTAGCATAATCAGTGTTCTTTTTCCACTACCTCTTAAATGGTTGTACATAAAAAGGCTCACACACAAAAATACACACACATACATTCACTTACACCTCGTGAGTGGAAGAAAACTACCGGGGGAAAAAAAACGTAGAGATGAGAGATTAGATGAGGGAAACAGCAGTGCAAGCAGTTGGGCTTGAAAATTCATTCATTCAACAAATATTTTGAAGCCCCTATTTTAAGTCAGTTGTTTTTCCAGCTGGTGGGCAAAGGATAATGAACAAGTCAGACTCTGTGCCCTCAAAGAACTTAGAGTTTTAAACGACTCGAATGGGGAAAGAAAGTAAAAAATAGGGCAAAAGACGCCGATTTTATCATGAATAAAATTTCACATTTCTTCAACAGGAAAATGATACTAATTCATTTATTTTATATATACATTCTCTCAAGAGGTTATTTTTGTCTCAAATAGATAGAAACCAGGACAGGGATCCTTGAAAAGCAGCCACTGACAATCCTCAAGTAACTTCCTTCCTCTGCTTCACTTTCTCCTACTGCTCAAGGGGGTGTTACACTTTGACGACTGACTAAACCTCGAGGGCCAGAAACAAACCAAAGCAAAATTCTGCCTCCAAGGTGAGTAATGGAGGGGCGGATTCTAGATTCTCTAACCTCCTTTAGCCTTCCTTTGAGGCAGTGACAGAGCGATTACTAAGCCTACGGTTCCCAAACGACTCAGGTGAACCTGATTTACAGGAAAGGCGGGCTGTAGCTAGGGATGGAGACAGTACCTATCAGCAAGCGGCTCCACAGCTCGGTTCTCTATCTATTCTGAAGACATGCGGGGCCACTCACTGCTCCTGATAGTCCTCTACCTCCCACAGACCCCACCCACTACGACACGGAAAACTGGATTACCCAAATACCTGCCTCTGAGTCTGGGGACGCAGGCAAGCACAAAGACAAGGGGGATGGAGCTTCTACACAGGGCCCCAGCGCTGTCGCTGTGGCTGCTGCTGCCGCTACGGCTTAGTGCACCAGACGCTGCATTTCAGGTGCTCCTACAAAAGAGGCCACTCCTGGAACGCCGGGAGCTCAGACGCTGCCCTTTGCTCGCGAGCCAAGTCAGCCAAGGTTAACCTTCGCGGAACCCGGCGAGGAGCGCAAGCCTGGCCTTCCCCAAACACAGATCCGAGCTTTTCACCCTCTACCCTCCCCTCAGCCTGGCCTTTTCTTCCGCCCTCACAGCCACCGCGACCCAACGCTGAGGAAAGACCCCGACTTGTGGTGTCCTTCCCCTTGCCCAAACTGGCCACGAAAGGACATATAGCGAGAGAGAAAGAGGTGCGGGGGGACGGGGGGGGTCGATTGAAAATACTGGGTGAGGGAATGGAAGACGAGGAGCGTGGTATGGCAGGTTAATGGGACTGAGCACAGGAAGAGGAAGAAAGAATTGAGGGTTGAATCTGTAGAACACTCAGGCTTTCAGCAAGGACACCTCATTGGGTCCTTTCTCACTGCTATAGTACGCGGGTGGCTGGACCTACATGCTTCCTGCTGTGGCTGTCTCGGAACCCGTGGTCCTCCGCTTCATGTGAGTGACGTCGTGGCGGGTCACTCACTCGGGGATCGCCGATTGCGATCGTAGGGGTCTTCCTTCTCTAACTTGCCTCCAGGAGAGAGGACCTGGCCTGCGCTGCTAATGGGTAGTCCGTTCGCAGCAGGACCAGCCCTGGCCTAAGGAAACAGGAAAGAGTTTGAGACTTCCTTCTAAAGGAGCCACGTTTGAGAAATGGGATGCAGGCCTAAGTTAAGAATGCTACAGAAAAATATCGATCCCTAAGCGTATTTACTGTTATGTGAATGTGTGTGTCAAAGGACTTAGGTGCTTTGGGGGAGAGGAGGGTGAAGACAGGAATTTATTCATTGAGCGAATAGTTATTAAGCGCCCACTCTATTCCAGACACCGTTCTAGGCATTAGGTGAACAGCAGTGAACAAAACAGACGGAAATCTGTGTCTACTTGTAGCTCACATTTTAGAGAGGAAGGCACATACTAAGCAAAGTAATTAGAAACATACTGTATTTTAGGTCGTGATAGTCCTGAAGAGAAACGTAAAGCAGGGAAGAAGGGTATAAAGTGACACAGGAAGGTCTTGCTGAAAAGATGACTTTTAAGTAAAGGGCTGACAGAAGTGGGAGATTTAACCACGCGAATATCTTGGGAAAGTGCAGTCAGACAGAGGGACCAGCCATTGCAGAGGTCATGAAGCAGAAACGTGCTAGAATAGCAAGGAGGCCTGTAGGGCAGAGTTGAGTGAAGGGTTTAGTCCTTCACTGGAGATTAAATCAAGGCGAGCAGGTCATGAAGATCTTGAGGACATCTAACTTTTATTCTAAATGAAATAGGACTTTGGAGCGTTTTGAGCAGTAGAGTGATGGGCTCTGACTTCCTTTTAAGAGGGTCACTCTTTAAGGAAAATACACAGAGGAGGACGTGGTAGGAGAAAGGAGACCAATAAGAAGAGTTTTGCAATAATCCAGAGGAAGCATAATGGTGGTTTGACTATGGGTGGTAAGAAATGGCCAGTTATATTCTTGATGCACTTAATTTGGATATGTAAGAGTATTATAGATGACAGGGTTAATTTTATTTAATTAGGCTTTGGAGGACACTTGAAAAATGAATTCCAGTGTGAGTTTCAGAGTGGCAAACACAAGTTAAAATCATGGCTTTGCTATGTGGTACTTGAAGGGATTCAGATAAGTCATGTAATTTTCCTGGATCTGTCTATAAAATGGAAATCACATCTGTCAAGATTGCAAAGGTTAGGGTATATTATAGGTATTTAATGACAAGGTATGTAATGGGTCTAGTCTGCAAATCTTAACCAGGTAAAAGATGGCCTTATTGTGAGGTAAGAGGGTCATGGGAGGCCAAGGCATACTCCTTTTTAAATTTTATGGACTCTGTACTGGGGAGGAAAGTTTTTGTGTTAATGACGATGGTATTTAGAAATGCATGGACTGGCCTCTCATAGCTGTCCACCCTATAGTCATTCCTTATAGCCATCCTTTAAACCCTCCAGGACCCCCTATGTCCTCATCAGTAAAGGGAAAGCAGGCTGTCTGGTAAGGGAAATAGGAACTTCCATAAAAAAGCAATTTTAGATATTCTTTTTATAGGTTTTGGCAAAGGTTGATAAAAGACCTAGGGAATTACTGCTGGTTGCTGCGCTTACATATTTTGAGTGTCTTCAGATGCATTGTTCTCAGTGTATTTAATTTTCTTCTTTAAATTCTGACTTTTGACACATATGATTTAAATCCTAGCAGGAATTTTCACCTAGTGCTAAAAGGTACCACATTGCTTTACACTATAATAAGGACGGTCTTTCAGTGTGGGGTATTTTATGTATACTATAATATTTTTACATATCCAGTAATTAGATTGTGTAGCAAATCAGGGAAAGAAGTTGGAAGGCAAGAATAGGAATGAAGGGAGGAGAAGAAAGGAAGAAAATGATTAAAATTACTATATTCCATCAATTCTGAGATACACATTTTTCTCTTACTTAACATCTCTGAAATAGGGATGTATTTTTAAGTTGTTGACATCTTTAAATCACTGTAGATGAATTGGCAGTTGTGAGATATTTGTCATTGCCCACACTTACACCCACTTAGTCATAACTTAATCTTGTCATTATTTCAGTTGAGTTATATATGCACTATTGGCATATAGTTGTTGAGTGTAATTTCCCTTTTAAAGATCATTTAGAAGATTATGATTAGCATTAGAATGAAAAGTTACTGTGTATGTGGGGAAACAAAGGGTGATACAAGATAAAAATCCAGGGTTAAATTTAAAAGAAGTCTGTCAATAAATAATATAGGATGTGTCTAAGTAATAAGAAAGCATTGGGTCAGTTGATTCAATAGTGTTTTTTTTCATAATGTACATAAAATAATAGAGCTTCTTGGGATTGAAGCCATTTTACAATTGATGGCATTTTAGATTTCTTGTATAGTATTTAAAGCTTCCAACAAAAATGTAAATTTTTACCTACTGTAATTCTGAAATAGGGAAATTAGAGGTTTTGAGTAGAGACACTTTCAAATTTGTGTAGCGTTCCTATATAGCATAAGAATTCTAAAATTAAAAGTCTGCCTGTAAAACTTTGATTTCAAAGTAGTAACTTACTTATGTTTGATTCCCAATGTTGTCATCGTGGGGCAGAGATTTTGCTTTTTCAAAAAGATTGCAGGCAATTTAGATGGTGTGGGTGGGGAGGACTACTGAGGAAATTGCTCAGTAAACAAAAATGATAGTGAAGATCTCAGAATCTCAAAAATCATCTTTTGTGTGTGTATTTTAATGATTAAGATGTACTATAAATTCATGTACAGTATTTGGGATTCTGCATTAGAGGCATCGTATGATTAATGGCTTTTTAGGTTTGATGAAGTATGATAATTAACATTGAGAAGGACAAAATTAATGTGAAGGGACAGAATGATTTAGATAATATGTTTCAAAAGCTTTTGTCCTAAAAAATGCATTATTACCATTTTAATTTAGTAAAGGAAAAAGAAAAGGTCTTGATCCTCACCAAACACAATTAACATACTTGGTCTACAGTTTTCTGTGCTTCTCTCTTCATAAATGTTTTATATTTTCAATTACTGTGCATGTCATTCTTATATCTATTTTAATCTCACAGTCTTAATTTTTTTACATTTTAGTCCAGAGACTTAAACTAGCATTTCCTAAACTGTTTTAGAGAATACTAGTTCAAATAAATGTTAATAGCTGTTCCTGTGTTAGGATTCTGTCATTAAATATATTGGAAAATGCTTCGTAATTATATCCTTTAGAGAAATTATAGCTAGAGCATTAAAAGAGCTAACTGCAGCATCAGACAGACCTGAGTTTCAATCCTCGTTTACTATGTATTACATGAGGCAAATTAATTTTAATTCAAGTTTTCTTCTCTGTATAATGGAGATTATTACAGTATTCGAAATTGACTTGTGTAAAGCATTTAGCCAGCCATAGCGCATGTTCTACAAATATATGTAGTTGTTATTATCATCTATGAGAAACTTTATACATATTAGAAACTCTGAGGATTTAAAATTTTGAAGGTTGACTTATACTCAATGTAAAATTGAAAAATCACAGGGGAGTAATTAGCATAGAGATTAATGAAATGAGCACTGGGTTGAATGGTAAAAGATTTGTTTGAGCTTTAAGCAGTATTGTTGTTAAACTATCACTGTGCCCTAAGCGTAACATTATTTTAAAAATGTCTTCAACTGTGTTTCCCCCATTTGTCTGAAAGCTTAGTTAGTTCAAAGAACATGTTTATTTTTGTTCTCTACTATAAACCCAGCACATGACACAAAATCAGGGAGTGTAAAGTTGGGGTCATGAACTTATTTTAGGAGCCTGGTAGGTAATATAAATGGCAGACAACAGGGAGTAGTAAAGTGTCTGTCTGTCTTACTTAAAGACATTCACATCAGTTATTTCCAACACTGTTAGCCCTGGAAAAGAAAGCTATCCCTGAACTTTGTCAGGCTAGTTTGTGATCCCTAGAAAAGATTAGTGATTAAGACCAAACCCTGAAGAACAGCATCATTAATGGGACAGATTAAAAAAAAAAGGAGCCCTGAAAGGAGGTGACAAGGAAGTAGGAGGTGAAATCAGGTACAAGTAATTTTTTAAATTAAGAAAAGTATAGCCCTCTCCCTCTCCCTCTCCCTCTCCGCACCGTCTCCCTCTGATGCCGAGCCGAGGCTGGACTGTACTGCCACCATCTTGACTCACTGCAACCTCCCTGCCTGATTCTCCTGCCTCAGTCTGCCGAGTTCCTGGGATTGCAGGTGCGCGCCGCCACTCCTGACTGGTTTTTGTATTTTTTGGTGGAGACGGGGTTTCACCGTGTTGGCCGGGCTGGTCTCCAGCTCCTGACCGCGAGTGATCTGCCAGCCTCGGCGTCCTGAGGTGCCGGGATTGCAGACGGAGTCTCGCTCACTCAGTGCTCAATGTTGCCCATGCTGGAGTGCAGTGGCGTGATCTTGGCTCGCTACAACCTCCACCTCCCAGCCGCCTGCCTTGGCCTCCCAAAGTGCCGAGATTGCAGCCTCTGCCCGGCCGCCACCCCGTCTAGGAAGTGAGGAGCGTCTTTGCCTGGCCGCCCATCGTCGGGGATGTGAGGAGCCCCTCTGCCCGGCCGCCCAGTCTGGGAAGTGAGGAG
Organism: Homo sapiens; assembly: GCF_000001405.40. Taxonomy (NCBI): domain Eukaryota; kingdom Metazoa; phylum Chordata; class Mammalia; order Primates; family Hominidae; genus Homo; species Homo sapiens. The sequence goes on from NC_000004.12 coordinate 106,321,264, forward strand.
CACCTCTTCCCGGCCGTCATCCTGTCTAGGAAGTGAGGAGCGTCTCTGCCCAGCCGCCCATCATCTGGGATGTGGGGAGCATCTCTGCCCCGTCGCCCCGTCTGAGATGTGAAGAGCGCCTCTGCCCGGCCGCGACCCTGTCTGGGAACTGAGGAGTGTCTCTGCCCCGCCGCCACCCCGTCTGGGAGGTGAGGAGCGTCTCTGACCGGCTGCCCGGTCTGAGAAGTGAGGAGCCCCTCCGCCCGGCAGCCGCCCCGTCTGGGAAGTGAGGAGCGTTTCCGCTTTCCGCCCGGCAGCGGCCCCGTCCGGGAGGTGGGGGGCAGCCCCCGCCCGGCCGGCGCCCCGTCTGGGAGGTGGAGGGCGCCTCTGCCCGGCCGCCCCATCTGGGAAGTGAGGAGCCCCTCTGCCCGGCCGCCACCCCGTCTGGGAGGTGTACCCAACAGCTCATTGAGAACGGGCCATGATGACGATGGCAGTTTTGTCGAATAGAAAAGGGGGAAATGTGGGGAAAAGAAAGAGAGATCAGATTGTTACTGTGTCTGTGTGGAAAGAAGTAGACATAGGAGACTCCATTTTGTTCTGTACTAAGAAAAATTCTTCTGCCTTGGGATGCTGTTAATCTATAACCTTACCCCCAACCCCGTGCTCTCTGAAACATGTGCTGTGTCCACTAAGGGTTAAATGGCCCCTGCTCTCTGAAACATGTGCTGTGTCCGCTAAGGGTTAAATGGCCCGTGCTCTCTGAAACGTGCTGTGTCCACTAAGGGTTAAATGGATTAAGGGCGGTGCAAGATGTGCTTTGTTAAACAGATGCTTGAAGGCAGCATGCTCCTTAAGAGTTATCACCACTCCCTAATCTCAAGTACCCAGGGACAAACACTGCAGAAGGCGGCAGGGCCCTCTGCCTAGGAAAACCAGAGACCTTTGTTCATATGTTTATCTGCTGACCTTCCCTCCACTATTGTCCTATGACCCTCCCAAATCCCCCTCTCCAAGAAACACCCAAGAATGATCAATAAATACTAAAAAAAATTAAAAAAAAAAAGTATAGAAAATTTAGATAACTTTACCAAGGTCACACAGTCTAAGTATATATAAGCAAGCCCAAGGGTATATATACCCATGTTCCTCTGCCAGTGCTAGTGATCATTATCTGCATGTTACTAGAAAACATTAACATAAACTTATGCATCCAACCTATATTTTTAAAAAATTTAAATGATAATTAATCAACAAGTATTAGAAAACCTGTTTCCAGAGCTTCTGTTCTAAAGACAGCAAATGGCTTTTAGCACTTGAGCACAGTTCTGTTAACACACAGACGTAACTAGAAGTGAAATATTTTTAGATTTCACAAGATGAGACTTTTTAACATTGGCATCATGAATAATATTTCCAGATACCCAGTTATCTAGGACTGGAGAAGAAGTAGAGTCTGGGCGCCAGTGCAATGGCTCACACCTGTAATCCCAGCACCTTGGGAAGCCGAGGTGGGCAGATCAGTTGAGGGAGGTCAGGATTTCGAGACCAGCCTGGCCAACATGGTGAAACCCCATCTCTACTAAAAATTCAAAAATTAGTCAGGTGGCAGGCACCTGTAATCCCGGCTATTTGGGAGGCTAAGGCAGGAGAATCGCTTGAACCCAGGAGACGGAGGTTGCAGTGAGCCAAGATCGTGCCACTGCACCCCAGCCTGGGTGAAAAAGGAAGACTCTGTCTCAAAAAAAAAAAAAAAAAGTTTTATCACTTCTTTTTATCACATTGTTTCCTTTTAGTAGTTGCATATGTGTATTTAGTGTTTAGTTCATTTGTATTTCTGTATTTTGAAACATGACATTCTCTTTCCTAAACTTATGCTTGTTCTTCAATATGTATTATAAAAGTCATATTTTATGTAACTAACTATTCCACTTATATTTTGCAAATAGTTAACAGATTTATCAACTCAGTAAAATTGTATTTTTTTCTCTTAGGCTAGGATTTATTATCTCTATTTTCAAAATTACTGTTATTCTTAGAAGATTTTTTATATGTTTCTGTATGAGTCAGAACATGAGTTTCTTTTTTTGATTTTTCAGCAACTTGGTGGGTATTTATTTTTGAAGGACTGTCTAGAACTGTTGGCTTATTTATGAGCATTATTCTTTATGGACTATTATTTTAACAGTTTAGAAAAATACAGACCAAAAGAGCACAAAAATTCAAATGAAGATACCACCTTTAAACTCTGCTATTTTTACCAAAATGAACACAGAATACCATGTTGTTACTTAAACGTTTGCAAAGCCAGAATTGTAGAGAAAATATCTTAATAGAAATGGATATATGAAGAAAGTTAAAGTAAAAAAAAAAAAAAAACTATGCTCTTCTGAATTTTAGTATCCTGAGTACAGCATTTCTTTAGTTTTTGATGTCTTTTTATTTTAGTCTAACATAAGTAATGATGAAATATACTCAATAGGTAAAATGTAGCTATCACAAACAATAATGAGTATCTGATTAGGCAGAATTGGCAAGTTTTACATCTCTAGCAAAGACATATTTGATGAATAATACTAAAATGAATGAATTGGTGCATTTTAGAAAAATACATTTTGAAAAGATATGGCTCAAATCATCTTATTCAAATTTCAAAATTAAGAGAAAAACTAGAAAACTAGTATCAGCTAATATGAAACAAGTAGATTTAAGTATAGACTGATGCTCAAAAATGAGCCAACAGATCTAGACAGTCACCTCAAAAATAAATACCAGCCAGTGTATTGTGGCTTTTCAGAATATTTTTTATATAGGATTGGTATTATATAATAATTTGAAATTTTCAAACAATCTGTTACGTGTCTATTATCTAGTTTTTATTCAAAATTTCACCATTAATATTGAGTACTGCTTCATTTATTTAAAGTTAGAATTATTTCAGCAATACTTGTATCATTGTTATACCTTGAATTATAAATTCTTGTTAAATCAGGTAGAAAAGAACAGTTCATAGTATTACTAATGATTAACCTCTCCATTGTCAGTGTGATTATTTTTCTTAGTATGTGGCAGTTTAAATTTTAACATGGTGAATTAATCTCAGAATGTTTGCTTACATACATTTTTCTGTACCTTGATAGTATTTTTTTAAATTTCTCTGAATTTATTATAAAACTAAAATTCTAATTTTTAAAATAAAGACAACGGTATATACTGACATTATATCTGAACAAGCATATGATTAATATTTTCTTAATTGTTGATTTTTTCTTTTAATATTTATCTTTCCTAATTGACGTTTTCTTCTTGAAAATTGTACCTAAGTGAATACACAGTAGAAGGATCCAGTATACAGAAATATAAAAGGAATGAAATCAGCAACTCTTTACTTTGGAACACAGATGTAATACTCATTAGCATAGTTACGGTTATTGTTATTCTTATCTCTTAGTGTACCTGAAGCTTTCTTTGAAAGCTTTCAACCTTAAATGTGGCTAAATAGCCTGTTTTCTGCATTTAAGAACAAACTATATTTCCTCTTCTAAGTAGATTCAGGAATTAGTCTACTTAACATTTCTGCTATTTGTTTGGCTTGTTGCTCTCCATAGGAAAACTATTTTTCTAAGATATTTATCTATTACAGTAGAAAATGTTTTTCCTTTCAGACTGCTTTTTCATAGTGGCCTATAGTATAAATTTATTCCTTTCACAGTGTAATTTATCACTTTTATTTTTCCTATAGGATTTTCTGCCGTCTCTTGGCAAAAATGGCAAATAATGATGCTGTTCTGAAGAGACTGGAGCAGAAGGGTGCAGAGGCAGATCAAATCATTGAATATCTTAAGCAGCAAGTTTCTCTACTTAAGGAGAAAGCAAGTAAGAAAATTTAAAATTTTTTGAGGAGATACTTAAAATGAATTCATACATTGATGGAGAAAAAATAATGTTTACCGCTTTAAGTTATTTAAGTTTTACTTAGAAGTTTCTGTTATATGTAGAAAAATATCAAACCTGAATTTCTACCTTCAGGACTTCAGTTGGCTTTGGTTTTGTTTGTTTAAATGTATTTTATTTTCAGTAGTCAATGTCAGAATAGAAATTTCAAAATCTTTTGCTGTCACTAGTAGAAATAAATGCTTTCCTACGTTTTGTAAGCTAATGGCTTACAAAAACCTGTATTTACTCTCCAGAAACTTTATCAATTTTTTTCTAATTTTAACATACCACTTTGTTTCTTTTTTTATAGTGTTTCTCGAGATTTTAAAATTATTTTTCTTAAAAATTCTTACTCTCTTTTTATTAAAAAGATGAAGAGATTGGACATAGTCATTGCTCATATGATATAATATATGTTGTAAACCAAATTTTGTCTTCTGTAGGTGGCCATTTCCTAGCCTCTTGATAAGCATTTTAGTTTTGCCAGTTTGAAAATCTTTCTACTTATTCTTCACCTTTATATTATTCTTTGGTAGCCTATACTGGTAGTTTTTAGTCATATTGCTCCCAATTTAGGATGAATGTTTTATAAAATCTCTGTTAATATCCTGTAAGGAAAATATTTCCTAGAAAAATAACCTACCTATATATAATTTTAAAACATATCTTAATCCTATATATAAAATAGAGAAGAGAAATAAAAAGAAAGGTATAAGTAGTAGTAACAATAATATGTATTTCAGTAAGTAATACTTCAGCAGAATTATACCACTAAAGGCAGTGTAAGAGGGTCACATGCCCCATGATTCACATACATGGAATCATCAAGAATGCAATAGGTACAATGCCAACTAGTATAGGTATATAGTCAGACTGCCTTTGTGTAGGTGTCTCAGATACCAGAAGCAGATAGTGATATAGATGATTTATTCAAACTGATGAGTGATTGATTAGATAGTATTTTGAATAAAACAAGGTACAGTCTACTCTTGATTTATGTGGTACTTGATTCATAGAAAATTTAGGGTATAATAAGCATGCTTAAAAACACTTTGTGTTTATATATAAAGAATAGTTAAAAATCTAGACTCAAATAATTATTAATAGGATTTTTACTTATACAAATTTATGATAGGCCACTATAAAGTTCTGCAGGATGTGAAACAGTTCTTCATTTTGCAGGAGTATCCAGCATACTGCAGGACATCTGACATTCTTGGCTTCTGCCCAATAAATGCCAGTACTAACAATCAAAAATAATCCTACAGATTTTCAAAATCCTACCTACAAAGCAGTACCAACCCCACTGAGAACCATTATTTTTCTCTTATACTTTTGTTACCCCATTGCACACTTTTAACACATACATTATATTTTGAGCAAATCCTTGAGTTATTTCACTCATTGAATGTTTGATTAGCTTAACTCAGACTTTAGCAATATTCAGCTTCTTTTAAAAGGTAATGACTAAAAAGAAAGACATGAGAATAGTTTTTGCTTGTGTGGTAACATCTCAGAATTTTTTTAAAAATATATATATAATTTAATATAATGCTTCTCTTTTTTTTCAGCATCTGTTATTGACATTTTATCTTTTATTTTTAAAAATTTTTTTGAGACAGGGTCTTGCTCTGTTACCCAGGCTGGAATACAGTGGCACTATCTCAACTCACACTGCAGGCTCAATCTCCAAGCCTCGATCAGTCCTCCCACCTCAGCCTCCTGAGTAGCTGGGACCACATGAATGTACCACAACCCCCAGCTACTTTTTGTATTTATTGTAGAGATGGGTTTTGCCATGTTGCCCAGGCTGGTCTCAAACTCCTGGGCTCAAGTGATCCTCTTGCCTCAGCCTTTGAAAGTGCTGGGATTATGGGATTACAGGCATGAGCCACTACACCTGGCCACATATTGACACTTTTGTGCCAGCTTCTTAAGTTATTTGCCATTGCCTTTTATTATAGCCGCAATGCTGAAAAGGTGGTAATTTGATCTTAGTTAGCATCTTAATAGGAGCTAGGAAAATGATTCATAAACAAAGTCTTTCTGTTTTACTCTTATTTCATATATTTTCTCCCTCTCTCTCTCTCTCTCTTAAATAGCATGTTGTTTTAATAAATATTAAACTGGCATAAAGGCACTGGCCAAACATTTGGTTACACTAGAGCTAGTATTATCCTAGCTGTAGTTATACTGGCTGTCTTCTTTTCAAATAGTATTCATACAAAACCTCTTTTAAAAACATATTTTAACTGGATGTTCTTGATCCTAGTTTTGCAGGCAACTTTGAGGGAAGAGAAGAAACTTCGAGTTGAAAATGCTAAACTGAAGAAAGAAATTGAAGAACTGAAACAAGAGCTAATTCAGGCAGAAATTCAAAATGGAGGTAATTAAATATAGAAAATTTGAGTAATCCAGAAGTTAAGAAGTTGGCCAGTCACACCAACAGTGAGGAAAGAAGTAAGAATCTGTATCTAGGCAACTTGGACAACTTCATAACTTCTAAATGACTCAGATTTATCAATAAAATGGGGGCATGGATAGAACCTACTTCTTAGAGTATGAGAATTACATGAGTTAATTTGTATAAAGCATTTTGAAAAGTGTTTGGGGCATAGTAAGTTCATAATAAATGTTAGCTGTTCTTATTTGCAGGTTTCTCGGTTTAGTAATTGATTAAATGGGAATCATGCCTTTATTCTTTGATACCTCAATTATGGCTAAAATATGCCTAATTTTTTGGCAGCCATTTTATAGTCTCAGACAGTGGATATTTGATAGCCATATACAGTGAATTTTTCATTTAAAAAGAGTTCCCATTTGTGGTTCACAATTTCATATTTTTTGTCATATTTATTGGTTTAATATGAATGACATTATTTCATTTTCTGTCTCAGTGAAGCAAATACCATTTCCATCTGGTACTCCACTGCACGCTAATTCTATGGTTTCTGAAAATGTGATACAGTCTACAGCAGTAACAACCGTATCTTCTGGTACCAAAGAACAGATAAAAGGAGGAACAGGAGACGAAAAGAAAGCGAAAGAGAAAATTGAAAAGAAAGGTATTTTTGACCTTTAAGCATATTTAGCTCTTGACTGGATTATCAGAAAATGTCAAGTTTTGATAATGATAATAATAATAGTATCAAAAGTAAAGTTCAACTTTCATGAGCTAGGATAAAATTAGGAACAATATGATATTGGAACATAAAAGCTGGGTCCTAAATGGTGTGTGAATATTGACCAGATTAACGGGGTAAAAATGTGGCATTTTAGGCAGAGGGACTGGCATAAGTTAAAACAGACTGTAAAGGTTAAGTGTAGAAACCCATATGTAGTTTGGTATGGCTGAATTTTGGTATCTATTTGTGGTATAGTTTGAGAGAAGTCACAGATAGGAAACTAGCTTAGGACCAGTTGTGAAGATAGGAAAAGAACATTCCACCAGTCAAAACAGACTGTCTGAACTAAGATTTCAAGAATCCATGAGAACTAAAGTAGATAGAAATGTCACCATCCACTTAGGCAACAACCCTTGAAATTTAGTCATCAACCTTAACCTGTCCCTATTCCCTGTTCTTCATATCTAATTAACCAACAAATTCTATTATTCCTGTCCCCAAAACATACATAGACCCCAGCTCTGCTCTTTCTTTTCATTAGGTCCTACCTCAGTTCAGGTTTTCAACGATCTTTCATCTGAATTAATATTAAAGCCTCATCTTTTCTAGTTTATTTTTAGCCTTGCTGCTAAAGCTATTTATTCTAATTGTAAATCTGACTTCCTTTCCCCAGATATGTCTAAAAAGTTGCCTTTATAAATAATTATGAATATTTCTCATTATACTTAAACTTATTTACTTTTTTTTTTTTTTTTTGGAAAATATAACATGCAGAGGGATTTATGAACTAACCCAAGCCAATTTAGCCTCTAAAGCACTTGCCAGTTCCTTTGGCAAACATCAGTAACCTCTGTTAGTTAAAAGTAGGTAGGGGCTGTACAGCCTCTGCTATACAACTTCACCACTAGGTGGTATGATTACAATGAAAGCAAGTCAGACTAACTCTTCTAGTTTATAAAGTACGTTAAGAAGTAGACACAAAACAACTATATAACCTGTTCTTGCAAATTTGGTGGAATCCATATTCTATTCTCTAAGGAGGGTGCACTGTTCTGACTCAGGATTAATCAGTCTTCTAGTTAGAGAAGGCAACAAGGCTCTCCTTTGATGGAAGAGGGAGCACACAGGACCACAAGACCAAATGGAGTTATAAGATTAGAACACTTCTATCCAATGGAACTTTCTATGATAATGGAAGTACTCTATATCTGCATTATCCAACATGGTAGTCAATGGCCACATGTGGTTATTAAAGATTTGAAATGTGGGTAGTATGACTAAACTGAATTTCTAATTTAAATAATTTTAAATTTAAATTTAAATAACCTATGTGGCTGGCAGCTACCATATTAGACAGTGCTGGTTATAGAGGGCTGTTCCATAGGTGTTTAGCTGCTAGCTAGGACTGCCAGATTCTGCTCATGCAAGGGCTGTGGTGCCCATATGATCTTTCTAGACTGCTACATATCTTTTTTTTTTTTTTTTTTTTTTTTTTTTTTGGAGACGGAGTCTTGCTCTGTCACCCAGGCTGGAATACAGTGGCATAATCTCGGCTCACTGCAACCTCCACCTCCCGGGTTCAAGCAATTCTATCTTAGCCTCCCAAGTAGCTGGGACTACAGGTGCATGCCGCCATGCCTGGCTAATTTTTGTATTTTTAGTAGAGACAGGGGTTCACCATATTGGTCAGGCTGGTCTCGAACTCCTGATCTCAGGTGATCCACCTGCCTCAGCCTCCCAAAGTGCGGGGATTATAGGCATGAGCCACCATGCCCAGCTAGACTGCCACATATCTTAATTGAGCGTCACTCATTTGTCAGTGAAGGATTTCTGAAATTCCTTATGATAATTAACAAAGATCTTGGTATAGATTTTAATATTTGCAATCATTTCTAGAATGGGGATTCCTGATAAAAGTATTTCAAATGCCTAGGAAGTACATTAGAGTTTTAAAATATATACAAATGTAGATATATTGTTATACTACAGTATTTTTAAAGTAAATGCATATACTTTATCACACAAAAATATTAAGATTTTTGGCATATTCTGGTAATTTTGTTGTACATATTTTTCTGTATAATTTGGATTTTTACCTTTTGAAAAATTTTTGCTAATTTGTTTATGGAAAATGGAATTTTTTTAAAGCTTGCTAATGAGATTAAAAATTGGCCATTATTTTAAGTTAATTCCATCCCCTCTTTGATAAACTTATTGTTGTATGAATTATGAATACCTTTACACAGAATTCTCCTTTCCTGCTTCATGCAGAATTATTCTTCACTGAGTTTCTATATTTCTTTGTGTATGTCATGTTTATCACATATTCATTATACATATACATGTCTGTCTTCTTTAAAAGAGATTTTGAGTGCCTTGACAACATGGACTGCCCATCTTACTGTTTCCAGTGTCATAGCACTCCGTATGTTGAAAGATTAAATAAATGTATAGTTGAGAAAGAATGCTTCCAAGCTACAATAGCTTATCTCTGTTCTTTGGATTCAAAGGTAAATAAGGTTTTATTTTGATTTTACTTTTTTGGGGCCAGAAAAGCTAATTGTAAACTTAAAGAATATGAATCCTCTTTGCAGGTTACAATTAACTCAGTAGCTAAAATAATCATGTGTTAATAAGAGTTACATTTTCAGCAAATAAATAAAAATATAATTATTAAAACATAATCAGAATAAAATATTCTTATCTGCTTAAATAGTTACTGTGGATAACCCTAAAATCCTAATATATCTTCAGAGAAATCTAAGAAATGGAGAAATTAATTATGTACTTACTAGTGTATATAAGTGAGGAGGAAAATATTTAATGAGTGAAATTGCATTCTGCTCTAGTTCATTCTGTCATTTGGGTACTGGTTGTGGTGTTCTTTCTAAATAAAGTATTTATCACCTTCCAAAGAGCCATAGTAAAAGTTTTTAGAGGAGTCTCTATTATCCTGTTTCGGGGAAAGGCAAACTTTTTCTGCCTAAAGCCTTTGTCACAACTACTCAACTCTGCCCTGGTGCAAAAGTATCCATAGATGATATGTAAATGAATGAATATGGTTGTCTTCCAGTAAAACTTTATTTATGAAAACAGGCAACAGGCTGGATTTGTCCCATGAGCCATAGTTTGCCAACCTCACACAATGTCTTCAAATAGAAATACAACAGAGAAATAGCTAAAATAGGATTCAAGATTTTATGACTTGGATAATTTTTTTCTTTGTTATTATTTAAGTGAAGGTAGGAGATAAACATTCTTTTTATTTTTTCCTTTTAAGCTCATTGGTATGGATACCATGGAGTTTTCATAGTGTTTTTTTGCTTGGTTTTATTTCTGATGTTTACCCATTCATAAATACTTTTTAGGAGAGAAGAAGGAGAAAAAACAGCAATCAATAGCTGGAAGTGCCGACTCTAAGCCAATAGATGTTTCCCGTCTGGATCTTCGAATTGGTTGCATCATAACTGCTAGAAAACACCCTGATGCAGATTCTTTGTATGTGGAAGAAGTAGATGTCGGAGAAATAGCCCCAAGGACAGTTGTCAGTGGCCTGGTGAATCATGTTCCTCTTGAACAGGTAATCTGTACAACTGAAATTCCTGTTGTGTACATACAACATTTTCATTCCCTCCTTCTTGGTATCTTTCCATTATAATTTTGTATACCATACAACATGTGCCCTTGTTAATTAGTTCAGTCGATTAGTTTGAATGTGGTTAATTACACAAAAAAAGCATAAAACCACCAAAAACCTGTAAAACATCTGTAAATTAAGATATAATGCATAAGGATAGGAAGAAGAAAAGATGTATTATTTTATCTATTTTTAAAGTATTTTTACTTTTGTATTTTGCATTAAAAAACTATTGGTGTGTATATATATATAAAATATATTTGAAATCTAAGTAACAACAAAATACAAAACATCCCATTTTTAACAAATAAAGGAATACTATTAAAAATTACAAGTTCAATCTCCGTGATCCCCTCTCCTCATTTTTCCTCAAGTATGAAAATATTTTTTGGGTTTTAGAGAAATAAAACTTGCTCTCATGCTTTTAGATTGGTGCTTTCTGGGTTTATTTTACATGATTTTGAAAAGCAAGGAATTATAAAATTCCATGATGAAGCAGTGATAAAAATAATGATTATGATGACTATTGTGTTAGAAGTACTTAATAGATAAATTTTTTTCACATGCTATTTTATTTCTTACTATATACAACTGTCAGTTAAGTAGTATCACCCTCATTTACAGATGACGTTTAGGAAAGTTAACCAAGTTATGCTATATATATACAGAGATACATATATATATATATATACATATATATATAAGTTGGTTCACTTTTTTATGTATCTATAGATATATACTCATTATACATCTGTCTATATAGATATATATATATATACTCATTTATCTCACTCTGAGGCTGATTATCTTTAATCCCTATACTGTTCAGCTTTACTGTTTACCATTCAAGGTGGAGTTAGTCATGAAACTTCTAACTACAGGTGCTATGTAGTTTTTAGAGCCATGCATATGACCAAGGTCATAAATTACAAACTGCTGGGCCAAGGAAAGAATGCAATCCCAAAAAGTTTCAGTTTATCTTTCATAGTATTTCATAAAATACTTACACATGGAATTTTACATGAAAATCCTGATGTCTTGTTTCTTAAAAATTCAGAACTAAGCCCCACCCCTACCCTTCCCAACCCCCTGCTATTTTCTTAAGGCAGAAATTGGTTAACACTTAGTAATGGATAGCCCCTTTAGGTGGAAGTTAGACTCTTTAACACAGTTTCAACCATTCCATAGTTGAGGTGGAAGGTCACTTGTGATTATTTGGTATTTATCTTTACTTTTCTGCTAGTGTTATATTTACGGAAGGTTAAGAAGAGACTCGAGTATCTTTTTTTACCATGTCTCAAAAAAACAAGGGTGTTACTTGTTTTTTCTGTCTAGGATTCCTTACTCATTTCCTTTACTTATTTGGTAGACAGTTGTATCATAATTGCATCAAATTGCACTTTTGATCCCTAGCCTGGGCTTTTGTTTTGGCTCTCTAATTTCAGCGTTGCTGGAACACAGTACGGGTAATGGATCAATATTGACCTATCATCAAGAGTACAAGGAAGTGATTTCTTCTACTTCCTACTTAACAAGCTCATTTCTTTTAGGTCTCCAATGATTAATTATCCGAGCCAGTGAAGTTTGGGTTTTAAGTGTTTCATAAAAGAAATTGATAGGAGGTTAGAGTATCTCCACTTTTCCTTTCTTCTGGTGAGTTTAGCACCAGGGACTGTGCTTTGTGTAGCTTCAGAAAACAAACCATGGTTACAGTTTATATAATATTATTCCCTATTTAAAATTTAATTCTTTCTATAGTGAAATTAGAGCTGGGTATTTGGAATATGTGAAAAGTATTGATGGTATATTTTATGAAGGATAACCTTGCATGATAACCGTTTTAAAAGCAAATTGATACTCCATGATGATACCCTTCAGAGCAGTGGTTTCTAACTGTTGCTTTTTTTCTTATAAGCTTTCAAACCTCCTTCTCAACAAAAGTTTACTTTCTTCCTTTTTCTTTACTTTTGAATACCATATTTACTTTCTTGAAGAAATATGGTTTTTAAAAAATCTAGTAACAGTGGAAAGAATCGAAGACAGTAGCAGTTTTAAATGTCCTCTTTCTAGATGTCTTCTATGGTGGTTTGAATCATCTACCTATTTCCTCTGTCCCATGGTGCTTCAGAGATATTGCAAAGAATATGGACTTCAACATTACGATAGTTCTGCCTTTGTTTATTGCTACTCTGCTGCTTGTTGGTTTTGTGAACTTGAACAAATCCCTGTGTTCATTCAATTATATTTATAGCTGCAAGTATTTATTAAGCACCAAGCACCTAAGTAAAGGATACAGCAACAAATTAAAATACAGAGATAGATAAATTTCTTTTTTCTTTTTTTTTTTTTTTGGAGACTCACCCAGGCTGGAGTGCAGTGGGGCAGTCTCGGCTCACTGCAACCACTGCCTGCCTCCCGGATTCAAGCAATTCTCCTGCCTCAGCCTGCCGAGTAGCCAGGATTACAGGCACCACCACCAAGCCCAGCTAATTTTTTGTATTTTTATTAGAGACAGGGTTTCACTATGTGGGCCAGGCTGGTCTCAAACTCCTGACCTCAGGTGATCCGCCTGCCTTGGCCTCCCAAAATGCTGATATTACAGGTGTGAGCCACCACACACAAGCAACAAACATATTTTTAAAAATAGCCCTGCCTTTATGAAGCTCACATTTGTATAAGGGAGTCAGAAATATTACCAAGGTGTAAGTAAATATTTAGTATGTTAAATAGTGATAAGTGCCAAGAGAAAAATAGGGAAAGAATCTAGTAAGTATTGAGGCCAGGATGATATTGACATTTTATATAAAGTGCCCAGGGAAGACCTCAAAAAGAAAGTGACATTTGAGTAAAGGTCTAAGAAAATGAAAGCAAGTCATGTGTTTATCTGGCTGAAGAGCATTTCAGGCAGTCCTGGGAGAAATGGATGGCTGGGATGTTCAAGGAACAGCAGGAGGCCGATATGAATAGAGCAGGGTTAATAACTGAGAAAGTCATGGGAGATGAAATCAGAGATAAGGGTGCCAAATGTCTTATAGATCATTGTAAAGTTTGGCATTTTTTCTGAGTAAGATGAAAGCCATTGTAGGATTTTAGAGCAAAAGAATAACATTGGTCAGCCTGACATTTTAATAGGATCATTCTGGCTGCTCTGTTGATGGGAGGAAGATGGAATTAAGGAGATCAGTGAAGTTTCTCTTATCTAGGAAAAAAGAAGTAGACTTGGCATATGCATGTGCTTTTTTTACTTTTTAATATTTATGTTATATAGGACCAGAACTGATTCATAACTCCTTATGAAGTTAGGAGCCCTGGAGAAAAGAACCAACTGATCTTCAGCCAGCTTAAATTGGAAAAACTCCTCATTTGGGCTTCATCTTTTCTGTTCTTATAAGTTGTAGACTATTTTTTCTCTTCCAGCAGCCATCATTCACAACCATAAGCAAAGCTATTTTTATAAACATCTGTATCTAACCCATCAAGATACAACCTAAAATAAAAGTTAAAAAAAAAAAGATAGTACTAGTAAACATTCTATAAAGTAGGGACACTTAGAATTCAAAATTATATACTCTGTTTTGTAGGTGGTACATTTTTCTAGGGAAAAGTTTCATAGCTATCGTCAGATCCTTAAAGGATTGCATCTTACTAATCCTGTTGCTACTCTTAAACACTTTTGCTGTAACTTTTAAGTTCTCATATACGTGACATTGTCAAGTTATTTGAAGCATTCGAAGAGAAATATTATTTATGAAGACCCCCTAATTCATTTCGAATTTGACTCTTAGGCTCATTTTTTTAAATCATAGTATTTCAGAGTAAATTTGCATATAACATTTATTTATAAAACCATCTTTTATCTAGAATGCATCTTTTTTTCTCCTTTGAGCAATAGTTCTCTTGTATGATTCATTTTAAACTTGTTGAAAGAATTTAAATAACTATATTTCTTACTTTTGCTAGTTGGAGAAAAAAATTAAGACACTTCAAATATGAAGATTAAAGAAATTTCCGTTTGCTTCCATAAAAAATTTGTAGAACTAGCCCTACATGTTAGTTGCATGATGCATGATGCTGAAATTGTTAAATGATCTTTTTTTTTTTTTTTTTTTTTTTTTTTTTGAGACAGGGTCTCACTCTTGCCCAAGCTGGAGTTCAGTGGCATAATCAAGGCTCATTGCAGCCTCCAGGCTCAAGCGATCCTTCCACCTCAGCCTCCCAAGTAGCTGGGACTATAGCCACATGCCACCATGCCCAGCGAATTTTTTTATTTTTTGTAGAGACTGGGTTTTGCCATTTTGCCCATGCTGGTCTCGAAAAAAAAAAAACACTGGGCTCAAGCAGTCTGCCTGCCTCAGCTTCCCAAGGAGCTGGGATTATAGGTGTGAGCCACCACACCCAGCCAATTTTTTTTAAATTAAAAAATAAATCTAGCATAGCTCTGGAAATGATCAAATGTGTAGGGAAGAAAATGCACATGTGTAAATGTGTCCATTTATTTTAATTCTAATGCTAGGCTAAATGCTTTATTATGCATGTTATGATTTAATCCTTATGACAACTCTTCAATATTATTTCTCTCATTTTTTGAGGAAACAGGAGTGTCAACTTTATGCATTCTCATTGCTAGTACATGGCAGCTGAAATTCAAAACCAAGTCTGTTTCACTCATTTATTCATTGAGTAAATTTTTAACTGAAATTCCTCTGCTCTTTCAACCATAATGCGTTATCAATTTGGAGGAATTTTTTTTTCATGTTTATGCAAAGCTTCGTAACAACAATAAGAGACTTTGGGCACACAAAGACAAAGGTACATCCACAAAAGTAGAACATTTGATACTTAGCATATTAGGTGTAGCTTAATGTAGTCTGGATATGATTAGGCTTAATCTGTGTACATCTTTACTTACCAGTTTATATTTCACACAGATGCAAAATCGGATGGTGATTTTACTTTGTAACCTGAAACCTGCAAAGATGAGGGGAGTATTATCTCAAGCAATGGTCATGTGTGCTAGTTCACCAGAGAAAATTGAAATCTTGGCTCCTCCAAATGGGTCTGTTCCTGGAGACAGAATTACTTTTGATGCTTTCCCAGGTAGGTATTTATTAGTAATTACTTAATAGTTTCGGAATCAGTTCTCAAAGTGATGTTTGTAATGCTTAAAGGTTAAAATCAGTCCTGTGTAAGAATCATGAGTCTTACATTAATGACCATTATTAACTATTATTGAGTTTTTCAAGATTGGCTCAAGATGACACATTGAGTAAACCTTGTAATCATTCTCCTCCCCATGAATGTACATGTTGTATAAAACACCTGATATGGTTTGACTATGTCCCCACCAAAATCTCATCTTGAATTGTAGTTCCCATAATCCCTACATGTCATGGGAGGGACCCGGTGGGAGGTAACTGAATCCTGGGGGCAGGTTTTACCTGTGCTGTTCTCATGATAGTGAATAAGTCTCATGAGATCTCATGGTTTTATAAAAGGGCAGTTCCCCTACGCATGCTCTCTTGTCTGCTACTATATAAGACATGCCTTTGCTCCTCCTTTGTCTTCTGCCATGATCGTGAGGCCTCTGCAGCCATGTGGAACTGTTGGTCAATTAAACCTCTTTCTTTTATAAATTACCCAGCCTCGAGTATATCTTTATTAGCAGCGTGAGAATAGACTAATACAGTAAATTGATACTGGGTAGTAGGGACACTGCTGTAAAGATATCCGAAAGTGTGGAAGCGACTTTGGAACTGGGTAACAGGCAGAGATTGGAACAGTTTGGAGGGTTCAGAAAAAGATAGGAAAATGTGGAACAGTTTGGGACTTCCTGGATACTTTCAGGGCTCAGGAGATAGGAAAATGTGGGAAAGTTTGGAACTTTCTAGAGACTTGTTGAATGGCTTTGACCAAAATGCTGATAGTGATACGGACAATACAGTCCAGGCTGAGGTGGTCTCAGATAGAGATGAGGAGCTTGTTGGGAACTGAAGCAAAAGTGACTTTTGCTATACTTTAGCAAAGAGACTGGTGGCATTTTGCCCTTTCCCTAGAGATCTATGGAACTTTGAACTTGAGAAAGATGAGTTAGGGTATCTGGCAGAAGAAATTTCTAAGCAGCAAAGCATTTAAGAGGTGACTTGGGTGCTCTTAAGCATTCAGTTGTATTCATTCACAAAGACATGGTTTGGAATTGGAACATGTTTAAAAGGGAAGCAGAGCATAAAAGTTTGAAAAATGTTCAGACTGAAGATGCAGTAGAAAAGAAAAACCCATTTCTGCCAGCTGCAGAAATTTGCATAAGCAATGAAGAGCCAAATGTTAATTGCCAAGACAATGGGGAAAATGTCTCCAGGGCATTTCAAAGACCTTCACAGCAGCCCCTCCTATCACAGAACCTGAGGCCTAGGAAGAAAAAATGGTTTCCTGGGCTGGGCCCAGGGCCCCCGTGCTGTGTGCAGCTTAGGGACTTGGTGCCCTGCTTCCCAGCTGCTGCAGCCATGGCTAAAAAGGGCTAAGGTACAGCTCAGGCCCTTGCTTCAGAGAGTGCAAGCCCTAAGCCTTGACAGCTTCCACATGGTGTTGAGCCTGCAGAGGCACAGAACTGAGGTTCGGGAACCTCCGCCTAGATTTCAGAAGATGTATGGAAGCCCCTGGATGTCCTGGCAGAAATTTGCTCTAGGGGCAGGGCCGTCATGAACCTCTACTAAGACAGTGCAGAAAGGAACTGTGGGATGGGACCCCCCCACACACAGAATCCCCACTGGGGCACTGCCTAGTGGAGCTGTGAGAAGAGGGCCACTGTCCTCCAGACCCTAGAATCATAAATCCACTGACAGCTTCCGCAGTGTGCCTGGAAAAGCTGCAGACATTCAACTCCAGCCTGTGAAAGCAGCTGGGATGGTGGCTGTGCCCTACAAAGCCACAGGGGTAGAGCTGCCCAAGGCTGTGGGAGCCCACCTGTTGCATCAGCATGACCTGCGTGTGAGACATGGCGTCAAAGGAGATCATTTTGGAACTTTGAGGTTTGATGACTACCCTGTTGGATTCCAGACTTGCATGGGGCCTATGGGCCCTTTGTTTTGGTCCAATTTCTCCCATTTGGAATGGTGTATTTACCCAATGCCTGTACCCCCAATGTATTCTGGAAGTAACTAACTTGCTTTTGATTTTATGGCTCATAGGCAGAAGGGACTTGTCTTGTCTCAGATGAGATGCTGGACTGTGGGCTTTTGAGTTAATACTGAAATGAGTTAAGACTTTGGGGAACTGTTGGGAAGGCATGATTGGTTTTGAAATGTGAGGACATGAGATTTGGGAGGGGCCAGGGGCAGAATGATATGGTTTGGCTGTGTCCCCACCCAAATCTCATCTTGAATTATAGCTCCCACAATTTTCACCTGTCGTGGGAGGGACCTGGTAGGAGGTAATTGAATCCTGGGGGAGGGTTTTTCCTGTGCTGTTCTCATGATAGTGAAAAAGTCTCATGAGAGCTGATGGTTTTATAAAAGGGCAATTCCCCTACACGTGCTCTCTTGCCTGCTGCCATGTAACACATGCTCCTCTTTAACCTTCTGCCATGTGGCGGCCTCCACTGCCATGTGGAACTGTGAGTCAATTAAACCTCTTTCCTTTAGAAATTACCCAACCTTGGATGTATCTTTATTAGCAGCATGAGAACAGACTAACAGAACACCACAGAGAGATTTTGTCCTAACTAAAGCAATAATATTAATACCAGCGTAGCAGAAAAGTATGACGTGGATAGAGAACAGATTAATGTGCTGCAAAATCTCTTATGCTGTAGATTGTCTCATGCTGCAGCACAGAAAGACAGAGATGAAAAGTTTAGATTTATAATTATAAATTCCATCTAATAATATACTTGCATATGTTTTTACTCAAATTCAGGATATAGAGAAAATATCTAAGTTAAAATGTAATGATTTTAATAATCTAAAAGGAAGTTTCATTTTGTATTGCCTGTTTTCTCTAATAAAAATACTCCTGAGACAGATGAAGCTTCATAATGTGTGAGAAAGTTTCTTCAAATAGGTCTTTGAAGCAGAAGAGAAAAGATTCTTGGCAGATATAGAATAAGTATTTATCTCATATAAGAGGAAGGACCTGATAAAAAGAAAAACAGTTAGAAATTAAGACTGCATTTAAAGGATATTTATTTGACTAGAGTAATTGGGAAAGGCAGATATAAATGAAGATAAATAGAATTAGGTAAAAGAACAATTTGGAGACATATTTGTAGAAATGACTGAGGATTTGTGTGTGTGTGTGAGCGAATTATTTTGTAATGGTGCAATAAAATTAAACTAAGGTTTTTTGGGTTTTTTTTTTTCCAACTTGTATTTTAGGCTCAAGGGATACAGATTTCTTATATTGGCAAATTGTATGTCCTTGAAGTTTAGTATAGGAATGATCCCATCACCCAGGTAGTGAGCATAGTACCTAATAGGTAATTTTAGAACCCTCACCCCACTCCCGACCTCCCTCCTAGTAGTACTCAGTGCATTTTGTTTCCATCTTCATGTCTGTGTATACGCAATGTTTAGGTTTAGCTCTCACTTATAAGTGAAGACATACTGTATTTGATTTCCTGTTCCTGTGTTGGGTTACTTAGGACAATGGCTTCCAGCTGCATCCATTTTGCTGCAAAGGATATTAATTTCTTTTTTTAAGGCTGCATGGTATTCCATAGTACATGTGTACCACATTTTTTTAATCCAATCCACTGTTGATGGACACTAGAGTTGATTGCATGTCTTTGCTATTGTGAATAGTGCTGCAGTGAACTTACAAGTGTATTTGTCTTTTTGGTAGAATATTCTATTTTTCTTTGAGTATATACCCAGTAATGGGATTGCTAGGTCAAATGGTAGTTCTGTTTTAAGTTCTTTGAGAAACTCCAAACTGCTTTTCACAGTGGCTGAACTAATTTGCATTCCCTTTTCTCTTCCACCTCACCAACATCTTATTTTTGTTTTTTGTCTTAGTAATAGCCACTGTGACTGGTATGAGATGGTATCTCATTGTGGTTTTGATTTGCACTTCTGTGATGTTGAGTGTTTTTGATATTTGTTGGCGACATATATGTCTTCTGTTGAGAAGTGTCTTTTCATGTTCTTTGTCCATGTTTTAATGGAGTTATTTGTTTTTTGCTTGTTGAATTAAGTTCCTTATGGATTCTAGATATTAGAGTTTTGTTGGATGCATAGTTTGCGAATATTTTTTCCCATTCTTTAGGCTGTCTGTTTACTCTGCTGATAGTTTATTTTGCAGTGCAGAAGCTCTTCAGTTTAATCAGCTCCCACTTGTCAACTTTTATTTTTGTTGCAATTGCTTTTGGAGACTTCGTCATAAATTCTTTGCCAAGGGTGATATTGAGAAGGATATTTCCTAGAATTTTTGCCAAGGGTGATATTGAGAAAGATATTTCTTAGATTTTCTTCTAGGATTTTTAAGTTTTAGGTCTTATATTTAATTCTTTAATCCATCTTGAGTTAACTTTTGTATATGGTGAAATGTAAGGGTCCTATTTCATTCTTCTGCATATGGCTAGCCAGTTATTCCAGCACCATTTATTGAATAGAGAGTTTTTTTCCCATTGCTTGTTTTGTTGACTTGCTGAAAATCAGATGGTTGTAGGCATGCAGCTTTATTTCTATGTCCTTTATCTTGTTGCATTTGTCTGTGTGTCTATTTTTGTACCAGTACCCTTCTGTTTTGGTTACTGTAGCCTTGTAGTATAGTTTGAAGTTGGGTAGTGTGATGCCTCCAGTTATGTTCTTTTTGCTTAGAATTATTTTGGCTATTTGCACTCTTTCCTCATTCCACGCAAATTTTAGAAAATTTTTTTCTAATTCTGTTATAAATGATGTTGTATGTAGTTTGATAGTAATAGTATTAACTCTGTAGATTACTTTGGGCAGTAAGGCAATTTTAACAATACTGATTTTTCCAATCCATGAGTGTACAATGTTTTTCCATGTGTTTGTATCATCTGTGATTTCTTTCAGCAGTATTTTATAGTTCTCCTTGTAGAGATCTTTCACCTCCTTCATTAGGTTCATTCCTAGATATTTCATTTTTTGTGTGCCTATTGTAATTGGGATTGTGTTCTTGATTTGACTCTCAGCTTGAACTTTAGTGTATAGAAATGCTGCTGATTTTTGTGCATTGATTTTGTATCCAGAAACTTTACTAAAGTCATTTATCAGCTCTGGGAGCCTTTTGGCAGAGTCTGTAGGGTTTTTTAGGTACAGAATCATAAATCAGTGAAGACAGATAATTTGACTTCTTCTTTTCCTATTTGGATGCCTTTTCTTTCTCTTGCCTGATTGCTCTGTGTAGGACTCCCAGTTCTATGTTGAATAGGGGTGATGAAAGTGGGCATCCCTGTTTTGTTCCAGTTTTCAAGGGAAATGGTTCCAGCTTTTGCCCATTAGGTATTATGTTGGCTATGGGTTTGCCATAGATAGCTCTTATTATTTTGAGGTGTGTTCCTTTGATGCCTAGTCTATTGAGGGTTTTATCATAAAGGGAGGTAGATTTTATTTAAAGCTTTTTCTGTATCTGTTGAGATGATTATATAATTTTTGGTCTTAATTCTATTTATGTGGTGAACCACATTTATTGATTTGCATATGTTGAACCAGCCTTGCATCCCAGAAATAAAGCCTACTTGATTGTGGTATATTGCTTTTTGATGTGCTGCTGTATTTGATTTGCCAGTATTTTGTTGATGACTTTTGTGTTAGTGTTCATCAGAGATATTGGCCTAAAGTTTTCTTTTTTCCTTGTGGTCTCTGACAGTTTTTGGTGTCAGGCTGATGCTGGCTTCACAAGGAAGGAGCTCCTCTTGCTCAGTTTTTTGGAATAGTCTCAGTAGGATTGGTACCAGTTCTTTGTACATCTGGTAGAATTCAGCTGCGAATCTATCCGATCCAGGGCTTTTTTTTTTTTTTTTTGAGACGGGGTCTGGTTCTGTAACCCAGGTTGGAGTGCAGTGGCGTTATCTTGGCCCACTGCAATCTCTGCCTTTTAGGCTCGAGCCAACCTCCCACCTCAGCCTCCTAAGTAGCTAGGACTATGGGCATGCGCCACCACACCAGGACTTTTTTTAATTGGTAGGTTTTTATTACTGGTTCAGTTTGAGAACTCGTTATTGGTCTGTTCATGTTTTTACTGTCTTCCTAGTACAATCTTGGGAGGTTGTGTGTTTCTAAGAATTTATCAATTTTCTAATTTGTGTGCAAAGAGATGTTTTTAATAGTCTCTGAGGTTCTTTTGTATTTCTGTGGGATTGGTTTTAATGTCACCTTTGTCATTTCTGATTGCAAGTAGCTGAATTTTATTGAATAGCAAGGCTGATGTGATTATATAGGCATGTTTTAAAATTCTCCGTTAACTGTGTTTAATGAAATATTACAATATGAAGAGTTTTAACATGGAATAGTAAGACAGAAAATATGGATGAAAGCATGGAATAATTTCCTTGGAACTCATTTCTACTCTCCTAATCAAAAGTAGACTAGTCTAAAAAAAGCACACAGGGGATTTTCTTTTTTTTTACAAGTACCCATGACTTTGAATGAATCTGTGTCTTGAACCTTGGTAGATGAGAAATCATAGTGGTCTATGCTCTAACAACATTTTTTTGGAGATTACATTTCGAGAAAATCTCAGTCTCCATGATTTCTCAGAGATGCCTAATGGCTTTAGATTCATGGAGCATATGCTCACCACTCTACTCCCACCAAGCAAAACTAACTTGAAAACAGTACTACAGCTAGGAAACAAAGACAATGCCAGGTCTTTGTGAGAATGCACTATTTATGATCAAATAATAAGTAGGAATTTACAGTCAGACTTTTAATTTCCAAGATCATGCTTATTTCTATTGATATCGAGTCGTATTAATAGTAGAAATTAATAGATAATTATGAAGCATAGGTTTAACTTAAAAGTCCATTTATTAAAAATCCAAATTGTCTATACTTGATTCCTCCTCTTGAAAACCCATTTTAATCAGGTTTCTTTCCCCACTGTGTTTTGCCAGAACTGCTTTGGGTAAGATCACCAGTCACTCCCTGTAGCTATATGTCTAGTTCTCAGTCTTATTATTAATTAACTTGGCTTCTGGCACCACACTCTCCTGGTGGTCCTCCTTCTTCACTGGCTGCCCCTGTCATTTCCTTTGATGATTCTTCCTTACCTCCTTAGATTCTTACTGTTATAGGGCCTCAGACCTTGGATTTGGACCTCTTTTTTTTCCATGCTTATTCCTTTGGCAATTTTACCCAGTCACTTAGATAAGCTAGATAGCTGCCAAATGAACTCTTTGATGTACATGTTCCAAGGGGGAAGGACACATATCCCATTCTTCCCCCTAGACTTTCATTTTTCCATGGTATTTTTCATCTTATTTGATAGGATTTCCATCCTCCTAGTTGCTTAACTGCTTTTCTCAATCTGTACATCTTCTCCTCAGAAAATCCTAGTGGCTCTACCTTCTGAACATACCGAAAATAATTATTAACTCCACCACTAGCACCCTAATCCCAAAGCCAACATCTCTTTTCTGCATATTTACAGAAGTCTTCTAACTTATCATCCTGCTTTTGCCCTCCCTGTTCTTCCATTTATTTTCAATTAGAGCAGGCAGAGTGATCTAGCAGATTATATTACTCTGCTCAAAACTATTCAGAAGCTTTTCATCTCACCTAGAGTACAAGCCCAGGTTCTTACAGTGATCTCCCATTATTTTGTTAATCTCATGAACTCCAGCTTTTCCTTGTTCACTCCACTTGAGCCACTGGCTCTTTCCCAAGATAGCTGCATGATTCGCTTACTCATCTTATTCATATCTTTCTGAACCTCAGCTTTTTCATCTATAAGAAGGGGTTTTTAGTTGGTATTTTTCTTAACTGGGTTTGTAAGCTTTAACTTTTGAAACATTTAGCCAACTGCCTGGTATTTTAAATTCTTTGCTATAACTTTTGTGCTTCAATATCCTCATCTGTAAGATGAGAGTAATGAATATTACTTACATATGTACTGAGAGGATTAAACAAGTTAATATATGTACAGCACTCAGTACAATGACCAGCACCTAGTAAGCACTATATACGTGTTGTGTGTTATTATGAATGTTATCTAGTTTATATGGCACTTTCTTTCTAGATCTGAGAAGGTTAATTTTGTGCTGCATCACAGCTTTTTATACTTAGGGCTTATGTCTGCTTGCAGCAAGAATTTACCCACACAATCTATATTCTTTATAAGAAGCCTGTATGTCAGTCTGCTTCTTAACTAACTCATTATCAGTTTGGCAACATCCTTTTGGGCCAAGGTTGCAAAGGTTGCAAATCTGAGTCAGTGCTTAGGTCTCCCTGAACAGTATCTCTCCCTCTAGCCTTCCAGAATCCTGGAGTGCCTGCTTTGCCACACAATATATGCACAAGATTATGATTATAGATTAAGGAATGATTTACAAACAAAAAATAAAAATCTTATGGATCTAAGGAGCAATATAATTGAACTTTATTTATGGTTATTTTTTTTCCATTCTATTTATTAGTTTCTCTATTGTCGAATCAAACGTCCTTAAAGGAGTAGGAGAAATTCTTATTTTTTATACCAGTCACTTTCAGTCTTAGTTTCATTACAAGTTCTAATGTAGGTGTATCATTCAATTAACTACTCTGTTATCTCTGAAAGCCTGCATGTTAGAAGGCAATGTTGTATGTTCTTGCAGTTTCATAGTTTCTGAAGAGCTAATAAACAACAAAACTACAATGACCAACTAATTTACACAGTTTTGTTATTCTTATATGTATATGACTGGAAAATAAATACTATTTTATATAATAAGATGTCATCAGAATATAAAATATAAATATAAAATATATTTTATATTCCTAATATAAAATATAAATATAAAATATATTTTATATTCCTAATCTAAAATATAAATACTTCCAGTAATTAAGTAATTCCAAGAGATCTCAACTTAGGAGTCAGTGAAAAAAAGATCTAGAAGGTTTATATTTCTATCATTACTTAATTATACTTCAGCAATTTTTTTTATTACCTCCAGGAAAATAATTGAATCATCGAAGTTCTACAGCTTAAGAGATATGTTACTTTTCTTCATTGTTTCTTGAACTGACTGATTCTTCATTCTAAATATTGAACATTCTCAGCTATTGAACTTATATTAAACTTTACTCTCTACTTTTCTGTCATTAAGTAGAGGAGCTGTTTGGTACATTACTTGTCTTTAAGCCTAGACCAGATATACTCTACTACTAATTTTTCTTTTATTATAAAATTTATACTATGAGTTACTATAAATAGAGGGGTTGTGGGTATTAACCACATGTAAAAAGGTTGTTTACTTTCTAAAGTATGGTTTGTCAGGGGGCAGAGTGCTGTACTAGCAGAACAGGGGCTTTGTTGATCATGTGACATTGAGCAACTTGTGTTTTCTCAGCCTCAGTTTCTTTATACTTAAAATTAGAGTCAGAGTTATGTGAATTTTAGGCAACAATATATGTTCCTAGTGCTTAGAAAATACTAGTCCCTGTCTCATTACTCCTTTCTGTTTCTTTACATCTCACCGAGTAGAATGGGTAACAAATGAAATCCAAAGTAGTTATCATCATTAGCTAGAGAAACCCAAAATTTAAGCCATTCTCCAGTATTGATAAGAAATCTTTAAGCACTAGAGCAGTGATCTAGCTGCTCATTTTGTATTTTGAAACATATTAAAGCATAAGCTGCTTCTGCCAGTTGTAAAAATATAACATATCGAAATATATTTTCATTTCTTCACAGTTTTCCTTTATATTTAATGATAAAATGAGTATATTAATCCATTCATGCACTGCTGTAAAGAAATAACTGAGGCTAGGTAATTTATAAGGAAAAGAGGTTTAATTGGCTCATGGTTCAGCGGGCTGTACAGGAAGCATGGCAGCATCTGCTTCTGGGGAGCCTCAGAAATTTTACTCGTGGCAGTCAAAGCAAGTCAAAGCAAGAGCGAGCATCTTACGTGGCAGGAGCAGGACCAAGAGAGAGAGCGGGGAGGTGCCACACACTTTTAAACAACCAGATCTCAGGATAACTCACTATCATGAAACCAGCACCAAGGAGGAAATCTGCCCCTATAATCCAATCACCTCCACCAGGCCCCACCTCCAACATTGGTGATTATAATTGAACATAATATTTGGGTGGGGACACAGACTCAAACTATATCAATGAGTACCTTACATTTTATTATTTTGATAATTTGGATACAATTCATTAAGCTTTATTACTTATAAAATATAAGAGTAAAATATGATATCTTTAATATACATAAAGAAACAACAACGATTTTATTTTACCAATCAAGAATATAAACTGCTGACATAATAAAAATAAAGTAAATGTTAAAAGTTTGATTAGGTCCAAAAATCAGAAAATGTTGCCAAAACAATTCACTGGAAATCTCTGTGAATAGTCTCTTTAATATTTTTGTATATTAGCTGTGTAATTTTCTTGTGCTTTTTTTCTCCTACACAGGAGAGCCTGACAAGGAGCTGAATCCTAAGAAGAAGATTTGGGAGCAGATCCAGCCTGATCTTCACACTAATGATGAGTGTGTGGCTACATACAAAGGAGTTCCCTTTGAGGTGAAAGGGAAGGGAGTATGTAGGGCTCAAACCATGAGCAACAGTGGAATCAAATAAAATGCTTCCACTACCAAAAGACATTAGAGAAAACCTTAAAAGTAATAAAGAGAAATATATTTGTCACTTATACCTAAAATATGAGTGGCTCATTTTTGCATTACTCTCTTCTAGACTTGACTAGTCATTTACTTGGTATATATTGTTTTCATTGATTGGGGAAACACTAGATTTTTACCTCGGTTTTTGATCATTTATAATGGAGAGAGGAAGTTGCCTATGTTTTGTAATAATTTATTTTTTAGCAGGAATATTGATTAGCAGCTTTTTTTTCTTTATACACATAGATAACTAACTAGATTAATGTTTAGTTTCTTATTTGTAGGCACAGGATGCATGAAATTTCAAGCTCTGGGATTTTTTGTATATTGTGTATCTGTATCAAAAATATCCTCTCCTTTTCAAAAATGACAGGTTGGAAAATGTTTGTCAGACTTATTAACTGGTCATATTATAATAATACTGATAATGACCAACTGCTCATTCTGAAAGCCAAACATAAAAGCTAGGAGAAGTGGCATCTGAACATTTTTGCTTTGCTGCCAGAGTAACCCTGACTAATAATACAATAACAGCAATTTTTTTAAAAAACTGAGATTTCCTACTGGCTTGAAGTTTTTCTATTTAGCAAAATAATTAGTAATAAGTTTTGACTAGGTCTAAAGAATGAACACATTGTAAACAGTTGCCACAGTAGTTTCTAATAAATTGATCATAAAAGCAGCTATCCTTTTTTTTTTTAATTCTAGCTTCTTTTTAAAGATTATTTGGGTACCTAATAAAGGATAATTTATATCTTATTACAGACTGATATTTTGCTTTTTCATGTGTCATCATACTGTCAGTATATTAAAAGAAATTACAGCCTAAAACTTAACATATACCATACATATATATTAAGGTGTCAAATAGCTATTCTCACTCATCTTACAAATATTGTAAGAGCAATAAAAATTAATTGAGGAATTATAAGCCTACAGGTCATCAGCCTTGAGGTGATTACTGATGATTTGGGCTTACACACATGTCAGCAAGATAGGGAGTGTGGATAGGGGAGGGCTGGTAGCTAACAAGGGGCCTCACAGAGAAATATTAGTGACTTTAACCAGGTTTCAGAATCTGGGCCTTACCTTTACAGGTTCAACAAAAGAATGGCATCAATAGAGGCAGAAGTATAGACATTGTTTTAAAAATACACACATGCACACACACACAAAACATTTTAGCATTATAGCTGTCTGAATCCTTCAATAAGAAGGAGAGGCACACACAAATACACACACTCACACAAAACTCAACAACCATAAAACAACCCTGCATGTTATAAAAGGCAGAATTAAATTTTATTTATTTAAATCCATGGAACTCTGGTAGGCCAGGATATATTATAGTACCATTATCAATGTGATATTCTGAAAATATGAACTGAGCGTCATTAACAATTGTTGGTACCTAAACACAAAATGAATTTCAAAAGTTACTTTGTTCTCAAGATATGTCATTCTTTTGGGAATAAATACTTCTGGTGACAAAGTCTTTTGTGAGTTTTTTGCTCTAATTTTTCTCAATTATATTAAATTTCTTTAATATAATTTAAATAATATTTCAACTACCTAGGTAGTTGAAATTTTCCCAACTAAATGTTGAAATACTGTACCCCAGATCAAATTATCTAATGTTTTGTTAGTGAAACCTAAACTGATGATTAAATCGTTCATCAAACCTAGAGATAATAAAAACTATTGGTCTTTTGTTAAAAGCCCATAATGTAGCATCATCAGTAGCTCATTTGTGCTGAAATTTATGACGACTTACTACAAAAGAGTACATTCCAAAAATGTCACATTTGTCTTTCTCAAGTACTATATTATGCCTTACCAAATTATAACAAATGTCCATGCTTCCCTCCATAATTCCCACAGGTCTTTACCATGTAAAAATCCATGCTAAAGAGTGCTAAAGAGAGAAAGAAGTGGAGAATTAATCAGTGATTTTTCAAGTTGTATGAAAGCATTGACCAAGTTATCCATTCAGCCCTATTCAGTACTTGTTTTCACAGAAAACTTAATTCTGTTTTATTTGTATTGCTGGGATGGGAGAGCTCTTACGGAATCAACAAAGAAATAGCATTGTTGGCAAACTGGACATAACACTTCAGCATCTGATGTATTCTGGTTTTTAAGGATTTCAACGATAGGGGGTAGTGTTTGGTGGGAGGATCACTTTGAGCCCAGGAGAGCAAGGCTGCAGTGTGCTGTGATTGCACCACTGCACTCCAAACTAGGCTACAGAGTTGAGACCCTGTCTCAAAAAAAAAAAAAAAAAAAAAAAAAAAAAAAAAAAAAAAAAAAAATCTTAGTTGGGGAGCACCTCGCTGTTTCTTATAACTGGGCATTAAAATGGCCTGAGTATACCTCCTCAATTTTTCAGAGAAATGATACGTCCTTTTAAAATATAAAAGTATCAGAAGTATATAACATTAGCCATGTATTTCACCTACATAAATAGTGACACAAGTCCTGATTCTAAGTGCTATCCAGCAGTATGAAAATTACAACTTTATCACCAAGATGCAAAATAAAAAGAACTAGGAAGGGCAAATTAGTATGCTCAACAGGCAATAATGTTGCAAATTGCTGTCTCATGGAGAAAGCTCTACCCTCCAAAATTTTAGTTAAGGAATAATCATGCCTTCTCTAACAAATGTAAGGGTGATATATTAATAATACATGTCTACTGTCATGGATTTTATTACAGAATTACTATTAAGATTGTTATTGCCTTCTAACTAGTCTTTTCATGTGTTTTATCCACCCCTTAAAAGCTCCTTTTGAGGTAGATCAGCCATTTTACCCCAAAGAGTCAACAGAAAAGTTAAATAAATGCCCCATACAAAGTTGAAACCTGGTTTAATTTTTTTCAGTTCTTACTGATCCTGTGTTCTCCAATACATCATGCTTTCTTAACATGTTAGTTAAATGGTCATGTGGTTTCTTTTATTTGAATGAAAAGTTTAGCTTTACTTTAAATGTTAGAGAAAAATAGTGACATAAAAATACCTAAATTTGAGTAGTTTATGATTAGCTCCTTTAGTGGAATACTTAAGAGATTCTAAAGGGAGAGTTGAGATTATTAAACACTCTTTGGAGTGGTTATGAAGAGAATTTATCAATTTTTTTTCTTTTTACTATTCAAATATATAGGGAGAATTCACTTGGCAAAACCAAGCTGCTGCTGCTGGTAGCAGTTGCCTTTTTGAAGAGGTTTATACCATGATTCTTTGAATAGTGCGCTGTTATTGAGGGCACTGAATGTGTAATGACAGTCCATCCCAAAAGCCAACATGATAGATGTCACTAAGTTCCATACAGATAGATAATTTAAAACAGAAACATAGGTATACTCCATTGTGATACTACTTATAACCCCAAAATTTGCAATAATGATGAAAAGGATAGTTGCTGATGGCTAATATGCCTCTGTACAAAACTGAATCATCTTCAGGTACCAACTTGTTGGAATTAGAAAGAGTCACTTCACATTATTTTGCATTGTACTTTGTATAGTTATGGTTTTTCCTTTGAGTAAATCTTGGCAGAGATAACTCATAGGAGTATAACTCCATAAAAATATTTGGAGGAAGGACCCAGAACAATGAAATAATTGTTGGTGTGAAAGTGAGCCATCTGGAATTTCAGAGTGTGAACTAATTATTGTATATTGTATTTTTTCACCCTTATGTATTTGGGTTTTTTTTTCCCCTTCCTTTCTAACTTCCACCTATCCTAACACACACTATTCCCAATTCTCTAGATGTTTAAGTACAAAAACGTGTGTAAGTATGATTTTTGTCTTCATCAACATCATTTCCTATCTGGCAGGCTGTTGGCCTTAGCAACAGGAGCAGAAACAAGCCTGAGACCCAATAATTGCAAGAAAGAAAAATCCTTTTTAATGAAGCGTTAACTACTCTTGCCCTTCCCATTGCTACATAATGCCTACAGAATTGTTCAAATAGCCATTGTTAATGTCTTATTTCCTCAATGGCCTTTTTGTGATGAACCTTCATATTAAGGCTGCTCTGACAAAGTTTTACATTTGTTTTTGTAAATTGCCTCATTAGAATATCATGCATCCCAGCAGAGAAATGCACCCAATATATATGTGCACTTTGGTTTTCAGATTGCATATTTGGCTGATACTTGTTCATTTAAAATCCCTCAAATTTTCACACCTGGGGAATTTGGAAAGAACAGTGCAAGAGTCATCCAAAATCAACACCACAACTGTATTTCTCTTTGAAAAAGATTAATGAAAAATGCAAACTAAAAGTCACTTTCAATAAGTTTAGCAAAAGGGAATGATTTCAGTAGAAATAACTTTTTTCGAAAACTTTCAGTTTTCCTATAAAAGGATAACATTTTTGTGTTAAAACTGCACATACATTGAAAACAAAAACAAAAACTTTTCAGATACTTTTGGAGAGATTTGTTTTGAAAACAAAGTTGGAGTGAGAATCTGGGAAATAGCAATGCCACATAAAAGCATTAGCTTTATGTAAAAGAAGTACAGTATATCTGAAAATCAGTAGAATAGAAAATCTAAGAAAAATTTTAAT
Source organism: Homo sapiens (assembly GCF_000001405.40). Lineage (NCBI taxonomy): Eukaryota > Metazoa > Chordata > Mammalia > Primates > Hominidae > Homo > Homo sapiens. The sequence continues at coordinate 106,352,311 of NC_000004.12, forward strand.
ATAAAAAATATAGATAAACATAGCTTTAAAAAAGAAAGTCTTTGAAAATGCTGTTTGAGGTGATGTATCTAGAGGAACAAGCCTGGCAAGAGTCAGAGCTGATAGATTGCAGGGGTAATCACTGGTGACCCCACATTGAATGCACTAATGAGACTTTAACACTAGCTGCACAAAAACATCAGATACACTGTCTTCCAATCCTCTAAAATACTCAAAGCACTTTCAAATTAAGCTTTAGTAGAGATTTTTGGTGTCTGGATGAGAACAGCATACAGATTAGGCATCTAGAGGGACATGAGAAAATATTGCAAATAATAGACTCTCATAGGAAAGGTGGCAGGGTACAAAAGATGAACTTGCTGGACATCGCTTATTTTACTTAAAGTAATCCTAGTCTCATGGTTCTTTAGATGCGTAGGGGCAGAAAGATGTGATACCTTTCCTTACCCATCTTAAGAGTCAAAGCTGACACTCCTGTAACAAAAGACAAGAGAAAAACATAAGTGTATTTAATCCAAGTTTTACATGATACACGAGCCCTCAGAAATGAAGACCAAAAGACTCAGGGAAAGCTGTCTATTTTGTGCCTAGGATTGCTGAAGAATGGACAGCCATATAGCAATGTAATTGGATAAAAGAGAAAGTGCTAAACTGTAATAGACTGGTCAGGGAAACCCAGCAAGGCCATCCAGATTCTTCTTGGTGTCTGTAGCATGCCTTCCCCTGGGTATGGGGCAGGACCCTTCTGGAATGAGGGTCATCAAGGGAGAAGGGAGACAGTGACCTTTCTAAGTTTTATGGCTTGCTTTCAGGATAAGAAATTCTGGTTTCTGTGACTTTCTTCAAGGGGAAAAAGAGGTGGAACATAGGAGGGCAGGAGAAGGACAGAAAGACCTTGCCTCTGAAGCTCCTCCAATCTCCTTCAGTTCAAAGTACTCAGCATGCCAAGGTCTCGTATTTGGAATATGGTCTTTTGAGCCCCCAACAGCTGCAAGTTGTAATTACCTCCAGAACAGATGAGTTTATTCAATGAATATGCACACACTGTCATCCAGAAAAAGCTGAACAAACCAGCCTCAAATGGAGAACAGCAGCAAGACGTTCACTTCAGTGCCTTAACATTCATATAATCCAACATCCCCATTACCAACTAACAAAATATTTCCCTACACCCACTATGCTGATTCTTATGAAAAGCTAGGATTGCTATTGCATAATGGTACACAGAAGAGTATGTCTAGAATTTAATGCTTCATGGATATTATACTAGAATTCAGAGTATATTGGGAAAACACACTAACCAGAAAGATGGGAAAAGATGAAGAGGAAGGAAAACAGTGGTAAGATATGGACCTTCTACTATTTGTATATTGAATTAAAAGAGCTAATGATAAACTACCAGGATATATGCAATGTAAGTTATAAGAAAGGACTCTTGAAACAAAAGGGACAACCTGCAAGGGGGAGTCTTGAATTAAATAATTAAATATCTGAGCACAATCTAGTAATATGGTGAAAGGAAAAGCATTCCAAAGTCCACTTTTCTGGGGAGGATAGGAGAAAGAGAACTAGGGCGGAAATGGAAGTATTGTAAGGGTCTTATTTTAATAGTAGGAAATTCTTGGTAAGGGAAATAGTTCATACTGTGTCATCAGGCAATAGCAGAGAAGTATGTACATGATTGTGAAATCAGGGGCAAGAAAATAATCTTTAATGAGGGTGAATTAGAATAGAACTTCCAAATTATCAAGGGGAAATATTGAATTAATAGCAATGTTATCAAGGTAGCAAAACTAAGGAAAAGAAAAAATACAATAAATACACTAATATAAAATAATAAACATAATGTAATATTCTGTGTCCTTGTAAAGGAAGATTTAATATCATGGGGTGTCATTTACCATACACACACACACACACACACACACACACACACACACACAAAATATTTTTTTTTTAATTTAGGAAAAACAATCTAAGAACATGTATGAATGAATGCCTGAGTATAACCAGAAAATATTTTGAAAAAAGAAAACAAGTTTGACCTCCTAGATATCAAGGAATGATATAAAATTATTACAATTAAATCACTTTGGTATTGAGAACAATATAAATAAAATAGGTAACAGAATAGGATTAAAAATACAGGATAAATCCAGAAATAGATCCAGGATATACGTTTCAGTCTCTATATCTAGCTACCTACCTACCATATAAGTAGTAAAAGGATGAATTTATAAATAGAACAAATACAACTGGTTACTCATCTGAAAGGAAGTAAAACTAAAACCAGCTATATCATGTACACGGAAATATATGACTATAAAAAATTTCACAAATTTAGTTTGGCAAAACTTACCATACAAAGTTAAAGGACAAATAATAGATTTGAAAAAACAATTGTTACTCAGAGGACAGACAGAGGGTTAATATCTGTAACATACATAGAGCTCTTCCAATTTGCCAAACAAAAAGTAATCCAATAGAAAAAGAAATGACAAAAGGACAAAGGATGTGAAGAGCCAATTCATAAAAGACTAAGTCTAAATTACCAAAATGCTTACACAAAAATGTTCCAAATACAGAAAATCGTTCCAATTGGGAAATGCAAATAAAGTAACAGTGGGCTGTGGTTTTACATTTATTCAACTTGTTAACAATAGGTGTTCAAGATGATAACACCCATTGATGGGGAGAAAACAACTCACGTTGTTGGAAATCAAGTTTATCACAATATTTTTACAAAGAATCTGTTAAGATATATTAAATGTATATATACTTTTATACTTTTATATATATACTCTTGGGAATATAACTTACAGAAAAATAGTATTAACTAAAAATATATGTACAAGAATAGTTGCTTGAGCATTGCTTTGGGTGACAGAAAACTGGAAAGCTCATCAACAGAGGAGCAGTTGCATAAATTGTTACATAAACACTGTGAAATGTTTTGCAGCCTTTAAAAAGAATGAATTTGGGCTATATTTTAGGTTTGGAAAAATTTAAATGAGGTGGTGTTGAGACAGCCAAGTAAAAAGGGCTCCTGGAGAATCTCCAACTGGCCTGCACACAGAGAGGACAAGGTGGAGCCGCGGGAAGTTCTTGTTGTTTGCAGAGAGGAGGAGCCTAGCCTCTCCTGTCACTGGGTGGTAACCTGGGATTCAATTGGTGAGATGGGGTCCCATTAACAGGAACCCCTCTCACTTTGCTGAGCTTTTTTTCGTTTTTCACCCAATAAATTCCGTTTTTCTCACCCTTCTATGTGTCCATGAGCCTAATCTTTCTTGGTCGTGTGACAAGAACCCAGTTTTTAGCTGAAACGAGGAGAAAGTCCTACAACCGTGTTAAAGTGAAAGAAAAATATATTATGAAGAGTGTAATACAAAAACTTGTTTTTAAGTTGAAAAGCCCTGTATATTTTTATGTGTTTATATGTGCTGTGTGGGGATGATTACCTGGACATGAAGAAAAATAGAAACAGTGGACACCAGGCTTTTGGTTGGCATCAGTTATCTGTAATGGGCAGATTTGCAAGGAGAAGAGGAGAGAGGTAAAGGCAAAGCAAAAAAGCCACATAAGACTGCTAAAAGAAAATAAAGTATGTAATACTACCACATTTAAGTATTTATGTGGAAATGTCTGTGTGTGTATATACACACATGTATACACAGTAGGAACACCTTATCCAGAGGGAATATGTTCCAAGGCCCTAATGGATGCCTGAAGCCAAAGAGAGTACTGAGCCCTAAACATACTATGTTTTCCTATATGTACATTCCTGTGATAAAGTTTAGTTTTTAAATTAGACACAGTAGGAGATTGACAAGAATAACTAAAAATAAACTAGAACAATTACAACAATATACTGTAATAAAAGTTATGTGAATGTGGTCTCTCTCTTAAGAAATCTTATTTATGTAATATTTCCAGATTGCAATTGACCACAGGTAACTGAAACCACAGAAAGTGAAATCACAGATAAGGGGTGATACTGTATATGCAAATATAAAAATAAATAATTCAGGGAAGAATATCACAGAAATCCTCTTTGACTAAAAGCACCTCTCTATTAATCATCAATATCAGGCCAGCCTCACAGAGCTTAAATCCTTAATGTTCTGCACCATATATACTTCCTGAAATGAACTAGTTTTTGTTTTCTAGAAAAGTTAACTGACAACACATAAATGAAGCATATGAAGAACTTAACACCTGAATTCTTTTCCATTCTCCTTTTCTCCACCAGTCACCATTGTTTCAACTTCTTAGCATCAAGTCTCTTTCTCTGTCCCAAGCCCCAACAACCCGTGGGGCAAGTGTCAGTTCTCACTGCACTTCCAAACTCTGCCCCATTGTTGAGTCTCCCACTTCTCAGTCCAGGGCCCACAGCATAGGAGCAAGAGGTCATGCAAAGAAATAAGTGAGATGTTGTTTTAAGTTGGAATCTGTATTATGCTTTCCTATAGAAACATTTTATAAATCTAGCACAAATTCAAACGTGTACTGGAGTTCACATAATATTGTGCATTAAAGTAGGCTTTTGAAGACTACTCTGGGAGAATAACCACCGGCTTATAAGAACAAACTGTAAATTGGGAACTATCTTTGTGAAAAAATTTTATAAATTATGAAGTTCATATACAAATATTTATGAAAGTGATCTAATTTTGACTTGCTGGTGGACTTCACTCTTATCACTGATTGGAATTATTTTCCTTCAATTTTCACTGCTACCATTGGGACCATCCTGAAGCTCTCCACTAAACCATAGTGGCCAACCTTCAAAGGTAGAAGGTCTTTAGTGAAGGCTTTATTCATAGTCAATTATCACAATTGTTATACTCATTTTTGCTAAAGGGCTTGCTCTGAGTTTTTACCAAATGTTTCCAAACTGAAATAGAAACCACAGGTTACAAGGAAGTGGAAAAGAAAATTAACATATTTTAAGCAACTACCATGTGCCATGGCATTTAATCATTACAATAACTATGAGTAGGTATTCCAAAGAAGGAAACAGACTCTGACAAGTTTAAACAATTTTTCTTTTCTGGCATCAAGTAAGCAGTGGAGCTAGTTCCTTTTTAATGGATAATAACTAATTATTTTTAACTTTTATTTAAATATAGCATATACAAGTAGTTTATAAATCACAAGTGTTTGTTGTTGCATTTTCACAAAGTGAACAAATCCTGTGAAACCAGGCTCCAAATCAAGAGAACAAAAGAACATGACCAGAATCTCAGAAGCCACATCAAGTGTAACCTTTCACTCACAATCTCCTCCCCAAGGTTAACCACTCTCCCAATTTCCAGCACTTCTACCATCAGAGTAGTTTAGATTACATTTGTTTTACTGTTTTTGAACTTTCTGCACATGGAATCATGGAGTATGTACTCTTTTATGTCTGGCTTATTTTTCAACATTATGTTTGGGCAATTCACTGGTATCGTTACATATAGTTGAGCTTGCTTATTCTAATTACTTATTCTAATATCCCACTGTGGGAATATACCACAATTTACTTAACCATTCTAATATTAATAGACATTTGAATAGTCTGTATGTTTAGCTTTTGAATAGTAGTTCCATGAACATTATTGTGCATACATGTCTTCTAGTACACAAATGTACACATTTATGTTGGGTATACACTTAGGAGTGTAATTGCTATGTCATGGGATTTGCATTAGAAATCTTGAATCATTGATGTTCTTTTTAACTTCTAGTTTTCCAAAGTGGTTATACCAATGTACACTCTCACCAGCAGCATATCAGAATACTTATGGTCCACATTCATGTCAATAAAGGCATTCTTTGTAGCTAGGTTTCTGACTCCAATACCCAATGCTCCTTTCCTTTCACCTAAATTTTATTTAAATGTAAGAACTTGGTAACAGTTCTCTTTTATAAATTCCATGATTCTTTCTAAGATTTTCATTCTTTGTTCATTGAGTGATTTTCCTTTTTTGTACTGGAAAACGTATTTGTGCTGAATAGAATTTAGCAGCGTTTTCAGGGTATCAGAGGCCTCATGTAAATATTTATCTTCAGTAAGCCCAGCCTCTTCTATTTTTTCTGCATGGGTAAAAAGAATGGCTGTGTAATTCATCCAAGCATGTCCAAGAAGTTCCTGAAAGAGAGAAGTTAGATAACTATTGAACTTGAACTATATTCCTCAAAAATGAGCAAAGGATTTATTACGGTCCAATATAGATAGCCAGCAGATCCATATTATTATGTTTCTGAAAGCTGATATACAATGTAGGAAATGAAGACAGGGTCAAGTATTTTAAGTAAATGGAGGGAAAAGGCTTGACTTTCTGAAAAAGGCAGGATTAAACAGAGAATTAAATTCTCTCTTTTATTTTACTATGATAATTGATATATACACAACCTCAAAACTGCATATTATCATTGCTGCATAGATTTCTCAACATTCAGTAATCATTTATACTTGTCTGACTACCTGAGTCCATTAAAGCCACTGAATTTAAGTCGGAGGACCTTAGTCAAGGGAATTGTTTTATCTTTTACTTTTATCATTATCATTAAAAGCATCTACTAAAGATATAAAATTACATAATCTGTTAAGAATCTATTGATTAATCAGGTGACATGTAATGGAAAAGCTCAGATAAAAATACATTTGGTGATTTGGACGAACCACAAAATATTATAACTGTGAGTCTCATCTTCTTGACTTCACATGCTTAGAATGGAACCCAATTTATCTGATGACTTCCTCTAATGTGGTTGAAAAACATTGAAGACTGGCATTCCTTTGTTTAGTAATATGTGGAAGTTGGTTATGTAATAAATTCTTGTTTGATTAGTGAATATAAGCTGATATAAAGCAGAAGTAACAGCATGTGGCAAATTGTTCATGTAATATAAAAGGCATCTAGAAATAACCCTTGAACTTTTTGGGATATTTCTAAAGTTACATGAAATCACAATGTGACAACAAAATAACATTACCTCCATTCCGAACACTCCTATTACCAAAATATTTCCAAAGCTACTACTAGTTTATGGCAAGAAAAATACAAAATGCCTAGGAATAAACATAATAAGAAACACCCAAGACCTCTAATAATCAGAAGAAAGAAAGAAAGGAGAAAAACTAACATTTAGTGCCAGATATTATGCTAAGCACTTTACATGCGTTACCTCTTTTGAAGCTTAATGCAATTATTTGTGGGAGATACTATTATTATCTCCATTATGATATTGGCAAACTGACTTATAAAGACTTTGAGTTATATGTATTAGTACAAACTCTGGTTTTAAAAAATTATTGAAAATATTGAAAGACAGTCTGGGAAATCATTTTCAATGTACCTAAAAAATACAGGATTAGAATTTATAATATGGAAAAATTGAAAACAAAGAAAAAAGAAGAAGGAAATAAGAAAGAAAACAGAAAAGGAAGAAAGGAGAAAGGAAGGAAGGAAGGCAAGCAGGAGTAAGGAAAGAAGGAATCTGGATAGGTAAATCTAACATGAAAATACTCGTGAGAACTACGGGACAAAACATTTAAAATTAGAAACATCACAATCATGGTCACCAATTACAACTGATACAGTCTGGCTTTTATCAGATTCATTTATTTATACATCAATTTCTACAACTTCATAGTGAACTCTTTGAAGGCAAGATTCATGTCTTTCCATATCAATCAAAGCTTTTAGCACATTGTAAACTTTCAGTAAACATCTGTTAAATTAATTTGGAATTTAGACCCTCATTGTCATCTCAAATAGAAGTCTTAGGGTTCTATTTATTTCTTTTGAGGTTTTGGTTTTGAAGTATAATTAATCTTTGTAAAGCTTCTTTTTTTTGCAGTTTATCATCATGAATTTGCCTGTAGTCTGGACTATTTTCTATTCAGAGGGACTCTTTCAAGGAATAGGCCCAAACTTTTTCTTCATATGTGTTCAAAATTTTTCTATGTACACCCACCATAGAATAACTGCATATTTCTATTCCTTCTAAAAATACCCTGCTTAAAGTTTCACAATCAGTATATTAGGGAATAATTACTGTAATAGATTATAAACTTTAAAAAATAAATTTTTAAAAAATTAGTATCCATATAATGTCAGCATCCCATTTTGCCTAATGGTAACATAGCAAAATTAGCAGACCTCTTTAGAGTTTGTTGTATATTCTGTATATTGTTAACAGGTCTCTGCTGGAAGAGGAGTCACAGAGTTGCAAAGTAAATGAGCAGTGATGTTATGGGTTGAATTGCATCCTCCGCCAAACTCATGTGTTGAAATTCCGATCCCCAGTTCTTCCGGATGTGATCTTATTTGGAAATAGGGTCATTGCAAATATAATTATTTAAGCTAAGGTCATTAGGGTGAGTCCCTGTCTAGTATGATTGGTGTCCTTATAAAAAAAGGGAAATTTGGGCAAAGACGCAAGTCCCGGGAGAGTGCCATGCGTACGTGAAGATAGCCATCTACAAGCCAAAGAAAGAAGCCTGGAACAGATCTTCTCTCACAGCTATCAGAAGGAGACAACCCTTACAACACCTTCATTTCAGACTTCTAGCCTCCAGAACTGAAAGACAGTAAATACCTGCTGTTTATGCCACCCAGGTTGTGGTACTTTGTTACAGGAGCCCTAGCAAACTAATGCAAGTGGCTAAAAAAATTAATAAAGTACTAAGTATATTAGATCTGGCCTCTGGGAATACAGCAATCCCTGGATCATTTGCATCAGAATCACCTGGGAGGCTTTCTAAAAATGCATCAGAACCATTAGGGCTGGAGCCTGGAATCTGAATTTTATAAAGCATTTTAGATGATTTATTCCTTCTGCAAATATTTATTGAGGGTCTACTTTGTTCTAGGCATGCTCTACATGGTAGGGACAGGTGTGGAACAAGACAGACATATTCTGTTTACAGTTAGTGGAGATTTTTGTGTACTAAATTAACTTGGGAAGGGAGACAGACAGGAAAGAAATACTTTGAATTTGTTTCAATTGCAAGTGTGATAGAAATTATGTTAGCATTATAAAGGTGATCATTTTGCCCATTTTGGGGTGGAGGTGGGAAGTAAGGGTAAAAAGGAAAGACCAGACAAGATGTCTTGCATGTGATGATGCAGTCACCAGATTCTTAAAAAATACATAGGAATTAACAAGGTAATTAATGTAATCAAGCATGATTGAGATTGTACAGCATTGAGATTTTATTTCTAAACAAGTACAGCTATTGATCTTTGATCACTCTTATCTCTGAAAGATTATCAAATTTAGAGCCAGACCTGATATTCACCAAGTACGCTATGAATATGGTCATACTGATTGTCAGATATCAAAATGTTTTCATACAAATTATTAAATAGCTACTGCTCTTAACTCCTTGAGAGCCATCCTAAACTTACCCTTAGATATGTATTGGCTGATGTGTAGATCATACTTGTTATTAAATATTTTTGAGCCCCAGTGACTTAATGAATAAGGTATTTGCCTCCTTAAATATTTTTGAAATACAGTATTGCTACAATAAATGTGCATGCTAAATAAACTATTTGGCACAAACAATCCTTTCTTGAGTTATATATCGTAACACAGAATTATTTTCTTTCTAGGTTAGTACTTAATGAAGTAAATGGTTTAACTTTCATAGTATTTCTTTTGTTCCTGTTTTTCTGTATTGTAACATTAACATGTTCCCTTTTGGTCTCCACCAGACATTTCCCATACTTTAAACCACAATCTCATTCAGAGAACGTGAGTTAAATCACCTAAGGATAATAGATTTGTAAGTGCCATGCCACTTAAAAGTCCATGTGTTCAGCCACTGGGAAGTTTTTACACATTTATTTATGAAAGGATGCTCATACCTTAAACTGTGAGAGAAATTGCACTTTTGAATTACTGCCAAAAACAGAAGAGAGTGGTTGATTTAGCTTAAAATCTTTAAGTCGATTTTGGCCAGAAAATAGTTGAATATTTGAAAGTAGTGTTGCTTGCTGAATAGTCATCACGTTAGTGGCCAAACATGTTCTCTATGGACCCAGAGAAAGAATCATTACAGTTGATTGATACCTCACATAAAAATCCAAAAGCAAGATAAGTTAATGTAAGTTATCTGGTGTTAATAATTTAAATATAGTACTAAGCTAGATGAAAATTTTATGATCAATCATGAATTGTTTGGTTTGAGTGCTAATGGGTATGAGTCCATTTAGTCCTTTTGGGACTACTGGTTAGGATATAAACTTTGTTATCCAGGAATTATGTTCATTTTCCCAGGACCTCACCAGCCCTGCCCCATTTGTTTGTGGTTGATGAAATCATAGCATCTGGACTTTTTAGGGTGAAACAAACAAACAAAAAGCCAACTATTACATCAACTGAGAAAAAAATTATCACGGAACAGGAGGACAATGAGGACCATTTTTTTATACTTTATGCTATTCCCTTACTCTCACCCCAATTAAAACATTACATTTTCCTTTTCAGAGAGCCAAAGCTGAATGATAATTTCTCATTAGGCCAGATCCAGAGAATATTCAACCTCAGAGATCATCTTATAAACTGCCTCATTTTACAGATGAGGTATTGAGGACTTACGGTGTTAAATGACTTGGCCAAAGTCATATGGCTGATTATTGACAGGCTTGGACCTGGAACCAAGGTCCCCCATCTTTCCCACTAAATTGGGGCTCTTCAATTTAACCATACTAAGCCAGTGAAGATTTTTCCAGATTTTTTTTCTAAATTAATAAAAAAGTTACTTCTTATGTTTATAAATCAGGGCCACGTAAATTTGATTTTACTCTTATTTTCTTCATAAGTCTACCAGGATAAACCTAAAAAACACTATTTCCTAATTTTAGGATAAGACAAATACTAACAATGAAATAATAATGGCCAGAGCTATTTGCTGTGCACTTGCCACGTGCCTGTGCCTAAGCTATATCATTTACCGTTGAAAGGGCATTAATCCCACAAGTAACCCAATGAAGCAGACACTACTGTCTTTCTCAATTTACCAATGAAGTTTACAGAAGTTACTTGCCCGAGATCACAAAGCAAATAAGTAGCTAAGACTTGAATACTTTAGAACCCATCTCGTAATCTCTATGCTATCTTGCCCATATCCAGTAGTTCATTTGAATGAGTACTCATTCACAATCTCAGTAGTGATCATAACAATAAAAACAACAATACTAGTAATACTTTACCATTTTCTGTGACCTACTGTAAGTAGGCACAATGCTGAGCATGATGTATTTATTAAATATAATGCTCAGAACTCTTAACATACATAAAATTATCTCCACATTACAAGTAAGGAATTGAAACCAAGAAAGTTTTAGTAACATTTATAGTCATACACCTATGAAGTAATTAGGCTTGTTTTTTTAACTAAATTCTAACAACTAAGCCCACAATCTTCATTTAGTATTTTCAGGCTCTGAATTAGCTTTTCCGAGCTTTTTGTAAACACATTCGTCTGCAACATCAACAGCTCGGTTGTTGATGATGAAATAAAAGTACATGCTTGAAACTTGCTTGTACGCAGTAATAATACAGAATACCATAATGGGGGGGGGGGGGCGGAAATGGACCATAGGCAATACCTAGGTACAATTCCTACTGCAGCTTGGCTGTATGCCAGCTCTTTCCTTGAGGTGACTATATTATATCTTCTCTGATTCATTATTTGTGGGTTTATAAACATTCAAATGAGATTCCAGATAATATTTGAATAAATTCTTCCTTCTATTTCTTGATTTTGGGGACATGACTCACTGATATCTCTTTCATTTTACTGTAAATTAATAAAGGCCTAACAAAAAGAAAAAGGGATCATTTGGGGAAAATGTTTCCATCGTCACAGCCAGTAGAATATAACTCCTCTGCAAAATATTAGAGTACAAATTGGGGAAGATATTTAAAGAGACAACCGGGAGGCATGGGAAAGAAGAAGCTACTTCTCTGACTCTGGCTTGGTAGGCTCCTTCTACAGTACTAGTCAGTGCCCCTGAAAAGGGGTAAAAGAAAGAAGGCAGATACTCCATACTCCATTTTGCATCAGCCAGGAAGAAAAAGAAATCCATAGTGTGCCTGAAACCTGAGGACCTAACAGCTTCTTGCTCCTTCCTAACAGCTGCTGGTCCTGTTGAATATTCAGACACTCTGCAACAGCTTCCAATCTGTGAGCACATACAGATGGCTGCCACCAGTATCTGAGGCACCTTCAGGAAGATCACAAACAGCCAGCCTGTGCTTAAGTGACCATCAACCAAAGACCGTAGCAGAACCCTGGAATAGGTCTGCAGTGCTCCCAGGGATCATAGGCCACTCAAGATTATTAAACCTTGGCTGCTGATTTTCTTGGGAGACGGAAGTTATTTATTTCAGAAAGAAATATTTGGGATCTGAGCTTTGCCCTAGCTCATCTCCTTGCTGCCTTCAGTTCCTGAATTGCATACTGATTTGGAAGGCATCTGTAAGAGAAGACTATATGCCAAATATTGTTTTAAACGACCAAAGACATGTATGAATTGAGTTCACATATATAAAAAAGACTCACAGATGACATTATTGTCCCATATGCTAAAACTATTAAAACCTATTTTCAAAATGTATGATATTTAAAATAACCTTTTGGGCTCAGCATAGGTTCATGGTAGGGAAATATTGAGACGTATGGAAAGAGTCAGGGTAGCTTTTGAAAAAGAGTTGTTTATGTGTTTACTGCATTTACTGAATTATATCCATCTATAGCCTCATCTAAATGTTTACTTAATAATAGCTTTAAATGAATTTTTAAGAACTGTCTAAAGATTATACTGGTGTCATGGATGCAGGCTTCCCACCACTTGATTTCTACCAGAAACATTGCTTGAAATACAGGCTTTCATAATTTGGAGGAGGCTTGTGGGCTTTCTTAGATCCCATACTGTTTCTTAATTGCAATCATCTTCTATTCTTCCTTACTTTTGTATAGCAGGTCCTTGGTTTTTCAGGAGTTACATGATGAGCATTTTTTATGCTCCTGTCACCCTGATTTTTCTGCTAGTTTCTTGTGATTATACATATGGCTGGGTTTTTTTTTTTCATTTTTAGAAACATGCACAGTTACTGAAAAACAATGCGTGTATCTGTCACGTAGAAGTATCTTTTCTAGTTAAAGGAAAAAATCTTCATTAAAACCAAGTAACTATCTTTCTGGGCTGTAACAGGGCCTATGTCAGTATGAGCTGAGACTGAACCAAAAGAAGGGTAGCATTTTTACAAGTTCTTCTTGAACAGAAAAGATCTGTTCACCATTCAGTATAAAGTTTAACTGTGGAGCTTCTAATAGACCTGGTGTCTCTGAGCTCAGTGACTCATTGAGGCTCTTGAGTAATACTAGTGAAGTCCAGCAGCTAAATTTAGATTGACTCAGACTGAAGAATCAACAGATTGAATAGAATAGAGCAGCTCAATGAATAGTTTCCAGGAATTGTTAGGAATAGTTTCCAGGAATTGTTAGTAATAGTCTATACAGGGCTGTGTGGACTATTGTTAGTAATAGTCTACACAGGGCTGTGTGGACTATTGTTAGTAATAGTCCACACATCATATGCACACACACACATGTACACACACGTACACACACACACACACACACAAACTCCCAACTCCCTCCATCTCCTAGCTGTGGTCATGTCCAGGCCTCTTATCCAGCTCCTCTCCTTATTCACAGTTGAAGACTGTGAATAAGCCTCCAACTTAGTGACCTATAATGAATGAACAAGCAAACAAATTGGAATAGACCACCAGGGAAAGGTGGCATGTGTTATTTATGCTCAACCTGAGGTCCCTATGGTCTTCTTTTGGCTAGAATGGAGCAGTCACTTATGCTACAACTGATAAGGCAAGCAAAGAATCTGAAGTTCTGAATTGTTTCCCTATGAATAATGCATAACTCTCCCTTGAATGCTCACTATGACTTAAGTCTTATGAAACCCCCTCTTTTTCATTATACTACTTTGGCACTTAATGCATTGTCTTTTTCTGGTTTGCTTATCTAATTTTCCTCTTCTAGACTGTAAACTTTCTGAAGGAAGGGCTCATGTCTCATTTACCAGTAATTAAGCACTGTTTAGATGCTCAATAGAGTGTTCAATGACCAAGTCAGTGAATGAGCACCCATTTCCTGGTGAACTATAAGAGATTGTCCCTTTGATGCTGAATGGATGCAAGTCAGTGTTTAAGTTCAACGGTTCTACGACCTGACTGTTTTTGAGAAATACATGGAAAATTATGAAAATACAGATATGCAGGCTCCACTCCTGAGATTCTGTTTCAGTACGTTTTGGATCAATCTTCTTTAACAAACAGCCCAGTTGATTCTGATGCAGACAGTCCAGGGACAACATGTTACAAACTTATTTGGGTTTTTTGTTCTAGGAGTTTGAGGCTTGGTTAACCTCTGAAGTTTAATATCTCAATTTTTTTTTCCTACAAACCAGTTGTAAAATGACTGATTGGGTTCCTCTGAAGGAGGTCATAAAAATGACTTGGGAAAATCAAATAATTTTTACTGACAATTCCTAGGTGACCAACACTTAGTTGTATAAATTATTATGTACTATATTATTATATACTAATAGTATAATAATAATAATATTATTATTATTATTATTATACTATTAGGATAATGTCCTCCAAGAAGTAATAATGGCATTAGTGTAATTGCATCTTAGTATTACCTGGATCATCTGGACTGGGTCAGTTACTTCCTGCCCACAGAAAGGCACATCTGCTCTCTGAACCAGGAGTGCAAGGTGGAGACCCCCTTGCCCGAAGTGATGTGCCAGAGCCTCTTTGACTTCCTGTTTCACATACTTCTTGCTCAGCCTGCTGTGTGGATAACCTGGAGTGTCCAACACCTGGACCTGCAGGGCTACCTCTAGCCCACCTCGACGCATGAAGCTGTGGAGGTGACAACTGCGGCCCAGGCTACAACATGTGGTCACAGAACAGGGAGCAAAGCTGCTGTGAAAGTCTGTGCTTCCCAGCAGAATGTTTCCAGCAGAACTTTTTCCACTCTGAGTCATGCCAAAGAGGGCCAAGTTGATGATCATCTTGTTGGGGTCTGTCATGGCTGTAGGAAAACAAAGGCATAGCACGCATAATTAGGCTTCTACATTCCCCCAATGTAAGTTTTCTTACCTGGCCTGGTTGCACTCCAAGTACGATTTTAGATTTGTTTTCCCTTCATTCGTAGTGACTAAAGCATGGAGGAGGACTGCTCCACTAAAGTGGAGATCCCCCAGTGACAGAAGGGAATGTGGAATAATTGTAGTTTACAATGAGAAGGGAGAGAGAAGTCAAATACAGATAAGGAAGGATTTAGGAAACAGAAAAAATCCCAAATTACATGAAGATCATAAAAACCATGTTTAAGAGAAATATGTTAACTCATCAATGTGGTAGGTGAGTTGGTTTAGGAAAAGGTGTTGAAGTTCCTGAGCTCAGGGGCAAAGCTAGCAGTAGTATTTAAAAGTTATTCACTATTGGAGAAGTAAGAATAGAACAGTAGAAGAAACAACCCTTCTTGCTTTCTAACAACATCCCCCATCTTCCCACTTCCCGACCCACTGCCTGAATACACAAGTGGTATCTGCAAAAAATCATCCTTCCTGATTTCCTGAATGCTTCTTTCCTATGAAATATGAATAATGTTAAAGAAGACTTCTGTTTCTGCTTACCAAATTTTTTTTTTTACAACCAGGGAACATTGGTGAAAATACAAACTACTTGTAATTTCTGTTATAAAATAATTAATAAATCATCTCTATGTTCCATTAGTGTAAGTGTTGGCTCTTTAATAAAGAAAGTAAAGCCTAACATATTGGGCAGCTCAGTTAGAAGGGGGGAGAATCTTGGGAGAATCTATTCCATGTACAATACCTGTACAGTGGCCGATCCTTTGTACACTGCATGATCCCCCATAGCATTTTAAGGTCATTAATCATTTTCACTAGATTTATAAGCAGAGTTACTTGCCAATTGCTAAAACTGCCCACGCTACCAATTCAGAAATAAAGACATTTTAATATTGCATATTTATTATTTTTGCCTAGATCTTGTAACTTTATTACACAGTTTTAAGTACCGCAGGTCCTTCTTGTCCTTTAATGCCCCTCACTCCATTATACCCACACGCTAACGTGAACACCTTGAAGGAGCTTCATACCTCCATAAAAAGACACTCATTTTGCGGGTCCCTCCAGTTCACACCAGCTCTCCCAGCTCATTCAGTGGTGTCAACTGCAGTGAGATGCAGTCAATTTCTTTTTACTCCTAAATCAGGGTGTAATGTTTTTAGAAAATTAATTATTCAATCCCAATCCATTTGCTATATTTCGCTTACCTTTTCCAGTCTTGAAAATGCTTTCTCCACAAAGACGTCTCTCGCCCTGGCACAGTTGTTCTTTCATATGAACTTTCACCTTCTGATAGCGTTATTGTACCACTCTGGGACTGACACCGTATGTATTTTATTTAGTTAATTTATTGCCAGACAGCCTCTTTATAAATGATTAGTTGTCTTCCCCTAATCAGCACTGACTTTTTTATGACACTTGACAGACTTGTAATTTTAATAGGTACAGAAATATTCTATTTTTAGTATTTTTTTATTTTGTGCATTTCTTATAAGTAACAACTTATTTATAGCATAAGGAAATGCAATATGGGTATTAAACAGAAATTAGACATTCTTTAGCAATGATTACAATTTTTTCATGATCTACAATTAGATCATGACTTCACATCAGTATTTAGTTCATAATACTTTTCAAATTTTTAAAGATAATTCTTTTTGCTATATTCATATAATAAAAAGTATTATTTTATCCTAATTTATGAAACCACTGGAATGATTATATCAGCACATGTAGCTTTCATATCAATTAATGATAGTATATTTAAGGAAAGGAGTAAAATTAACTATAACTTGAAGTCAAATACATTTTTTCTTAAAAACTTGAGTTTTATTTTCTTACTGAAAACTCAAATTTTATTTTTTCTACTTCTTAGTGTATTACCCATACTGATCCAAAATACTTTCTTGGTGCTTTTAGTAGTATGGTTATAGTCTGATTCATCTTCTCTTGTATTTCTCAAAAAGTCGATGAAATATGTATTTCTGGGTGAAAGAAACTTGGAGACATCTGGAGTGCCTTATGACTTCACGGGCAGAGAGTTAAAAAGTCTTCTTCCTGTGTAGCTGTGACAAGGAAGGCATGAACTGCCTTCCTTCATCTGATAAACACATTGGGCTTCTTGAATGAAGTGGAAAGAATCTCCCCCAGGTGGCAGTAGCAGCCTGTTTCCTAAGAAGTGATTTTTGAGCCAGGATTTATTTTAATTTTTCTTCCTTAAACTGTAAACGGACATTCTTCAACCATCTACATAAACACATATTAATTGTGTTGGGGATTTTTTGAAGAAGAACAAAGCCAAACTTTCTTTCCTATGTTCCTTATAGAACACAGCAAGCATAAGCTCTTAGTTTTTCAACCACCCCCCTGCCCGACTTCAAAGTTACAGTTTAAATCATTTGCTGAATGCAACAGCTGACTGTTAAAAAATAAAGTTCAGAATTCACGAGCATGATTATAAGTTCCAGTAAAATTGAAATTTTTTTGATAATTTTTCATAAGTCTAACGCAGGTTTTAGATTTGAGTCAATTTAGAGGTCTTATAGCAGAATAATTTATTATTAGATGATGTTGAAAGATTGATTTTTTTGAATCAAGGTGAAAGAACAATCTGAAAAATTACATTTTCACCGACTTGGCTAAATATGATGTAGTAGGGATAAAAAATGTATTATCTTTTAACAGCTGGCTGCCAAATTTCTCTTAGGAAGGATACTGTCTGAGAAAATTGTTTAATTTAGCTACTTGAGGTAGAAAACGGGATCCTGAGAACAATAGCTAAACTCACAGAAAGTATTGTAACAGCCAATCTGCTGGCGAAGGGAAAAAGCCAAGAAAAGAGTAGAGAAGATCAGGGTATAAAAGGAGAGAGGGAGTGAGAGACATAAAATGAGGAAGTGAGAGAGAGATGCAGGGAGGGAAGGAAGGAACAGACAAGGAGAGAATGAAGAACTATGACATTATAGTAGGGCAGAAAGCTAGATCTCTCAGTTTTGTAAATGTAAAGGGCTAAGGAACTATTTTAAAGTCAGCCACATTTACAGTTTTCTTACATGAAGGTGGCTTTTTATTTTTGTTTTGTTTTTGGTTTTGCTTTGTATTTTATTTTATTTTGATGAAAATTAATGGAAAAGTCTAAGTTATACTCCTGTGTTAGCACAGGACAGGCACCACAAAAGTTGGAGATTGTGGGATGACATCTGAATTAAAGTAATTTAGAAGAGGCAGGAAGTTAAAGCTAGAAGGACACTAGTCCCCAGGAACTTACAGAAATCATTAGGAGGACATTTAGACTTTCCACAGTTGATGAAATGAGATATTTTGGTGTAAAGGTGACTCTAGCTGACAAGCAACTATTGTATTTCAAATTTTATATATGTACACACACATACATACAAACATATGGGCATACATATATATTCACATGCATATATTTATGCGTGTTTGTATATACAAGTGTATATATAATTTATAATTTACATGTCTGTATACTCAGGAAAATTGTGTCTCTACTCAAATGAGTTTTATTGCAAGTAGCTCTTGATATAGCAATTTGATTAAAATGTACTTTCACAGTTTTAGACAAGTTCCCATTTTCATTGGCTTGAATGGTTAATCCTTTGCTCTGAAGATATTTCTTTTCTTAATAAAGAAGACATTAAGAGTATTGACCAGATTTTGTGGTTAGGATGATCAAATGGCTTTAACCTTGGATAACACTTAACCAAGTTGAGAGGAACACTGATAAGCCAGTTATGGTTGGTGCTGACTTGATTAACTCAGTCTGAGATAGTTTTAGAATAAGGCATCAGATCTTACTGTTGGATGTTTTAGGACACTGGTCAGCAGTTTAAATTTGGTGGACAGATGGTCTTAATTTGAATGCAGTTTGAAGGTTCTTGAACCAATGAAGAATGGCCATGTCTGGACAGAAATATTTATGGGAATATAAATCTTCAGCCTAAGCTTGGTTGGTTGGTCTTTAGTGAGACTACCAGTCACATCCCCATGCAGGAATGTTCATGATGTTTTTGTTTGGTTTTGTTCTTCTTGTTTGCTTGCTTGTTTGTTTTTCTTCTGAGTATTTTGGCATATAATTATTCAGATTATAAATATATACATTATAAAAAGCATTTAAAAATACAGAAAAGAATATAGAAGAAAATAGAACCACTTTTAAATCTTAATTTCCTGGGGACCATAAGACAGTGTCTCTTTTTGGGGATTGACACAACAGGTACATTTCTTTTTGCAATCTACCCATATACTCCCCCTATTTACTCCTTTTCTTTAACAATCACTGCTGAGAGGAATCACACAATTTTGATGAGAGGCATTAATAATGGGAGTATGTTTAGCTTGTGAACTGTGCGGAGGCAAAATACTTGTTGGCAATTACTTAATCAGGATATAATATTCTTTTGAGAGAGTACTGTATTTGTTTAATTTTCTAAGATCTATTTATAATTTTAGCAATGTTACCAATAGTGAGATGGATTGACAGCTTTTTCTTTTTATCCTATATTTGTCAGATTTTCAGATCAGAAATATGCCAACCTTTTAAAATGAATTAGAAAAAATTTCTTCCTTTATGGTTCTCTGCAATAATTTAGATCCTTTGGCAATTATAAATCCCTGAAAGGTTTGAAAAATCTTCCATGAAGACAGCTTAAGCTGAACAACTTTCTGGAACTGATTCTCAAACAACTTTAACAATTTCTGCCATAGTAATTTGACATTTTTTGTGTCGATTTTGATGATTTATACTATAATAAACACATATCTGCCTTGCTCATGTTTATGATTTTAAAAATGTGTAATCATCTTCATTTCTGGTATTAGATTTCCTTTCTTGTTCTGAGGTGGCTAATATATTAGGTTTGGCTTTCTATATTTAATAAATTTTTTTTTCACTCTCTGTGTGTGTGTGTCTGTGTGTGTGTGACAATTTAATTTTGCACTTTTATAGTTTGAAAAGAATATCTATGAGCATAAGCTAGATGTATAATTTGGTGTCTTGAGGATATAAGAATTTGATTTATAATAACCAAACTTTTGTTCACCAACTCTGAGACAATTAAGTTGAAAACTGAGAGTCATACATACACTCGCATTATCATTTACAATTATAATTAGTGATTAATCATACAAATATATGTCATTATTGAAGAAATGACTAAAACCTCAAGAGCAAGCAAAAAATCAATATCTTTCTAATACTGTACTTACTAAAGGAAAATAATATGTTGAAGAAAAAATTTCAACAAAACAAATGTGCTTAATTCAGATTCTCAAAAAATTTGTCAAATGATCTCAAATCTCCCAAACCTTATTCTTGAAACACTTCTGCTAAATTCCATTACCCTGGTTTAGATTCTTTTTTATAAAAGATCATTTCTATTCACTCAAGAGAAATAGATGACATGGTATAATATAGAATATCATAAAAGTATGTTCATATAAATTAATTTCATATGTCAAAGATTTTATGTTTTATTTTTCTTACCTAAGAAATAACATATATTCAACCCATATGGATAAATATTTTTTTTAGCCAAATGCACAGAGGCAGAGGGTCTCATAATCTTTAATAAAGCTATTAACTCCTCAGTCTCTGAGCCCAGACAATAGACTGGCTCTAACTTCTTAGAGACTCACTTATCTTTTGCGCATGATTCAATTACAAACACTTCCGTGTTATAAATTCTAGTAATAACCAGGAAGCAATAGATACTTTCCTCATCATAATACAAAGTATCATAAATGCCGTAGACATGGTATTTAGAAATAATGGTCATGAATATCAGATGTAACACCCTATTTATTTACACTTCATGTCACAAAGATCTCCTTTTATGGTAAATACTTTCTTTTTTTCTTTTTTTTTTCAAAGGAATTGACAATCTCAAGTCAAGGAAAATAGATCCTACACTAAAAGAACTGTAAACTTGTTAGGATATGTAGTTTTTACTTTCCAAGGAGAAATAACCTTTTTATTTTCCTGGCAAAAGCTGTGGTATGGAGCTAACTTCCTAGATACTATCACCAGAATTGCTGATACCAAAATATCTGAAACATTGGAACCAATAAAAGAGACTGTCAATTCACCGTAGAAAGGTCAGAAAATCCCCTAACTTCCTTGCTATCTTCCCATCCCATATTTAGGTTAGATAGAGAAGTGTGTATGTGTGTGTGTGTGTGTGTGTTGCTCGCACAGTGATGAACTGTAAACATAAATGAAGATATGGAAAAATACATCAATTAGGACAACATGACAATTTCATTAGACTCCTATCAAAGAGTATCAGTTCACAGTTGGTATAGATACTAGTATAAAATTCAGATCTTGACTGTTTTCTGGGGATAAAGCAAGGCTTTACAATTTAGCAGTCTTTAGCTAGCTTGAAACAGTAAAACAACAACAGCAGAGCCTTAAGTGTATTTTTGTGACCTAAAACATGAACTCAGGGTTTCCAAATTCCTAACAATGAATAGTGGGAGTGACTAAGATACTGAGAAAGTAAGAATCAAATAGGTGTTATATTTTGTAAATTTCTATGCAGTGCAGATTACCTAAGGACACACCATAGGAAAATAAGGTAGTTACCATGATGCAGAAAAGAAAATGTCAGTTTTATGTTTGTATGTATGTGTGCATGCAATGCTATGTATGAATACTACATACCGTGAATACTGTAATAGAAAACTAAGATTTATGTTGCATGACCATGTCCCTTGGCACTCTTATGGACCCTTTAATATACCATCTCACACAGCTTTCTGCATTGGGTAGTGTTATTAACCCGATTTTAAAGGACACTGAGGCACAGAGTGGTTGATCTTGCAGTTGCTAAGTGGCAGAACTGGAGTTGCATCCTTTTTTCCAGAGTGTAGTTGTTGATACACATCTGCTTAACCAGATACTGTTCTCGTTTCGGCTGTAGCACTTGGCCAGTACAGCAGAGTTATGTTCCAGGGTGTACAGAGGGGGAGAAGTCATACTGGAAAAAGAAAAGGGGACACAGAAGGTACAATTTATCAGGACTATGTATGTAAATGAGTACTTCATTTTTATGCCTCTTTTCTCCAAAATGTTTTGGGAAAACATCTAAAACATAAAATCAAGAAGTGATGGATTTTCTAAAAAAAAAAAAAAAGCTAAAGTTGCCCAAAGTTGAGGTTTAGCAATAACATGCTTTGCTTTTGTTTTATGCCCAATCTGATTGATTTGGGCTATATTCATCATATAGACTTCCAAAAAAAACCAGACAATAATAGCAATAATAGTATTAATAATAATAACAACTATACTTCATGGAGCAATTACTTTTTCCTTTTTTGAGATGGAGTCTCACTCTGTTGCCCAGTCTGGAGTTAAATGGCATGATCTCCACTCACTGCAACCTCCGCCTTCCGAGTTCAAGCGATTTTCGTGCCTCAGCCTCCCAAGCAGCTGGGATAACAGGCATGGGGCACCATGTCCGGCTAGTTGTTGTATTTTTAGTAGAGACAGGATTTTGCCATGTTGGTCAGGCTGATCTCGAACTCCTGACCTCAGGTGATCCTCCCACCTCAGCCTCCCAAAGTGCTGGATTACAGGCATAAGCCATCACACCCAGCTGATTGCCTTTTGAGGCAGGCATATGGTAAGTGCTTTATGTAATTTTTTTGGTGTAATCCTCATAACAAGTTTGTGTTGTAGACACAATTATAGTCATTTTCCAGATGAGGAAACTGAGGCTCAGGATAAAGAAACTCCCCAAGTCACACAGCTCACAGCTCCGGGTTAGGATAGGACTCTAACCCAGATCCACTTCAATCTGGATGCCATATGCTTATTCATTATACTATAAATTAGAGAAACCTGGAAGGACAAAATGTTATTTGAATTCCAAAAGTCTTTTGCTTATGTTCTATTTAATTCTCGTCATACCTCCAAACTATTAGGAATAACTACATCAGTAAAATCCTACACTGACCTGGTATTGTACCTCTGTGAGCATGGCTCCACACAGTACATCACATCCTGCTTGTCTGCCAAGTCTCCAAAGAAATTAACAAGCATGATTTAAAAGTCAGAGGCAGAGCAGGAGAGAGTGGGTGGTAAGTTTTAAGAATGGTTGTCAGGTGCTCATCACATGAGCTAAGCACAAAAAAGACAAATGCTAAGATCCATACGTTGTGTGGTCTATTACAGATGAAGTCAGTAATCTAACACTGTGGTGGTAAATTTTGAAAAAGAGACGTATGATATTTACATAATTCCTAAAAGAGGTCTGGATAAGAGCCATTATCTGTGCCAAGCATGATTATATAAAATTGAAGTCATTTCTTTACAATATTGCTATAAAATTGCTGGGCTAAAAAACAAACTGTAGGCCCACAGTATCTGAAGACAATCATCTGAAACATATTGTTATAATCTCAGATGTGGTAGAAGAGTTGAATTTGGTCTTCTGGCCAATTTGGGAAAGTATAGAGGATATTACAAAATGGAATAAAAATCATTTATACATAGCCCAATAGTAAACTTAACTTGGCAAAGGAAATGGCAAGAAATAGACTGCATTCATAAATGGCAAAATAGCTTTATGGCCCAAGTTGGTCCTTTGTATATCACCTTTGTATGATATTAATTTTATTTTCAGTCTTGGGTTTTATATATATATATATACACACACACACACACACACACACACACACACACACACACACATATATGTTTTATATATATACACACATATATGTTTTATATATATATATATACACACACACTCACACACACACACACACATATATATGTATATATATTTTTTTGGAGATGGCGTCTCGCTCTGTTGTCCAGGCTGGAGTGCAGTGGCGCAATCTTGGCCCACTGCAACCACCACTTCCCTGAATCAAGCAATTTCCCTGACTTCGCCTCACCAGTAGCTGGGATTACAGGCACATGCCACCACACCAGGCTAATTTTTTTGTATTTTTAGTAGAGACGGAATTTCACCATGTTGGCCAGACTGATCTCGAATCCGCCCACCTCAGCCTCCCAAAGTGCTGGGATTACAGGCGTGAGCCACCGTGCTTGGCCAATATTTTAAGGGCTAAGCCAGTTATCAATTTCTAAATTCTGTGGTGTGCCCAAATTTACAATATAACAATAGGATAAAGAATAACATTTAGAGATGTTGTGCTAAATAAATACACAGATGACACCACAACCTCAAGTGACAATAAGAGATCATATATTTACATAATATATATTTACAACATATAGTATAAAAGCATATATAAAAGTATGTATTTTCTCCTATGCTTGTTCCTTATGTGCATTAAAGATAAATTAAATAAATGTCACTATTATTTAAGATAAAGATTATTTTTTGGCCAGGTATGGTGGCTCACACCTGTAAGCCCAGCACTTTGGGAGGCCAAGGCGGGCAGATCACAAGGTCAGGAGTTTGAGACCAGCCTGGCCAACATGGTGAAACCCTGTCTCTACTACAAATACAAAAATTAGCTGCGTATGGCAGTGGGGGCCTGTAATCCCAGCTACTCGGGAGGCTGAGACAGAAGGATCATTTGAACCCGGGAGGCAGGGGTTGCAGTGAGCCAAGATGGCACCATTGCACCCCAACATAGGCAACAGGGCAAGACTCCGTCTCAAAAAAAAAATTTTTAAAACAACTTGATTTACAAAAGTAAAACATTACAAAAATGTATTTATTAAAATTTATGCCAGCTCTGTAGATATTAAAGAAGATCTATAGCTTATTCAAGTCAGGCCCAAATAAAATTAATTAATAAATTTAAAACATTATTAGATGACTACCATGTGTTGTGTACATCACTTGCTTTTCAGAATTCAAAGGTTTGATAAAATAATTATAATGCAATTAAAAATTTTCAGGATTTATTGGTGTATTTCTTTAAATCTCACATGTGTTTTATAATGCAGGAATTACCCAAAGAGTCAGAATTTGGATACACCATGGTTCAAGATCATTGTTATAAAATCAGAAGTCTCAATTGCTATTTCTTTTATTTATTATCACCTATAAGAAAAGTTATACTCACTCAAACAAATAATTGTTGAATGTGTATTTCTATGCCAAGGTATAATATTTAGAAACAAAATAAGTAGAAAGAACTGGGTTAAAAATCAGGAAGTTATCCTAGCGTAGGTTACTTCTTTACAAAACAAGAAATGACACATTTTAGATGGTTGTTTTAAGGGCTAAGGCAAGTAATTTATACAAATATGTTCTATAAAATGTCTCACTGTAGCAGATATTTCATATACATCAGTTGGATTTAAATTAATCTTTACAATAAGGTAGATTTTCAATCTGCATCCCATTCCAATCTATTTATTTGTATGTGTCTTTACTGACAGTGCTAAGAATTAAAGTAACTCCAACTGAGAGGAATACAAAGCATGGGTTAGTTTTTCTGTTTTGAGTTTACACATAGTGTATTTCCCCTATAATAACCTTCTGTAATGAGACACAATCATGATAGTTACTTTAAATATATAGAGATATTTTAAAACTACTACAAACTACCAATATGAAATGGTTAAATTTTGTATCTTTCCTCAGACTTATTTCCCTCTTCTGTAAAAGAGATTCAATGAAACCTTGCAGGACTAGTGGCATAATGCGTATAAATTAAATAAAATACTGTATGTAAAACAGTTTTCTGTAGTGCTTGACACATAGAAAGTACTTGGGAATATCCAAGGTATCCCAAATTGAAATTATTGGGTTTTGCTCAAACCTATTCTTCCTCTTGTTTTCTCTAGCTTGGTGAGTAACCCTCTTCAGTAGAAACCTGGAAGTCATGTTTAATTATTCCCTTTCCCTAGACATAATTCATCCAACTGGTGAAGAAATCATTACTGATTTTTCCCTGTAAACATCTGTCACATGCATCTATCCCTCTTCTCCGGCCCCATTGCTACTGCCTTACTTTATGTTCTTCTGATTGTTTGCTTGAACATGAGGACTTAATTTCTGAAATGGCCTTTCTGCCTTCCTTATGGTCCTCCAATTCATTCTTCACACTGCTGCTAGAGAGACCTTTGTAGAGTCAAATACGATCATGTGTAAAAGTCTTCACAAGCTCACGTTTCTGTACAGTAATAGTCAAACTCCTTAGTTGTAGACTTTGCCCTCTCTCTCCACCACCTACTGTGTGTCATAGCTGTTAATGCTCTAGCTAAATCCCAATTCCTGTTCTTCCCCAGTGTGGTCATCATGTTCCCCTTCACATCTCTACTCATGCCACTGTCTCCATCTAGAATGCCCTCTGTCTCCCACTCACACCTTACCTGAACCCTTTTCTGCCTAGCAAATATCCATTCGTCTTTTAAGACTCAAAAATATTTATGGCATAAGGATAGGCATATAAAAATATGGGACAGAGCTGACAGTCTAGAAATAAATTCTTATATTTAGGTTAAACTGATTTTCTACAGGATGCCAAGACAATTAGACAAGGGAAAGAATAGTCTTTCCAACAAATGGTGTTGGGACAACTGGATATTGCATGTAGAAAATGAAGATACGTTGTGTCTGAAAGGTCAGCTGTCAGACATAGCAGACAGCCAGGCTACAGTAGTGATTAAACCCTCCACTAGTCCCTGGCTCATATCAGGAGTAGAGTGAATGTTGGCAAAATGAATCAAGGAGGCACTTACCTCCACGGGGATTTAGTATGCTCTTTGCCCGCAGCATGGGAAACCAGCTAACAAACTTCCACTGGCCTGCAGATTCCATCACTGTGACAGGTCCTACCTCACACAATATACAAAAATTAACTGAATGTGGTTCATAGACTTAAATGAAAGAGCTAAAACTATTTAACTCTTAGAAGAAAACATAGAAGTAAGCTGTTATTATTTTGGCTTATGCAATTGTTTTTATAGATATAACACTAAAAGTATAAGTGACATGGAAAAAATAGATAAATTGGACATTACAAAAATTAAAAACTTTCATGGTTTGAGGAACATCATTAAGAAAGTGAAATATCAACCCACAGAATGGCAGAATGGGAGAAAACACTTGCAACTCATATACCTGATAAGAAACTTTAGAATACAGTCACGTGCCATATAACAATGCTTTGGTCAGTGATAGACCAATATGAACATAGCTGCATAAGATTATAATTTCATATTTGTACCGTATCATTTCCATGTTTAGATACAAAAATATTTCTGTGTTACAACTGACTATAGTATTCATTACAGTAAAATGCTGTACAGGTTTATAGTCTAGGAACAATAGGTTATACCACCTAGATTTGTGTAAGTACACTCTAATGTTCACACAATTACAAAATCACCTAACAACGCATTTCTCAGAATGTATCCTTGTCATTAAGTGGCACATAACTATACATAAGGAACTCTTACAACTTAATAATAAAAATGCAACTGAATTGAACAATAGGCAAATAATTTGAATAGTTTTTTTCTCCAAAGATGTTATGCAAATGACCAATAAATACACTAAAAGATGCTTGAGATTGTTAATCATTAGAGAAATGCAAATCAAATCCAAAATGAGGTACCACTTCACATCAACCAAGATGGCTAAAATAAAAATAGAAAAGACAGACAGTAACAACCATTATTGGGGATATGAAAGAATTGGAATCCTAATAATTGCTGGTGGTACAGCCACTTTGGCTATCAGTTTGGCAGTTTCTCAAAACTTTAAAGCTAGGCTTGTCTTTTTGATAAAAGCTATTTGAACCAGGGTGAGATGATATCTTATTCTAGTTTTGATTTGCATTTTTCTGATGGTTAGTTATGTTGAGCATGTTTTATATATCTGTTGGCCATATGTATGTCTTCTGAAAAATGTCTGTTCAGCTCTTTTGTCCATTTTTAAATTGGATTGTTTGCTTTTTTTGCTATTGAGTTGTTTGAGTTCCTTATATGTTGTGGATACTAACCCTTTGTCAGATGTGTAGTTTACAAATATTTTCCCCCATTCTGTGGGTTGTCTCTTCAGCTGGCAAGAATGTGGAGAAAGAGGAACCCTCATATACTGTTAATGAGAATATAACCCTCATATACTGTTAATGAGAATTTAGTTATTTGAAAAGGTTCCTCAAAAAACTAAAAATAGAACTATCATATGATCCAGCAATCCCAGTGCTGAAAATATATCTAAAATAAAGAAAATAAGTATATCAAGGAGATATCTGCATTCCCATGTTTATTGCAGCACTATTCGCAATAGCTAAGATATGGAATCAAACTAAGTGTCCATCAATGGATAAATGATTTTTAAAATGTGGTAATATAAATAATGGAATATTATTCACTCATAAAAAGAATGAAATCCTGTCATTTGTAACAACATGGATGGAACTGGAGGACATTATGTTAAATAAAATAAGCCAGGCATAAAAAAACAAATATTGCATGTTCTCACTCATATGTGGGAGCTAAAAAAAATTGGACTTACAGAAATACAGAGTAGAATGATGGTTACCAGAGGTTTGGAAAGGTAGGGGAGAGGGGGGATAAAAAGGGGTTGGTTAATGAGTACAAAAATACAGTTAGATAGAAAGAATAAGATCTAATGTTCGGTAACACACAGGGTGACTATAGTTAACCGTAATGTACTGTATATTTCAAAATAACTAAAAGAGTGGAATTGGAATGGTCCTTAACACAAAGAAACAATAAATGCTTGAGGTGATGGATATCCCAATTACCCTGATTTGATCGTTACACATTGTATGCTTGTATCATAATATCACACATATCCATAAATATTTTACGGATACAACTATAATGTATGCATAAAAATAAATTTAAAATGTCAAATAAACTTAGGGTTACCATACAATTTAGAAATTCCACTCTTAAATGTATATTCAAGAGAAATTAAAACACATGTCTACACAAAAACTTATACATCAATGTTTACAGAAACAT
Organism: Homo sapiens; assembly: GCF_000001405.40. Classification (NCBI taxonomy): domain Eukaryota; kingdom Metazoa; phylum Chordata; class Mammalia; order Primates; family Hominidae; genus Homo; species Homo sapiens. The sequence continues at coordinate 106,381,456 of NC_000004.12, forward strand.
TATATATGGTAGCCAAAAAGTAGAAGGATTCCAAATGCCCATCAACTAATTAACGGACGAATAATAAAATGTGGTGTATTTATGCAATGGAATACTATTAGTCAATAAAAGCTCATGAAATATTGATACATGCTACAACATGGATGAACCTTGAAAACATTATGCTAAGTGAAATAAGCTAGTCACAAAGGCCACATATTGTAGGATTCCATTCATATGAAATGTCCAGGATAAGCAAATCCACAGAGAGAAAGTAGACTAGTAATTTCTAGGAGGTTGTGGGAGGGGGATCAAGAAAATGAGGGTGACTATCAATGATCTTAGGGTTTCTTTTAGAATGATGAAAATATTCTAAAATTGAATAGTGGTGATGATTGCATAGCACAATTAATATACTAAAAACCATGGAATTGTGTACTTAAAAAGTGTGAATTTAATGATATGTAAATTATATGTCAACAAATCTGTTTTCAATAAAAAGGTAAGCTTCAGAAAAAAATTAGTTATTTTTTTTACTTGCTTCAGTACTAAACTGTAGTTATAGTCACCTCCTCAGTGGAGCCTGTCTCACGGCCCTCCCAACTCTCTCCTTGATGTCTTAAGGACAAGTACGTTTTAGTGTGCTCTTACTGTGCTTGGTGAGATTTTTATCATTTCCTCTGGAATAGCATATTTACACATCCTCATCTCTCTGTTTGACTTTAAGCCCTTTGAAGGCAAGGCTGGCATATTATGGGTTTTTGTACTCCTATTATTAAGCCCAGTGCCTAACACCTAGTAGGAGGGGACAATAAATGTTTGTTAAATAAATGGAAATATTACAAATTAATTCCCATGCTTTCTTTTCCCATCCATTTCACTGTTAGTCAATCCCTGTTCATTGTGTCCTTGGATATACTGAGTCATTCATTACCTGAAATAAATGTGCTCTTAAACATTCTTTTTACTACATGCAATGAGTATTTATTGATTTGCTTTAGAGAATATTATAAGGCATGGTGCATTCATGAGAGAGTGTAGTGAATTTTTTTTTTTAATAGAGATGGAGTCTCACTCTGTTGCCGAGGCTGGAGTGCAGTGGCATGATCTCGGCTCACTGCCAACCTCCGCCACCTGGGTTCAAGCAATTCTCTTGCCTCAGCCTCCTGAGTAGTTGGAATTACAGGTGTGCATCACCATGCCCAGCTAATTTTTGTATTTTTTTTTTCAGTAGAGATGGGGTTTCACTATGTTGACCAGGCTGTTCTCGAACTCCTGACCTCAGGTGATCCGTCCACCTTGGCCTCCCAAAGCACTGGGATTACAGGCATGAGCCACTGCGCCCAGCCAGTGAATTTTTTAATAGCATTGACTTTAGAATAGAAGCCCATATTTTAGAGCTATTCTGCCACTGTCAAACTTAGAACCTTGGGTAATTCACATAACATTTTTGGACCTTGATTCCCATGTATAAAATGGAAATAGTAGCAATATATATTTTATTGTACTACATTATGAGAGTTGAATTAGTTTATTATGTAAAGCACTTAGCACAATGTCTTTATACATGAATGTTTATAAATGCTATAAAATATTCTGCTGAATATACTACAAACCCATACATATAATGCTTCATAATATTTCTTGAGGGGAAATTAGCACATATACTAAGACGCACACACAAACACACATACATGCTTGCCAAACATGCTTGTCATTTAGACTAGGAGATATATTTTTGTAGTTCTACATGATACATCAAAGTTTTAACATTTTTTCATTATACTGGATAATATGCAAGCTGAATAAACAATATTATTATCCACAACAATATCTCTTCAGTTTTCTTTCCTTTGTAGGGTCCACTTGTGGAAACTGAGAATTTAGTTTCCATAGATATGTTACCTGTATATTACAAAGAATAATGCAATGAGTGGAATGGTTACAATACAGCAATGCTTCATTGCTGCAGGCAGCCCTTAATATCAGAGAGATGCTTTAAATTTCTCTTTAAATAAAAACTCTGCTGTGAAAATTTTTCCTGTAAATTAATACTACCAACCAGCTAATAAGTTCTTATTAACGTTAAACAACAACGTTAAACCTATATGATATGTGCAGATAATCCATTCTTCAATGTAATAGAATGTAGATAGATGATCTTCCACTGTGTCTTCATCTCTTATCCTGTAATCTAGAAATAGGAATGGATCATTTAACCTGCTCTCTGTGAAAAAGAATTTCTCAGGCTTCTTGTTTTGTTTCTTCATTTTTTTATTTTCGAGTGGCACCCAAGATGGTAGAATGATGCCAGGAGATGAATGTACTGAATGTTTTTGGAGCCACTCAAAAACCATGCTCCAAATCTTAGCTGCTGTAGAAGGTCAGAGATAATTCTAGAACGTGGGCTCTTGTCTGTTATGTTAAGCACTCACAATCTGGTTTGGAACTTTGATATTCTTAAAATGACTGGAAACAAACATTTTAGAGGAAGTGGAGAGGGAAAAATGACATTTTAGAAGGCCTTTTGGAAAAAGATTCTGAGATCACATCAGAGCTCAGTGAGAAGTGCCACAATCAGTTATTGATGTTTGCAATGGCCATGGTAAGGAGACAGGAGAGGTACATAAACCATTGCTTTATTTTTTAATATTACATTAAGAGGGCCGGGCGTGGTGGCTCACGCCTATAATCCCAGCACTTCAGGAGGCTGAGGTGGGTAGATCACCTGAGGTCAGGAGTTCGAGACCAGCCTGAACAACATGGTGAAACCCCATCTCTACTAAAAATACAAAAAAATTAGCTGGGTGTGGTGGTACGTGCCTGTAATCCCAGCTACTCGGGAGGCTAAGGCAGGAGAATCGTCTGAACCCAGGAGGCAGAGGTTGCAGTGAGCTGAGATCACACCATTGCACTCGAGCCTGGGCAACAAGAGTGAAACTCCATCTCAAAAAAAAAAAAAAATTATGGGTAGGTCTTAGCTCTTCTATGTAAAATTGTACGTTTGGAATAAACTGATTCTCTTATTCAATAATTCAGAGAAAGAGTTCGAGTGGAGGGCATGGAAAAGGAACTTGCGTTTATTAGGCATCTATTATGTGCCAGGATGTGTCATGGTACTTCATATTTAATCTTCACAATAACCCTCTGGAGTGAATATTTCTGCACTGTCCCATTTATAAGAGATCAGTATGGAACTTGTCTCAGTTCATTTAGTCAGTAAGTTTGTATTTGTACCTTTGTTCTTTATATGAAAAATCTCATGTTCTTTCTACCTGATTAGGTCAGAATTGCAGCAAGAAACAAATGACATACTCAAATTAGGTAACTGAGGAGAGCTAATAAAGGGGTTATTTATAAAGCTGTGGACAGAGATAAGAGAAACCTACAAGTAATGGTTTGGTATCTTGGGCCTAGCAAAATGTTGCAGGATCCTTGGGGTGTCACTTTTCTGGCTGGAAACCTGTAGCTGATGGCGCCTTTGCCCAAGTTTTGCTTGAGCCCACTGGGCTTGTTCTGCCCACTTGGCTAGGCAGGCTGTGCTCAGCTTATGGTACCAGCCTGGATCCTATGCCTCCAAGGGAGGCTGTGAGTCAGGTGTGGAGTGGCAAGGGGTGTGTGAGCAAGCATGGGGTCTGGCCACCGCACAGTCAGACACACTGTCTGATGCCACAGGGTGGGCAGCTCCAGATGCCGGCATGGGTGCCAGCTCTCTGCAAGGCTGCAGCTGGAGCAGATGCACTGCAAGCAGCTTCCCCAGCTGGCACTGGGAAATGCAGTGGTGACTGGAAGCTTTGAGATGCCAGGAACTGCAGGGTCCCAAAGAGGGCATCACAGCCCTGGCTTGGGGAGCTCCCAGGCCTGGGGTCCCCAAAGGGCTGCAGCTCTTTTCTCCATCTCTTCACCCACAACATGGTGAGCAAGGGACATGTTTCAGCTCTGTTTGTCTTACAGCTCTTTTAGCTTTGTCATTTGGTGGGTCCTGAGTTCTTGTCCTGTGACCAGGAAGAATGAGGTACACAGACAAGTCGAGAGTGAGCCAGACAAAGAGGAGCTTTACTGAGGAATAGAACAGCTCAGAGAAGACCCACAGTGGGTAGCTCCTCTCTGTAGCCAGGGTGTCCCAATGAGTGTTTGGCTCCTAGCAGAGAGGGTAGCTCCTCTCTGCAGCTGGTTATCCCAACAAGTGTTCAGCTATTAGCAGAGAGGGTTGCTGTCTTTGTAGCTGGTCATTCCGTCACCTGCAACTCTCCGCAGAAAGGAATCCCTAGAGTGGGTGGCTCCTCTTTGCAGGCAGGTCATCCCATTATCTCTGCAGCTGGTCATCCTGTTGTTTCTCCATCCTCTGCTCTGCTCTGGCTGAGCCCAGGGCTTTTATGGGCCTCAGAGGGCAGAAAGTGCACACCAATTGGTCCATTGGCGGCTATGGGCCAACCTGTAAAAGGCACCACACGTTCCCACTGTGGTACATGGAACTGGCAGCCTGGCCCCCAGCCTTCAGGCCTTCCCTGGCCTGAAGTTGGAGCCTCACTGTGGACCTGTCCCCTTCCGTCCAGGAGCCTGTCTGCCTCCTGCTGCCATCCATGGCACCCAGGCTGCTTGCACAAAGGGGCACCTGAAGGCCAGTGCCGAGCTGCTCTCAGCCTTCCCTTGGCTCTGCCCTTCATACTCTGGAGGGGGCCAAGGTGGCAGGGGGCTGGTGTGTCTGACTGTGCTGTGGCCAGACCCCACACCCGCTTACACACCATTTGCCACTCCACGCCTGACTTGCAGCCTCCCTTGGAGGTGTGGGATCAAGGCCAGTAGCATGAGCTAAGCACAGCCTGCCAGGTTTGACTAGGCAGAACAAGCCCTGCAGGCCCAAGCAAAACCTGGGCTAAGGTGCCACTGGCCACAGGTTTCTGGCCAGAAAAGCAACACCCCAGTGATCCTGCAACAGTATCCAGGGACTAGCAAAAGCCAGAAGCTATCTCCTTGGAGAGATTAAGGAAGAAAGTGGTCATTAGAACTCTGAGGGTCAGGACTTTGGCTTTCAGCAGAAGGATGAAGAAAATTCTAATCCACAATGATACACAAGGAAGGGAGGGAAGGGAATAGATACCCTATTCTTACTCTCCCCACCCTCTGCTTTCTTGCTGGTGACTTTAATTGATGGAAACAAACTTGAGGCTTGAGGCCAAGGGAGTCCATTGAGAAGGCCCATAAAGGTCAGCCTTTGAATGTAATAAAAGGGACAGACGATCTGGAGGGTAAACAAACTGTATAGCACACCATCCCATTGGCCGTAAGAAAAATAGTGTTAGATAATGCTTTTAGGTGTTTTTGTAAAGCTTTCATACAGATAAATAAATGATCCACAAAGCCTTTTTGATTCATTGCAAAAAATATGCAAATAACAACAACCCCCTCCCCCCAAAAAACCTCAACCAACAGTGGCTTAAGCATTGAATATATTTAATTATATTGTATTTGAAGAATTCTGAATTACAGAAATCCAGGGCTGATTCAGTAGCTCAGTGACATCATCAAAGATGTCATTTCTTTTTTCACTTTTCATCCCCACAGCCACCCACTGTGTTGGTTCTCCTACTGTGGCTTATTACTGGCAGGTTATAATGTGTCTCTCATAGCCCCAGGTCACACAAATGTACTTGTAGGAAGTTAGGCACAAAAAGGGCACTTCTTTTCTTCTAAAGAAGTTTTGCCTTCTTGCCTTCATCTTATTCATGAAGCAAAATCTTAACAAGAACCTCAGGAAGACTTAATCTTTACATTTTAATTGTCAGAATTGGTTTGCATACACACTCCTACTGCAATGGGATCTGAGAACGCGAGCATATGCCAGAGGGGAACTGGAGCTTTATGACTGGCTAAGCTCAATCACGAATCGTCCCCTGGACTTGGCACACTGCTACTCTTATCAAACCAGGGTACCACTAACTGAGAATAAAGTAGGGAGGAAAGCTGTTAGTCAATGAATATTGTCTTGAAATTAAAAAATATTACCTTGAAAATAAAAAAAATTCAACTTTTATTTTAGATTCGGGGGTACACATGCAGGAGTTTTACTTGGGTATATTGTGTGATGCTGAGGTTTGGGGCACTTATCTTGGATTTTGATAATCCTTTTGCTTTAAAAAGTGAGATGAACATTCTCTAAGTCTAACTTAAATTTTCAGTTTTGGCTTGAATCTGTCCCCCCTTCTTAATGTATCCCATCAAGTTTTATACTTAAATTGGATCACACAAGTTACTATTTATTCCCATAACACACTACACTTTTCCTTACCTCCATGCTATTCATTTTTCCTCCCTTCTACTGTTTCTCAGTATGATAAATTTCTGTCGATCCTTCAACATTTACATGTTGTTGCTTCTGCTGTGAAGACTTTCTCTCTCCCTCACTTTCTTCCTGCTCCTAAAGTTTCTTCAAACCCATCCCTGTTTTAGCTGCATTTTATGGTAAACTTTATCTTTATGTCTGTTCCTCAATCAGAATATGACTTACTGAAGAGCAAATTTGAGTGCTTTTTGTTTGTTTCCTCCTCTGCTACATTGATGCATTAATAGTCCCCAATTCTTTACCCTTCCCTGTATCCATGTCCTTTGCCATACATAATTATTTAGGGGCCTTCTCACCCTACCCAATTTGTTGACTCTGGGTTCAAGGAGTTGTTTTGGCCAATGGGATGTGAGTATACACGATGGAAACAGGATTATTGAATTGAGGCTACTCTCTTATATGTCTGTCATTGCCGTGAGAAGATCGTGATGAAGTGTAGTCTCTTCGTTGCCTCAAGCTAGGATAGCCTAGATCAGCTGACAGCCAGACAATCTGCAGACCCATAGGCAAACCTGCTCAGAGCTTCTTAGCTGACCACCATAGGTGCATGAGCAATAAATATTTAATATTGTATGCCATTGTGGTTTTGTGGGTTTTGTTACATAGCATTATTGTGGCAATAGATAACTAATACACCTCTTCTGTACACAGAGCAACATTTAACACACAGGAAATAAAAGCTTTATTACAGTAGCACCTCTGAAAGTGCTTATTATACTCTGTAAGTGGTGTGAGACTGGACATCAGTGTAGTTTTGTTTCATATTATTTTTAATTGAATATGGGATATCCAGGTATGAATATTCAGGAAGTGGTTAGAGACATAAAGCTCTAGTATACCTTAGAGAAAAGAAGATTTAGAGCTATGGGTTAGCAGTTATATTCATAAAAGTGAAGCCAATAAAATAATTATGACATTTATTGAGCACATATTCTATGTCTGGCACAATACAGACACTTGGAACATAATATTAAACAACATAGACATAGTTTCTTCTCTCATAGAAAGACATACAAAAAAAGTTAAAAGCAAAAATAAGTAATATAACTACAAATTCAGGTAATTATAGAAGAAATGAATAAATGGCTGAGTTAAAGAATAAATAGAGGGTTCAAGACATGTTCAAGATTTCATGGTCATAGAAGGCCTTCTCAAAGTGGTAACATTTAATCTGAGAAATCCTGAATGAGGAAGGGAGTTTATCTTGCAATAGAGAAAGACACCCCATGCAATAGAAGCAGAATGTACAAAGGCCCCAGAAAACAGATAAGCTGAGGGTGTTTGAAAGAACCGTAAAAGCCATGGTGTTTGGAGCATACTTCGTTAGGAAGTACATAGAACAGAATGAAGTTGGAGGAATAGGCAGTAAGCATGTCATAGACTGTTGGAGGAAGTCTGGATTTAGATTCTAAGTCAAATATAAAGCCGTACTTTATGGTTTTAAGCAGGAGGGTAACAAGATGCAATTTATGACTTATATTTGAGGATTATGTTAGGTAGGTATTATCTATATGTAATCAGAGTTTTGAGAGATCTGATGTTCTTAACTGTGTAATATTGAATCTTGTATTTCTACCCATTATGTTCACTAATGATGGTTGGGCAGTGTATTAGTTCATTCTCGCATTGCTATAAAGAACTATCTGAAACTGGGTAATCTATTAAAAATAAAGGTTTAATCACCTCACAGTTCTGTGGGCTATACCATCTTTTGCTTCAGGGGAGGCCTCAGGAAACAATCATAGCAGCAGTTGAAGCAGAAGCAAGCACATCTTCACATGGCTGGCGAGAGAGAGAGAGAGAGAGAGAGAGAGAGAAAGGAGCAGGCACTACACACTTTTGAACAACCAGCTCTCGTGAGAACTCTATCATGAGAACAGGAAGTGGGAAGTCCACCCAAAGGATTCAGTTCACCTCCCATCGGGCCCCTCCTCCAACACTGGGAATTACAATTCGGCGTGAGAATTGGGTGGGGCCACGGAGCCAAACCATATCAGGCAGGTTCCATAACTTTCTGTTGGGAAAGTTGGCATAGTAATTGTAGTAGTTTGGCCTGTTCTCTCGTCTAACTTTGAACGCCCTTTGGGAAGGTTTCTGATCTCAATATCTGGTGGCGTATTAGTATTCTTTTTTCAAAGTGGCGCAATAGTATTTTTATTATCAGTCTTGGGCCTCAGCAACTCAAAGATAACAGAAAAATATTCTACTCAACATTCTGTCACATGTTTCATAAGTTAAACTGAAGCTCAGGAGATGTAAAGCATGTATCCACTGTCATATGAGTAGCAGTTGAAAGTAAGAGCTAGGGTTTCCATCCTATACTACCTGATGCAAAAGGCTACGTTCTGAACCACAATGTTATATTGTTATTCCGAAGACATGAGTTCTGTCAGCAAGAGTGGAAAAACAAAAAAGTAGAGGTTTGAGGACCGTGTTACATTCCATACAAGCTCAATATTTCTTCTGTCTACTTTATCCTGCCCCATCAGCTAGACTATTCATTTAGAGTACCTTGACCTCAAGGCACTTAAAACTATGGAAACTTGGAGATAGAAAGTAAAGTGAAGCATCTCAAAAATTTTCACAGAAATTAAGAAAATAAAACTGTTCAATCACTTACTTTCCGGAAATTCTGAGAGGTGCCTTGGAAGTTTCCATTTTCAAACAAGAGAAGCTGAGATACGGACTGGCAATGCAGAACAGAAGTCGCAGTGCCATTAAAAAAACTAAACTTCTATTAAAAAGTCTAATGCTTGGTTGCCTAGAACCCCCATATGACATTCCTAATCCATTGCCTCTAGGAATTCTACATACACCCATCAATTTTATATATTTTCATAAACTCACTTTTTTCCTAAAACTAGTGAGGATTCTAGAATCTAGCATATAAAATCATTTAGCTATTTTCTCTAACTCCCAAAAGTACAACATTTCTTTCTTGAGAAAAAGCATCATTCTGTCTGCTTCTAGACCCACCCACATCTGTCTTTCTGGAAACTATATTTTGTAGGCACTAATTTGAAGAACTCATTAAAAAGAAAAGAAAAAAGCTATAAGAATAACTGATTACAGTCAACAATCCCATAATTTGTAATGTCTTAATTTTTAATCCCCCTATAGATGAAAACAGTACTTTCTGTTTCAAATTTGGGTAATTGAATAGTGACCTAATGAGCAAATTGACAGTGATTGTCAAAAAAATTTCCAACATATTGATGATTAAAGTAACAAGGGCTGATTTTCTTTTAATTTAATCTCTCCTTTACATGTTTTGCCAATCAGGCCAGCTTTTTCTAATTTTGCTAGAAATAGGTGGGAAAGCTTTTGCTCTCCTGCCTCCCCTGTTTTAAGTACAGTAAGTTTTCATTGTGGCAATAGTTCTAAGAGGATTTTTTTAAAAAGCTTTGTAAAATCATGTGAATCCTAATTAATGTTTGGTTATGCTTATCATTCTTGCTATTTTAGTTACATCACCACTTAATAGATCTTATTAAAGCAATGTAATAACTAAGTATTGTTAGAACACCCATTGGCTAGCATTCTAAGCCTTGTTCTTGAATTAATTATTCAAAGCCAAAGTATTCATTTTCTTCAATTTTATACTGTAATAGATGCCAGAAGTCCTGAATTCTAGCTACTAAAATATTCTGTAAACTAAGGTAAAAAACCTGATTTTTCCAGATTTGACTTTCCCCAGTAGGGAGATTGAGAGCAATACACTGGATATTTCTAAGGTTACTTCAAGCTTTAGAATTAAAATTGCAGCATTATGGAAAAAGTGATTATCCAAGTTCAGATCAGAAATTACCAGAGTTTGGTTGGTTTTAACTGTAATACATGGCTGTGTCTAAGATTAATGAACATGTATATATAATAGGTATATTAAGAAAAATCCTGATTCCCACAAGGATGTAACTAGTAATGTAACTAGTAATTCACAGACTCTAAATGGGCAGTTGATACCAATGCCTACCAAATAGAAGGGTAAAGAGGAATGTCATTATCCATATTGGAAAATGATGGAAGGAAAAGAACTTATAAACCATTTCTTGTGTTTTTCTCTCCCCTCCTCCATTTGGCCTCCCACCCACCCACCTCCCATCAGCACCATATTGATGTAGGAGAACTGTCAGCTGCTGGGAGTTAGTGGTAGGGCTGGGGTTTTGCAAATGACCTCACCTTGTTTTGAATTTCTGTTTTCCATCTGCTTTTGGCAAACATTGCTGCATTTTTAATAAGTCAATCTACTTTTAATATAATTGATGAGCATTCCATTTGCTTTCCAGTGAAATACTGAGGTTGTTTTATATTGAGGAACAAGGAAGCCTGGCTTCCTTCCCCATAACGTCCCACTGGCCCCTTCTGCCATTCATAACTAGAACTATAATTTACTTTCTTCTTTATCTCTACTTAGGAGCTTTCCTGTGGCCTCTTTCACTGGTTAGCAGACTCAATCTCTCTCTCTCTTTCTGGTCCTTGCTGTAGGATCAAGGATGTGCATGGACCATGGTGCCCTCACCAATTCTCTTCTAAAGGACAGATTATACAGGCAACTGGCATGGGCCAAGATCGTCAGCCCTTCCATTTGAAGATCTTCCTACCCTTCTACTCTTCCCTCCAGTGAGGAGAGAAAGAGCCAATTTCAGCCAATCTCAGGGATTCTCCTCATTTGTTTTCTGACCTTTAACTCCACATCACCTTCTCTTCCTTTCCCTTCAAAAACTAAGCTTTTCAAGCTGGTGAGTACTCAAGATTTGTCTTATGTACCAACTCTGACTGGCTGTGTGTGCCTGGAATATTATTTGAAAAGTGAGTCTGGGCTTATTTAGCAGGAAAGAATGCTGCGATCTCTATAAGTTGTGGGAAAGGGAAGGATGCACCTGGAACCAACAGCCTCATTAGTCCTTACTTCATATCCAGATAGAAGTGGTCCCGTCTTTTCATGTATTCCAACTGTTTACTGTGGGAATTATGCCATGCTGCATTTAATTACACTTGCTTTTAGAAGGTCTTCCTGCCCTCCCTTGCCATTCCTGCCCTGCACTCTAATTAAAAGTGTTTTAAGGACAGTGACCATGTTTTTCATATGTGTTTTCTGCTTACGGCCTACCTAATATTTATCCTGGCAGATAGTAAGTGCTAATAAAGTAACATATCTGTGGAAAATGAGATTGATTTTTTTCTCTTTATCTAGTCTTCTACTCTCTTATCCCCCGCAGCTGATTTGCAAGTGCTACTTTACCTTTAACAGTTCTCAAATATGTCCATGCTTCTTGCAGCTGAAAACATTCTTTTCTGACTGTTAAAACTCACCTATGCTTCAAGTAAACTTGGCTGGGAATGGTTTTGTGGCACCTTTTCATCCTTACTCCAAGCTAGGTGAAGTGTGCCTCCTACATGCTCCTCAGGGCACAGACCTCTCAAACTACTAACTAACTTGTACTTCAGCTGTTGTTTTCCTGTAAAGCTCTCTCTCAATCCTCAACTCCTCAAAGGCAGAAGTATAACACCTGGCAATATAGTAGGCACTCAATAAATGGGCTTCGAATGAATGAATAAAACCATTAGGTGTACATTAAGATGTGGAACACAGTGCAAAGCTCAAATATTTTATTACCCAAAGTGTTTCCAAGACTAAATTCTGTGCTAAATTATGGCCCTGACAGTTCATTAGATAACGTTTTAACAAAATATTTCCCTAGAAAATGCATTGCCATGGGTTTGATTATTTCACATTTGATTTTCATTATCACTCTTGTCTTCATTGGGAAAGGCCATTCCTTCTTTTCTCTAGAGAGCATGCAATGAGTAACTTTATGCTGTTTGATAAACTTATACAGTTTACAGGAACAAAATCCTAGTTAGAAATTCAAGAAGCCCAAATCAAGTATTTAATAACCCACAGGGATAACATTTCTCAGAGAGAATGTAGATTTCTGTTTACTCATTAATTTTCCCCCTCTGACGAAAATAGTTTGCTTTGAGTGGTGATTATTTTCTGTAAAATCACTTGCATTGAAATGAGATGAAAAATATACATAAGAAAAGCAAAGAAGACAAGAGAAGCACTCGTTTCTTTCTATATTTTAATCACTGTCCCCACACAAATTTTGCTTTACGAATGATCTTTGAGTCTATGGTATGTAGCTTAATGAAGTAAATATTTAATGACAAAACATATGCTGAAGAAATATAAAAACACTTTTCTGTATGTGTTCTCACTTGTAGTTTCTCCCTTTTGTAAAGTGGACATGTAAAACTAGCTGGAAAATTTGAGAGGAAAAAAATAAATATATAAGGTTTGAGTCTTTGCTGTGGTTCATAGTGTGTCTTATTTTATTTCATTTTCCTTGATTGGGCTCAGATTTGAAGCAAACTGTACTTTCCTGAACAACAGACACAAAAAAATCACTTACATGTGCTTGCATTTTTACTTTTTCTTTATGTTTTGTCTACAGGGAATAAAAATAATGAGATTGCTAATTTATATTTTGCATACTATAAAATATGACTTTTAGTCTCAAATATAATATAATGTGAAGTTATTTTAAATCTTTAGATTTAAATCTTTAGATTTATTTATTTATTTAAATCTTTAGATTATCTTTTACCATATCCTCATATAAAAACTAACAGAATACATGCTTTATTGTGGTTTGAGTTTCATTTCTGCTTAAATTCAAAAGCTAATTAATCATAGAAAGCCTCTCAGAAGAATTGTTGATGTTGAAAATCCTTGAAGGAAAGTTTTTTCCTCAATTTTTTGTATTGTGGTAAAATACATACAGCATTTACCATCTCAACAATTTTTTTAAGTGCACAGTTCAATGCTATTAAGTATGTTCACATTGTTGTGCAACCATCCATCTTCAGGACCCTTTTCATCTTGCAAAACTGAAACTCTATACCCATTAAACAATAACTCCCCATTCTCCCTCCCTTTAGGTTCTGGCAACCACCATTCTATTTTCTATCTCTGTGATTTTTACTACTTTAAGTGTCTTATATAAGTAGAATTATGCAGTATTTGTCTTTTTGTGATTGGCTTATTTAACTTAGCATAATGTCCTTAAAAATCATCCATGTTGTAGCACATGTCATAATTTCCTCCTTTTTTAAGGCTAAATCATAATATATATATATATATACACCCACATTTTGCTTATCTGTTCATCAGTTGATGGACACTTGGGTTCTTCCATGTTTTAACTATTGTGAATAATGCTGCCATAAATATGAGCGTATAAATATTTCTTTAAGACACCACTTTATTGTTGCCTTTGTATTTAGTTATTTTTTGTAGTGAAATGTTTCAATTCCTTCTCATTTCTTTTTGTGGATACAACATTCTATAACTATTTTCTTTGTGGTTACCATGGGGATTACATTTAACATCCTAAAGTTATTATACTCTAATTGGAATTTATACCAGATTAACTTTAACAACATATAAAAACACTGCCCATTTACACATCTATCCCTATCCCTTTCAGTTAGTGTTGTCACAAAATTACACCTTAGTACATTTGTGTGCAAAAATAAACTAGTTTTAAGATGTATTAATCTCTTACCTTATGTAGAAAACAAAATGTAGAGTTACAAACCAAAGCTATAATAATACTAGCATTTAGACTTTTTTTAGTGTATTAATATCTTGAACTTTAAAAAGTGCAGTTACACTCTGTTGTTACATAATACTAGTTTTTAAATAATTTCCCGTGTATTTACCTTTACTGAGATCTTTTTTTCATCATACTGATTCTAGTTGCCATCTAGTGTCCTTTTATTTAAACTTGCAGGACTCCTTTTAGAATTTCTTGCAGGGCAAACTCTAGTGCTAATGAACTTGCTCAGCTTTTGTTTATCTGGAAATTTCTTAATTTCGATCCCACTTTTGAAGGATAGTTTTGCTAGACACAGATTTTCTGGTAAACAGTTTTTGTTTTTGTTTTGTGTTAGCACTTTGAGTATATTAGCCCACTGCCTTCTGGCCTCCAAAATTTCTGATGAGAAATCTTCTGATAGTCTTATGGATTAACCCTTGTATGTGATGAGTCACTTCTCTCTTGCTGCTTTCAAGAATCTATTTATTTATTTATTTATATTTTTGAGACAGAGTCTTACTCTGTTGCCCAGGCTGGAGTGCAGTGGCATGATCTCGGCTAACTGCAACCTCTGCCTCCCAGGTTCAAGTGATTCTCATGCCTCAGCCTCCAGAGTAGCTGAGACTACAGGCATGCACCGCCATGCCCAGATAATTTTTGTAGTTTTAGTAGAGATGGGGTTTCACCATGTTGGCCAGGCTGGTCTGAAACTCCTGGCCTCAAGTGATCCACTGCGTTGGCCTCTCAAAGTGCTGGGATTGCAGGCATGAGCAACTGCATCTGACCCTTATCTCTTTGTCTTTATATAGTTCCATTACAATGTGTCCTGGTGCAAGTCTCTTTGAGTTCATTCAACTTGGAAGTTATTGAGCTTCTTGGATGTCTAGATTCATGTCTTTCATCAAATTTGAGAAGTCTGGGGTCAGTATTTCTTCAAATAATCTCTCTTCCCCTTTCTCTCTCTCTTTCTCTGGGTCTCCTACAATACATATGTTGGTCTACTTGATGGTATCCCACAAGTCTTTAAGTCTATGTTCAGTTTTCTGCAGTCTTTTTTTTAATTTCTCAGACTTGATTATTTAAATTCTCCCAGTGTCAAGTTGGTAATTCTTCTTTCTGCCTCCTCAAATCTGTTATCGAATCCCACCGGTGAATTTTTTATTTTGATTAGTGTGATTTATAGCTCTAGATTTTTTTGTTTCTTTTTAGATTTTTTATTTTTATTGATATTTTTATTTTGTTCATAAATTATTTTTCTTCATGTATTCCTTTTGTTGTTTGTGAACTTTAAAACAGGTGTCTTGAAGTGTTTGTCTAGTAGTTATGCAATCTGGTCTTTCTCAGGGACTGCTTATGTTGGTTTCTTTTTATTTTTTTCCTTTGAGCCATGATTTCCTGTTTCTTTGTATGCTTTGGAATTTTTGTTGAAAACTGGACATTTGAATCTAATAATGTGGTAACTCTGGAGATAAGATTCTCCCCCTTCCTTAGGGTTTGCTCTTTTCTATTTTTGTTTTGTTTTGGTTTTGATTGTTGTAGACTGTCTCTATACCAATGATTAGCCTGGGGAGGGTAAACCTAAGGTCATCTTTAGTCTTTTCTAAGCCTGCACCTTTCCCTGGCATGAGTTGTAGTCACTTTCTAATTTTCTTAATATATACAGTTGTTTTTGAATGGCCTAGTATTTAAGGTGTATAGAAATAAAAATATATAAAACCTAAAAAGAAGCAAAAAATCTAGAGCTTAAAAGTACAATAACTAATATGAAAAATTCACTAGAGAGATTCAAGAACAGATTTGAGCAGCAGAAGAAAGAATCAGCAAACATGACAGTGTGACAATTTAACTGATCAAGACTGTGGAATTGAAAGAAAAAAGACTCAATAAAAATGAACAGGGTCTAAAGAACCTGTGGAATACCATCAAGTGGACCAACATATGCACTGCAGGGGACTCAGAAGAGGCAAAAGAAAAATGAAAGAGGGAAGGATTCTAGCCCTTTAAATACCATGAAAGTCACTTCAGATTAAGAAAGAGAGCCTTGCAACAAATAGTGGTGGGGACTAGGGGCTAGTGCTATAATGGCTGGCTGCCTGCCTCTTGGTCTGCACCTCAATGATCAAAAGCAGCAATCGGAATACAGATTCTAATCACTGGACAACAAGTTCTTATTGCTCTCTGTGGCTCCCACAGGCCATGTACAAGCTGTTCCAGAGATAATGAATAGATGCCTGCCACAGGCTAGGGTTGGGGGATTGGTATTCGCTGCTGAGCTAAGAGCTGACAATTTACTGTCCAACCATCCCCTGGAAGTTACAAGCCTTTAGTAGACTATAGAGTTAAGAAATAGTTATGTTAGACAGATGTTGTTAGTGCAATTGTTGTCTAGGTGGGTAGATTGATTCCTGATGTTATTGCACCACTTTGTAGAAATCTCTCTGAAGCACCTTTTAAATTAAGAAATGCATATAATATATTTTTAGCTAATTGGCTCAAGTCATATTTCTCATAAATATTAATATATTATATTCAATTGACAGTTTCTTTTCACAATTAGTACACATAGAACTATCTATTTCAAAATATTGTTAGGGACATAATTTTGAAAGTCATTTCTCCTGAATATGGTGATGAAATGAAAACTGTTCAAAAAAACTAATTATTGAGATTTTGTTAACTGAAAAGCAAAAGTGAAATTGAAAAGAAATGTGAATGTGTATACGGTGAACTCATGAGTATGTGTGTGATGTGAAGAGGGGAGATTGTGAAGAGAACGCTGTGCCTTCAAATCAACTAAATGGTTAAATAAAACACAGTAACAAGTGTGGTCTTGTTGCTAGATCAGGCACATTTTTAGTTTTGGAACATACTTCATTGCATAGAATTTAATATGTAATTGTTGTTTGTGTATAAAACCTTATTTACCCTCTCCCACACAAACTAGAATTATAAACTTTAATTTTCCTTTCAAAATAAAATACAACTTGTCTCTTGTGATGTAACAAAATTAAATAAAACATAAAGCATTTCTAAACAAACATGCAATAATAATTTTAGCTCTAGCCTAGTAACATTTCAAGCAGAGTCATCAAATCATGGCTGTACACAAATTTATTAATGATAAGATCATGTTAATACCAATTAGTTCATTTGTCTTTATACTTAATAAAGTGCTTTTGATGCTTATCTGATAGACATTGTGCAAGGCATATTATATGTGGTGGGATGCAGGATAAAATTGCGTATAGTTGAGCATTTCTTTCTTATGTTTAACTTTTGAATAACCCAAACTTTCCTACATTATTCATGAACATTCCAAAAACACTATTCTAAAATGAATTTGAATTTTGATTTATCAAGTGGTAGAACTTTAAAACACCTGTTTTAAAGTTCACAAACAACTAAAAGAATACATGAAGAAAAATAATTTATGAACAAAATAAAAATATCAATAAAAATAAAAAATCTAAAAAGAAACAAAAAAATCTAGAGCTATAAATCACACTAATCAAAATAAAAAATTCACCGGTGGGATTCGATAACAGATTTGAGGAGGCAGAAAGAAGAATTACCAACTTGACACTGGGAGAATTTAAATAATCAAGTCTGAGAAATTAAAAAAAAGACTGCAGAAAACTGAACATAGACTTAAAGACTTGTGGGATACCATCAAGTAGACCAACATATGTATTGTAGGAGTCAAATTTGATGAAAGACATGAATCTAGACATCCAAGAAGCTCAATAACTTCCAAGTTGAATGAACTCAAAGAGACTTGCACCAGGACACATTGTAATGGAACTATATAAAGACAAAGAGATAAGGGTCAGATGCAGTTGCTCATGCCTGCAATCCCAGCACTTTGAGAGGCCAACGCAGTGGCCTACTACATGTAATTCCACTACATGTAAACGAATTCCACTACATGTAAACAGTGTTCAACATTCTCATTTTTAACTTCCAACATTTTGATATAAATTATGTATAAAAGTAGAAGACTGCTTGGAAAACAGAGTCCTGCAACCCTTGTCTTTTTATCATAATCATCCACAAGACTGGATGTATGTTCTGAAAATCACAATGCATACAAATGTGAAGAGGTTCATGTAAGTTGAATAATAATAATAATAATGAGTAACATTTATGTATTGCATACTATGTGGCAGGCACTCTTCTAGGCACTTGCCCATATTAAACCATTTAATCCTTAAAACAATCTTATAAGGTAGATATTACTATTACTTCCATTTTACATGTGAGAAAATGGAAGCACAGAGAGATAAGGTAACATGTTCAAGGATATACAGCTAGGATTTTGTGGGGTTGGGATTCAAACTTAAGTAGTCTGGCTTTAGACTTTAACTGTTGCTAGAATAAGTAGAAAGAACTTTATGAAATACGTTGACTTTAAACAAGAAACTGAAGAAAGATATCACTTAAAAATTTTACTTAATTTTTTTTATTTTGAAATACTTTTAGACTTACAGAAAAGTTGCAAAAATAGTGCGGAGAATTCTCTTTACTCAGCCTTCCATAATATTAACATTTTATATTACCTTAGCACAGCTATTCAAACAGGAAATTGACATTGGTACAATACTGTTAACTATTGTTGATATATATGTGTATATAAAAGAGGCTATTTTTAATTTGTGAATTGTCACAACAATGTCCTTTTTCTGGTCTGTAATCCAATTCAGGCTCTCACATTGCATTTAATTATTATGCTTTCTTAGTCTCCTCCAAACTATGACAGTTCTTCGTTCTTTTTTTTATCCACTATGGACAGGACATCTGGTAAGAGTAACTTAGGGCAGTTATTTTTGGTACTTATTGAGTTCCTCAGTATAGGTTTTTCTGTTGTTTTCTCAAAAGTATATTGAGATTATCAATTTTTGGCAAGAATACTACAGAAATGATGTTGTGTCCTTCTCAGTGCATCATATCAGTAGGTATCTGATGTCTGTATATCTTTTTACTGATGGATGTTAATCTTGGTCACTTGTTAAGAGTAATGTTTGGTAGTTTTCCCCAGTGTGAAGTTTCTATTTTTTTTCCTTTGAAAGGTACGTTCTAATGGAAAGATACCTTGACACTGCAAATACCCTATTTCTTATCAAACATTGTTCACTGATTTTGGTATTCATTTATGATATTGCCTGCAACCATTATAAATGTGGTGTATGCTTAATGTAATTTGTTCTAAAGAATAGCTATTCCCTTTGCACTTTTAAATTAACTTCAATTTTTTATTTATATCAGTATGGGTTATAATCTGACACTATTAGTACTTAACTTTGTTGTTTATATTACTCCAACCTTGGCCACTAGTAGCTCCTATATATTTTGACATGACCTTATTATTTTTTGAATGCCTTACAGTTTTGAAAAAGGAAATCACTGCAATATTTTACTCCGTCTCAAAAACAAACAAGTTCATGATATAACCCATGAATTATAAATAATATGACATAATAGACATATTAATAAAGAGCTATGGGAATCACAGAAGAGAGAGCAACTAATTCTGCCTATGAAGAAGATGGATGGCGTGAGAGGAAGCTTCGGAATGGAGGAGACAGTTTTAGAATGAAGAATTCAGTAGTGAGAAGGAAATTGGGAGAACTTTACAGGATGAGGCAAAAACTTGATTAAGGACACAGGCATGAAGGAGAAAAATAGGATTAAGGAACGAATGGGAAACTGAAACTCAGGTTGCGTTTGACAGAGGAGGATGGAAGCAGTGGAAGGTAGAAGTCTGGGTGGTAAGTTGGAGCCAGGACATGGTGTGTCTTACAGACCATGGCAAGAAGTTTGGCTTTGTCTTTTTTAACACCTACAAAACCTTTGAATGGCTTTGTCTTGAACATTGGAAATTATTCAGCAATTAAACTTGGATATTTTGGTCCTGGAAAAATAACCAGAGCAAAATAAGAGATGGAGTGATTCTGTATTATTATTCCAAAGAGGCTATTGAATCACGTGACACCAGCTTTGATAAAAAATATTTCAAAATATATAAACCCAAATATGTTGATCTCATTTCTGGCTCTGTGTATCTTAACTTTCGCATATTATCTTATGGTATTCCTTTTCAGAAAACAGGTCTTGGGAAAAGTGGCAAATTAAATGAGATTGAATATAATCAAATAAAGACAGTATTGTCTGCGTTCAATATTAAAATCTCTTTCTCCATAAATTATAGTTTTTTTGTCATGTAAAAGAACTGTATGGGATTTTTGGTCTAGCAGTAAATATCCTGAGTTCCGTATAAATTACACATCAAACTATATGCAGCATGCACTTAAACTAATGAGGGATTGATTGATTTGGAACCTTCTTTACAATGAAATATAATCTTAAGTTTTTAATCAACATATTTTCAGAGATGACATAGCGTATTTTTTAAAAGAACAAAATATAGAAAAAGTCAACTTTTGTAAACAAAAAGTATAAATAAGTACTCTAAATTTGTTAACAAAATTTGAAAAAAATTCTTTTATTAAAGACCTTGTTTATGTTAAAACAAAAATATCTGAAGTGAGTGTAAAGTGTTTTTGTTCAAAAAAAGGACCTTCATTTTGTCTTAAAGACATTAATGAGTGGCTTTACTTTTGGGCATGGTTTGTCAAGAGGTACTGAATTAGTAGAAATACTTAAAGTCATCAAGTAATTTGTAATGATTAAATTAGTTCATTTCAGCAATAAGTGAGACATCAAACAATGATGTTTGTATTGTCTTGGATCTTCTATTCTAATGGAATATTTGTAGAATAATATTGCAAATAAGAGGTATAAATCTCTGAATTTTTACAGAAGTGAATAAATCAATGAACTGAATACATGAGTGAAAATTCAGTGTACATTGCCATGAGTGAAAATTCAGTAATGTACACTGAATAAATAAAATAAATAAGATAAATTTTATTATCTTATAAAATTTCAACTAGCACAAACTTTAATGGGTAGAAAATGAAGCAAGGCTTATGTCTGGAAGAATTGCTAATTAAAGTTTGGATATAAAGTTGTATTTTTGAGAAGAATGCATGAACTTCTTTTTTTTGTTTCTCTTTTTTTTATTTTTTATTTTTTACTTTTTTTATTATACTTTAAGATTTAGGGTACATGTGCACAACGTGCAGGTTAGTTACATATGTATACATGTGCCATGTTGGTGTGCTGCACCCATTAACTCGTCATTTAACATTAGGTATATCTCCCAATGCTATCCCTCCCCACTCCCCCCACCCCACAACAGGCCCCGGTGTGTGATGTTCCCCTTCCTGTGTCCATGTGTTCTCATTGTTCAATTCCCACCTATGAGTGAGAACATGCGGTGTTTGGTTTATCGTTCTTGCAATAGTTTGCTGAGAATGATGGTTTCCAGCTTCATCCATGTCCCTACAAAGGACATGAACTCATCCTTTTTTATGGCTGCATAGTATTCCATGGTGTATATGTGCCACATTTTCTTAATCCAATCTATCATTGTTGGACATTTGGGTTGTTCCAGGTCTTTACTATTGTGAATAGTGCCGCAATAAACATATGTGTGCATGTGTCTTTATAGCAGCATGATTTATAATCCTTTGGGTATATACACAGTAATGGGATTGCTGGGTCAAATGGTATTTCTAGTTCTAGATCCCTGAGGAATCACCACACTGACTTCCACAATAGTTGAACTAGTTACCAGTCCCACCAACAGTGTAAAAGTGTTCCTATTTCTCCACATCCTCTCCAACACCTGTTGTTTCCTGACTTTTTAATGATCGCCATTCTAACTGGTGTGAGATGGTATCTCATTGTGGTTTTGATTTGCATTTCTCTGATGGTCAGTGATGATGAGCATTTTTCCATGTGTCTTTTGGCTGCATAAATGTCTTCTTTTGAGAAGTGTGTGTTCATATCCTTTGCCCACTTTTTGATGGGGTTGTTTGTTTTTTTCTTCTAAATTTGTTTGAGTTCATTGTAGATTCTGGATATTAGCTCTTTGTCAGATGAGTAGATTGCAAAAATTTTCTCCCATTCTGTAGGTTGCCTGTTCACTCTGATGGTAGTTTCTTTTGCTGTGCAGAAGCTCTTTAGTTTAATTAGATCCCATTTGTCAATTTTGGCTTCTGTTGCCATTGCTTTTGGTGTTTTATTCATGAAGTCCTTGCCCATGCGTATGTCCTGAATGGTATTGCCTAGGTTTTCTTCTAGGGTTTTTATGGTTTTAGGTCTAACATTTAGGTCTTTAATTTTTGTATAAGGTATAAGGAAGGGATCCAGTTTCAGCTTTCCACATATGACTAGCCAGTTTTCCCAGCACCATTTATTAAATAGGGAATCCTTTCCCCATTTCTTGTTTTTGTCAGGTTTGTCAAAGATCAGATGGTTGTAGATATGCAGCATTATTTCTGAGGGCTCTGTTCTGTTCCATTGGTCTGTATCTCTGTTTTGGTACCAGTACCATGCTGTTTGGGTTACTGTAGCCTTATAGTACAGTTTTGAAGTCAGGTAGTGTGATGCCTCCAGCTTTGTTCTTTTGGCTTAGTATTGACTTGGCAATGCCGGCTCTTTCTTGGTTCCATATGAAATTGAAAGTAGTTTTTTCCAATTCTGTGAAGAAAGTCATTGGTAGCTTGATGGGGATGGCACTGAATCTATAAATTACCTTGGGCAGTATGGCCATTTTATTGGTTCTTCCTACACATGGGAATGGAACGTTCTTCCATTTGTTTATGTCCTCTTTTACTTCATTGAGCAGTGGTTTGTAGTTCTCCTTGAAGAGGTCCTTCACATCCCTTGTAAGTTGGATTCCTAGGTATTTTATTCTCTTTGAAGCAATTGTGAATGGGAGTTCACTCATGATTTGTCTCTTTGTTTGTCTGTTATTGGTGTATAAGAATGCTTGTGATTTTTGCACGTTGATTTTGTATCCTGAGACTTTGCTGAAGTTGCCTATCAGCTTAAGGAGATTTTGGGCTGAGACAGTGGGGTTTTCTAGATATACAATCATGTCATCTGCAAACAGGAACAATTTGACCTCCTCTTTTCCTATTTGAATACCATTTATTTCCTTCTTCTGCCTGATTGCCCTGGCCAGAACTTCCAACACTATGTTAAATAGGAGTGGTGAGAGAGGACATCCCTCTCTTGTGCCAGTTTTCAAAGGGAATGCTTCCAGTTTTTGCCCATTCAGTATGATATTGGCTGTGGGTTTGTCATAGATATCTCTTATTATTTTGAGATACGTCCCATCAATACCTAATTTATTGAGAGTTTTTAGCATGAAGGTTGTTGAATTTTGTCAAAGGCCTTTTCTGCATCTATTGAAATAATCATATGGTTTTGGTCATTGGTTCTGTTTATATGCTGGATTACATTTATTGATTTGTGTATGTTGAACCAGCCTTGCATCCCAGGGATGAAGCCCATTTGAACATGCTGGATAAGCTTTTTGATGTGCTGCTGGATTTGGTTTGCCAGTATTTTATTGAGGATTTTTGCATCGATGTTCATCAGGGTTATTGTTCTAAAATTCTCTTTTTTTGCTGTGTCTGTGCCAGGCTTTGGTATCAGGATGATGCTGGCCTCATAAAATGAGTTAGCGAGGATTCCCTCTTTTCTATTGATTGGAATAGTTTCAGAAGGAATAGTACTAGCTCCTCCTTGTACCTCTGGTAGAATTCGGCTGTGAATCCATCTGGTCCTGGACTTTTTTTGGTTGGTAAGCTATTAATTATGGCCTCAATTTCAGAGCCTGTTATTGGTCTATTCAGAGATTCAACTTCTTCCTGGTTTAGTCTTGGGAGGGTATCTGTGTCCAGGAATTTGTCCATTTCTTCTAGATTTTCTAGTTTATTTGCGTAGAGGTGTTTATAGTATTCTCTGATGGTAGTTTGTATTTCTGCACGATTGGTGGTGATATCCCCTTTATCATTTTTTATTGCATCTATTTGATTCTTCTCTCTTTTCTTCTCTATTAGTCTTGCTAGCGGTCTATCAATTTTGTTGACCTTTTCAAAAAACCAGCTCCTGGATTCAGTAATTTTTTGAAGGGATTTTGCATCTCCATTTCTTTCAGTTCTGCTCTGATCTTAGTTACTTCTTGCCTTCTGCTAGCTTTTGAATGTGTTTGCTCTTGCTTCTCTAGTTCTTTTAATTGTGATGTTAGTGTGTCAATTTTAGATCTTTCCTGCTTTCTCTTGTGGGCATTTAGTGCTATAAATTTCCCTCTATACACTGCTTTGAATGTGTCCCAGAGATTCTGGTATGTTGTGTCTTTGTTCTTGTCGGTTTCAAAGAACATCTTTATTTCTGCCTTCATTTCGTTATGTACCCAGTAGTCATTCAGGAGCAGGTTGTTCAGTTTCCATGTAGTTGAGCAGTTTTGAGTGAGTTTCTTAATCCTGAGTTCTAGTTTGATTGCACTGTGGTCTGAGAGACAGTTTGTTATAATTTCTGTTCTTTTACATTTGCTGAGGAGTGCTTTACTTCCAACTATGTGGTCAGTTTTGGAATAAGTGTGATGTGGTGCTGAGAAGAATGCGTATTCTGTTGATTTGGGGTGGAGAGTTCTGTAGATGTCTATTAGGTCTGCTTGGTGAAGAGCTGAGTTCAATTCCTGGATATCCTTGTTAACTTTCTGTCTTGTTGATCTGTCTAATGTTGACAGTGCCGTGTTAAAGTCTCCCATTATTATTGTGTGGGAGTCTAAGTCTTTTTGTATGTCTCTAAGGACTTGCTTTATGAATCTGGGTGTTCCTGTATTGGGTGCATATATATTTAGGATAGTTAGATCTTCTTGTTGAATTGATCCATTTATCATTATGTAATGGCCTTCTTTGTCTCTTTTGATCTTTGTTGGTTTAAAGACTGTTTTATCAGAGACTAGGATTGCAACTCCTGCCTTTTTTTGTTTTCCGTTTGCTTGGTAGATCTTCCTCCATCCATTTTTTTTGAGCCTATGTGTGTCTCTGCAAGTAAGATGGGTTTCCTGAATACAGCACACTGTTGGGTCTTGACTCTTTATCCAATTTGCCAGTCTGTGTCTTTTAATTGGAGCATTTAGCCCATTTACATTTAAGGTTAATATTGTTATGTGTGAATTTGATCCTGTCGTTATGATGTTAGCTGGTTATTTTGGTCATTAGTTGATGCAGTTTCTTCCTAGCCTCGACGGTCTTTAGAATTTGGCATGTTTTTGCAGTGGCTCGTATTGGGTGTTCGTTTCCACGTTTAGTGCTTCCTTCAGGAGCTCTTGTAGGGCAGGCCTGGTGGTGACAAAATCTCTCAGCATTTGCTTGTCTGTAAAGTATTTTATTTCTCCTTCACTTATGAAGCTTAGTTTGGCTGGATATGAAATTCTGGGTTGAAAATTCTTTTCTTTAAGAATGTTGAAAATTGGCCCCCACTCTCTTCTGGCTTGTAGAGTTTCTACTGAGAGATCAGCTGTTAGTCTGATGGGCATCCCTTTGTGGGTACCCCGACCTTTCTCTCTGCCCTTAACATTTTTTCCTTCATTTCAACTTTGATGAATCTGACAATTATGTGTCTGGAGTTGCTCTTCTTGAGGAGTATCTTTGTGGCATTCTCTGTATTTCCTGAATTTAAATGTTGTCCTGCCTTGCTAGATTGGGGAAGTTCTCCTGGATAATATCCTGCAGAGTGTTTTCCCACTTGATTCCATTCTCCCCGTCACTTTCAGGTACACCAATCAGACGTAGATTTGGTCTTTTCACATAGTCCCATATTTCTTGGAGGATTTGTTCGTTTCTTTTTATTCTTTTTTCTCTAAACGTCCCTTCTCACTTCATTTCATTCATTTGATCTTCCATCACTGATACCATTTCTTCCAGTTGATCAAATCAGCTACTGAGGCTTGTGCATTCGTCACGTAGTTCTCGTGCCTTGGTTTTCAGCTCCATCAGGTCCTTTAAGGACTTCTCTGCATTGGTTATTCTAGTTAGCCATTTGTCTAATTTTTTTTCAAGGTTTTTAACTTCTTTGTCATGGGTTTGAACTTCCTCCTTTAGCTCGGAGTAGTTTGATCGTCTGAAGCCTTCTTCTCCCAATTCGTCAAAGTCGTTCTCTGTTCAGCTTTGTTCCGTTGCTGGTGAGGAGCTGTGTTCCTTTGGAGGAGGAAAGGCACTCTGCTTTTTAGAGTTTCCAGTTTTTCTGCTCTGTTTTTTCCCCATCTTTGTGGTTTTATCTACCTTTGGTCTTTGATGATGGTGACGTACGAACAGGGTTTTGGTGTGGATGTCCTTTCTGTTTGTTAGTTTTCCTTCTAACAGTCAGGACCCTCAGCTGCAAGTCTGTTGGAGTTTGCTGGAGGTCCACTCCAGACCCTGTTTGCCTGGGTATCAGCAGCGGAGGCTGCAGAACAGTGGATGTTTGTGAGCAGCAAGTGTTGCTGCCTGATCGTTCCTCTGGAAGTTTTGTCTCAGAGGAGTACCCGGCAGTGTGAGGTGTCAGTCTTCCCCTACTGGGGGGTGCCTCCCAGTTAGGCTACTCAGGGGTCAGGGACCCACTTGAGGAGGCAGTCTGTCTGTTCTCAGATCTCCAGCTGCGTGCTGGGAGAACCACTACTCTCTTCAAAGCTGTCAGACAGGGACATTTAAGTCTACAGAGGATTCTGCTGCCTTTTGTTTGAAAATGCCCTGCCCCAAGAGATGGAGTCTACAGAGGTAGGCAGGTCTCCTTGAGCTGTGGTGGGCTCCACCCAGTTCGAGCTTCCAGGCCACTTTGTTTACCTACTCAAGCCTAGGCAATGGCGGGCACCCCTCCCCCAGCCTCACTGCTGCCTTGCAGTTTGATCTCAGACTGCTGTGCTAGCAATGAGCAAGGCTCTGTGGACTTAGGACCCTCCGAGCCAGGCACAGGAGATGATCTCCTGGTGTGCTGTTTGCTAAGACTGTTGGAAAAGTGCAGTATTAGGGTGGGAATGACCCAATTTTCCAGGTGCCTTCTGTCACCCCTTTCTTTGACTAGGAAAGGGAATTACCTGACCCCTTGTGCTTCCCAGGTGAGTTGATGCCTCACCCTACTTTGGCTCATGCTTGTTGCACTGCACCCACTGTCCTGCACCCACTTTCCGACACTGCCCAGTGAGATGAACCTGGTACCTCAGTTGGAAATGCAGAAATCACCCATCTTCTGCATCGCTCATGCTGGGAGCTCTAGACTGGAGCTTTTCCTATTTGGCCATCTTGGCTCCACCCCAAATGCATGAACTTCTAAAGAAAACATACTTGGATGTCTGGATTAATCTCATACTTTTGATTAAGCCAATAAATGTAATCAAGATGATAATTCCTGTCATTTAGATGATATCTGTGATAAGTATATGTACACACACACACACACACACACACACACACATCTCCCCACAAAATGTGAAATTATTAAAATCGAAACCCAAAACTTTGAAAACATTCACAGTTTGCTGCTTTGATTCTTTGAAATGTTGAGAGCCACATTGGTATTAGATCAACACTTTTTCCCCTGGGTTCTAAGTCCATTTGACCAATATCTCTAAAATAGAGAACAAATTTTCATTACCAACTGTGAGAAACTACATAACTGGGCTGTATTAAATCAATGAAGTTGTGCTTTGGTGGAGGGAATACTAATGCATAATACTCTGAACCATTTATGTAATTAAAATATATTTTGGGAAACCATAGAGAGATTAATAAAAAACCAAGATGGGCCGTTTCTCTGAGATTCAGAGCCAAAGTTGCTCACTATGGCTGTCCAATGTGCAGGAGAGAAATAAATATGTTGAAATTTTTTATTTCTAGGTTCCTAAAGCACCACAGAGCAAATTTAGTTGTTTTGCCTATTTGGTCAGTAATCATTTAGACAGTATCCTTGAGAGGACTGTTGATGATAGCTCTCATTTTCTTATATTGATCTCAAAACTACCTCTATGTAATTTTCACTGAGATGGAGTTCATTGAGTTTGGAAGAGATTGAAATGGACATTCCTTATTTCTGCCTTGATATACACCACGTAAAAATTGAGAGGAGGGGCCAGCTGAACTTCCTGGGTCGAATAGGGCCTCAGAAAGCTGTGAAACTCACTCATTTCCTGCATCAGGACTTACTTTAGTCCTGGATGAATAATATTGAAGATACATGCTTAAAATATTCCTAACGTCAGGGTTTGTGCATGTGTTTTCTTCCCCAAGAAAACTATAAACAGCGAAAATTTTGCCGTAAGTTTCCCTGTGTCCTCTCTCCCTCTCTTCCTTCCCCCTCCCCAAAAACTAAAGTAAAAGGAATGTTAACTGCCTGTTTTTCTGTGACCAGCAGACCTTATCTATACTCCCAATTCCAATTCCTTGTAAACATACTTTGTAAAGTCCTGTGAGATCATGTCTCCTTTGCCATGCCACTGAAAAGTCATAAAATAAATAAAACCTAAGTTGCAGTTCCGGTTTTCCTCAAGATCTGAGACATGTCACAAATGGTTAATTGTCTTTGTTTCTCGCTCTGGTAACATCTTCCCGCCTAAAGAGTTTAAAAGGCAATCATATAATCTCACTCTTGCTACCCATTCAGGACCCCTTTCATGCTGTGGAAGCTTTGTACTTTCACTCTGCTCAATAAAGCCTACAGCTTTTTCTCTCTATTGGTCCGTGTATCTATCACTCGCTGCGGTGAGCCACCACACCAATTCTTTGGCGTAGCTAGGCAAGAACCTTAGGCGTTACAAAATGACATCTGAAATTTATCTTTATTTACCCTCTTCCATAAGAGAAATGATGACTCAAGATACTATCATCTCATGGATCTCTGGTGCCTACCCAGGATAAACTCATTTAGCAGGAAAAATGTGGCTCTGAGATTTGATACTGTGCTGAGAAAATAATTCGAATTATGTTTGTCTGAATGTGTTGTGTCTGAATGTGTCGAGGTGGGAAGAGGTGATGCAGGAGAAGGTCACATGGTGTTTTGTGCCCCTTCATGACCCAAAACCTTGCCCGTTATCTTATGTCCTATTCTTACCATGCATGGTGTAGGCTAAACTACCTAATTCAGCTTCATTTTTTACACTCATCATTTGAAAGTTCTTTCATATTGTTATCTTACGGTCTCTTTCACCCGTGTCCATGTGAAGAGACCACCAAACAGGCTTTGTGTGAGCAATAAAGTTTTTTAATCACCTGGGTGCAGGTGGGCTGAGTCCAAAAAGAGAGTCAGCAAAGGGAGGTAAGGGTGGGGCTGTTTTATAGGATTTGGGTAGGTAGTGGAAAATTACAGTCAAAGGCGGTTATTCTTTGGCGGGCAGGGGCGGGGGTTACAAGGTGCTCAGTGGGGGAGCTTCTGAGCCAGGAGAAGGAATTTCGCAAGGTAATGGCATCAGTTAAGGCAGGCACTGGCCATTTTCACTTCTTTTGTGATTCTTCACTTGCTTCTGGCCATCTGGATGTATACGTGCAGGCTTGGGCTCAGAGGCCTGACAGTCTCACTATTGTAATTTAATAACATTTGAATCCAATTTCTTCTTGTTTGGCTCTCAACAAAGAAGAATAGCTAATTAACAGTTTTCTGTGCAATAATTCATTAGATTTTCTTTTTTGTACTAGATAATAGAGTGTGACTTTGTTTTTATTTATGTCTTGACTGACAGAAATTTTCTGCCTATCCCTTAAGAATGTTGAGAGGATTCACCAATTAGTGTCCATAAGTTTTTTAACCTCCCTAGAAGAAAGTTTTTACACATAAACACAACATTTCTTTGGGAGTGGAAATTAAGAAGAAACTAGACCCTGCCTATCATTGTTGTTTTTGGTTTTTTTTAACCATGTTTACAACTATCCATTTTAGATGTCAAAATTGTGGGCTCTGTTTTTGTTTTGCTCTCTAGAGAGCAGAAATGGTGAATTAAGCAAGTGTGAGATAAAGCCTATAGTTCTCTGTGCCTTCCCTTAATGGGTAACATTTGTACTTTTTTTCAATGATATTTTAAATGATACATAGATTTTTTTTCCTCTCAGGCCCAATGCTGTCTCATTTTCTGAATACACTAAAAAATGTTATTTCAGATATGCAAAATCAGAAACATGTGCTTTGAGGCTAATCATATTGTAGTTCTGTGAGGTCAGACTCTACATAAAACTTGGCTAATTTAAAATGAAAGACTCTACATAAAACTTGGCTAATTAAAAATGAAATAGAAGCAGCTGTTGTAAAGAATGCAGTATATAAGCTCCCATTTAAAGTTATATTGTATTTTTCTTATTAATTTTAATTGTGTGTTTTGAGAGAAAGAATTTATTAAAGACATAAAATAAAACCTGGTTTTGCAAGCTTTCTGTAACCAGACTAAAACAGACAGTGCATAAAATAAAAAAACTGATTGTGGTCTTTTCTCCCTATTTTACAAAAAGGACACAGATTTTTTTTCTGTAACAGGGATATAGGGATATAAGTATATAGGAAAAACCAAACTGTTTTTTTTTTTCTACTTTCTATACTCACACAGTCATTCAACACTTCTGACACCAAATGTGGCTGAGGGTGTTTGTGGTGGTTACCCACACATCGAGCAATTCTCTGGTATATTCTCCAGTGGACAACAGTGGGGTATCCTCTAATTCAATTCAATTCTGACACTATATACCTGGAGATAGCATCAGATCCTGCATCTTGAGGGCTCAGTTCCACAAGACTGCTCCCCACCTCAGATGCCAGTTGCAACCACATGTGACCTAGCTGGAGACCAACTAGCTATGAATTGGGGCTCCCACTTCCCTCTCCTTTGGTGTGATTAATTTGCTAGAGCTCATAGAACTCAGGAGAATACTTGACTCATGTTTCCTGGTCTATTAATGCATTATTTAATAAATGATACAGGAAAAAAAATTCAGATGAAGATATATAGGGTGAGGTCTGGAAGGGTCCATAACACAGGAGCTTCTGCCTTTGTGGAGTTGGGGTATGCCACCCTCCTGGCTCACAGACGTGTTCACCAACCCAGAAGCTCCGAGATTGGAGTAACAGTTTGGAGATCTTTATGGAGGCTTCATCACGTAGACATGATTGATTATCAATTCCATTTGCAGTCCCTCTCCCCTCTCTGGAGAAGGAGGAGTTGGGCTGAAAGCTCCAAGTTTATAATCCTAGCTTGGTTTTTCTGGGACCAAGGGTCAGTTCATTAAAAAAAAAAAAAAATACTCCTATCACCGAGGGAATTCCAAGGGATCTAGGAGCTTTGTGTCTGGAACTGAGATCAAAGACAAAACAATAGAATAAAAGATTCTCCTAGCACCCTTATCTACAAAGGTATTAGAAGCTCTGTCTTGGAAACTGGAGCAGAGACCAAACATTAGAACAAAAGATCTCCTAGCAGCCCTCTCACTCAGGAAATTACAAGGGTTTTAGGAACTCTGTGCCAGGGTCTGGGTCCAGAGACCAATATGTATATTTCTTATTATTTCATGGCAGATTATTATGAAATTCTTTTTTTTCACAGTAGATTACACAATAATTAAATACTGACAATTACATTTCAAACCTTAAGACTTCAATATTGCTTTGGCAAACTAAAACACACAAACTGAAACATACAAAACTACATTGTTTTTGTATGTTTAACACACTCTTTCTCACTACATGCAGTTCTGATCTCAATTACAAGTACAATAAATGGTATGGGGTAGTGGTACTTTATTTAAGCACCTCATTGACCAGATCCTGAGAATGGATTGGTACTGGCACTTTCTTGATTTCAAGTTAAGATCTGGCTCAGGTTGTTCTCTTTTCCCTTCCTTTTCTTTAAAAATTTCTCTGATACACTGCTGATGTGTGATTCTGGTGTACTGTATAAAATCTAGATACCTATCTCAAACATTTTTTGGTTTTTCCATAATAAATATGTTTTTCTTTTATTACTGGAAAAGTAATAAAAGAAATAAACAGTAATATAACTGCAATATAGATACAGAAAATCTATTTTTAAAATGTTTAGAGTTTTTTGTGTGAATTATTTAACTATTTTGAGAGAGATCCAAGCATAGAACTAGCTATATACCTGTTACTGATTTTAATGTTTTGAACAATGTTTTCTGGGATTTGGGTAGTGGTATAACTTACAACACCATTATTATATTTTGCATATGTACATTATAGTTTGCATTATTATTGATTACATACTTAACTCATATTAATAACTGATTGCCTTATAGGATAACATTTTGAAGATTGTGAGCACTCAATTAAATGAATGAACCAATAATAAATGGAGAAGGGACCTCATATCATTGTATTTAACATGTTCCATAGAAAAGTATAATCCAACTTGTAAGATGATTAGTGATTTGCTTAGATTGCACAAATGCTTCTGAGATGACAGTGTGTTCCAGTTTAGAAGTAAACCTCAAAGACAATGAGTTAGACTATATTGCAACGATTATGTAAATTGTTATGTCTTGAGTAAAATCAAGGCATATGGACAGATAGGTTTACTCAAGTAATGTTCTAAAAAAAGCAGGTGGATTGATGTATGCAATTATTAAAGCTACAGGTAAATAGGTTAGTTTCCATGATCTTATACCATTTTCTTTTTAATGACACCCACATTCCTATGGTGACAAGCTGGGGTATAGTCAGGAGCGCAATAGTAGGTACAGTCTCTCCTCACTCATTTCTTTTTAATCTTGGGAGAAAGGTCACTATTCACTGCTCTCCATTGCTTTGTGGACTTGTGATCAGTATGTGTTGTATAATCTTTTAGTTTTTAGCAGTAAACTCTTCTCTTAAAAATGGCATCAAATGGAGACATTGAATATAGAGTTAATCTTATTTGAGAAGAGTTTGGACTATAAGAGAGTTTAGGTTGATTTTCTGACATATGCTGGTAACTTAAATTTTATAATGTGACAAAAAATGCGTTTTCAAATATCTTATTTTCAATTATTAAAATATAAAAATATAGTATTTACTTATTATGTGTCATGCATTGTTCTGAGTACTTCAGTTTAACAATGAACAAAATTGTCACAAATTTCTACTGTACTAGTGGGGGATAAATGAGTCTGGAGTTTAGGTCAATGAATAAGACACATAATATGGAAATATGTAAAGAGGGGGTGATCAATAGTGCAGGTTGTGATGGCAGGTTGCCATTGTAAACAGGGTGATTACAGTAAGACTCATTGAGAAGTTGACATTTGAGCAAAGACTTAAAGAATGTGATTCATGTGATTCATGTGATTATCAATAGAAACTGCTTTCCAGGCAGAGACATCAACCAAGGCAAGAGCCTCAGTTACAGCTTGCTTACAGTTTGGAGAAATGGCAATGAGGCCAGTAGAATAAGAGGGGGAGGGTAGAGAGATGAAAGGCCAGGGAGCTAATAGAGAAACAGGGCTAAATGATGCAGTGTCTTAGGGCCTCTGCATCACCTCATTCATATAGAATAAAATGGCCTTATGTTTTATCTAGGCCACTGTAAAGGATATTGGTTTTCACAGCTTAGTGAAATGAGGGATAATTGAACAATTCTGTGCAGAGAAGTGACAAGATCTGACTTACATTGAAGTGTGTTTAGAAAAGATGCGGCAGGGGCAAAGGTGGAAATGAAAATTACTTGAATGTTATCAATGAATGTAGAAGATAGTGATGGTGACTCAGAACAGGGTTATAGCAGTAGAGTGATAAGAAATGTAAGAAATGATCAGATACATTCATATATATATATATATATATATATATATATATATATATATATATTCTTTTTTGTTTGTTTGTTTTTGTTTTTTTTTGGACGGATTCTTGCTCTGTTGCCAAGGCTGGAGTGCAGTGGCACAATCACCACTCACTGCAACCTCTGCCTCCCGGGTTCAAGCAGTTCTTCTGCCTCAGCCTCCTGAGTAGCTGAGATTACAGGCATGTGCTACCATACCCAACTAATTTTTATATTTTTAGTAGCGATGGGGGTTTCACCATGTCACCAGGCTGGTCTCAAACTCAGGCTGGTCTCAAACTCCTGGCCTTAAGTGATCCACCCGCCTTGGCCTCTCAAAGTGTTGGGATTACAGGCGTGAGCCACTGCGCCCAGCTAGATTCAAAATAATATATTTTGGAGACAAAAACAACAGGAATTTCTGAGTGATTGATGTTGGGTGTAAAATGGCTAAAGTCTAGGGCTGGAGTGGGTTGGTGGGGGGAAAACTGGAGTTTAATAACGCACCTGTTAATTTTGAGAATATCTTTTGGATAGCTAAATTTCAAGTCCTGGGTTGTATGTATTAGTCTAGAGCTCCAGAACAAAGTTTGGATTAGAAAATCATATTTGGGAGTCATTGACATATAGATGGCCTTTATATTAGGTTGGTGCAAAGGTAATTACAGTTTTTGCCATTGAAAGTAATGGCAAAAACCTCAATGCTTTTGCACCAATCTAGTTATGAAACTGGATCAGATCACCAAAGGACGGGTGTAGATAAAGAGGAGAAGGGAATCGAGGAATAGCCCAAAGACACTCCAACATTAAGAAATTAGAAAAGAACAACAACAAAGAAGTTTGAATAGAAGAGGTGAGTGGTGTAGGAGGAAAACCAAGAGAGTAATATTTTGGAATTGCAGTAAGAAAAGAATATCAAAGGGGAGGGATAATCAACTAGCTCAATGCTGCTTAAAAGTTGAGAAGGAGGAGGACAAGAGCTGACCATTGCACTTATTATCATGGAGGTTGTGTTAGTCTAGATTCTGTAGAGAAACAGAACTAATAGCATGTGTGTGTGTATATACATTATACAGAGAGAGAATGCACACTCACACATACATACACACACACACACACACATACCTGAGAGTGAGAAAAAAAGAGATTTCTTTTAAGAAATTGTGGCACAATCGTGGGGACTGGCAAGTCTGCAATCTGCAGGGCAGGCTGACAGGCTGAAGACCCAGCAGAGCTGATGTTGCAGTCTTGAGTCCAAAAGCAGTTTGGAGGCAGAATTCCATTTTTCTTGGAGGATCTCAGTCTTTTTTCTCACAACTTTCAACTGATTTAATGAGGTGTACACATATTATAAAGGGTAATTTGCTTTACTTGAAATCTACTGATTTAAATGTTAATCACATCTGAAAATACCTTCACAGAAAATACCTTCATGGAAAATACCTTCATAGTAACTGGTGTTTATCAAACAACTGGGTACCAATCCTAGCCAAGTTAACACATAAAATTAACCATCACAGAAGTCATTGATGAACTGAGAAAAATAGTTGCAACAGAACATTTTTACTACTATATTCCAGTGTCTTATTAATAGAATGGTACTTAGCTCAATAAATAGTTGTCAAAAAATGTATTTTCCACTGATTTTTTTCTTAGATATGTTATCCTTACTTGAATCTAGTTAGAAAAAATACGCCAAAAGGAAAAAATTGAGAAACTTCTCTTTATTTTAGTCTGTAAAAACATATAGAGGTTGAGGAGTAATAGAAACAATTTAAAAACTGGTCAATGGAAAACCAAGAAAATAATTCTATAGTAAAGTATAATGGAAAAACATACAAATAACCAAATGTTTTAACAAGTCAAATTTTTTATTTTCTGGTAACATTTCTGTATTACCAAAAATTAAGATTTTATGACTGTTCTTTAAATAGTCTCAAATTTCTGTCTGTGGAATTGAGAATAAGTATGGTAATTACTTATGCATTCCCAAATACTGGAGAAATAGCTCTAAATAAGATATATAGATAATTAGATATTTTCATTGGTGACGTCCAGAAGATTTAATTTTGTTTCCCATTAAGATTTTGCTAGAGTTACCAAGTTACCAAATGTGGAACTTTCCCCCTTATTTCCCTGTCCTCTGGGTAATCACTGTCTGGTAACATCTGAAACCCCAAAGTTATCGTGTTCATTGAGTGACTAGCTTCCTGGTATCATTTGGCCTTTTAAATTCCAAGAGCTGGACTTTCCACAATCAGTTCCAGAGTTTTGAAACGTCTTAAAATGAACATGACGCTGTTTTTGCTCTTTCTTGATCTAATTATGCTTGGTTGAATTGTCAGGCTTACTGGTACAACACTGAGTATTTTACCATACTGTAGATAAAAAGACTGTTTATGGGTTACCATTAAAGTTCCTAAATTAGCTAAACTGAAGGTATGTGGTAAGAGTGAGAGCACTTCAAATATTCCAACTCTCATTACAGTTTAGTTTCATGATATAATTTGTTAGAGTATGCAAGCAAGATGATTTTTATCTAGGTAAGTTTGCTACAAAGTATAATTTTTTCTATTAAAACACTGATTTAGTACAGTCTGAGAATGCCTAGATTAGTGATTTCCACCAGACAAATATGATTCAAAAGAAAATCCAATTCACAATTCATCTATTAAAAAAAGCACAAATCATTAATTAGTCATGTCTGAGAAAGAATAATTTTGACTCCAAAAACTATGTGTTGATTGATATTAGCTTAACCATTCTATGTGTCAAAATAATTCATAGAGTTCTGCCCAAATTTTATTTTGACATTTAATGTTTATCGGTGACAGTTATAATAATTAAAGAAATAACTTTTCTACAGTACATCTATCTTCCACAAAACAATGTCTTGGTTCAGATCTTCAAGACTGAGACTATTTTTATGGCACAGTGTTTAGCTATGAAATAGTTGGTTATTGATTAAATGTATAAGTGAACTAATAAGTATATTGATGAAGAATTTTATTAAGTATCAGATTTGGCTCTGAACTTCTTGGTAGTCAAGACAAAAAGGAAACATGGTAGACTACAAAATTTTCAGTGCCTGATACAACAAAGAATATCCGATGAGATTTTCTTCATATTTCTCCCCTGGCACAAGCTGTTTTTATTTGCTTAATTTTCTCCTTTCCTCCTATGTCAATAGAGCATGAGAACTTCTTCCAATGAAAGGTTAACCTGCTGGTTTACAACATTCCTTTGTATTTTTGCTACAGCTTCCTCAGCAGGTTTCCCTGCTTTCACTCTTGCTCTCCTGTGGTATATTTTTAACATAGCAGAGATTCTGGTAAAATGTAAATTAGATCACATCATTCCTCTGATCAAAATCTTCAAATGTGTTTTACTTTACCAAGAAAAATATCCATAGACCTTAAAGTGATTTACAAATCCCTGCCCTTATTTCCCTTCCTTCTGTCCCTCATGTTCTCCATCTTTATCTCATCTCCTCTCATTCTATTCCTAACTTTATCTGCTCTAATCACATTGGCCTCTTTCCTCAAACACACTAAACCAATCACGGTATCAGATATGCTGGCAGGAGATGCTGTTATAGGACTGGGCTCTCTGATACCAGTGGAATGATATCTGAGTCCTGAAATTAGAGAAGCCATGTGGCAGCTTTTAACTACCAGAAGCAATGTGTAGACAGTAACTATTAAAAGTGGCCAGATCAGGATAACAGCCAGGGGACCTGATCCACAGAATATTATGGAGATAGTTAATAGAATAGATAGAATAAAAAAGTCACAATCCCTTGCTTTTTTTTTTTTCTACCTCAGTCAGGTTTCATACCGGAATCTTCTGACTAAAGAGAGGTCTCATCTCCAGTAGGAAGAATCCCATAACATCAAGACAAGTGTATATGGTAGTCATTTCCTAAATCTATCCCTAAAAAGGATGTATGGTCATGTTACTGTGGGAAGGGCTATTGGCATGGGTGTAGGTTGGCACTGGTACCTGGGGACTGAAATGAGACGTAAGGTAGTATGCACTTTTTTTTCTGTCTGCTTTGAAGATTTTTCTTTGTCCTTGGTTTTTAGATTTTTTTGCAAAATGAACCTAGATGTTATTTTGTATATGTATGCTTATTCTTGCTATAGACTGTTTACACTCCTTTAAACTCATATATTATTACTGTGCTTTACGCCTGTAATCCTAGCACTTTGGGAGGCTGAGGCAGCAGATCACATGAGGCAAGGAGTTTGAGGCCAGCCTGGCCAACATGGCGAAGCCCCATGTCTACTAAAAATACAAAAATTAGCTGGGCTTGGTGGTGCATGTCAGTTATCCCAGCTACCCGGGAGGCTGAGGCAGGAGAATCCCTTGAACCCAGGAGGCAGAGGCTGCAGTGAGCTGAGATTGAGCCACTGCACTGTAGCCTGGGTGACAGAGCCAGACTCTATCCCAATAAATAAATACATTTATATATTAAAACCTAATCCCCGGTGTGATGGTATTTAGAGGTGGGACTTTGAAAACTTATTAGGTTATGAGGGTGGAGCACCATGAATGGGATTAGTGCCCTTATAAGAAGGGGCCCTAGAGAGCTACTTTGCACCTTCCACCATGAGGGCACAGCGAAAAGACAGCTATCTAAGAACTAGGAAGCAGGACCTCAGCAGACACAAGATCTGCTTGAGCTTGGATCTTGGACCCAGCCTCTAGAACTATGAGAAACAAATGTATTGGCCACTCAGTCTATGTCATTTTTTGTTGTTGTTACAGAAGCTCAAAGAGACAGTCGTGTTTGTGTTTCATAGACATTTTAAAATTCATTTATTGGTTTTGGATAACTTGTAACAACTATCTTTCAAATAATTAATTCTGTCCCATTCTCCCTTTTTTGATATCCCGTTAAATATATATTACTCTTTTAAAAATTTCTATATATCTCTTTATGTTCTCTTCTGTATTTTTCATCTTTCTATTTTTCAATATTTTAGTGCAGATATTTCCTATCCTATCTTTTAATTTAGTTTACAAGCTACTTCATTTTAATTATTTTTAAACTGATATATAGTATGAACTCTATTGTATGTAAAAGGAAAGTAGCATAAATCAGTTTCTTTTCTCGTGTGAGTGTGGTGAGATTTGTGGTTACTCTTACATTCTTATTTGTTTAAATTATATTTAAAATTGTGCTACAAGCTCCATATTTCATAACCTTTTACCATAAGGCTTAGAGTTGCCGTGCCCTAGCAGTGTAAATCCTCCAATTTTGAACACAAAAATTGGGGCACACAAAACCTGAGTCTGAATAGAATTTTAATTCGACCAAGTTAGAAGGTCTTCTGTTACAGAAGATTTACTGATTGAAGAACAAATTTAGAACATTATGAATAAATCATTCCTAAGAGTAAAAGGTAAGTCTGTGGAAAAATAGGAGTAGATTATGGAATATCTGTGCTAGTGGCTGTTTTTTTCTAGGGTAGCTGGACACTGGAGAGTCTTGGTTAACAGACAAAACTTTTGCCTCTACCTGGCATGCTCCCTTGCACACATTTGTGCATTAACAAAGCCAAGTCTTAAGGCCCAGGGTATATTTCTAGGCAGCTTAACGTGGCCATTCCAG
The DNA here is from genome assembly GCF_000001405.40 of Homo sapiens. Taxonomy (NCBI): domain Eukaryota; kingdom Metazoa; phylum Chordata; class Mammalia; order Primates; family Hominidae; genus Homo; species Homo sapiens. Next base: position 106,420,683 of record NC_000004.12, read on the forward strand.
AAAGATAAGTAAAAAAACACTCTCTTACAAAGGTAGAAACAAAATGATGTATAAAACAAAACAAAACAAAGACCATTATTCCTTCAATTGGCTATCTGAGAAAAAGGGGAGTGAGTTAGGCTGAATAATGGTTCCCACAAATACCCAAGTTCTAATCTCCGGAAATTCTGAATGCTACCTTACAATGCAAATAATAATAATAAAATAAAATAAAGACTTTGCAGATGTGATTAAGAATTATAACATGAGATTATTCTAGATTATGTAAATGCAATACAAGGATTTTTATATGAAGCAAGCAAAGAGAAATTTGGTACAGAAGAGAAGAAGTTTATATGAAAGAAACTGAGACAGGCAGAACCAGAGAAAGAATATGCTATGCTACTGTCTTTGAAGACGGAGTAAGGAACTATGAGCCAAGAAATGCAAGGAGTGCAGTTCTAGACAAGAAAAGACAAGGAATGGAATTATATACTACAGCCTCCAGAGGGTGTTTGGCCCTGCCAACACCCTAATCTTAACCCTGTCAGACTCATTTTGGACATCTGGTCTACAGGACTGTAGATAATACATTTCTATTGTTGTTGCTGTTGTTTGTTTGTTTCCTTTTTTTATGAGATGGGGTCTCACACTGTCGCCCAGGCTGGAGTGCAGTGGTGTGATCTCGGCTCACTGCAATCTCTGCCTCCCGGGTTCAAG